>NC_000006.12:167641393-168262310 GCF_000001405.40 Homo sapiens
TCATGACCACCACCATCACCTCTACCACCACCACCATCATTCTAATCATTACTACCACCATCTTCACCACCACCACCACCACCACCACCTCCACCACCATCACCACAATCATCACCACCACCACCATTACCACCATCACCACCATCACCACCACCATCACTCTAATCATTACTACCACCATCTTCACCACCACCACCCCCACCACCACCTCCACCACCATCACTATAATCATCACCACCACTATTGCCTTCACAAACACCAACATTGCAACCACCTCCCTACATACAGAACCCACACACACAAACATACACCACCACCATCATCACCCTCACCACCTTGGTTTGTTTCTCTTCAGATGTTCACTTTATACACTGGCCCTTCCTTGCATCTAGAACTTAATTGTGTCATGCACATACATTCTGATAATCCCCTTAGCATCTTGCTCCTATGTCAAGGCTCCTCCCCAGCTACACACTGTGCCAAGAGTATCCTTACCCTCATTTCACCAAGTTTTCTTTCTTCTCATATTCAAGAAATTTTTGAAATCCTGATTCCTTTAAGAAATTTTCCTTTATTGAAAGAGATAGTAGTTACTTTCATCTTCCTCAACTGTGCCTCTGCACATATTAGTACATATGACATACTTGCCCCATTCATTCATTCAACATTGATTCAGGGCTTCCCTGTATAAACTTGGTTCTTCCATTTGTTCATTTGTTCATTCATTCAGTGTTAAGTGCTTACCTGTACACAGTTGCCTCATCATTCATTCATTCAGTGTTCATTAAGTGCTTCCATATTTATGCTTGCCTCTTCCATTCATTCATTCATTCATTCATTCATTCATTCAGTGTGATTAGGGCTTCCCTTATGTGTTCATCACTTAGGCCTGGAGAAACAAATAATCAATGTTCGGACTTGCAGGCTGTTAGGGACTTCCATGCTGAGTGTGTGTCTGTTGAATACAATTTTTCAGAAAGGGCTGTTTCCTTTCCTAGCAGGCGGCTAATAAGGTTTTGCCTTTCCAGAAGCCAAGGTATACCCATGCTGGGCCATCCTCCCTCAATTAAATGCAGTTGTGCAAACCAGGAAGGAGAGAGGAGCATGCGGCTGACTGCACGCGGTTAACACACTGCGGCGCCCCCAGAAACAGTCCTCCTGCAGCAGGTGCCTCAGAAATGAGCTTCTCTCTCCAGGTGAGTAAATTGAATGCCTCAGACTTTTCCTGCATTTAAACTGTCAACACCATATAGGAAAACGGACATAGTTAGATCTCGTGATACGCTGTCAAGTGAGAAAAGCCACTTGTACAACAGCATGAATTGTCTGAACCCACTTATATAACTCTGAGTGTGTGTGTGTGTGCATGTGTGTGCATGTTGTGTTTGAACACAGGCAGAAACGGGAGGGAGTTCAGTAACATTTTGGTGGTACATCTTAGGTGAGGTGATTGGGTGTGGGGAGGTGGTAGTTTTACTCCATGATTGCAAAGAATGTAGTATTTGGGGTTAAAACAATTAGAGCTCAACTAACTCCTCGTTCTGATGCTACCAAATTTGTTCTCTTTGACAGGCTCATGCTCTGACACTTGACTTTCTCAGCTGTAAGATGGGAATAACAGTGGCGCCTTCCATGTAGATATATGTTAGGGTTGATGAGATGGCGTCTGGCATAAAATCAATGCTCAAGGAATGTTTGGATTTCAAGTTGTTCTCTATTTTGAAATCTATATGTGCATTTATCTTTTAAAGTTTGTTTTTCCTTTGCTCATCATGATTGAAGCCTAGGACCCCCTTGTCACTTTCTCTTAAAGGCCGTGCCATCTAATACAGCATCGTTTCTGACGCAAAGTCAGAGCAGAGTGGCCGCCAGTTGTCAGAGTCTACAACTGCATATGGATTTTTTTTTTTCTTTTCTTTTTTGGTGAGAGTAACACCAGGAAGCAGGACACAGAGATGGAGATTCCCCCACCTGCGTTTCCGTCATACCCTCTGTCCTGCCTGCAGTTTCCATCACAATGCTACCCAGAGCTGCTTCTATGAACAGCCGGGTGGGAAGGAAGGGGGCTGAGAACATTGGCCTCAGCTCTGCATAAAGCACCACAAGGAAACTCACGCAAGGGGCCCCTTGAGCTAAGCCGGGTGTGGATTCCACCACTGATAAGGACGCCAACATTCTGGTGGTGATTTGGTTTCAGTGCTTGGTGACTGGGGGGATTCTTAGGTATATCCTGTGTCTTTCTGTCAGGAATCTACTTCTGTGCAATCAGGAGGGATGGGATCCTTCTGGGCAGTCAGGAGGGATGGGATCCTTCTGTGCTCCTCACAAAACCCAAATGCCTCCAGGTGGAATGAGGAGGGTGTCAACAACTCACGGCACACCTCAGGCCTCCCATGCGACATTTTCCAAAGCATAGAGCTGGGCTTTCACTTCAGCTCGCTGGTTTATAATGAATACTACACATCTCAGCACCTTGCGCAGACCAGTCTGCGGCCCTGCGTAAGCCTCTGCCTTGAAGAAGAGAGGCTCGGGTCCTGGGTCAGTTGGCACCTCTCCCTGCCACAGCAGCTCCGAGCCAGAGCCTTCGAAAAGGCAACCTGGACACGTCCTGACCTGGCCAGGAGGCATTGCCCAGCCCACCACTCGTAGGAGGCCCTAGCAAAGTTTTCACTGGAATCATCTCCTCTTTTACAAAATTGCCTGAATCAGAAAAAAATGACACATTTCAACCTTTCCCTGTTTTGATAAGCCTGGTGACCCATTTAGGCCACTCCTAAGCAACTTTGGCCAGGAAAACAAGAATTAGACTTTGCTAAGTGTCCAGGTCCCTCCACGGGCAAGCCCCAGACTGGCGTTGTGTGTTCTAGGTGCACACACACCCATGCGTGTGTCCTACACATGGATTACACTTCGAGTAGACGTGTTAGAGACGTAGATATGCTCATTTATCATGTGCACATACTGTTTTTACATACATAATAAATATATAATCTATATTACATTCATATACATTTCTATTTTTATGTATGAAATATACACATTCTAAAATTCACATCGGGATACTAACGGTCCTTTGTCTATTCTAGACCACTCCTGGGCTGGCTCCTGGGTCACTCTGGGAGAAGCTCCAAACTGCTGTCTGTTAGGAAGAATTAGGGCCCCTCAGAGCCTGGGCGGAGGCTGTCTGCCTCACACGGAGAGGGGAACCCAGAGGCGCTTCCCTCTGTCCCCCAGGACTCAGGCTATCAGAAGCAGGGAGGAGTCAGAGGTGGGGCCTTTCAGCCACTCTTCCTAGTCACCGAGCCTGTGGAAGGAAGAAGAAATGAGGCTGAAAGCAGGGACAGAACTCTCAGAAGATGACCAGGGTCAGCAGCCTCTGTGATTGGCAGGGTAGGAGTCCACAGTTCTCCGGCAACATCCGTCCTCATCACCCACACCGGAGAGGCTCCGCTCACTCCACTCTGCCCAGCACATACGAGCCACGCAGGCCCGCACGCCCCACTACCCACCCCAGGGGAGCAGCGACCTCGGGCTCTGCCCCGCCCACCCTGCCCACCTGCAGGGGTTCCATCCGGAGGGTGTGCTGGGCGCCACCCCGCACTCTGATTGGACAGCAGAGTTGATCAGTTCTAACTTCACACTGCAAGCTATTTATAGGCCTCAGCCACAGCCTTAAATAACAGGGAAATTATCACACAGTTATCTGAAGCCACGAAAACTTTCTCACAGCATTTTTTATTTACGACTTGGCCATCACTCCTGGAAACTGCTGATGGCTGCATGACCATGTAGGTCTGAGACTTGGAGGGTCCCCCGTCCCCTCCCCACCCTCCAGCTGGCCTCCTCCTCGGTCCCCCAGACCGCCCTTGCTCACCGACACCTCTCCTTCGGAGCCTCACAGACCCCTGAACAACACATATCACGCTTTGCAATTTTAAATTACCGTAGTACCCATTTAGTATAAATTCTGCTTTTCCTCCCAAACAAACTATGGGATTATTTTTCTGATTATAAAATAACCCACTTTAACAGTGCCTGAAACAAGAACACTGTTCACGGGCTGACAGTTTTTTTGTTCGAATTGTTAAGTAATATTTTCACTTGATTCAAAATGTAAAACTACAGGACACATGTGGCAGATCATTTCCTCCAGAGGCCGCAGAGGTAACCGGTTCCCTGTGTACTGCACGGTTCAAGAGCTATTGTAGCATATAAAGATAAACGCACAGGCAGCATTAGGTAAAGCCTTAAAGAAGAAAATGAGACTTGCCCCTAGCCTCACCCCTGGGGAAGAGCCACATGGACCCAGGGTCACCTCCTCAGGCGTTCTCCCGAATCATAAGAGATTCTCCCAGGTTTGTCTGTTAACAACACTTCAACACACGGTACCCCTGACTTTGAATTCTTCTTTATTTTTCATTAAAGACTCTGCAGAAATGGATAATGAGTGGAAGAGTTGAGATCTGACCCAATCCAATGTATCTAAGTTTTTATTTGCTTTGCTCCAATAGGAAAGCCTGTTATTTTTAATGTTTCTATTTGCTTTCCTGTGTCATCTTATATATTATCACATGTTAACGATAGGTTCAAATTATAGAACCTTCCCCATATTTAACAGGAATCTCCACTTTTTTTCTTTCCTATTTCTCCCCAGCTAGACTTCAGGGGTTGATTCCAAAGTGGGAAGGTCCTCGTGTCCCCCGACGACCAGCACTGCTTCACTCCAGGTGACTAAGAAAGAAGGGGGCCGGGCGCGGTGGCTCATGCCTGTAATCCCAGCACTTTGGGAGGCCGAGGCAGGGAGATCACGAGGTCAGGAGTTCAGACCACCCTGACCAACATGGTGAAACCCCATCTCTACTAAAAATACAGTAATTAGCTAGGCGCGGTGGTGCGTGCCTGTAGTCCCAGCTACTCGGGAGGCTGAGGCAGGAGAATCACTTGAACCCAGGAGGTGGAGGTTGCGGTGAGCAGAGATCACACCACTATACTCCAGCCTGGGTGACAGAGCGAGACTCTGTCTCAAAAAAAAAAAAAAAAAAAAAAGAAAAGAAAAGAAAAAAGGAAATTATAGACTCTACTGGGGATAACATTAAAGAACATGCATTCAATGGGAGAACTGATGGCAATGAAATGAGCCAATGCCACCTGCATGCCGCAGAGTAGGGGAGCCCCCAGAACCCAACCATGCATCTGTCTCCGTCCACACACATGGGACCCTGTGGACCGGGGTGCACAGCACAGGCAACATACGTGAGGAAGGGTAGAGAGATGCTTCCCATTGAGCCAAGGACCATGCCTTCCTCCTGCGGGACAGTTTGTGATCACCATCACCCACAGGACCGTCTATACACTGACCTGAGCGGTAGTAGTGTGGTTCACCTTGAGATTGTATTTTCTACATTTTTACAAAGCAAGTAAAAATAAAAGAATAAACATAAACAGAACATCTGGCACCAGAGAAAGAAATTCAGACAATTCACAAAGTTGCGAAGGAGGGGAGACAGACACCTACACGAATTTGTTACAATTGTTATAAACTTTCTTAATATCTCACTGTCTGGACACTTGAGTCATTAATTCACTTTTTATCACAGAAAAGTTTAATATTGGACTTTAATTTCTTCAAGTCTTTTTGATCAAGAAACCTCAATATTACATCACAACCTCAGATTTTTATCAATCCAACTTCCTGTAAGCCAACAAAGAATATTAGAGAATTCAATGGAATTAATAGTAAAAATCGTCCAAATGAGATTTTTAACTTTCCCCCAAATTTTAAGTTAAGCTGTTTCTTTAGTTTCACATTATTGGGCTGCCAAAGAGCCAACTCGTGAAGGCATCAACACATCTGGAGTATCCTGCAAGTTAACGGGAATACCATGTCCACACTTCACTTCCACCTTCAGGGCTCCCATGGTGACTCCCAGTCATTGCTAGCCCAGGATCAGAAGTTTATATTTCCTCAAAAAACCAACACTGATCATTCAAAAAATAAAGAGAAAAGATGCAAATTTTGACTGAGTTTGGTAAGCCATGCCATGACTCCAAAACCGTTTTTGCATTTTGTGACCAATTTACAGAAACAGGAAGGAAGCACAGTCACATTCCTCTAGATGACTCAAGGAATAGAGTTTAACAAAGCTCCCACAGTAGGGTGTGATTTTGTCAGAATACAAAAAAGCTGATCAATGGCTGCTTTTTCATTTGGACCTAAATAGGACTGGGGCCAGCGATTAGTTCTGGATTCCAGGGGCAGAGGAAAGCATGCTGACCGGTGCACACATTATCGTTGTCCAGGGGCAGAGGGGAGCATACTGACCGGTGCACACATTATCTCTATTCAGGGTTAGAGGAGAGCATGCTGACCAGTCCACACTTTATCACTGTCCAGGGGCAGAGGAGAGCATGCTGACCAGTGCACACACATTATCACTGTCCAGGGGCAGAGGAGAGCGTGCTGACTGGTGCACACATTATCACTGTCCAGGGGCAGAGGGGAGCATGCTGACTGGTGCGCACGCATTATTGCAAGGAGAGCATGCTGACCGGTGCACACATTATCGCTGTCCAGGGTTAGAGAGGAGCATACTGACCAGTGCGCACACATTATCGCTGTCCAGGGGCAGAGGACAGCATGCTGACCGGTGCACACATTATCGCTGCCCAGGGTTAGAGCAGAGCATGCTGACCAGTGTGCACACATTTTCGCTGCAGCTCATTGTAGTTATGGGGAGTTTTTCACTTTGCTTTTCATTTTGCAGCTGAATGCATGTGAGACAAATGTCCCTACCTGAAGGCTCCTTGAGCTCCTGGCCCAGACCCTTCGATGACCACCGCCGTGAAGGTCATTGGTCTTCCAGGAAGGGAGCCAGGCCCCCTGGGCCTCTTTCTCCTGGGGGGTGTGGCTCAGCAGCCCCCACTGGAGCTCATTACTGAGCAGCTTCTCCCTAAGCCTGAGGCACCCCTCCCTTCCTTTTCTGTCTCCTTCTGTACCCAGTGATTGGCCACCTCCACTTTTTCTTGGGAGTTGGTGGGCAAGAAGGGAAGAGGAGTTAGATCATGGCCAATTCAACTCCTTTTGAGACATTTCAATAAATTTGAATAATTTATTTCAATAAGGAACTGTGCCCTCCTCCTTTGCAGCTCAGAAATGCTGAGATTTGAGAGTCGGTCTAGCACCCAGCACCGAGGCCACTCTCTGTTGGGTCTAAGAATCCCTTCAGGGCCTGGGAGACACCCAACTGTGTCCTTTTCCAGAGTTCTTTGCACTGTTTTCCACTCCTCTTCCCCCAACTGTTCTGGAAACAAGTGCCAAAGTACATGCCACATGGAAGTAGCTGATAACCAGCTCCGTGTTTCCTGCTAAACTGGGACAATTGAAAGTTAAATTTTCACATAAACCATTGCCCCAGCTGGGGCAGACCCCAGGCCTGCCTGAGATTTATTTCTGCAAAGTCCTGGAAAACCCAGTAAACAGTATGAGAGTCCCCACAGTTGTGCGGTTGTGAGGAAAGCAAAAATTATGAAGCTGTCCACCAATAAAGGGACAGCCAGACACCCCTCTCTGCTTCAATGTCATGTCTGACTCTGCCCAGTGTGGCTACGTCTTTGGAAGTCAGTGCATCACGGAGCTGTCGCTGCAACAGGCTGTGGGACAGGTGACTCCAAAACTCCAACCTATGCCAGGAAACTCGATTCTGTGCTCACAACCTGCAGGTCCACAGTGGTTCATGTGATTAAAACTGACCCGGGATAGGCCGGGCACGGTGGCTCACAGCTGTAATCCCAGCACTCTGGGAGGCCGATGTGGGCAGATCACCTGAGGTCAGGAGTTCAAGACCAGCCTGGCCAACATGGTGAAACCCCGTGCCTACTAAAAATACAAAATCAGCTGGGAATGGGCGCGGTGGCACGCACCTGTAATCCCAGCTACTGGGGAGGCTGAGGCAGGTGAATCACTGAACCCGGGAGGTGGAGGTTGCATGAGCGGAGATCAAGCCATTGCACTCCAGCCTGAGCAAAAAGAGCAAAACTCCGTCAAAAAAAAAAAAAAAAAAAAAACCCGAAACAAAATCAAAACCTGGCCTGGGGCAGGTGGCTGTTTTGTAAGCGAGGTTTGCCTGGTCTTGGGTGCAAGCTGCAGGCTGGGTTTAAGTCTTCTCCTAGTGCCTCTCATCCTCCTTAGACGCATTCTTCTCAGGAGCCCAAGGTCCGAGCCAAGCACACGATTCATTCAGAGCTTCTGATCACATCATGGCCACCCACACTCCATTGGCCAAGGCCAGTCACATGACCAAACCCAAAGTCTGTAGGGCAGGGAAGGGGGAGCGGAGGGCAATATCTGCTGATACTCAGCTCAACACAGAAGGGCTGGTACAGCAGCTCCTCACTGGCTGGAAGGTTGAACATTGGTACACAGTGAGAACTAACTACAAAATAAAATACAAATCTCGCAGGAGGCATGATCCCGCATGAGACGGCTATTCTACCCTCACCCACAGAAACAAGGCTGGGAAGGTCATCTTCAGTTGGCAGTGGACGAGGAACGCAACACAGACCATGGCAAACCACAAATTCCCAGAAGATGATCTGAGTATCAGAGAGAGGCCCTTGGGAAGGCTGACACAGACATTCACAGAAGCTACCTAGGGTGAAAGGCAGGATCACGTCACGTAAAATTCTACTGGGAAAATGACACCAACCCCCCAACGCCCATTTGATTCCTTTCTCATTTCTTTTAAGTACTAGTCAGAAGTGAAAACTTAATTTTCCTGTATATGTGAGAAAATACATTTATGTGCCTATCTTCTGATTTTCACCTTTCAAGATAATGTCCCAAACCAAACTGGTTATCACTATTTTTTTGATTTTCTGGTACTCCCTTTAAGCAAATTCACCGTAAGTGAATAACAAGGACCTTCCGAATACAGGTACAGAGTGCAGGCTCTGCAACCAGGAGACTTTGGTTCCAATCCCCATGCGTCTTTGATCACTGTGTGATGTCTGGTGTGTTATTGAACCTCTCTGGCTGTGTTCTCACCCACTCCTCATTGAAAGGATTAGATGGGGCGATATATTTAAAACAGAATTCCTAGCATGTGGTAGCACTCAGTAAATGCTAGGTGTTACTGTTAAGATTACTAGACCATTCTTGGCACTTAAACTTTCATATATTCTCTTTATTATTTTAGGACATCTAATTGTAATAAAGTTTATATAACTGAACTAAGCAAATGTCCCGAACCAAAGCTGCCTACACGTTTCGGACGATACCTTTACCGGGCTTTCTGAAACTTTTTTATGGAAAAAGATTTTTCTGGAATTTTTCATGGAACTTTTGCTTTCCATAAGCAAAAGAGGATAAAAACACAGCAGAAATATGTTATTAATGCAAAAACTTAGCATGCACTGACAGGATATAATTAACTATCTTCCGAAGTTCCATGCAGCTGGGTGTAAAACACACGTGCTCTGCGATGCTGTGGGAAGCAGAAAGTGCTGTGACAGACAGAAGGGGGTGCTGGAATTCAGGCCGCTGACACGTGGAAGAGGGTGTCCCCCAGCCCTCCCTGCACTCCGTCCATCCCCCCGTCACCTCCATGTGTGCTCAGGACGGGAGCAGCTGTGGGCAAACAGATGCTGTTGTGAAAAAAAAAACAGAGGGAAAGGAAGAAGTGGAGGTGGGAGGGGGCCCACTGCTTCTTACACCTTGCTACTGCAAAGACATCAGAGTCTATTCTGAATTTTTCAGCATTTGAAGTCAAACCAGTCAAAGTGCTAAAGCTAATTATGTGAGCAGGTGGCTGTCGACACTTTTCAGGGAGAAAAATATGTGTGCGAGTCCTGCCAGCCTTCACAGCCAGCGGGTCACCGAGAAGCTATGTGTGTGAGGCTGAGAAACCCACACAGGCAGTGAGACAGCTCAGCCCTGGGCAGGAGAGGGATCCCAGGCGGAGGGGGCGGCCTGGACAGAGCCATGGAGACACAAGAGAGCAGGGGCGTGAGTGTGAGAGGGAGTGTGTGGTGTGTGCCTGTGTGTGAATGTGTTAGTGTATGTGGTGTGTTTGTGAATGTGTGTGTTGTGTGTGCCCTTGTGTATGTGGAGTGTGTGTGTGTGTTTGGTGTGTGCACGTGTGTGAATGTGTGGTGCATGTGTGTATGTGTGTGCAGTGTGTGTGTGGTGTATGTCTGTATGTATGTGTGTGAGTGTATGTGTGTGAGTGTATGTGGTGTGGGTGTGTGTGCATGTGTATGGAGTATGTATGAATGCGTGTGTGGTGTGTGTGATATAAGTGTGTGTGTGGTGTATGTGAGTTTGTGTGGTATGTGTGGTGTATGTGTGAGTGTATGTGTTGTGTGAGTGTATGTGCATGTGTATGGAGTATGTATGAGTGCGTGTGTGTGTGGTGTGTGCGTATGTGGTGTGTGTGTGCATGTGCGTGTGTGGTGTGTGTGGTATGAGTGTGTGGTGTGTGTGTGGTATGAGTGTGTGGTGTGTGTGTCAGTGTATGTGGTGTGTGTGCATGTGTATGGAGTATATATGAGTGCGTGTGTGGTGTGTGTGTGCATGTGTATGGAGTATAAGTGCGTGTGTGGTATGAGTGTGTGTGTGTGGTGTGTGTGTGAGAGTGTATGTGGTGTGTGTGCATGTGTGTGGAGTACATATGAGTGCGTGTGATGTGTGTGTGGTATGAGTGTGTGTGGTGCATGTGTGATGTGTGTGTGGTGTGTGTGTGTGTGTGTGGTATGAGAGTGTATGTGTGTGGTGTGTGGTGTGCGTGCGTGGTGTGTGAGAGTTTATGTGGGGTATGAATGTGTGTGTGAGTGTGTGTGTCTCTTGACCTGCAAGTAGCCCAGCATTGCCTACACGTATGTTGCAAGATGGAAAAGAGCAGAAATGAAGTGGAGAGGGCAGAGGGAAAGTTAAAGGGGCTGTCCTGGAGGTCAGCGCTGACATGCAAGGCGAGGGATCAACCCTCTCCGAATTGGATGACAACGGGCACTCGTCCAGGAAAAGCACACGTATGTGCACATTCACACAGAGGCGCGTCCAGCATAATACAATCGGGGGTACTCACATACCACAAGCAAGCAAGCAGCTCCCGCGTTTTCGCCAGGCAGAGGGGCTGCGGGGAAGACAGCGCACCAGTCTGTCCCCACGGTGGGATGCAGAAGGGGACTCGCAAGGGGAAATTGAGAGGAGGATCCCAGGATGGCCAAGAGTGCCCCACCCCCACGACCACTACCATGAAAACAGAATGCACACTCCCCCCTCCGCCTCGCCACAGGCCCCCCATGACTTCAGACAATAGAAAGTGAGTTCATGGCAAACGCCCACGACTTAAGTTGCAGCTCAGAGGAAGCAGGCGTAAGCCGAATGGAAGGGGAAGAATCCACACCGTATCAGAACCACCAGGAGGGCTGGACGGGGCTGATAAGAAATCAGAGGGCCACAGGGAAAAGGAAGAAGGCGGCACGGGGCGCTAGACCACGGCCCAGCCTGGGAGCAGCTAACCCATGGCCAGGCGGAAACCCCCACAGGCACTTCCCCAGCTAAGAGGATGTGATTGCCATTGGCCAGGGGAGGGCAGGTGAGGCGGGGCTGTGGTGGTGTTGCAGGAAGGGACGGAGAGGCCCCATAGGGAAACAGAACTGGGTAGAGCCCTCAGAAGGCAGCTGTCAGGGAAATACTCCTGCCCACAGGGGCGATGGTGTTGGCAACGGCATCGAGACCTGAACAGGCTGTGGTCCGGCAGAGCGGGGAGGTCGTGATGGTACTGGCCGGACAGCGGCTCTGAATATGGCGCATTTGTGAGACGTCGTGGGCATCTATGGCATGTGTAGGACAAAGGCTGGCTATTCCTCCTCGCCTTCCCACTTTGACTTCAGATACGGCGTGTCATCTCCCGTCTTCCCCTTGCATCTCTGGACGCCCGTTCTTTACTTTCTCCCCAACTTGTGCTCCTCTGCCTGGTGTTACATGTCAGAACTCCTAATGGCTTGATCCCAGACTTTCTTCTCTCTTCATCCTATGCGGCTGAGAAATCTCACCGTGACTCCAGTTACCCTTTAAGTGAAGGTGACTCCCAGACTCCTAACTCTGGCTGCAGCCTCTTTGGTAAGCTCAGAGTCTGCTCATCTAACCCTGATGTACAACCCGAAGTCAGCATACCCACGATGGAAGTGCTAACCTTTACGTCCCCCAACAGACGGTCTTCCAAGGTCCCGTGTGGGTACCTGGTGCCTGCAACCGTGCAGCTCTGCAAGCCAGACTGGGACAGCACTTTGGGCGACTCCTGCCGCCTTGCGCCCAGCCCAGCTCGTGTCTGCGTGTTGCCTCCCAAGTGTCTCCGGAATTCGACCATCTCTCTCCGTCTCCACAACCACCATGCTCGTCCAAGCTCCCATGCCCATCGGTCTTCGTGAAGGTTCCTGCACCTTCCCAACTGCTCCCTCCACATCACTCTGCTCCCCGCGGAACACCTGGTGTGCTGCAGCCCGAGCGAGTTAGGAGAAACACGCTGCTCCCGCCCCATGCCACTGTCCCACTTCCTCTAACACCCGATTGCCCTGCACACTCGGGATGTGCAGGGCCCATGGACATTTTTTCAAGGTGGGGAGTCATCCAAAGAGAAACCTATAAGATTATTTAAACTAAACTCTGAGATTAACAAAACAAAAACAAACAAACAAAAAAACTCTCAAGAAAGCAGACTCTTTTCCACTGGCCAAGAACAGCAAAGCACACAGCCCAGACAGTGACCTCGGACAGGAGGACCATAGACAGGACTCCAAGAAGCAGAGCCCAGAATTAGAGACAGAAACCAGGCCACATTGTTTACAGCCTGGGACAGGCCCTCTCCTGAGGTTTGTTTAGTTACGTGATCCAGTAGTCCACCCACCTTGTTTTTCCTAAACCACGTTGACTCAGGTTTTCTGTAAAATAAACTAAAAGAATCACATTATACTTAACATGTAGCTGATCACAGCATTGACCTCTTGGCAAAATGTGTCAATAGCTTCCCATGACCCATGGTTCTTAGGATAAAAACTAAAACTCCTTAATATGGCCGCCAAGGCCCTGATGGATCTGGGCCTGTTTACCTTCCCAGCCAAATGGCAAAGCTCTCTGTGCCTGCTCTCACCTCCAGTAACATTGAGCTTGCCTCTGGGCCTTCACACAGTCCTCCTCCAACACGGTCTTTGCTCCGGATGCTCCTCCTCACTGCTTCATCCCCTACCTCCTCCTAGTCATTCACCTTTTCCTCCAGAGAGGCGATCCACATGAGATTCCTGTCCCTTGCTTTCATAGAATCATGCTCCTTTCCTTCAAAATAATTTGCACCATTTATAATTAAATAATACTTAGTGTGATTATCTGATTGTCTGCCTCCCGCACTAGATAGCAAACTGAGCAATTATTGTAGATATCTGTGTCTGCTCAAAACTGCATCCCCAGCACCTGACATACATGGTGGGTGCTGGAAAATGCCTAGTGGGTGGGTGGATGGATAGATGGATGGGTGGATGGATGGATGGATGGATGGATGAATATATTGATGGGTGGACAGGTGGACACGTAGATGGATGGATGGGTGGGTGGATGGATGGATGGATGGATGGATAGGATGGATGGATTGATGAGTGGACAGATGGACAGGTAGATGGATGGATGGATGGATGATGGGTAGATTGATGGGTGGACAGATAGATGCATGGATGGGTGGATGAATGGATGGACAGATGGACAGGTAGATGGATGGATGGATGGATGGATGAATGCCTGGGTGGATGATGGATAGATTGATGAGTGGATAGACACGTGGATGGGTGGATGGATGGAATGTATGAATATATTGATGTGTGGACAGATGGACAGGTAGATGGATGGATGGATGGGATGGATGGATAGATTGATGGGTGGACATATGGACAGGTAGACGGATGGATGGATGGATGAATGGATGGATGGATGGATAGATTGATGGGTGGACAGACGGACAGGTAGATGGATGAATGGATGGATGGATGACTGCATTGATGGATGATGGATAGATTGATGGGTGGACAGATAGACACGTGGATGGATGAATGGATGGATGGATGGACTGATGGGTGGACAGATGGACAGGTAGATGGATGAATGGATGGATGGATGGATGATGTATAGGTTGATGGGTGGACAGATAGATGTGTGGGTGGATGGATGGATTGATGGGTGGACAGATGGACAGGTAGATGGATGAATGGATGGATGATGGATAGCTTGATGGGTGGACAGGTGGATGCATGAATGGATGGATGGATGGATGATACATTGATGGGTGGACAGATGGACAGGTGGATGGATGGATGGATGGATGAATGGATAAATTGTCAAAGAACTTTGGATGGAGGAGTCAGAGACAGGAGCAATGAGAAGTTTCCGGCTTGAAATACCAGGTAGAGATGGTATCTGAGCTAGAAGGAGGAGAAAGGTGGGTAAGGAGGTGTTATTTGCATGTTACTATTTAAATGGAGGGGACACCAAGTGAGATGAAAGTTTGGAGACATGTTTCCCTCAATCACTGAGAGAAGCACTATTCTATCACTCATCATCGAGTAAAAATATATTCAGATAATTTCAACCAGCCACAGTCTTTTCTCCACTGACTCCACAAACACACCTGAATCCAGATATTCCCAGGCCCATCTTTGTCGCTAGCTCTACCTGGCTCCTGTCACTGTGCCCCCTTTCTGCACCCCCCACCAACTTCACAGCCCTTCCAGCTGCCTGCCATTAATAACTCTGCACACAGAGCAATCCCTCTAAAACTTCACTAGACCCAAACAAGAAACGTTTATAATTTTACTTAATAAAGATAAATGTGAAAATCTAGCATGTACACAAATGAATGACTAAAAAGAGTGCTTTTGCTCAAGACTGAAAAGAACATATTGCAGTCTTGATGTTCTTAAAGATGAGTGCGATCACACAGAACCATA
Organism: Homo sapiens; assembly: GCF_000001405.40. Lineage (NCBI taxonomy): Eukaryota > Metazoa > Chordata > Mammalia > Primates > Hominidae > Homo > Homo sapiens. The sequence continues at coordinate 167,656,382 of NC_000006.12, forward strand.
TATGTTGCCAAGTTAAGGTGTAATTTGAACATAGCATACCAAGAGCTAAGTCAAGTCAGTGGTATTTTCAATGTAACCTAATTAAGTTAATTTTAATTCCCCTTGGCATTATCTTCATGGTATATTATTTCTGATTATTCAAAAACAGGTGATTACAAAGACAGATTATTTTAAATATTCCATACAATGGGAAAAGTGCTTATTTTATGTTAATTGTTTAATTTCGAATTATGATTGAAGCTTTTTCTCGTGACGTTTTCATCTTGGTAATGGTTGTTTTTAAAATATGGAAAGATTATGTGACACACCATTACTTTTAAATATAGTTTATACTGATGTTTGCTAGATGTAGACACAGAATTTATACTGGAAAATAGAGAGAGAAAGTAATACCTCCAAATAATTCAATTATCTATAATTTCATGTCATCAGTATAGTTATACCAGGATCTCTAATATTGTCTTCCTAATCCAGCTTAGTAGTTTCTCCCTTAGAAGTCACACATTTAAACAAAAAAATAAAAATAAAAATAAACAAAAAACTCCTAGTAACTGAAAATACGTACGGAAAGGCATTTGGCAACTCCACTTATGGCTGGAGCATAGAAATTGGAAAATGTTTAATTCAAATTAATTAATTAATTAATTAAAATAAACAAAAAACCATGCTGCTCCATTCATCCACAAAGGGAGAGTTGGGACTGCACCCAGAGGGGAATGAAGGTGGAATTGTAGACTCACAGGATTACAGCTCCCAGGGGCCACCTGTGGAGCCTCGTTCTTCCTTCTTCCTTAATACTCAGGTTCCATAGCGTAGCTGAACACATGGCATCCTGGAAAAGAAGACAGCTCACTGACATGGTTTGGATTTGCATCTCTGCCCAAATCTCATGTCAAATTGTAATCCCCAGTGCTGGAGGTGAGGCCTGGTGGGAGGTAATTAGATCGTGGAGGTGGATTTCCCCCTTGGTACTGAGTGGTGATAGCGAGTGAGTTCCCGTGAGATTTGGTTGTTTAAAAGTGTGTAACACCTCCCTGCTCCTCTCTTCCTCCTGCTCCTGCCATGTGAGGTGCCAGCTCCCACTTCACCTTCTGCCATGATTGAAAGTTCCCTGAGGTCTCCCCAGAAGCAGAAGCCGCCATGCTTCCTGTACAGCCTGTGGAATGGTGAGCCCATTAAACCTCTTCTCTTTATAAATTACCTAGGCTCAGGTATTTCTCTATTGAAGTGTGAGAATGGCCTGACACACTTACCCACCTTCCCTGCAGCTAAGGGCTGTGGACTGAACTGGGTCTTCCTAAATTCCAAAGCTCAAGCCCTACTCGCAGTGGGATGGTGTTTGGAGGCGGGCCTTTGGGAGGGAACTAGGTTTAGATGAGGTCGTGCAGGTGGGTCCCCACGATGTGATTAGGGTCCTTATCAAAGAGGAAGAGTCCGGAGCTTGTCTCTCTCTCTCCGCCTTCCTGAGGAAAGGCCAGGTGAGGACACAGCAGGAAGGCCGCCATGTGCAATCCCAGGCAGGAGAAACGGACCACCTGATTCTCACCAGGTTCTCACCAGACCATGCCAACATCTGGATCTTGGGCTTCCAGGCTCCAGAACTGTGAGAAATAAATTCACCTTGTTGAAGCCACCCATCTGCAGTACTTCATCGTGGCAGCTTGAATTGACTAAGACACTGAGTGTGGTCAGAGGTGTGTGAAGGTGTGGTTAACAACTACAGTAGTCCCCCCACCACAGATTCAATTTCCAGTGTTCCTGTTAACTGAGGCCACAAAATATTAAATGGAAAATTCCAGAAATCAGCAATCCACAAGTTTTAAATTGCACACTGTTCTGAGTAGTGTGATGAGGACTCTCACTGTCCCTCATCTCCTTCCCCAGAGATGAGTCCTCCCTTTGTCCAGCGGATCCACACTGTGCACGTTCCCTGCCCGTGAGTCACTTTGTAGTCACCTTGGTTATCAGATCAACTGTCAGAGTCTCCCAGTTCAAGTCTCCCATTGTTCAAGTCACTCCTGGTTCACTCAGTAATGGCCGCAAGAGACTGGCCATTTGGTTCTGCCAAGAAGAAGCCATAAAGTGAAAAGGTGTCAGTTCTCAATAAGCAAAGGAAAGAATCGTATGCTGAGGCTGCTGAGATCTACAGTAGGAATGACTCTTCTTTTTTTTTTTTTTTTTTTTTTTTTTTTTTTGAGGCGGAGTTTCGCTCTGTCGCCCAGGCTGGAGTGCAGTGGCGCGATCTCGACTCACTGCAAGCTCCGCCTCCCGGGTTCACGCCATTCTCCTGCCTCAGCCTCCCGTGTAGCTGGGACTACAGGCGCGCGCCACCATGCCCGGCTAATTTTTGTATTTTTAGTAGAGACGGGGTTTCACCGTGTTAGCCAGGATGGTCTCGATCTCCTGACCTCGTGATCCGCCCGTCTCGGCCTCCCAAAGTGCTGGGATTACAGGCGTGAGCCACCGCGCCCGGCCGGAATGACTCTTCTATCAGTGAAACTATAAAGAAGGAAAAGAAATTTGTGTTGGTTTTGCTGTTGCATCTCAAAAGACAAAAGCTACAGCAGCAGTGCATGGTGAGTGCTTAGTTAAGTTAAAAAAGGCATTGAGTTTGTGGGTGGAAGACATGCACGGAAGCGTGTCCTGATAGACAGCAAGTGGGTCTGGGAGTATGGCTGTGTCAGGAGTCCACAGCGGGTCTTGGAACACACGCCCCAGGGATACAGGGGTACCACTGTGCAGGGGTGTCCTCAAGAGTGGCTCCCAGGGCTTACCTCCCTTCTTCTGGCTGCAGTGCCGGAGTGCGGGCCCCAGCTTGGGCTGTCATTTCAGACTGAGAGCTGGAAGCCATTGAGGTTGACTCAGCAGTGAGACAAAGGAGCCTGTACCCTGAAGCTCATATGCAGTCCCAGGCTGCTGCCCTATGATTGTGTTTAAGACAGTGGGGTGTGTGTGTGAGTGTGTGTGCATGTGTGTGCAATGACCACTTGCAGCCAAACTCAATCCTGATTGACACATGGCCTGAGGACTGGGGCCTGGCTCCTTGCTCCTCTCCTTGGCCCTGTGTTCAGTCACTGCTCTGGAGCTGGTCTGCAAAGGGGCTCAGTGCCCTGGGAGGATGCTTCCTCTTCTTGCTCCTGTGTGATGAGGTTTACAGGATGGCAAAGCAGCTTGGCAATCGAGCTGAAGTGTAGATACACACACACATACACACATACACACACACACACACATACATATGCACACACACACACACATATTCATTTATACATACACATATACATATACACACATATGCACACACATATATTCATTTATATATACACATATACATATACACACATGTTCATACATATGCACACACATATATGTTCATATATACACACATATACATACATATATACGTGCACACACATATATTCATTTATATACACACATATACACACATATACATACACACATATACATACATACACACATATTTATATATACACATATACACACATATATACACACACATATACATACATATGCACACACATATATTCATTTATATACATACACTTAAACATACACACACATACATATGCACACACATATGTATTAATTTATATACACACATACATATATTCATTTATATATACACACATATATTCATTTACATGTATACACAGATATACATACACACACATATACATACACACATATATTTATATACACACATGTACTCATTTATATATACACACATACAGTTATATACATATACACATACCCACATACACACACATACATATATATACACACATGTTCATTTATAGACACACATATATATTCATTTATATATACATGCACACATATATACATTTATGTACACACATGCCCACACACACACATATATTTATATATAAAACCATATAAAATAATATATAAGTAATATACATAAACAATGCTTATGTCAATATTTCTATTTCATTTCATTAATTCATTGGAAACTCTGTTCATCTGTTAACAGAAAGCAAGGTGACAAACGTCTGTGTATTCCAAATGAATCAGATTTCAAAACTGACTGATTCTATAATAACAAAAAGTCAAAAGGTAAACTGTGGCCACCTGAGACTTCCCCAGTTATGGTGAAGGTGGGTAATTGTGGGCCCAGACAGGGTGTTTACAAAGAAAGAGAAGCCAGGGGCTTAAAATAACTGCACGTGGGCTCCAGGCGTATTCTAAACTTGTGAAACAGCATGCTAGTCAGATGAATTTGGGTTGTGTGGAAAAAGAAATATTTAAATTCCTCTCTCTTCTCTGAGTGCTGTGGAATTCTTTTTAATAGAGAAAGATTAAAGCGAATGCCAGAGGGGTTGGTTCCAATATGAATATTTATTAAATGAGCTGAACAATGTATACTGGGTCAAAGGGGCCCCCGATAGGTCCATTCTCTTTGTAAATCGTAAGAAGGCCCTTTCAGTTAAAAATTGTGAAGAGTTAAACTAGAAAGGGAACCATAAGGTCAGTCTTTTTCTGATGTCCTAAACCCACCCAGCTTCCTGAGATGTGCACTGTAGCCAACATGCTCCTCATCTCCTGGACATCAGTGATGTCGTCTCCAAGATCAAACGAGTCCAGAAAATTCCGAAATCAATTTCTAACGGGGCAACCCTAAATTGACCAGGGCATTCTATAACAGCGCTGGTCCCAGCCTGGCCACCCACCCCAGGATGTGCTGGAGCCTGCTTGCACCAGCTCCTAAGAGCCAATTAGTAACTTCTGGGGAATGTTTCAAACTAGTTAGTCACAGCCATGGTGAGAAAATGCAGAATTAAGGACCGTTCCCACCCCTGCAACTACACAAAAAGCTAAAGTGGGCCAATCACAGTTGGTAGTGCTGAAACTGACAGCTTTCATTTAATCAATAAAATTTGTATGAGCTGACATGAGAAACCATTTAGGAGATCGTATCGCTTAACAATGAATGTATGGAGAAAAGTGACAGGTTGAAAATAGCCCCATTACCACACCATGGGTGGATTGTACCCAGAGACTGTCTGCAGATGTGAAAGCTGGGCAAAAACCACCAGAATGTCCTGTGGGCATGGGGTGGCTGCTCGGAGTGTGCAGTGAGTGTCCTATGTGGCTTTTTATTTGGAACTTGTGCAACTTGCCTCCTTTCTATCAGAAAGATTTATAACAGATATACAAAGATCCTCATAGGTACTTTTTTTTTCTGGAGAGCCAGTTGTTAAACATTTACCAGCACTGCTCCACCGCCCAACCCTCCTTCCCTCACCTCCTCCCACACACTCTCCTCCTGATGTAAAAATGCATTTTCTAGTATCAGCTGGGGACTAATCCCATCCAAGTTTGGAGCATCTTGGGGTGAAGGGGCCCTTGTCTTGCTTTGGAAGTCCTTCAGAGCCAGAAACATTTCACTTTTCATGGCGTGCCTGGAGGCTGGGAGGATCACCGGCTGCCTAGAAACAAGGTTGAAGTTTTGGAAAAAAGCCTTATTCCTGCAATTGTTGATCCACAGATTTCCAGTGTTTCTTTAATGGGCGTTCTCCGGCCCCAGCAGCCTCGCAGGCGCTTGCTCACACCAACCCCACTCCAGGGCTTCAGACACTTTTGAAACCGCCTTTTGGACTCATGCTCAGGGCTGGTGTGTGAGCTAAAGAAGTAACCCAGTCATATTTCAGAATTTTCACCAAAAATGTTATTACCCAGCATTATTTTTTATTTCATTTACCTGAAAAGCTCCAGACGATGGTGGCCTGTTTGTGCAGGAAAAAATACAACTTCAGAGCTGAAAAGCAGACGCCGTGGAGGGCGGGGGCATGAAGGAAGAGGAGAGACGTCTTCATCTCTAGGACGCATCGTTCAGGCCACAGAGCTAACATACGGCAAACCTGGACCTTTCCCGCAGTCACGATCACTGGAGCACGTTCAGGGCCTGCAGGTGGTGATGGGCCGCGCAGTCGGGACCCTGGAGCTCTTCAACGTGCTTCATGGCACTGCTTCTCGACCTGAGATTCAAGGCTCCAGAGGCCCCACTGGCCACTCCGCTTCCGGGACCCCTCACACCTCCCAGCCGGGACTTGGGGAGGCACTTGCGAGAGGCTGCGTTTGCCGTTGCGCTCTCTGGAGCTGGAGAACCACTGGGCGACTCTGCGTGACTCCTGCACCCACTGTCAGGACCCCGGAAGCCAACCGGTTTGGAGAAAAGGGCCCACTCCTCACCGCGCTCTCTGCCCGCGGCCTGGCGCAGGGCCTCACGGGGCTGAGATCCTGATCACCAGGAGGAGCCACACCTGGCGGAGCCCCTCCTTTACCGAGCCCATCTCAGGTGGCTGGTGAGGATGCGTGAAGGGGTAAACCGAGGCACCAGGAGGGCCTCCCAAGCACTGGCTGGGCACTTTCCCATTCTTGTTTAGTCCTCAGGCCACCCGCCAGTGAGGCGCACCCCAGGCCATCCCCTGATGAGCCTCAGAGGTAGCCAGGGAGATGCCCCCGCCCGTTTCACCCGCGCTGTCACTGCTCGCTGCCCCGTGAGCCAGCCTGGGTTCTGGGTGGCACCAGCGGCAGTGGCTCTGCCTTTGGGAGCCTGGGGACAGTGCTGGCTGCATGGAGCGCGGGCCTCTGCGGCTGCCACTCCTCCAACAGCCTTCAACACGCAGCAGCTCACACCAGCCCCTGGCTCCCAGGCCCCCTAGGCTCTGGAAACCTGTAGCCTCTCCCAGAGAGGAAGGGAGGTGCCTGAGGCTCTGCGGGGCCACCGTGGGGGCCGTGTACTGTGCACAGTGGCTCACAGGAGTCCCCTAAGAAGGCATGCAACTCCGCAGGACAGACAGACCAGCCTCTGTCCTTTGCCTGAGGGAAGGAGACAGACAGCGAGCAGAGGATGCAGAGGAGCTGAGCTCAGAGCCACGAGTGTGTTATTGGAGATGATGTGTTGTGTGGTGATGGAGATGGTGTGTTTACAACACCTGAGGAGGCCAGAGGCTTTTCCTCACTCTGGGCACTCACTCCTCAGGGCCACATCTCAGCAGCCTCCTCAATAGCAGACCCCATGGGATGCATTTATCCCATGGCCTTGTACTCACCATTCATCCTGTCTGAAAGTCCTGGGTGTGGAGTGACTGGTTGGTGGCTGGTGGGTGGGGTTTCCACCAGCAGTGGGTGACAGCACTCTCCGCCAGCCGGGAACAGCCGTGTCCACACTGACCAGGCCCGTGGAGAGTGCTCAGCCTAACCTTAGAACACATTTGTAACTGAATGCACTGTTTTCAATTTGTAAGGAATAATTAAAATATTAAAGTTGTGAAATGTGAACAACACAAAAAAAACCTGGTGAGGTTATGAAGGCTCAACTGCACCAAAATCCTGGCCTCAAAACCAAAATCCTGACACTGACTCTCTTAGCAACGTTATGGGGGCTCTGCAAAGCTGAGAAGCTGAGTCCCATATGAAGATAAAAGGCCGCGCCTGGATGGCTTGTGTGCGGCAGACGGGGAGGCTCCTCCTAGTCATGCCTGAACCTTTGGTCTGAACTGGAGCTCCACGAAGTGACGCTGCCCTGGGATGCAGCGAACATCCGCCTCCCCGCTGTGGCCGCTGCATCCTCCGGGGTGTCCTCAGGTGGAAACGCACCTGAGCTGACAGGTGCAGGATGCTGAGGGCTGAGTGTCTCTGGGAGCACATCAGATGTGAGAATAAAAAGATAGTCAGAGATTGCCCTAGCCCTGCCTGACGTGGAAAATCTGGAGTAAAATACATCAGTGACTCCTGCCAGGTCCGTGGGAGAGTCGTGCCAGGCGCTTGCCGTGTTTGGTGACAACCAAGAAAGAGCGGCTGTGACAAAGTCAATACTTCTCCACCCTCGGGTCCCCGCCCATCCCTTTCTGGAATCAGTGACTAACATTTCAGGGAGCACTGAGGTTGCGAGCTGATCTCTCCTTTACATGGGGCCATCCCCTTTTAGAATGAGCTTAAAGCCAGGTACTTCATGGACTGCCATGACGTACAACCTGTTGCCATGGAACCCCTTTCCACTCTCGGGAGAGGACAATCCATGCTCCTGGATTCTAGAGCCATGCCTACCACAACGTTACAGAGAAGACGTCTCTAGGATTCTAGCCCTGCCTTTCAGACACGGATAATGTGGCCTGCAGATACCATCAGGCTCTTGTGAATACAATCATGAGGTCATAGTGTGCCCAAACAGACATGTCTCAGACAAACAGGAACCTGGGAAATGGCCACTGACATGGAGTCAGGTGCAACTTGCTCTCAGGGTGCAGAATGATTCTAGAGTCTGTGTTACGAAGAGAAGCCCAGATAGAAACTGGGGAACAGGTCCAGGGGGAGGTGACCAGGTGAGCAGAGCAGAGAATCCAGGACGGTGGCCAGAGGCAGGAGCAGAGCTGGGGAGCAGGCTTCAAGCTCATGCTTCCAGCACCTCTGTGTGTGCACATGTTATGTACATGTGTGTGCGTGCATATGTGTGTACTTGTGAGCACATGTGTGTCTGCATATTCGCATGTGTGTGCACATGCATGTGGGTATTGTGTGCTTGTGTGCACAAATGTCTTCCTGTGTTTATATGTATGCATTGTGCATACTTCTGTGTGCATATAAACATGCGTGTGCATGTGTGCATGTCTGTGCACGTGTGTGTGTTTCTGGGAGAGAAGATCAGGCCAGTTCAGACTGCCTGAGTGAGCACTGTAGAGAAAGGCAGGGAAAATAGCCTTTGCCAGCATTCTTGTTTGTCCAAAATAAGGGAAGCGGTTGGATTCTGAAGGGCGTGCTGCTGTAATTCTCATCACCACTGTCCCCATCACTGTCTAATTCATGCAAACACTTGCCTGCAGCTGCTTCAGGAAAAGGCCTTTATTATCCCAGGCCCCTCCTCCCCCGTGCCTTCTGACCCGCGTGCAGAGCCCTCGGGAGCCCATGTTTCCTGCCCATGTTTGTGGGAGCCTGGTGATGGGTTCCTCAACCTGGCCCTCCATGAGCCTCTTCAATCACTTCTCCTTCAGAGAATGAATAGCCTCCCACACAAACATGAGTGATTGGGAACCTTGGGAACTGTGGAAGTTTCAGCTTAAATTCTTCTCTGAAGTTTTTCCAAAGCCCAGCTGACACTGAGCGTGTGGATTTGAGGAGAAAAGGACTTATGGGTTTCACCTGAAACTTGCAAGCTTAGTTTCCTTCAAAACGTACAACACATAGGCTGGATTCCTCCTCCACTGCTGATCCCCATCCCCCAAGCCACCACGGTTCAGATCGTGGAATTTAAAAGGGTAGTGTGCGCACACACACACACGGATATGCAAACACATGTGTGTGCTCACAATTACACACACGCACACACGTACATAACATGTGCTCACATACAGAGGTGCTGGAAGCTTGAGCTTGAAGCCTTCTCCCCAGCTCTGCTCCTGCCTCTGGCCACCGTCCTGGATTCTCTGCTCTGCTCACCTGGTCACCAGCCCCTGGGCCTGTAATTTAAAGAATTTCTCATTGGCTGTGTGACGTTGGGCAACTGACTTAACCTCTCTGTGCCTCAGCTGTAAAATGGACATAGTAATAATAATGCCCTCCCTCTCAAGGCTGTGGTGAGAATAAAACAAGTAGATGCATTTGAAGTACAAGTGGCACCCACCGTGTGTCACCTGTGTACGTGCATGTCATTCTCCCCGTGTGACCACTGGGAACGTCCAGGCCCACGCCGATCTCCAGGAGGAGGATTGGGGCCGAAGTTGAGTCGGTCACCCATGGCCAATGATGTAATCAATCACGGCTCTGTAACGAAGCCTCCATAAACACCCGAGAAGACTGGGATGGAGGAGCCTCAGGGTAGCTGGCCTCATGGAGGGTGGTGCCTGCGGCCGGCAGGGAAGCTTCACCCCTCCCCCAGCCCTCACCTACACATCTCTTCATTGACCGGTTCATCTGCGCCCTTTGCAATAAAGGGGTAAACATAAGTCGAGCGTTTCTCCGAGTTCTGTGAGCCGAGCTAGCAAATTAACCAAACCCAAGGAGAGGGTCTGGGAACCCTGATGTACACAGAGCCAGCCGGTCAGAAACACACGGGCTTGTGGTTGGCACCTGAAGTGGGGGCCTTCTCGTGTGACTGAGCCCTCAACCTGTGGGTCTGGAACTCATTCCAGCTGGACAGCGTCAGGATTGATTGAACTACAGGACCCGGGGCCCCTCCTGACGCTGCCCCTTTCGGAGGTGGGGACGCGCTTGTCTGGGTGAGCACCTGCTGGGGGTTTGACACTGGAAGACCTTCGAGGCAGCAGGAGGCTCAGGACCTCCCCAGAAGACCCTTCCCCTCTGACACTGGAAATACAAAGTTTCATTTCCACAAGCCCATGGTTTTGTGCTCACTCTGCACTAGGACGCAACACGGGGTCGGGAGAGATTGTGTGGAAAAATAAAACATGGCCAGACCCATTTTCTTACCAATTTTCAAGTGGATTTCGGGTATCAAATGATCATCTTTGTTTTTTTGTGCAGCAGGATATTAATCAGTGTTAGAGGGAGGGAGATTCTGGGACAGGCTGCGGCGCAGATGAGTCTTCAGGGCCGCTGAGTGACGCGAGCCAGCCACAGAGGACAAATCCTGCCCAACTCCACTTAGGTGGGGTCCGAAGAGTTGTCAGGTTCATGGAGACAGGAAGGAGAAGGCAGGTGCCAGGGGCTGTGGGAGGGGAGGGAGTGTTTACCGACGACAGAGTTTCCGTTTGGGAAGACGAAGAAGCTCTGTGGGTGGAAGGTGGTGATGATGAACACACTTAATGCCTCCAAACTGTACAATTAAAAATGGTGACAAAGGCCCCAGTGTTACGTGAAGCACATTTCACAGTGAAAATCACGCCTCATGGGGCCAGCCCGCTCCACTCGGAGAGGAGGAAGCTGCTCTTCCCCAGAGTGCGCGTTTTCAGGACAGCATTTTCAGATGTGCTGTGTTGCATGAGGACTGTGGAGAGTGTGAGAAGGGGAGGCCAGCCAGGCAGGGCCCACAGACAGCAGGGGTCAAACCATGGACATCTTTAGGGCATTTGTCCCTCCTGGTCCTTGGGAACAGCCCCAATTGTCCCCCTGGAGTGTGTCTGTGGCATTGGGCCCCCCTGGAGCGCCAGGGTTGGGGTGGGCAGTGGGGTGGGCAGAGTGCCGTAAGCTGGGTCTCTCAGTGGCTCCTCTCCTTCCAGCCAATGTGCAATGCAGTCCAGCTCAGTCTCTGCAAGCCCAGCCATGGAGGACTCCACACAGGTACAGACCCATGACTGTCACTCCAGGTCTGCCGTGAGCCACTCCAGTTCACCGGCCAGCACCCCATCTTTAGACAGCGGGTGCGTAAGTCAGCCAGGTCCTGTGTCGCTTAAGCCTTCCTTCCTTGATATGTCCCAAAACGGCCTCTCGAGCTGCGGGGCAAGGCCTCCAGTCCTGCGTCTTGTGTTTGGGGAGCACGTCAGCTTCCAGGGCAGCAAACTCGCGGTGCTTCCTCTAAATGCTTAGACTATGGTACAAAAGATCCAAGAAATGCCAGTGGCATTCGGTTCCCCTTGCTGTGTCCTCCTGGCCCTTTCCATGAACCTTTTGTTCTGACAGGGAGGACGGCCGGTGGCCTGGGTCTCACACTCGGCCACTTGAGTTCCCCGTGGGCCTCTGCAGCCTCCTCTGTGGGCCACATGTGTGTGGTTTGGGCAGAACGGGAGACTTCACAGGCCTCTGCTGGGAGCTCGCTTGTTTATTTTGGAAGAATTGTTTGTCTCTGCTGCTGACAGTGCAGCCTGAATCCTGTTTTGTTATTTCGCCGTCCGCGTGTTCTGTCAAAGACCAGTGGCCTTCTGCCCTCATCTGCTGCCTGTTTTGTTATTTCGCCGTCCGCATATTCTGTCAAAGACCAGTGGCCTTCTGCCCTCATCCGCCACCTGTTTTGTTATTTCGCCATCCGCGTGTTCTGTCAAAGACCAGTGGCCTTCTGCCCTCATCTGCTGACCGCCTGACTGCACTAAGCAGCATTAGATGACATTTTTCCGTCACTGAATTTTTAGGTCAAGCCAGTTCTATCGCTGCAGAATAGATAACTGAACGGCAGCGTGACAGCCTTTGGGGCAGGGGGGCCGTCTCCGGATAAGACACGTTTGTCTTTTTCCCAGGCACACAGCCTTTGCCGTTTCAGAGCCAGGGCTTTTCCTGAAGACTGCATTTCTATCAGCTGCACCTTGTGCAGGTCCCACCCCCTCATGCCCCTCCCTTACTCTAACAGGTGCAGAAGGGGAAGGAATGTCTGTGCTTTTCCAGGTTGCGTCCTTTCTGTAATGTGACTCACCTGTTCCGCAATATTTTTTAAGCATTTACAGGCTGCGCAGAATTGCGGAGGATGAAAGTTTGACAGAGACGTGGGCTGACCTGAGGGAGTCATGGGCAGCAAGGCCAGTGACAAGGCAGATACAAGAATAACTGCAGCGTAGGGACCGAATAGTGCACGCTGCAGCCTCCCGGGGGTGCAGCCAGTGGGGGATGAACAGACCCGTGGTCCTCCACACAGAGGTCAGCACACATCCAGGTGCATTTCCAAACACACCAGGTTGGTGTGTCTGCCAGGACCCCTGAGCAACCAAAGCCCACAGTGCCCCTCCCTGCCCCCGGCCCACCCCGTCCAGGACCCTCACCGACTGCCTACAGCCACTGAAGGGTAGAAGGGACCCGAACTTGGTCGAAGAGGAGGAAGCTGCTCTTCCCCAAAGCGCACATTTTCAGGACAGCATTTTTAGAGGCGCTGTGTTGCATGAGAACTGTGGAGAGTGTGAGGAGGGGAGGCCAGCCAGGCAGGGGCCACAGAGAGCAGGGGTCAATCCATGGACGTCTTTAGGGTCTCTGCCCATCTTGGTCCTCAGGAACAGCCCCAGTTGCTCCCCATGAAGTGCATCTATGGCATTGGGGCCCCCCGGAGCACCAAGGTTGGGGCTGACAGTGGGGTCGGCAGAGCGCCATGAGCTGGGACAGGAGGCGTCCCCTCTCCTTCCAGCCAATGCACTGGGCTGGACCCCCAGGTTTACAGAAAAGTGGGGCAGACCCTGGAGAACTGCTTTGTCATGAGATGGGGTGCTCACCCCCACCAGGCATAGCGTTCCTCCTTGCCCCTGGTAGTGCAAGGACCAGGCCATACCCATCGCAGTGTGGAAGCTGAGTCCATGCAGTGTCCGGTGGCGAGTGCTGTGCCCACTGGGAGGCTCGCCGAAAGCCATCCAAGAGGTCTGGGCTCCTCTGAGGCTGACTCGAGGGGGCTGCCCAGACAGAAAATCCTGGCCTTGCGATTTCAATCTCAGACCAACCCACCTGTGAACACTGCCTTCTCATGTGGACGTGGGGAATGAGGAGGAGACACGGCAAGCTTGGGACCAAAGGAAAAAGAGGCTGACCTTGAAGCCTCCTCCAGTGAGGGACAAAAAGTCACGGCCTCAGCTGGCAGAAGGTGCTTGATAAACCACAGGCTCCTGCCCCCAGCACTCTGGCCCCAGGGACACTCAGACGTGATAGAGTCCAGACACATCCCTGAGAGCCACACCACACACCTCGCGCCCCTGTTGTCCCATAAGAAGAGCCCCTCCCGGCAGACAAAACCCTCTCATGTGTGACTCAACCACGCCATAAGAGAGGCTCAGGTGAGGAGGTTTAACCGAGAGGCCAGTCGGGCAGAGTCCTGGGGGAAGCCAGCAGCATCTGGCTGGGCCTTCTCCTGGCTGTCCCTGCCCCTCGGCCCCCAACTGAGACAGAGGGAGGCTGGGAGCCTGGTCCCCCACCCTGGCCTTTTGGTGCAATCTTATCAGGAATGCGTGTGCCCTGTTTTTCCTCAGACACTCCACAGGAATGTGTCGAAACGCACAGCAACATGGCGTCCCCAGGGCTGGTGACACAGCCCCTCTGGCAACCTGGCTTCTGCGGCAGCTGGTGACGCCGTCTGCCCTGGGCCTCCATCCTGAGCAATATCACAGCGTCAGTTCACTGTCCCTCCCTGGAGGGACCTCCCCCACATGAAACCCTGCTCCAGAAGCATGGGTGGTCTCAGCCTGCATTCCCCAGGGAGAATGAGGTCTCTCCTTCTCCGTCCTGGGCTCCCTGCAGCCAGAGGGGTGATCAAGCGGCAGGAGAAGCCAGGAATGACCCCAAGGACACAGTCGGGTGACCGGTTATCACCCTGGACACAGGAGGCATCCACACAGAGACGGGTGGACGCAGAGCCAGGCCCCCCAGGATCCTCATCCCTTCTCTTCCTCCTGTGGTCACTGGGGACGTGACCCAGGGACAGGCCCTTCCCCAGGAAGGCTAAGCACGAAGTCCCACCCTTCTTGCGATCGAGGCCAGCAACATTGGTGTTCATGATGTCAGCCAAGGATGGAAGCTCCAAATCGCTCACTGCCCAGACTTGTGAAAACTAAATGGCTGCCCTTTTCCTTGGAACCTCTTTTCTGAAAGCACACAGGAATCTTCAGTTTTCCGCGGAGACCTGGAAGGAACTGAAAACCCAGGTTTAGTACAAGGAGAGCGTTAGAGATCTTACTAAATATTTAAGGAGGCTAAGAGTACAGCAGGCATTCTGTCTAAAAATCACAGGCTACAAAAGGAATCAGCGACCTTTGGTCCCAGTGACCCAATCAACGCTGAATCGCAGAGTCGTGTTGAGGGAGTTACAGACTGATGGTTTCTCCAGGACAGGCTGCATCAGAACGTAGAATACCAGTGTGACCGACCCAATGCACTCCTGTTCTTTTGAATTAAAAAATGACAAAATCCAAGTTGCTGTTCAAATCAGTAGGAAACCCAGCTGCTAAGGTTTATGGCAGTTGGGCCTGCTTGGAAGTCACAGTTCATGTCAATGCAAACTCATGGATACAGTGCAGGCTGGCCAGATTAAATAAAAGTTTTCCATTCCACTTCTATTCTGCAGTCTCATGCAGCCAACACTTTTCCTTGTTTAGTGTGGAAATGTTAGGTGCTCAGACCTGAGGCACTACAGTCACACTACAATCTACAGTCATACTATCATCTTCAGTCACACTACCATCTACAGTCGCACTGCCATCTACAGCCACACTGCCACCTACAACCACACTGTCATTTACACCCACTGCCACCTAAGTCACACTACCATCTACAGCTACACTGCCATCTTCAGTCTCACTGCCATCTACAGCCACACTGCCATCTACAGCCACACTGCCACCTACAGCCACACTGCCATCTACAGCTGCACTGCCATCTACAGCCACACTGCCACCTACAGCCACACTGCCATCTACGGCCACACTGTCATTTACACCCACTGCCACCTAAGTCACACTACCATCTACAGCTACACTGCCATCTTCAGTCTCACTACCATCTACAGTCGCACTGCCATCTACAGCCACACTGCCACCTACAGCCAACTGCCATCTGCAGCCACACTGCCATCTACAGCCACACTGCCATCTACAGCCACACTGTCATTTACACCCACTGCCACCTAAGTCACATTACCATCTACAGCTACACTACCATCTTCAGTCTCACTGCCATCTACAGCCACACTGCCACCTATGGTTGCACTGCCACCCACAGCCACACTGCCGTCTACGGCCACACTGCCATCTACAGCCACATTGCCACCCACGGCCACACTGCCACCCACGGCCACACTGCTGTCTACAGCCGCACTGCCATCTACAGTCGCACTGCCACCTACAGTCGCACTGCCACCCACGGCCACACTGCCACCCACGGCCACACTGCCATCTACAGCCACACTGCCATCTACGGTCACACTGCCACCTACGGTTGTACTGCCACCCACGGCCACACTGCCACCCACGGCCACACTGCCATCTACAGCCACACTGCCATCTACAGCCACACTGCCATCTACGGCCACGCTGCCATCTACAGCCACGCTGCCACCTACAGCCACACTGCCACCTACGGTTGCACTGCCACCCACAGCCACACTGCCGTCTACGGCCGCACTGCTGTCTACAGCCGCACTGCTGTCTACAGCCGCACTGCCATCTATAGTCGCACTACCACCTACAGTCGAACAGCCATCTACAGCCACACTGCCATCTACAGTCGCACTGCCACTTACAGCCGCACTGCCATCTACAGTGGCGCTAACATCTACATTCACGCGGCCATCTACAGTCACACTACCATCTACAGCCGCGCTGCCACCTACAGCTGCACTGCCATCGTTATCACGTGGGGAGGGACTGCAAGGCCACCCAGTGCTCTCCCACCACACTTCACATTTTCCTTCCTTCACATGCCTCGTTCTTGCATGAATGAAGTTTTCACACTGCATCTCTACTTCAAGAGAAACAAAGAAAAACAGTCTCACTAAACAAAATCACCAACTTCCCTGGCTGAGAGCTCAGAGCACTTAGGATCTAAATAGAAGACTGTTCCATGGTTGCTGTTCAACAGTGACATGTACCTGACACTACCCTACTTCGGGAGGTCAGGGTCCAAGGTAAACCAGAGAGGAATCTAATTAAGACTTGTTAATCAGTGAATAATCAATTATTGAAAATTAACCATTACATTCGTAGGAGAGTCTGGCTAGCAGTTCCCTAGGTGTGATGGCATGCTTTGACGGCAGCCTCCAGTACTGAAGACCTTGATCCCTGGTGATGGAATCCCATTACAGTGAATGTCCCTCCAGCCCACACTACAGGGTAGGAGAACAAAATGAACAAAAAATCTAGATAAATCAGAATTGTTTCAGACTTTTCAGGAGAAAAAAAATCCAAGAATCCCAGAGACAGATTCCAGTTGAATTGGAAAATAGCAGGGCAGTCTCTCTTCTTATCCATCTGTCCCTCATTTACTCATGTTTGCACTCAGGAAACCCCCATGAAACAGCTTGCAGGTATCGAGGCTACAGAAACGAAGGTGCATAACACAGAGGACTTGCTCTCCAGAAGGGCACCGTCTGAGGGCTATGGGGAGATGGATGAGGAAGAAGATATTTGCAAAACTAAACAAAAAAGAAGGGCTAATAGTCACTGAACACTACATTTTTCTCCCAGCTCTGTCCTAAGGATTTTACTTAGAATATTTCATTTAGGCCGGGCGTGGTGGTTCACACCTATAATCCCAGTACTTTGGGAGGCTGAGGCAGGTGGATCACCAGGTCAGGAGATCAAGACCATCCTGGTTAACACAGTGAAACTCCGGCTCTACTAAAAATACAAAATATTAGCCAGGTGTGGTGGCACACGCCTGTAGTCCCAGCTATTCAGGAGGCTAAGGCATGAGAATCGCTTGAACCCAGGAGGCGGAGGTTGTAGTAAGCTGAGATTGTACCACTGCAATCCAGCCTGGGCGACAGAGCGAGACTCTGTCTCAAAAAAAAAGGAACATTTCATTTAACCCCAATAAGGTGGGTAGTATCATTGGACCCATTGTACAGTAGGAAAAAGGGACAGAAGGTGTGGGAGCTGGACCAAGGCCTCAGATCTAGTGGTTGGTGGAGATAAATTCAAGTCCAGGGCAGCCTGGATCCAGTACCTATGTCCTTGTCCTACACTCTCCTGTCTATAGAAAGGGTGTTTTCCATTTATTTGCTCACTTACGGGTGGTTTGTTGAGCTCTGGGTGGATAGGGATGCATATGTTATAATAGCCATGGTCCCTGTCCTCATTCTGCTTACAACTTTGATCAAAAAAGCTTCCAGAGATGAGGACATGCTGGAAAACGACCCAGTCAGCCTCCTTCCCTGGAATTCCCCTAAGACATTCCTGGGTTTCTCATCAAGCGTTTGCTGACCGTGTCTGCATTTAGCAGATTTCAGGTTTTGGAGAGATTTCCTGCCACTCACAGTTAGTTATCTATTTGAAGGCAACTGCAATTGGGGAAAAGTTCCTTTTTGTATGAAGGTGAAATTTCCCTACAATTTCTACTCGTTGGTTCTTGCTATCTCTGCCCACGAGGCCTCCATGGAAAAGATGTCTTCCTTCTTTTGTGCATAACTTTGGGAATATTTGGAAACATTTCTGAGGTTTCCCGTATACCCTTTCTCTAACTCCTCCAAGCTAAACCTCAGAAATGCCCTCTCCCTGTCATCCAAGAAGTGATATCAGAATCTTTATCATTGTGGCCAGACCCTGGGGGTGGACTTAAGGCTAGTAAAGTAAAAGGAGATCTAAGCGTGGCCCGTGCTGAGCTTCCGGGGATGGGCCACGCATGGCATGCATTCATTTGTGGACATTTCCCTGGGAACCTTACGTATTGGGTCCATGTGACATTCCCAGGGCTGCGGCTCACTACAGAGGGCTTGAACCTCATACTGACATTAAAGAAAGCTGAGTCCTGCCTTTGTATTCATCAGTGCTTTTTAATGATGGCAGAGCAGGCTATGGAGTCAGACTGCCTGAATTCAAAGCATACTGTGTAATCTTCAGCAACCTGCTCACTCTCCAAGCTGAGTTTATGCCTTTGTACGTGGGTTGGGAAATTAAAAGAGTTATGTATTAGTCCGTTTTCATGCTGCTGGTAAAGACATACCCGAGATTGGGTAATTTATAAAGAAAAGGAGGTTTAATGAACTCCCAGCTCCTCATGGCTGGGGAGGCCTCACAATCATGGTGGAAGGCAAGGGAAGAACAAAGGCACGTCTTACATGGTGGCCAGCAAAAAGAGAGATCTTGTGTAGGGGAACTCCTCCTTATAAAACCATCAGATCTCGTGAGACTTATTAACTGTCACGAGAACAGCACAGGAAAGACCCACCTCCATGATTCAATTACCTCCAACCAGGTCTCTCCCACAGCACATGGGAATTATGGGAGCTACAATTCAAGATAAGATTTGGGTGGGGACACAGCCAAACCATATCAAGTTCCATATATTTGTGGATGTGCATGTGTGTTTATATATACAGTATATAAATGTATATATGTGTAAAATACATACATATATAGCACTTATTAAGTGCTTGGTTCACAGTATGCACTCTGAAAACATTAGATATCATTATTATAGCACAAAATCATTCTAACTCAGTCGGCCAGACTCCAGACCTTGCTGCCTGTGCACTGTGCTCTGTGGCTTTGCTGCTTGGCCTCCACTGCTGCCTGACCATTTGATTCCATTGGGTTGGGTCAGCTCAGCTTTTCAGGTCATGCTGAAGTTTGATTTGTTATTCAAGTATTAACTCTGCCTCTAAGACTACATTTGAAAAGCATGTATTATTCATCTTTTTTCAAATATTGCATTTTCTCGATCTTGGATGTACTGTTTCATATTTTCATGTTTGTGGGGAGAAGGGTGCATCTCACATTACAACATGGGCAGTATTTTTTTTCCTGGAAAGTGATGATTAAGTCCTGGCTCTGTCTTACACCTGGTGATATCTTACAAGTGAGAAAATGCAGTGAGTTACAGTATTCACTGGGACATGTAAAGGTTCTAAATGACAACACTTCTCTACAGCAATGGTTCTCAAACTTGGTTCCACAGCAATAGTTCTCACATTGGAACCATCTGGTGACCAGCAGTAAAATAAAAAAACACTGGTGCCCAGGGCTCACCCCCAAGAGATTCCATGACTAGGAGCTGGGATGTTAAAAAGCTCCCCAGGTGATACGAAGGTGCACTTTGCACTAGACCCGAGCCAACTCTTCCCCCATCTTCCCCCTTAGCTTCCTTCAGAGCATATGTAAGGACCGTCAATAATTGCTGGCGTGATTAGCCGTGTCTGTGCCCCATCTCTTGAGGATAGGAGCATGCTGCGGCCAGTGTTTGGTGCATAGAAAGCACTCAGCATGCACTGCCTGGATGACCGTGTGGACTTCGGCCACTCACCAGCACTGTTTGCTGCTTTTTGCCTGTGTAAATGTGCGTGTTTACTGTTTCTGCTATGGCAGCGACTGCAGGACTGCAGGACTGTGAACTTTGCCCTCATTTTTCACCGGCTTTATCTCCGCGAGAAACAAGCAGAGGAAGCAGCTGGGAAAGGCTGGACGGGAAACCGGAGGCCACAGTCTCCTCCCAACACCACTGCTGAGTGAAGATGTTTAGGATGGCATCAAACCTGGGGACCTCATCTGCACAGGGGGGGTCCTATCCACCAGAGGATATATAAGCCCCCTTCCAATTCAAAATCCTTTCATCACGTAGACTCGACGGCATGGAGTTAGCACCCCATCACAGCTTTATGACAGACCCGGTTTTTTACTACTTTGTGGCCATATCTACACAAAATGAGATACATAAAATGCAGTTGTAGGCTCGGTGTGTCAGCTCACACCTGTAATCTTAGCGCCCTGGGAAGCCAAGGCAGGAGGATCTCTTGAGGCGAGGAGTTTAAGACCAGCCTGAACAACATGGCGAGACCCTGTCTCTACAGAAAAGTATGAAAAAATTAGTGGGGCATGGTGGTGGGCACCTGTAGTCCCAGCTACTTGGGAGGTCGGGGCAAGAGAATGGCTTAAGCCCAGGAGTTCAAGGTTACAGTGAACTGTGATCGTGCCACTGCATTCCAGCCTGGGCAACAGAGCAAGACCCTGTGTCTAAAAAAATTTTAAATAAAAAGTTAAACCAGGAGTATAGGTAACATGATCTTAGACAAAGGCCACTACCTCATCTCCAAAAGCCAGGCAGTGGCCCCAGGAAAGTGCCCTGGTCAAGTCCTCCCCTTCACAGGCAAGCCAGGCTGGTTTGGAACAAAAGGCAGAAGCTTTTCCTCCTATTTCTATTTTCCTATTTCTCCTGATCTTGACCCTGCCCAGGAATCCGAACTGCCAAGTAGACGCCCTCCATCCCTCCCATTTATTCTGTCATCCACCCACACCCTGGCTTTCTTGCAGCCAGAGAGCTTCTTCCTGCAAGCACCAGCTGTTGAGCAGGACTGTGACAAAGAGCAACAAAGAGCCACAAAGAGCAGGCTGCGGGCGGGACCATCGGGACCATCACAGAGGCATCAGCCCTGCCCCGGAGTGGCTGCAGATGCATCCCTGAGGGAGGGGGCTGGGGTGCAGGTGCTCCCTCCCGAACAGGGGGTTTGTTAGCTTCATCTGCAAGGCCCTGAAGCCAGGCTCTTTTCAAATCGTCATCATGTGTGCACCGTACACTCCCTTCTGACTCTGGGGGCCTGGGCGCCTGCTTAGTGCAGCCTTAAATTTTTTACGTACCAGTAAAAATACTGCATGTAAGATTCTGTTCCTAGGAGGATAAAGGGATGGCCAGAGCTGGCTAAGCGGAGTCTCGACGGACTAAAGGTATGGGAAAATGAAGACGTGGACCTACCACGTTCTCTTCTACCTGGAACTTAGGATTTGTAAATTGCATTTAGATGTCATTTGTCACATTGGTAGGCTGTGACTTAATACACTCACAAAGAGGATTTTTCCAAGTATTTAAACTGTGTAGATGCTGCAAAAAATCAGACTGAGGCAAAGCCCTGCAGCCAACCCCAGCAGCAAGAGGTGAGGACCCCCTGTCTGTCCTGGGCCCCACTCAGGCACTATCCTCATCTCTTAGAATAGTTTGTTACCTTTTCTTTCCTGAAGCCTCATCAAATGCAACTTTTTCTATGGCATTCAACGGACTTTAAAGCAAAGATTACAGAGAAATTCTTATGCAAGTCAGAAAATCTGCTTATTATGGGTTTGATAAACCAAATTGTGTTACCTGTTTATAGACATAGATTTCTATCAGCCAGACGTGTGCACAGCACAGCACAAACCATAGCCACCCCCGTCGAAGTCTCTTTCTGTGCATTTCCCAGCCACGCCCCCAGCTTGGGCCCCTGGGGTCACCTCCCACTCCGGCTAGAAAGAGAGAAGGAGACAGTGAATTCCTCGGAAGCCGCTCGCCCTGCACCCAAGCGGGACTTGCACCACAAGCAGCCCCAGGAAAAAACTCTCCATTTCTTTCTCGTGGAGGCTCCAGAAGAAAAGCTGCGCATTTACCCGGCGCATTCTAACCGCCTTTGAGGTTCCCTCCGGCAGCCATGGGAGCCGTGGTGGGGCAAAGCCTGGGCTGGGAGACGCTGCAAGGCTCTGGGGAGCAGTGAGGCGCCGCGCCAGCTCCTCCGTTCCCGTCATAGCCTCACACGGGCTTCGCTGGACACGTCCAGGACGCAGCGCCGGTGGGCACCAGGCGTTGAGCGCCTGCCCCGCGTCTGTGCTAAGACCTCCCTTTGCATTATTGCATTTATTCCAACGATGGGGTGAGGTAGGTATTCTTATTTCCATTGCCAGAGTGAAACACTGAGGCTCATCCAGGGGCCGGTGTGGAAATCAGGGCTCAGCCCTGGGCCCCTGCTGCTTGGAGCCGGTGCGGTGGCCACCGTGACCTCACGCTTTCCCTGCCAGTCGCTCTCCGCCGCATCCCGGCCTCCCGCCCCGCCCCCGGCCGCTTTCCAGGGACTGAAGCCCGAGTTGGTGCTGCGTGTCCCCGCGGGGATTATTTTCAAACAGCTCCTCCTGCCCTGGCTCCCACAGCGCGGCCCCAGGCAGCTGCACCACTTTCTCCTCTCACCAATTAAAGCCGAATCCAGGGCTCCTTAGCATATGAATTGAGGCGCATCGGAGCCCTCACTGCTGGGCCAGCCCCTCCCGGGCTCCTCCGGTTCCGGGAGGTCCACAGCCCAGCAGCAGCTGCCCCTGCACGTTGTCCCCTCCGTCCAGCATCCCGGGGCCGAGGAGACAGTGCCCCTGGCCGGGGGCTGCGCTGGCTTCAACTTCCCATGGGCAAAACGGGGTCCCGGGTCAGTGTTCACAGAGGGTCTCAAACCCTGCAGGACCCTGAAATTGTCTGGGATCCACACCAGTCGGAAGAAAAAAAGAATAGAAAACGCAGGGATTCACCTCCTCTGCAGGCACCCTCATGCCGAACACTAAACAGGATGATGTTGAAAAGGATTTGGAGATTTATGCAGGTCACGAGCTTGAGGAATTTTTCCATTGAATGCACCATGCCTTGGGTTTCCCGTTTCCCACTGAAAATCCCATGGCTGACACTTTTTTTATATCATTACCTTGGGAGATGAAGAAAAACTCATCTGTTAGGGCAGCTCTGTGAATGCAGATGCTTTGGGTTGTTTTGAATGAATGACTGAATGTTCTGAAATAAAGCAGGAAGGTGCCTGCGGGATAATGACTGGTTTCGCAACTCTTGGCCGGGAGTCTAGACCCCTCTGATAATCAATAGAAATGGATGTATATTAAATTTAGCAATAGAAAAAGTATAGATAGTTGAGTATGCTACATTATTTTCCTATAAATTAACCCGTTACCACAGTCTTTAATTATCTTCCCCTTGCGAGGCATAAAGAAGAGACTGCTTGAGGATGGAGGGTTTTTTGTGGTCTGAGGTCTGCAGACTGGCCAAGTATTCCAATATTAATTACCACCCATCCTGGCCGTAGGCTCACCCCGCTGACCTGAGCAGACCTGGTGAAGCAAGCCACAACTTCTGCTGGAAATTGCTCCACTCTTCCATTAAGTGAGGATTAGAAAGCCCTTTGTGAGAATTTTGCCCAGAGTCTAAGTTGAGCACTTTGTCACTTGCACGCTTCATTTTCCAGCATACCGTTCGCTCAGCTCAGTGTCTATCCAGGCACTGAAGGTTCGGATGCAAGCACTCTCCAGCGTAGGGGCTGACCAAGTGAAATGCACACTGAGCAACCGTGCAGCTCCAGGTCCTGGCGGCTCTTCACAACCAGACATTCTCCCTGGAGACCCTAAGCTCCTCTTCCTCTGTTGGGGGAGCACAAAATACCCTATAAGGGCTGCTTTGCTGCCTCTGGCACTTTCTTCATCAGGGGAGTTACATCCAGATGTAGCTGACAGGTCAGGGCCCCTTCTCCTCCACCATGTCTCAGGGTTATCTTTTCCAAATGGAGGAAGTCAAGGGTATGCAGGCGCTCCAGTTTCCCTGCCTTACCCTACATATCCATAACAGACTTCAACACGAGAACCAGCGTTTCGGATGTGTCTAGCAGAGTGCCAAAGTCAGGCTGGAGTGTGCCCTGAAAGTCAGGGCCTTCTGAGGGACACAGACACGGTTTGTCTCCAAGGGGGCTGTGTGTAAGGCAAATGCTGAGGCCTACAACCATGTGTTCTGAGACGGTGGCCATTACAGAAACAGGCAGTCCCCAGACAGAAGCACAAAGGGCAATCTCAAGGAATCAAGATCTGTAGGCAGGGACCCACACTGAACAATCTGGACAAAGCTAATGCAGAATGAACAGTACCGCCGCTACCCAGCGACAGTCGGGCTGATGTTCTAGGAGAACCACACGCTTCACACAGCAAGGGAGAAATTAGGCCGTATTTTAATCCCTTCCAGCTTCGTCCAGGAGGTGTTGTGATTTGAGTCACTCTCTTCCTCTAACTCCTAGCCCATCCGCAGTAATAAATAACTTTGCAGTGAATGGATGGTTTTCTTAGACCTGGGGGAACAATCCTAGTTTGATAAAGCAGCTCAGGAGCGTGAATGCTGAGGGGCCCGCCTATTAGCTGCCAAGCTCGGTAGCCAGGTCAGGCCCCACTGGAAGGGAAGGGGCAGTTGCCCAGGGTGCCTGAGGAGCAACCTGGCCCCTGTTCTCGGGTGGGAGAAGGAGCACCTGGCACTGACCAGCCCTGGAACTCCGCCTGCTCACTGGACATCACAGCACATGAGCGGGTGCTATGGATGGAATGTTTGAGTCCCCCAAAATTTGTATCTTGAAGCCCTATTTTCCAAGGTGCTGGTATTAGGAAGCGGGGCATTTAGGAGGTGATTAGGTCATGGGGGGCCTTGTGAATGGGATTAGTGCCCTGATAAGAACAGAGATGACCCATCTCTCAGCCATGTGAGGACACAGCAGAAGGTGCCATCCACACACCAGTCTGGAGCCCTCCCAGCCACGGAACTGCCTGGCACTTGGATGTGGGGGTTCCTGCGTCCCAGCCTCACAAGAACTGTGAGAAATCCATTTCTGTTGTTAAAACCACCCAGGCCATTGCATTTTTGTTACAGCAGCCTGAACTGACTAAAACAGCTTGAATAACAGAAATGGCAGGTTAAAAAAAAAAAATCACTGTTCCTGGGCTTGCTCTAGACTAAATAGTTGGGGGAACCTAGGGATTAGGGAAGAGTCTAGAGAAAAGCCGCAGTTCAACGCCTGCCCATCTCCTTGCTTCTAGTGAAGGGGCTCAAGGAATATGACGCTCTTATTTGGGAAGGAATTCTGGGTCATAGAAAAAAATGGGCGGGCCAGTCCAGGAAGCGTGGAGAGAAGACAGTGAAACTGCTCTGTCGAGAACTCAGGAAGTCCCCCAAGAGAGGACGGGGGAGGTGGGAGGTGTGGGGTAGGTGGAGTGAGCCCCAGGGAGGAAGACCACAGTGATCCTTGTGGCAGAAATCCAAACTGTGGGGGTAAAGGAACATGAAAGCAACAATTTCCCCTTATGTCCTGCCCGATGCTATATAGTTGCTTCACAGCAGCCTCTTCACACCAGCCTCTCATCTTCATACCTTCTCTGAGGGTCTTGCTCATGGTGGCTTTGTCAGGAGATGCTCTGGGGGAGGAGGAAGCAGAGCAAAGCCCACCAGTGACACAGAGTGAACCATAAAGGTGAAGACAGTCATGCCCAGAGAACCAGGGATGCAGAAGTTCATGGAAGCTGGAGTTTGGGGCAGGAAGCATCTGGAAAAACATGAGTCTCCTCTTTCCCCGCCCTCACCATCACCCCCAAAACATGGATATCCTCAGAAATATCTGGGAGGATCCTGGATTTCCCACATGCAAAGATAGGGGATCAGGTCCAGAAGGCACAGCTGTGCTCAGGGTGCCTGTGTTTTGTGAACTAACTCAACAACGGACAGCGCGAGATACACAGAGCCACACTGTGGCTGGGAGCCTGGCCGCCGTCTTCCTGATCCCTGGGGCCGATGGCCAGAAGGGCTTTCTTACCAGGTGCTTCCCAGGAGCCTGGGAGGAGGTGACGCTGAGCACAGACACCACATCCTGCAGCCGTCCTTGGTCCCGTCTCAGCAGGCATTCCCAACAGAGACCCCACCGAGAGCTGCTGGGAAGGCAAGGAGATGTGGGTCATCGTCATCAGCTAAATGGAGGGTGGCATTCTGCTTCTACCATCCAGCCAGTGCCACAGATCAAAGAGAAATAAGCTCGGCAATTTTCCTGCCATCATTTTGTTTTGAGATAAGGAAATTATCCACAATCCAATTATGAGGTGTAATGTCACATTCTTTTTTTTTTTTTTTTTGAGTCGGGGGGGACACGGTCTCACTCTCTTGCCCAGGCTGGAATGCAGTGGCACAATCTCAGTTCGCTGTCACCTTGACCTCCTGGGCTCAAGCAGTTCTCCCACCTTGGCCTCCAAAGTAGCTAGAACTAAGCAATCCATCCACCTTGGCCTCCCAAAGTGCTGGAATTACAGGCATGAGCCACTGCACCCAGCCCATAATGTTGCATTCTAATGTGATAACAAATTGAGTCAAAGTGTGTCCATTTCCTCCAAATTTGTTTGGAACAAAGAAAGTCTTTCATAACTTGGTCATATTAGATATTTGTAAAATACAGTTTTGATGAACACAACCCTTAGTGGCCCTTAACGGAAGTACTTGTGGCTGACAACAAACTCAACATCCCTGGGAATTTTGCTCAAAGAGTTGCCACAGTGCCAGGATGAGTTTAGGGGAATGCCATGCTGGCCACGCCTGCTCACCTCTGTCCATTCCACTGATAAAGGGCCAAGTCCAAAGGATTCCTGCCTTCTGTAGCTGAAATCTAAAAATGGAAACGCTCTGTGTGAGTCAGCATCAGATGTACAATTGGGATGTGTTCGCACAGCCGCTTCATTCCGGCCTGAGAACAAGAGCACTTTGTTTCCTGTTTGCTAAGGAGGTCAAGGTCCCCTGGCCGTCTGCGTGTGGGTTTCCCTGTCTCAGACAACTGTGCTGTGAAAGTTTCTTCAGTGCATGATACTGGCCCCCCTCCTGCCTCTGGACAGAAGCCTGTCATTATTGTCACCGGTGAGGAGACATTTGTCCCCCATCACGCATGAGGGACGGAGAAGAGAACTCCTGGCATTCCACAGGGGATGGAGGGATGGGGGTGCAGAGCCACCCGCTGGCCCTCAGCCCTGACTCCCAGCCTCTGAAAAACAACTCTACGACAAATCCTCCTTCTGAGCCTCCACTCAGTGTGCACATGAGTGGCTCCTGTCAGCGGGAGCTCCATGGGAAGCTTCTAAATACGGAAAAAGTGGAAATGGCATGTTGCCATGCAAATGTGGCCCCACTAGACGTTTGTCCCAAAATGGAGCATCCTAGAGTACCCATTCTTCATCTCTGCCTTGGGAAGATGTTCGCCCAAGCGCTTGCTTGATTTGCAGATAGAAACGTTGTCCCCACTCTTGTGTGCAGTTCAAAGACTTCACACTTGACAACTGAGAGTCCACCAAAGGGAGAAGTCGGACCAGCCCCCAGCCAAACACGGGAGAAAATAAGGACTTAGGAAAACCAGCACTGAGGCCTGGAGGCCTGGAGCTCCAAGGGGCAGGTCCCATGAGCATCCCGTTCCACGTGGTTTTCACCAGCTTAAGTCCCATCATTGGCACATTCCTTTCTGAAAAAAAAAAAAATCAATTTTCATGGCAGCTAAAGCACGATGCATAGTTCAGGATTCTGTGTCCATCCAATGCTAGCTGCAGATCCAAGCCCGAGTCCCCTCCCTTCGGTGTTGAACATCCACACTGCGCTGGAATGTGGTCAGCAGCGTTCACAGTTGTATCTTTAAATGAATCTTGTTTCTGGCACTCAGGAGTTCATGTCCAGGAGGGCTCTGATGGGAGTCAACTCCATCTAGGAAAAGTAGAAACACCTGAAACATAGTACTTTGCAAATTTTAAAAAGAAAAGACATACCTGTATTAATCCATTCTTGTGTTGCTATAAAGAAATACCTGAGACTGGGTAATTTATAGAGAAAAAAGGTTTGATTAGCTCATGGTTCTGCAGGCTGTACAGGATGCATGACTGGGGAGGTCTCAGGAAACTTATAATCATGGTGGAAGGCAAAGGGGAAGCAGGCACATCTTCGCATGGTGGAGCAGGAAGAAGAGAGGGAGTGAAGGGGGAGGTGCTACACACTTTCAAATAACCAAATCTCCTGACTCACTATCACGAGAACAGCAAGGGGGGGAATCTGCCCCCATGATCCAATCACCTCCCTGCAGGTCTCTCCTCCAATATTGGGGATTACAATTCAACATGAGATTTGGGTGGGGACACAGAGTCAAACCATATCAACACCGTTTACCCGACCGTAGCCAGATTGCAGCAGAGTCCAGACCCACCGCGGTGTTTGTTCAACCTCAGGCCTTGCCACTGCCTCTGCCTGCTCCACCCTGGGGTGCTTGCCAGATAACAGGCAAAGGCAATGAGCACGGAGCCTGGAGGAGGGTCCCCGGGGAGTTCCCCTCAGCCACACCTCAAATAAACCCCACAGAAACCACCACCGTCTGGTTCTACCCACCTGGAATGTTTTCCTGCTCTTCTGTTTTTTGGCCCTGTCGAAACCTATCCCCGAAGCTCAGTCCAGGTGCAGTTTCCCAGGAAGACAGAGGAGGGACACTTACCTGCCAGGGGAGGGATCGCCTGAGCACACCTGCTCCCAGCTGCCCCGCATGGCCTCCTCCTCTCTGTGGTGACTTGTCAGTTAGCCATAGACTGCCCGCACGCAGCAGTGCTTCCATTGTGGTCCTGAGAAATGGTCTCTTTTCACTATTTAACTTCTTTAATGCTCTGTATCTTGTGTCTAAAATGGTATCTTGTGTTTTAAGCTTCTGGAGGACACAGCCCATGCTTCCCGAATCTTCCTGTCTTCCCCACTTCCTAGGGTGCACCTAGCACATATGGGAAGTTCAAGAATTCTACAGGCTTCATTTTTCTGTTTTTTTTTTTTTCTGTCACTGAAATATATTCCCCAAGGGGCACACTTTCCAGGCACGCTTTTGACCTTAAAGGGAAAATTTCATCTTGCTGTCGCTCTCTGAGTTCTATTTTTCCCTGGCTTCCTCCTCAATGGGAACTCGGTAAGAAGCGGAGACAGCAGGAGCACCTCCCTTTCCTCTGAAGAAGTTAACATGGTTAACAACAGCGGCTCCATCCTCTGGTGTAACCTCGAGAGCGAGTGAGGAGCTCTGGCAGTCACCACAGTTACTTGAGCCTCACGGAAGAATCTTGCCTTTGGGGTGGCAGTGGCCACATCTCGGATGTCTCTTCCCCAAAGGCCAGGGCTGGGGTGAACCCAGCACATGCCCCCCGTGGCCACCCCATGCCCCAGGGCTCAGGGAGGGAGGGCTCCGGGAAGATTTTGACAGTGGAAGTTAGGGCAGGTGAGGGGAGAAAGGACCCGGAAGTCGGGGACACCTTTCTCAGGCTCTGCCCTGCACAGGGAGCTGGGAAGGACCAGCCTCCTGGCATCTGTGTGTGATGGTGCCCGGCACATCTGTTTCCTGCCCCAGTGCACCTCACCGGCCTGGGCACAGAACTGCTAAACGTGACTCAGGAAAAGGAACTTTCCCACATCGCTTCACTTCATTGATTTTCAACAGCAGGAAAAATTTTGCTCACTGGTCTGGCAAATAAATAAGTGGTTATATCTGAGCGTGTCTGTGTGTGTGTGCAGGTGGGTATACAGGTGAGTGTGTATCTAGGCATGTGTACATGCGACTGTGTGTGTGTGGGTGTGTGTGAGGGTATGTGTGTGTGCGTATGTGAGGATGTGTGCAGACTATGTGTGTGAGCATGTGAGTACATAAGCATGTGTGTGCACATGTGTATACGTTTGTGTGTGCTTATGTTTATATTTGTGTATTTGTGTGCATGTGTGCATGCATTTGTGTGTGCACACATCTGTATATACATTTGCGTGTTCACGTGTGTGTATATTTGTAAGTGTGCATGTTTATATTTGTATGTGCATGCATTTCTGTGCATGTTTATATGTGTGCACGTGTGTATGCATTTGTGTGTGCATGTTTATATTTGTGTGTGAGCATGTGTATATGCATTTCTGTGAGCGTGTGTGTGCACATGTTTGTGAATGTGTGTGGATGCATTTGTTTGTGCATATATGTGCATACAGTTGTGTGTATATTTGTTTGCACATGTGTGTATTTGTAGGTGTACATATGTGAATACATTTGTGCATGCACATATGTGTATGCATTTATATGTATTTATGTGTACATATGTGTATACGTTTTGTGTGTGCATGTGTATTTGTGTGTGCAAATGTGTGTATACATTTGTGTGTGCATGTGTGTACATGTTTGTGCACATGTGTGTTAAAATCTGTGTGGGCACATGTGTATATGCATTTGTGGGTATTTGTGTATAATTCTAAGCGTGTGTGAGCATGTGTGTGTGCATGTGTGTATATTTGTGTGTGTATACATTTGTGTATGTGTATTTGTGTGATTGCATGAGCATATGTGTGAGCATGTGTATGAGGGTGTGTGTGCTTGTGTGTATATTTGTGTGTGCATGTGTATATATTTGTGTGTTTGTGCACATTTGTGTGAATTTGTGTGTATATTCATGCATGTGTGTAGACGTTTATGTGTTTGCATGTGTGTATATTTGTGTGATTGTGTGTGTGTGTGTGTGTGTGTGTACACCCATCTTGTCCTTTGTCCCCCACTCGAGGACAGAGTGTGGCTGTGGCCTCCATTCTGACCCTGCTGCCTGCTGGCTGCCCTGGGACGATCAAATGGCAGCAGATGTCCTGCCTCGTTGTTGGCATTTTGCTCCAATTTGCTGGGCTTGATTGAAATCACTTCTTTTTATAGCAGTGTGAGATCTGGATTTTGTGATTAAGTGTGAAGCAGATTTCTCTCCTCAACAGTG
The DNA here is from genome assembly GCF_000001405.40 of Homo sapiens. Taxonomy (NCBI): domain Eukaryota; kingdom Metazoa; phylum Chordata; class Mammalia; order Primates; family Hominidae; genus Homo; species Homo sapiens. Next base: position 167,687,296 of record NC_000006.12, read on the forward strand.
AAAGATGCCCCGAGGTGCTGCAGAGTTAACTCGGATCCAGGCCCTTCTGGGGGCCAAGCCGCCCGCACCGGGAGAGCTGCGTTTCTTTCTTCAGCGTCCTGCCCTCCGTGGCTGCAGGATTTTCTTGGAAGGTGAAAGGCAGACATTTTGGGAGCCACTAACAGACTTCCTGAACCTTCACTGATGAGGAGTCAAACACTTCTGAGAGAGCGGCCGTGTGATCCAAAAAGAGGAGCCAGGATAAAGGAACAGATGGAGGCATGAGGTAAGTGCTTCTTAGCACTCGAAGAATCAGGAAGATTTTCAGAAACAGGAATTAGCAATCTGGAAGGAAAGCTCAGAATAACACGGTTGTTTCCTGCGCAGTGGAAGGCCTTGGGCTGCGCCTCCCTCCACCTGTGATCTGCGTTAACGGGCCCCTTGCTGCAGGTGTTGGCAGTGGTAGTTTTCTAGACGGAACCTCACACCCCCGAATGGCTGTCAGTGTGTGTGTGGAGACTCAGGAGTCACCTGTGCAGGGCTTGTGAGTTTCCTAGAGAAAGAGACGGACCATGTTCTCAAAACTGTGCCTCGAGTCCACTCCTTCTTCATGGGTGTGCAGGCGCAAAGCCACAACCTCCACCCTGCTCTCCCTCCTGTGTCTCTTCCCCCGGTGTCTGTGCAAATACGGGTGTCTTCGTGTCTAAGTGAGAGAGTCTTTGTGGGTCGACAGCACATCTGAGCTGTTGGTCACCTACAGCGTGCATAATGGCTGGCACTGGTCTCCCCTTTCTTGATATGGCAGCAGGTAAGCATCTTCGCTGGAGACACACTGCTGTCAAACGGGAGTAGGACCCCTGGCTCTAGCAGCCCTACTGGCTGGAATCACCAGCTTTGTGCCTGGAATTTGGCTGCAGTAAAACACTCTTCTCTCCCGCAGAGAGGGCGGGATGGTGCCCACAGCCAGGGTGCCATGCAGCACGTTCTGGTTACACCTGCCCCAGATCATCTGTGGATGGAGTGTGGGTGCTGATCCTTCATGGGGGTCCTCCTGGAGGCACTGCTCACAGCAGTGGATGAGCTCATTAACTTAAATGCATTTCACGGGTCGGTGCTTAGATTCTCCAACCACGTGACCCTGCTAATGAAGGCACCCTGCAATCAGAACAGAAGCTCTGGGTTTGGACTTGATGACTGTCATCCAGAGTGAGTGCCATCACAGGGGAGCAATGGGCCTCCTTGCAGGGCACCAGGGAAGCGGGACGATGTCAGAACCAGGAGCCAGTCAGCTCCCACTGCACCTTCTTCTCGCTCGCACATTCCTGCACCTTTTGCTGGAAGATATTTGTCATTTAGCTACCTGGAAGGGATGAGATGAGGACAAATGGGGCTTATAAAAGAAAAGTTAAGGCCGGGCGCCATGGCTCACACCTGTAATCCCAGCACTTTGGGAGGCCGAGGCAGGGAGATCACAAGGTCAAGAGATCGAGACCATCCTGGCCAACATGGTGAAACCCCGTCTCTATGAAAAATACAAAAATTAGCTGGGTGTGGTGGCACGTGCCTGTAGTCCCAGCTACTTGGGAGGATGAGGCAGGAGAATCACTGGAACCCGAGAGGCGGAGGTTGCAGTGAGCCGAGACTGCGCCACTGCACTCCAGCCTGGGTGACAGAACGAGACTCCATCTCAAAAAAAAAAAAAAAAGAAAAGAGAAAGAAAAGTTAAACTGCTTTTTTCTTTCCTGTACTGGTTGGCTTTCTAGCTGACTGGTCTCCGGTCAGTGAATGGGTGCTGAGCTGCCACGATGGGTGTTTACCCCCCATTCAATCATCCTGCCACCCGCTGTGTTCCTTTGAACGCTCCCTTTCCCCTTCATCCAGGCTCTGATGGTGAGACTTCCTCTTAACCAGAATCCAGAATGGTGGAGCGAATCTCCCAAAACCATTCAGCACTAGCCCAGTGGTCCCTCAGAAACCCTCGTTTTGTAGGGACAGCCTCAGCCTTAAGGACCCCCAACAGTCTCAGAATCAGAGGGGGTGCCTGGTCTCCCTCTGGGGGTGCTGCCATCCTCACCTGGGAGCCAGGGGCAGCCTGCAGCTCCACTCTCAGTGGAGGCAGCACGGAGTCATTGTGACGCAGAGTGAGGACACAGCCCTTGCCCTGTAACTCACGTGTTGAGAATTTTACAGATTATAAGGCCACGTCTCTACATCAGAGCTTCCACTCAGCCCTGGGGAGACCCTGCTGCTGGGGCCAGATCCAGCATGAGTGCCCACTCAGCACCCTGCAGCCAGGGGAGGCAGCAAGACTAAGCAGAATCCCATGGGCTCAGGCCAGTGGTTCTAGGAGCAATGATCCGGGGCTCCCTCAATATCTAAGAACAGAGAATCCCCCACATCACCAAAGGAAGGCAGTGCTGGCTTCGGAGCTTCTGTGCATTGGGCACAGAAAAGAAGGCATGGTTTCCCTGCTCCTGCTTTTCGAGGGGGTCACCCAAGACCTGGCACAGTCCCCATTGTCCCTGAGGGAGGAGACAAAGCTTCACGCTGAGCACTTCCCAGCTATGTGCACTAGTGCGTGGCCCACCTCCTGACCCCACAGGCCAGAACATGGGAAAAGTCGGTATCAGGCAAGGGGTGTTTCCTCCCCAGAAGTGGAATGACGAGCGTGCCATTTGGCTCAAGAGTTTCAGGGCTGCAGTTGACTGAGGTTATCTGTGGACTTCATCACTGCTGTTGCCAACTGAGAATGTTTTGCAAGCTTGACTTTCACTGATCACTTAATATCAGACTTTCTGGGCCAACAGTGAATAAGAAGCTTTAAATGAGAAATCACTTTCTGTGTTTTTGAAGATGTTATTTTGTTCTGAGTTTAAATGAACTCTTTTGACATTTGGTTCAGCAGAGAGGAAGCAGAGATGTGTGACAGGACAACAAATCTTGGGGCCCCAAAATCACTAAGCTAAAGGGAAAAGTCAAGCTGGGAACTGCTTAGGGCCAACCTGCCTCCCACTCTATTCAAAGTCACCCTCTGCGGCTGGGCGCAGTATCTCACGCCTGTAATCCCAGTACTTTGGGAGGCCAAGGCAGGCAGATCACCTGGGGTCAGGAGTTCGAGACCAGCCTGAACAACATGGTGAAACCCCATCCCTACTAAAAACACAAAAAATTGGCCGGGCATGGTGGCGGGCACTGTAGTCCCAGCTACTCAGAAGGCTGAGGCAGGAGAATCACTTGAACCCGGGACACGGAGGTTGCAGTAAGCTAAGATCGCACCATTGCACTCCAGCCTGGGTGACAGAGCAAGACTCTGTCTCAAACAACAACAACAATGATGACGAAGCAAAGTCATCCCTCTGCTCCCTGAGATAAATGCAGATCTGATTGCCTCCTTTGGAGAGGTTCATCAGAAACTCAAAACAATGCAACCATTTGTCTCTTATCTACCCCTGACCGGAAGCTCCCTGCCTGCTTCCAGTCTTCCCGCCTTTGCTTCCGGTTGTCCCACCTTTCCGGACCAAACCAATGCTCATCTTGCATATATTGATTGATGTCTCATGTCTCCCTAAAATGTATAAAACCAAGCTGTGCTAGGACCACCCTGAGTACCTGTGGTCAGGACCTCCTGAGGCTGTGTCATGGGTGCACGTCCTTAACTGTGGCAAAATAAACTTCCTAAATTCACTGAGACCTGTCTCAGTTATTCAGCATTCATGGATGTGTGATGTCTCCTGGGTTCTCTGCGTTCCTACTCACCCCCTCCCCACGCCTCTCCACTGGTCTTGCTAGATGATAAATGATTGGCCTGCTCTAAGTCAGAATTTGCTCCCAGCCTCTGAGAGTTCCTCCCTCTCATCCACATGCACACTCTGAACTGAATGAGAGTGCCAGGACCTTCCCCCTGTTGTGTGGCAGTCTGTAATAGCAGTGTGCCATCTGCACCATCCGGGGAATCGATTTAAGGACCCGAAATAACCTGGTGTCATTTGCACTGTCATGATGTGCTGGTTGAAACTGCTGTGAGCTCTAAGCTTGGCTCCCGGTTTAAATAAAGCACCAGATTGAAGCATCTTCACTTTCTTTGCATTTACTGTCAATATCTCTAAGGGCCGAAGCTCAAATTTAAAATACCACACTTGGTCTGAAATCATCTTGATAGGATTAATTCATGTTTTTATCACTCTAAAGAAAATAATGTTGAAATATTCCAAATATAAAACTTAGGTAAAGAGAGAGGACCTTATTCACATCATCTTCCTGTTTCTCTGGGTTTGTTTTCTAAGCTGTGTTACATCCTTGAAAGGGCCTTCCAATGTCTGATCGCTGAACTGCCTGCCTTAAGTCTGTAAGACTTTCGTGAGATACTGTCATCCTGATCCTTCACAGGCAGTGGGCGTATGGCCTGAGAGTCCATTTGCAGAAGCTGACCACAGTGAACAGAGTGGGAATGCTGGACACTAACTCACTCAACTGAAGTGTGAGCCGGGGGCCCCGCGTGACCCAGATGTCCAAACTGCAAACCTAGGAGATCCTCTAGCGCACACCTCCTGTGACAAAGGAATCCAGAAGCTTAAGGACTCTGCAGGAACTGTAGCTTCTGCCTGCTACAACAAATCCCAGCAAGAGTTCGCTTAAAAACACAGATTAGAAATTATGAATATGCACCCCACGGGCCTTGATCTAAGAGGACAATTCAAATCTGACCCAGGTAAACAAAAGGCAGTGGCGAAGAATCCAGCAGTAAAAGCATTCCTAGGAAAAGACAGGCCAGAGTAGAACCTCCCCGTTCAAAGATGGATCCAACCCAGCAAGGAACGTGTAGAATGTTCCTGATCAGAAACAGAGGGGGGTGGGGACGGAGAGAGGGAGGGAGCAAGAGGGGGGAAGAGAAAGAGAAAGAGAAGGAAAGGGAAGGAGGGAGGAGAACAGAGGCTATCAGTATGACATGACAAACACAGGAATACAAAGTACTGTGGGAAAGAAGAGATACTTTTAAATAATACAAACATCAAGGCATAAGAGACAGAGTACTAGAAAAGGGAACATTAAACTAATTTCAGACTTATCCTCAGCAATCACAATTGCCTAAAACAAAGAAACAAGTGGAAAGAGGGACCGCAGCCTCAAATCACACAGGCCGCCTGCATGATTTGTTGCATTTACATGAAAATGCAACAAAGTGACCTGATCAAATACACAAAAACTTCGGTATTATAGCACTCATGAAACCTTTTCAAACACCTTGATTTGAATAATGAAGTCAAATAAAACGAGTGAAAACAAAGAACTTCTACTTTTTTCTTCCTCTTCCTTTCTCCCTTTCTCTCCCTCTCTCTCTCTCTCTCTCTCTCTCTCTCTCTCTCTCTCTCTCTCTCTCTCTCTTTAATATTTATTAGTTCAGGCTGGGTGCAGTAGCTCATGACTGTAATCCCATCACTTTGGGAGGCTGAGGCAGGAGGGTCGCTTGAGGACAGTAGTTCAAGACTTGTCTGGGCAACACGGCAAGACCTCGTCTCTAAAATAATAATTTAAAAATGAATTAGCTGGGCATGGTGGTGGATGCCTGTAGTCTCAGCTACTCAGGAGGCTGAGGAGAGAGGATAGCTTGAGCCCAGGAGTTTGAGACTGCAGTTAGCTATGATCATGCTACTGAACTCTAGCCTGGGTGACAGAGCAAGACCCTGGAGACCCTGTTCTAAAAAATATTTAAAAATAGGCTGGGTGCAGTGACTCATACCTGTAATCTCAGCACTTTGGGAGGCCGAGGCAGGTGGATCACGAGGTCAGGAGTTCAAGACCAGCCTGGCCAACATAGTGAAACCCCATCTCTACTAAAAATACAAACAATTAGCCAGTCTTTTTGGCAAGCACCTGTAATCCCTACTCAGGAGGCTGAGGGAAGAGAATCACTTAAACCAGGGAGGCGGAGGTTGCAGTGAGTGGAGATCAAGCCACTGCACTCCAGCCTGGGAGACAGTGCGAGACTCCATCTCAAAATAAACTCAGAGTTCCCTTACCTTCCTTTTTCTTCCTTGACGCAGTCAGGGTCAGAGGGCCTTGCAAAGCCGGAATCTCAGAGGTAGTCAGGACTAAGGAGAAGGTTCTAAGACCTATCAGACTTTTCTAAAAGACCAAAGGCTGTAAAAGGAATTCCATTTTAGAAGTGACTGAGATTGCTACCAAACCATTATCTTCTTCTGCCATGGGAACAGAGCTGGGGAGAGGACCTGGCTACAGAACTAGGATGCATTTCCCAAGCCCCTTGCTGCTATGGGAGATCATGGTGAGAGGCAAAGCCAGCTGGACTTACGGACCAATCAACACTGTAAAATGGACCAATCAGCGCTCTGTAAAATGTACCAATCAGCAGGATGTGGGCGGGGCCAAATAAGGGAATAAAAGCTGGCCACCCCAGCCAGCAGCGGCAACCGGCTCTGGTCCCCTTCCACGTTGTGGAAGCTTTGTTCTCTTGCTCTTCACAGTAAATCTTGCTGCTGCTCACTCTTTGGGTCCACACCACCTTAAAGAGCTGTAACACTCACCGCAAAGGTCTGTGGCTTCATTCTTGAAGTCAGTGAGACCAAGAACCCACCGGAAGGAAGAAATTCTGGACACAATGGGATCCAGTGCTCACAGTGAAATACGAGGGAAGCAGTACAACCTCTGCTCACTTCCTTAAGAGGGAGGCTCTGGCCTTCCCATTGGAAGCCACGTGTTGAAGGTGGTGGAGCTGCCATCATCCAGGTTGTCTTGATGGCTTCTGGGAGCAGAGCTACCTGCAATTCTAGAACATTACCTTGGACTGTTCATTGAGATGTAGATATTTTTGTTGCTGTTGTACTTTAAGTCCTAATTGTGGTAGATCATTTGATTATGTCAACTTTAATTTTTACCCTATATAGAGGAAAAAAATTAACACCATAAACTGCACATGACTTTTCTCTTAATCCAAGGGAATTACAACCAGGAACTTAAACATGTCACTAGGTTGGAGGAGAGCCCCTAAAGATAATTCTCCAGATTTACATTTTTTTCCTTGAGAAAACGTCGTTCTTCCATCCTCTGCTTTGCAAACATTTTTGGATAGATCCAGCCCCTGCCCAGGAGAGTTGGCCAGCTCCATGACTCATGTTCCCAGATCTGATTGATGGCACCTAAGAAAAATTCTAGTGCCCTTGTTTAACAAAGAAAAACTACATGTCTAGAAATACATAATATAGTCAAGGCGTCTAAAGACTCAATGAAGGTATTAAATAGCAGATTAGCCAAGCAGCTCAGTGAACTAGAAGACAGATTAGAGGAGATTACTAAGAATGTAGCACAGAGGTAAAAGAAAATAAAAAAGACTGAGAGATATGGAAGGTAAGATGAGAGGGTCCAATGTATATCATGCATTCCATAGGAAGTGGGAAGATGAGAGAGAAGAAGTTAACTAGGAGTTAATGGCTGAGAATGTCCCCAAATTAAAGAAAGTTATGGGTCTCAGATTGAAGGAGGTCGTGAAATACCAGTCGAGATCCATTAAAATAGAATTATACCTGGACATATCAAGGAAAAACTGATTAGCATCAAAGACAAAGAAAAATCTTAAAAACAACTAAAGGCTGGGAGTGGTGGCTCACGCCTGTAATCCCAATACTTTGGGAGGCTGAGGTGGGAGGATCACCTGAGATCAGGAGTTCAAGACCAGCCTGGCCAACATGGTGAATCCCCATCTCTACTAAAAATACAAAAAATTAGCTGGGCATGGTGCCGGGTGCTTTTAATCCCAGCTACTCTGGAGGCTGAAGCAGGAGAATCGCTTGATCCCAGAAGACACAGGTTGCAGTGAACTGAGTTCACGCCATTGCTCTCCAGCCTCGGCCGCAAGAGCTAAACTCAGTCAAAAAAAGAAAAAAAAAAAAACAGAGAGAAAAGGCATATTACTAGTACAACAAACGACAATAATTTTTCTGGCAATTGGACTGACACCAGATTTCCCACAAACTATGTTGAGCTAAACTACTGTTTAATAGGGAGAGCAAGAAAGACATTTTTGGACAATGTCTAGAAGAACTTACCACTTGTGGAGCGCTGCTGAAATGACAACTGTGGAAGAGTTTCCTGAGTAAGAAGCAAATTAAAACCAGAAAGAAAAATGGGATTCACTAGGAATGTTGAGTAATGCGATATACAAAAATATTAGTAAATGTGAACATTGATGATAAAAAAATCAATAATAATAATAATAACAAAAACAACAGTGGCAGCCATGAAGACTCTAAGGGCTTAATAACAGCCTGAAACTACAATGCCAGCCCAGTAACAAAGAAGGTCAGTCAGGGCTGTAGATACTAAAGTGTTCTGAGGTCCACCTGTTCTTCAGAGCAGGGTATGGATATTGGTTTTTTAGGTCTTATTATGTGCAATAGGCTAAAATTTTTTGAGTAAGCACTAAAATAATAGATACAACTTCTAGGCCCTGAAGGAAAAGAGAGAATAAAACACAATCATTTCAATCAAAGACAAAAAACTAAATACTAAAAAAAAAAAAAAAAAAAAAGGCAAGGAAAATCATGACAAATGGAGAGAACAGAATGAGGTGGTGGTGGGAAGTCCACAAACACGAAGAACACGAGAAATACACGCAGTCGCCACTCACCAGGTGAGACCGCCGTGGTCTCCTGTTGCTGCACACAGAGGCACCGTCTGTCAGGAGCTTTCTGGGCCTCATCACAGATTCGGCAGTGGCAGATCTGACTGGGAACCAGCGAAATCATTGCCCCGGGGTTTCTCACTCAGACGGTCTAAAGACCATGCTTTGAGAAACACTGCTGAAACATGAAAGAAACAGTCTCTGTCCTTCGTTTGCAAGGCCTTCCACTCACAATAAAATCCGTATTTCACACAATTATGCAGAATGATGCTCATTTAATGAGTTAATTCTCACCCCCCTCCCAGTAGTGTGGCCCCATTAGTCTCAGTGGGCCTGTTGGGAGTAAAAGCCGTGGCCTCCTAAAAGCTGCAACCATAGACCAAGACCAAGCTTTCTGCTTCCTTATAAAGGCCTACCTCAACTCCCCCGCCCCTTCCCATCCTCTGATGGGGGAGGGCAGGGCAAGGTGGGCGTGGAGCCTGGGGGTGCACGCTCACGCACATCTCTATGACCAAGCAACTTCACTCCTGAGGATTCGTCCAAAGAAATATTCACGAAGTCCACAAGGATTTACAGACAAAGATCTCTATTGTAACATTGTCTGTAATAGCAAAAATTGGAAAGAACCCAAATGTCAATCAACAGGGATTTGGTTAAATAAATCATGGTAGAGCCATGCAAGGCAGCCATTAAAAAGAATGAAATAGATCAATAGGCATTGATGTGCAAAGAAGTCTGAGACATATTATTAAGTTAAAAAAATGTGCCAGAGCCATATGTAGAGCATGATCCAGTTCTTATAAGGATGAACTCATGTGCCACCTTTGTCTCAGAACAGGCAGCGAGAAACAAAACGTGAAGGGTGTTTACCAGGCTCTGGCTCGAGGGGCAGTGGAGATGATGGAAGTATTTAATTTCTGATCTTTTTCCATTTCTCCACTGTTTAGGTTTTTTTGTTTGATATTTTTAACTAGGCTGTATTTCTTTTACGGACAGGAAAAAAGCAATAAAGAGTTTTTTAATGTAAAGTTATCTTTATATGAGTTTTTAAAATTGCTATTGTTCTTTGTAATAAGAAGGGATTTATCCTGACACTTCTGGCTATATGTGATCTGTTTCTCTACTGAGAATCTTCATCTTCAGGATTATTGCTGTTACACGAACCAGCAGGGCCACATTCTCGCTTTCTTTTCTCTCTCTTTTTTCTTTTTTTCTTTTTCTTTTTTTTGGACTTTTATTTGTAGGGGGAGGAGTATGGGCTGTGAAAGACACATTTGGCGAAGGATTCTTTTTGTTTTGGCAAAGAATTACTTTTTATCATATACTACAGGGTATCTTTTTCAAACAAAGCACTCAGAAATGCAAAACTAATTTCATTTATTATAAGATTTGTGCACACATGATCTATACTGACAGGAAACACTGAGATAATCGAAATAACTTCTTTATATCCTTCACAATCCTTACACAACATTCACATACCACGAAAACCTTTGTTTCATGAATGAATCACAGAATATTCTCTTGGTGATGGCAAGTCAGTGCCGTGGGTCCGTGAGTGTTGGCAGAGCTGCACCTCTGAGGGCTGTCTCCAGGCGGCCACTCTGGAACTGCTGGCCGCTCTCTTCCTTTCAATCACACCATCTGGCTGCACTCGGAGCATCTGTTCTGAGCTGCAGCCTCAGGGCGGTGGCCTTGCCCCTGCCATCGTGGCGTGCCATCTCCTCCTGTCTGTTCTTTTAATATTTTAAAGAGAGCCATTGATTTTCAGCAGGAAAAGGCTTTTCGCTTTTCTACTTTCCTGAGCAATAAGCTAGGTGCAAGGGCAGAAATTTCTTTAAAGTGAGGTTCGAAGGCTGTAAACAGGTCTGTGTCCAAACTACCAGCCTCCAGTTCCTCTGCCACCGGAGTCCATCCTACGGGTCAGGGCAATGAGGTCTCAGGTGCCTCAGAGCTCACAGACCCTCGTAAGGAGTTCCCCGGCCTGTGCCCATCCCTACCCAGGGAACTGCAGGAGGGTAGAAATTGTTACCCATTTGGAGCTCTTTTCACCTCCTAGGCACTTTGTGGTCACTATTTAATGTAACACCTACACCATAAGAGAATTACAATTTCCCCTCCTTTCCAGATGAGGGAGTTGCGAATTAGGGCAATTAGAAGGCTTGCAGAGGTCACATGGTCAGTCTACACCGCAGCTGAGGTTTGAACCCAGGCTGTCTGTTTTTGGGTACCAGATGCTTAACCACCAGGCCCTGGGGATGGGTTGGTGGGTAGCCTGGAAGAGGACTAGTAAAAAACCACTTGCTCTCAGACGGGGATGCTCCAGCCTGGATCAGCCACTAAGCGACCCAAGGCAGAAGCAAGAGGCACCTTTAGGAGAAACACGCGAGTCCCAGGAGATGTCATGGCACCCGTGGGAAGAGCTGGGCGGTGTCATGGAGACCATCACAGCACTGCGAGGGCAGTGTGGGGAGCCCAGCATGTGGGGGCTGCAGTGGCCCCCATCGCACCTCCATCTATGTCACTCAACCACCATGATGGCCTGCGTGTCAGGCAAGAGCAGGCGGGGAGAGGAGAACCCTCTGCTGGTAGAGGGTCTGACATCAACAGGGCCACACGTCCCCTGCCAGGCAGCAATATTCCCCACCAGGCAGGAACAGGCTGTGTGTGCCCGCAGCTGAGTACCATGGGGCAGTGTCCAGAACCTGTCCCCACCAGCCCGGATGCCGTGCCTCCAGCCCCTCCCTCTGCAGCAACCAGGTCTAGGGTCTAGGACACAGTCCATCCCCCAAGCACTGGACGGCCTGCAGGGCAATACGACGTGGAGCCTGCTCTGCAGAACCAACTCTTCCTGCAAGCAGCCCAAAGCCTGGAGCTAGGAGACTGTAGACGGCCCCCTCCCTGGCTGCTGTCTAGATTCCCAGATCCAGCATGAAAGCAAGGCCCCACGCTGGGGGCTCTATGGCCCCAGACGGAAAGGCCCCACGCTGGGGGCTCTATGGCCCCAGACGGAAAGGCCCCACGCTGGGGGCTCTATGGCCCCAGACGGAAAGGCTCCACGCTGGGGCCTCTGCCACACTTGCCCTGTGAGTAGAGCTGGGTCCCCAGCCTCCACTGTCCGCTTCTTCCCCAACTAGAACACAGACGGAGGGGATGTGAGAAGTCTCCCCCCAGCTGCAGCCACAGGGACCACTTCTTCCTGCTGACAAAACCAAGATTGTGTTCAAATTCCTACCCATCCTCGCACCCTCTCATCTTGTGGGGTTTCCTCCCCCAGCTGCAGGGAGGCCAGCTGGATTAGCCTGACTGGCTGGTCCCCAGCCTGGCACACATCAGAAACATCTGGGGACCTGGCTTCAAGTGGACTGCAGGGCCCACTCCGAGCTCTGTGGTGCGGGGGCTGCGGTTCTAACACGCTGTGCTCTGGCAGAGCCACAGCCATGCAGCTCAGCGCCTGACGGTGCCTCCTCTGAGGAAAGTGCTGGGTCCTGGGTGAGGACGGGGCTCACATCAGCCCAGTCGGGCTAGAGAGAAGGACTCAGGTTCCCCGTGGCTGGGGCTGAGTCCTGTCTCTGACACCACCCAAAGCTTCTTCTCATCTCTGACTGCAGGAGCCAGCCTGGGGACAAAGCTGGCCCTGGGACAGCAAGGGTGGGGAGAGGAGCCCAGCCTGATGCCACGGCTCAGCCCTGGCTCATCCCCCTCCCACGGTGACACCCGCCCTGTGCTTCCTGCTTCCTGGTGTGTGAAGTAAGACATTTCCTCTTTTCTTTTAAAAGCAGCTTGAGTCAGAGTTTCTGTCTCTTGTAGCTGAAAGCACCACCTATTTCCTTTCATGGCTAAAATCCATTTACCCGCAGTCCTAGAACCAAAAAATCCAGCACACGACCGCTGGAGGAAACTGGAGTCAGCCACAGACCTTCCTCCGCACCTCGCGGTGGAGGGGACCCTGGATGAGGGGCCATCCCCAGGGAGCTTCCAGGAGCCTGTGTCTTCGGGAACAGAGCGCCAGTCAGGGTCATAAACCCTCATGTTTTTGTTTTAAGTTGTCCTTCAGAACCATTAGTACAAGGAAATGTTATCTTCTAGGCCTATTAGGAGATTAGGGGGAAAAAAGTACTGTATTTTAAAAGAAAGTACTGCAGGTCCGTGATTTGGTAGTTACTTTTACTTAAGAAAAAATGTTATACTGAGTTTTTAAGTTGAAAAGTGAATTAACTTAAAAAAGTATAAGGTAAATAATGCTGTATGTGGTAAGAAAATACAGCTAAAATTATGGTGATGGAAAAAAAGACTAAAGTTGGAGAATTGTAGAGCATGAATATCACATCATAGATGATTGTGTGTCCCCTGTGGAAATGAGACTAGGGGCTCCCAAATAAGGAGCTGTGGAGAGCAGTGCGAATGCATCTCGCCTCGCCTTTACCTATCCCAGAGTCAGTGTGAGGAAGTGACTCGCAAAATACTCTCAGCACTCAGGAGAAAAGAGTCACACACAAAACATGCAGGCGAAGATGGCCTCAGGTTTCCACTGTGCAGTGCTGGGCACCAGAGCCCGATGAACAGCAGAGTCCAGGGAGGAGGGAAAATGTGGTCCTCAGGGCCCAGCACAGGCAAATCTTCCTCCCTGTGTAGACAGGCTTGTATGTTTGACATCGCGTTCTTGCCTGCTGGTCAATAGAGAGAACTTAATCAAAAGCGTAGGAATTATGTCAAATATGCAAGAGCATACAAAGTATACACCTTCCTGGGAAAATGAACTGCAAAATACATTCAGTCAACTGAGATAAGAAGCAAAGATTAGCTCAAAAATGTAAAAGTCCCGCTATAGAAATGTTGGCCAAGTCCCCAGAGACTGGTTAAAATAAGTGGCATAAGAAATTTCTACACATAAAAATTAGCCGGGCGTGGTGGCGGGCGCCTGTAGTCCCAGCTACTCGGGAGGCTGAGGCAGGAGAATAGCTTGAACCTGGGAGGCGGAGGTTGCAGTGAGCTGAGATCACATCATTGCACTCCAGCCTGGGTGACAGAGCGAGAATCCATCTGAGAGAGAGAGAGAGAGAGAGAGAGAGAGAGGCAGGGAGGGAGGGAGAGAGAGACAGAGAGAGAGAAAAGGAAGAAGGGAGGAAGGGAGGAAGGAAACTTCAAAATCTATTTATGATACTCAGTTCCTATAAAATCTACAAAATAAAAATTTGGCTAAAGAAACGATCAGGAACAGGAACCCCGGATTAAATGAGTGCAAGGCCAGACGGGGAGCACGGGAGCGTGAGGAGAGTAAATGTCCTTCCGCGGCCTTTCTCCCAAAACACACACACACACCGCGTCTCATGGAGTGGTATTTCACAAATACGTTAGGTAATTATTTTGAAAAGCTTAAACATACACAGTCGTGTAACTTTAAATAAGCTGTGTGATGTTGTAAAATGACAAAGATAGTGACGGCAGAGAATATAGCCCATTCACAAATGCCAGAGTAAGATATGCCACATGGTACCCTAAAGAAAAAAGACTCAAAAAAAGATGCATGATGTGGAAAATAAGCTCTTCGGTTCGAGAGTATGTTTGATTCATGCTCTCCAATTCTCAAGCTTTAGTAACTGTTTTCTATCACCATACTTTTAACTATGTTTTCTTACCACATACAGTGTTATTTACCTTATGCTTTTTTTAAGTTGACTCACTTTTCAACTTAAAAACTCAGCATAGCATTTTTCTTAAGTAAAAATAATTACCAAAGCATGGGCCTGCAGTACTTTCTTTTAAAATATAGTACTTTTTTCCCCTAATATCCATTAAAATCAAACTATTCTGCATGCATTACCTGAAATGATTTCTCAAAACACCAATGATATGTCTTCCACACCTGGGAAACACTTGTCAAGCACTTAATAAATAGTACTTGATAAGTTTAACTTATTTGCTTTCTATTTATCATAGATCACAAAGAACAATGATGGCCGGGCACCATGGCTCATGCCTGTAATCCCAGCACTTTGGGAGACTGAGGTGGGTGGATCATTTGAGGTCAGGAGTTCAAGACCAGCCTGGCCGAATGGTGAAACCCCACCTCTACTAAAAATACAAAAATTATCCAGGCAGTAGTGGCGCACACCTGTAATCCCAGCTACTTGAGAGGCTGAGGCAGGAGAATTGCTTGAGCCCGGGAGGTGGAGGTTGCAGTAAGCCGAGATCACGCCACTGCCTGGGTGACAGAGTGAGACCCTGTCTCAATTAAAAAAAAAAAAAAAAGAAAAAGAAAAAAGGAAAACCATGGTTTTAGCAATTATGAGGCTTTTGAAATTTAAAGCTTTAAAAGCAGAGCCGACAATCAACCATTAAGAAGAGTAAGATGCTAAAAATTCACACACAAACACTTATACTGAAATATAGTCAGGTGTCACCTAATGATGGGGATCCATTCTGAGAAATGCATCATTAGGCAATTTCATCAGAGTGCACCGACACACACCTGGGCGGAGCAGCCTGCTACACACCTGGGCTGCGTGGTGGAGCCTGTTGCTCCAGGGCTGCAGACCTGTGCCCTATGTGACTGTGGGGAATACTGTGGGCAACTGAAATACAATGGTAAGTATTCGTGTATCTAAACATAAGAAAGGGACAATAGAAAATACAGTATCAAAGATTAAAAATGCTGCACCTGTTTAGGGCACTTAGCATGAATGGGGCTTGTAGAACGGGAAGTTGCTCTGGGTGAGTCAGTGAGTGTGTGGAGCGTGAATCTGAAGGCCCAGGTCGTGACCATAACTACTGCAGGCTTTATAAACACTGTACACTTAGGATATATTAAATTTATGCAAAATAGTTTTCTTTTCGAAATAGTAGATTAACCTTAGATTACTGTAACTTTTTTATGTTATAAACTTAAATTTTTTTAACTTTTTGACTCTTTTATAACACTTTGCTTAAAACACAAACACATTATACAGCTGTACAAAATTATTTTCTTTCTTTATATTCTCATTCTATAAGCTTTTTTCTATTTTTTCATTTTTTTTTTTAACTTTTAAAATGTTTCTGTTAAAAACAAAGAGGCAAACACACAGTGGCCTAGGCCCACACAGGGTCAGGGTCCTCGGTGTCACTGTCTTCCCCCCAACATCTGGTCCCACTGGAAGGTCTGCAGGGGCAATGACACGCACAGAGCCGTCACCTCCTGTGATGACAATGCCTTCTTCTGGACACCTCCCACAGGACCTGCCTGCAGCTGCTTTACAATTAACTTGTTTTTCTAATTAGTAGGAGGAGTACACTCTAAAATAACAATAAAATGTATAGTATAGCACGCATCATCATTATCAAGTAGAATGTGCTATGCACAACTGTACGAGCTATACGTTTATACAACTGGTAACGCAGTAGGTTTGCCTATACCAGCATCACCGCAAACGCGTGAGAAATGCATTGTGCAATGACATCACAAGGCAGTAGAAGTCTTCCAGCTCCACGATCATCTCAGAGGCCCACCGTTGTCTGTGCCATCCATCATGGACTGAAACGTTGCTAAGCGACTCACGACTACACAAAGAATAAGAGCCTCACTGCTTCCTTCTGTTGCCTGCTGGACCCCCCATTGAGTGTGTGGTCAAGGGCGCACTCCACGGTGAGTATGGGTCATCACTGCACAGTGTGTGTGTGGCCATGGACCCACTCCACGGTGTGTGTGTAACCATGGAGCCCTCCACAGGGCGTATGTGGCCAGTGAGGAAGGCAGGCATGGTTCAGCTCCTGAAGGCCTGGGCTTAGCTCTCAAGGAACCGGGCTTGGACACATTTGGCCTGTGGAGGGCTGACCCTCAGCTCCTGCCTCACACTGCCCCCATGCTCCACTGTCGGCAGCCTTTGAAGACATTTCAGGCCCCATGTCTGCCAATCTCCCAGGGCCATGTCCCAGCCACGCCAGCCTCCTCTGTTTCTGAGCAAACCAGGCTCCTCCAGCCTCAGGCCCTGAGTGTTCCACGCTGTTGGTAGCTGCCCCCACCCATGCGATTCCTCCCTTCTAGGATGGTCTCATGCAGGTGTCTCTGTCTCCCACACAGCCCAAATGCCCAGGGAGGGCTGAGCCTCTCTCAGTGGAGGGAGCCAGCCTCTGGAAGGCAGCCCCAGCTCCCGGCTCGGACGCTGACTCAGCCCTGGGAGGGGAGGGGGTTCCAGGGAAACTCCTCCCAGTTCGGGAGAGACACTTCCCAGCTCCGGAGAGACTCCTCCCAGCTCCGGAGAGACTCCTCCCAGTTCCGGAGAGACTCCTCCCAGCTCCAGAGAGACACCTCCCAGTTCCGGAGAGACTCCTCCCAGCTCCGGAGAGACTCCTCCCAGTTCCGGAGAGACTCCTCCCAGCTCCGGAGAGACTCCTCAAAGCTCTGGAGAGACTCCTCCCAGTTCTGGAGAGACACCTCCCAGTTCCGGAGCAACTCCTCCCAGTTCTGGAGAGACTCCTCCCAGTTCCGGAGAGACTCCTCCCAGTTCCGGAGAGACTCCTCCCAGTTCCGGAGAGACTCCTCCCAGCTCCGGAGAGACTCCTCCCAGTTCCGGAGAGACTCCTCCCAGTTCTGGAGAGACTCCTCCTCATTCCAGAGAGACTCCTCCCAGCTCCGGAGAGACTCCTCCCAGCTCCAGAGAGACTCCTCCCAGCTCCGGAGAGACACCTCCCAGTTCCAGAGAGACTCCTCCCAGCTCCAGGAACGTGTCTGAACGTGGTTGGCTTGTTTTCCTCTGGCCACTGCCAGGACCCTGGGCGAAGGTTTGGCCAGCAGTGGAAGACATAGCACAGTGGCCCCAGCAGACTCCACGGTCAGCACAGAGCTCCTGCCCGGGGTCAGCCTGAGGCCCACCCTCCTCTGGCAGCTGTCGCTGGACCTGCTGCTTCAGACCACTGTACTCCAAGCTCCTGGTTTTACTGCCAAATGTGCAGCACCAAGACAGCTTGAAATACTCTTTCACTGGTCTTGATGAGAATTCACCCTTCTTGAAGTGAATTCCTTCTCTTTCTTTTCACGTGGTAGGTCCAATGTCTCCTCCTCAGAGTGGCCTTCTCTGAATCCTCTTTATTTCTGTCCCTCACAGGGAAAGCCCTGTTTATTTTGTGTCTCCACCACCCATACAGAGAAGAAAGGTCTTGAGAGGGGTGTTTGGTAGGGCCTCTCTGACCACAGCATCCTCAGAGCCCCTGAACTAGAGCTGGCCCAGGAAGGACCAAACCAGAAATCTACTTTTTCTTCTTTGTTATTTCTTTATTTAATATTAATTGCAAACAAATTTGTAATTACAAGCATGCTAAAAAATCTTTTATTAAGAGGCACATACACACTTTGCAGCTTCCAGGTGTCTGAGTTTATTGGTTACATTTTTCAAAAGGCCATCACACGACCCTGGAGAGAAGCCCCCAGCTGCCGAGCAGCAGTAGGAGGAGGGCGAGGCCACAGGACGGCACGCGGGAGGCGCCAGCCGCAGAGAACACGCACAAGCCTGACGGCTGGAGCAGCACCACGTGCATTTCCTTAAAGAACGGAGGTGCAGATCCGGGCAGGGCGAGCTCAGGGTTGGTTAGTTCAGGAGCTCTGCGCGTCTCAGGCAGCCAGGACCCTGGGTCGAGAGAGGCTGCGATGGTCCCACCGTCACATTCAGATCTGACCATGGCCAGTGGAAGAGGAAGAGATGTGTCCTCTTGGGCTGTTTTCTCAGGGACTAGCAAACTTTGCTCGGGCCCTGTCCACCCACGTTCCCACAAATATCAATGCCAGAATTGGGCCACACAAGCCTCCCGTGCTGGTGCCTGCGGCTGGCGGAGACAGACACGCACCACAGCAGGTGAGCACCATGCGACTGGAGTTAAAATGAAAACACCTTTCTTCTAGAAGCATGAAGGAAACATTTCAAATGATGACGCTTTGTGCTGCTGATGGTGAGTGAAACAGAACTCTCCATCCATGGGATGTGGGCACACGACCCAGCCCCAGCTTCCTAGAAGGCAGCGGGATGGGTACAGGACGGGGACGCTGCCACCTGCCTTTGGCCCAGGACTCCCATCTCTAAGAATACATCTTAAGGAAAGAAGTAAAGTGCATATGAGCAAAAATATTATGTACTGATATGTTCATTGCATTAATATTTTAAAAATTCAAATATCCAAAATTGGAATGCTTATACAAATTTTGAACTATACAAATAACCCAATATTTACATGCTATTACACTGATATTTAAGAAGAGTGTTCATTAAAATGAAAAACAAACTTTTACCATTAAATGAAAAAAATTACATACCGTATAATGTCTACACTTGAAAAAGGAGTATATAGAAAAATAAAGGCACCCCTGCCAAGTGTTAATAATAGTTTTCTCTGCAGGGTAGGCTTCCGGGTGATTTTCTGTATTTACACATTTTTAGCCCTCTAAATATTCTATAGTGAGGGCGTCTGTAGTTGCTATTGTTTCCATTATCAGTTATCTATTGCCACAGTGGTAACCACAAGAAACAACCACAAACCTCTGTGCACGTAACCACCACCACTGGCGCCTGCTCACCGTCGAGGTGGTGTTGGGGCAGGGCTGCTCTCTGAGCTGGGGCGGAGGAGAATGAATGCATCTGCTCAGCCGGCTCGGCTGGGTGGCTTCACCTAGCTTTGCCGAGCCCCCTCCCACGCCAGCTGGGCCCCGCAGAGACTCTCAGGGCCCCAGGCAGATGCTCGTGACAGTACAGGGCTTCGTGGGAACTGCAAGAGCTCACGGCGTCTTAGGCCTCGGCTGGGCAAGGCCCCCTTCCTACCGGCCAAAGCAAGTCAGAGGCTGCGCGGCCTCCAAGGGTGGGAAAGGAGCCCCTGTTGATGAGAGGAGCTGCGGTTCGTTGCAGCGACGGGACAGCAGGATGAGGACCTACAGCCAGCTTTACTTCAGTCCACGATTGAGACCCGGCTGCTGTTCTCAACAGCTGTTCCCACCATAGCCTGAAAACCCAGATATTTGCTGCCTCAGTTTCCATGGCCAGTATGGTAGTCACGTGGCCAGCTCTGGCCAATGAGACCAAGGGTAAGTCCAGAGGGGTGAGATTCTGGGAATCACTCTTCCTTCATGATTTAAAAAAACAACAACAAAGGAAGAAAAGAGGGAGAGGAAGAAGCTCACAAGACACCCCCAGCCCCACCACAGAAGCCTCCCTGCACCCGGCCTTCCCATGTGGCCCCGTGAGGGAGGCCATAAGGCCCAGATGCAGGTGTGAACACACACCTGAAGAAGCCAGGAGAACAGCCCCGATGTGTCTCCTCCAGGGTTTCAGGGAAGAAATCAATGCCCACAGTTGAAGCCACGGTGAGCATGCCTCAGTGACTGGATTCCCGGTGCCTCTCCAGACATAGCACAGCCCGCATGTCCATCCAGGAAAGGCGTAACTAAAGAAGAAAGCATTTAAGCAAGAAACAGATAAGTCAAAAGTCTTACAAAAATGAGAAGGCTCTAAATGATTACAGCATAACACAGAAGCTGCTTGGCAGTTTAGAATTTCACTCCCAGACAAAACTATAGTCAACTGAAGGGTATGACCTGGCTGACATGTTGTCCTGACTATTTCATGCTCTAAGTTTGCAGAAAGTGACTGTACATCACCCAGACATCTTACACAGCCCCTGGTCTGTGGAGTTTCCCGTGAAGACACAGGTGGCCTGGCATCAGGGACACACCAAGAAAGTCGGCAGCAGGGAAGGGGGCTTCGTGTCTTTCTCTCACAGGAAAAAAGGAGCAAAACAACTGTCTGAAACTGAAATGAACACGGTGCCTTAAGGTCACTTTATTGTCAAGCAGAAAATGGTCTCAAGAATTGCAAAGGGAAAGGAAGGTAGGATTTGCTGAGCGGAGTATCACATCAAGAAACCCAGTCATCCGGGGAAAGTCGGCACTTCCCGAATTCCCGCGTAATCAGTCACTGAAGAGACGGCATGATGAGCGAACTCTGGTCTATCCGAGGCCTGGGAAGCTGGCTCAGAAGCAGCAGCTGGAGAAACACACGTATGACAGCTGTGGCATTTTGCTAAATATGTTGTCACGATGCCCCATGGCTACAAGGAAAGAGCTTAGCATGTGATGGGGAGGGTGGAAGACACCCCACAGTGCTCAGGGGGGAGGCTGAGCCTCTGCAGCCAGGTAGACCTCTTGACGGTGCAGGGCCAAGCCTCAGCTGCTTACGTCCAGACAAAGCAGGGGGAGGGTGCCTGTGTTGGCCTTGGCCAAATGAGCATGTTTTATCTGAAACAGAATCCATAGGGTGGAGTTGCTTGACACTGGCCTCCTTCCTGAATACCCTCCAGGCGAGAGGCTGCATCTGGGCTGGTCCAGGGCCGCTGGACACCCACAGTGAGCCCAGCGAGGCAGCAGGAGCGCCAGTAGGACTCAGCGTCGATCTCCCGGATTCAGAGATGACCAAGAATCGTGAAACATCTACGTATTCACCAAGGACGCAAACAAGGCTGCAGCCATCTCAAGGAAGCTCCTGGAAATCTTCCTGCAGCCTAGAAAAATGTTACCTGAAGCACTGCAGGAAGATCCTGGGGCCAAGACAGGATTCCCGCTCCACTGAGACCCCAGCCCTGCAGGCTCCCATCCACACCCGCCCTAGGCTGCCCTGGACCCATGGCGGGCCCAGGCACACCCCACAGCCGCAGGCACCCCACAGCACGGCGCCGCATCCAGGGAGTGCCTTCCTAGGCCAACATCCTTGGGTGACACCTGTTGAATTTCGTTTTGATGATTCTTTCCTTTCAGGGTAATAACTTCTACACCTTTTTCTTGGCGTGTTTCTGTAGCCCAGGTCCAGGAATAGATTAAGCACGAGAGCGTGTGGCACCTGCTCAGCAGCCTGTGTATAGCTTATGCTTTCTCTACTGTCCCACAGGAACCGTGTGCACCTCTGCAGGATGCAGACCCACAGGGGTGGGGACAGCAGGAAGAGCAAGAGAGGCACAGAAGGGAAGGCCAGTGGAGGCCCTCCAAGCCGTCCCAAGGCAGTCTCCATTGTCGCATTCAGGCTGGGAAGGGAGGGACAGTGGACAAGGAAGGGGTCCTGGGAATAGCAGCCAACAGGGGAGGAAGGAAAGGATGCAAAACTTCCAACAGAGCTGCTCAGTAGGGGAAAGACGTCTTTCCTCACCCATCCTAGGTTCACGGCTGAAGCTTCTATCACAACAGACAGATGGACAAAGGAAAGTGCACATTTTACTTCATCTAAGTTTTATGTGACACAAGAGCCTTCATAAGGAAATGCCAACCCGAAGAAACAGGCGAGCCTGAGTGTGTTTCACAGGGGGTTTGGTGAAAATGGGGCGGTGGAAGGAAAGAACAGAAGGAAGCAGCATGATCTACTGGCAGCAAAGCGGGGGGACCTGGCAGGCCTGTGTGGCCCTTCAGCTCCCGAGCTAAGGACACTCCACTCCACATGATGGGGTGGCCACTTCTCACAGGCGGGGCTCCTAGACCAGCTTCCCGGGAGGGCCAGAGAGTCCTGCCTGACTTTTATGACCCAAGTCAGGAGAGGAGGAAGGAAGGTGAGTGTGGCTTCCTGCTTCTGCACTTTTCTCAAATAGCTTCAGCTGAAAGTATCGGGGGGTGAACCTCATCACCCATCACACCTCGCAGCCTATGAACCAGCCTGGCATCACCCATCACACCCCACAGCCTGTGAACCAGCCTGGCATCACCCATCACACCCCACAGCCTGTGAACTAGCCTGGCATCACCCATCACACCCCACAGCCTGTGAACCAGCCTGGCATCACCCATCACACCTCACAGCCTGTGAACCAACCTGGCATCACCCATCACACCCCACAGCCTGTGAACCAGCCTGGCATCACCCATCACAGCCCGCAGCCTATGAGCCAGCCTGGCATCACCCATCACACCCCACAGCCTGTGAACCAGCCTGGCATCACCCATCACACCCCACAGCCTGGCATCACCCATCACACCCCACAGCCTATGAACCAGCCTGGCATCACCCATCACACCTCACAGCCTGTGAACCAACCTGGCATCACCCATCACACTCCACAGCCTATGAACCAGCCTGGCATCACCCATCACACCCCACAGCCTGGCATCACCCATCACACCCCACAGCCTGTGAACCAGCCTGGCAGTTGCCGGACAGCACAACTCAGACGCCAGGGTTGCCAGTCCCCATTCATGTGGAGAGATGGCTCTAATGGGAACGGGTGGGCAGGTGCCCTGGGGGCAGCCCCGGCTCCTGAAAAGTGTCCATCTGGGGGGCGGCTCTTGAGTCCAGGGTGCCGCTGGGTGCCCGACACAGAGCTAAGTCCTCGATATTCATCATCCTGATCCAAAGCTCTCCCACCTCCAAATAACCTCCCAGACGCACTAGTGAAGGCCCTGGGGAGACGGGAGGAGTTATTTTTAAAAAGAAAAGGAAAAAGAGAACCAGGAGCATTGAGGGCAATGTCATCATCAAAGACGTTCTCTGGGGCTCCAGCAAGCCATGCTGGCCTCGTTGTACAGGCATCACATGGTGACTTCAGGCTCTTAAATATTCTGTCTTCTCTCATGGAAGCTTATCACAGAGAGAGCACGGGCGAGCAATTACCTCCTCCTAATTTCCATCACATCTTGGCACCTTCCATGCAGCTGGGGTTATCTTTGTGATGCACGCTTTTTATGAATAATGAGAGTCATCGGGAAGCAAGTGCTCACCAGGGGACAGACGCAAACAAGTTTCCATCCCTTCTCCCTTTCACACACGGATGGCAACCCCAGTTCCCTTGCTGGGTCTTTCCTGGTGGGTTTTGCAGTCACACAGCCTGCGCCATAGCATGTGTGCCTGCAGACCCCGCACCCGCCGGAGAGAGCCCAGCAGAGCCGTCTTAGTGATGCTGAGAGCCAGCTCCTTCTCTGTGTTTCAAGGAAAAGTTCCCAAAGAGACCTTGCCAAGGAAATGAAGCCTCACTACCTGGAATTTTCATAAAACAAAGGAAGAAACATAGAATTCTAGAAAGTTAGTTGGAAATGTAAGTATAATGACAGGTTTCAGGGGAGTTAGGGATCGTTCTGAACTTTTATAATTCTCAATATGATGGCATTATTATATACTAGGGGAAAAAATCAATGTGACAAAACCAGAATTAAACAGAAATGTCACGTGTTGATGTGCAAATTGGATAATGTGCACAATGAAGTCAGGTCATTAGAATTTCTCCATAAAGGGTAGAAAGCTAAGTCCAATCAATGTTTTTAAATAATTACTTCAAATTCTAGTAAGTGATGGCCTGTCCCTCTGGGTCACCTAAGTATGGTCTATTAATAGAAGTTCACAAAAAAGTGAGGAAGTGAAGAGTAATGATATCAGAAGTAATGATCTGAATATTTCATTTGTATGTTTTGCAGTTGAGGGTTGCTGCGGCGTAGGAGAACAGGCCGCGCATTTGAGGGAAAAAGAAGAATTTGGCTCCAGACTGGCTTCTCAAACAAGCCGTGTAATTACCCTGAGCCTGTGTGCATGTGGAGACGAAGCTGGCTGGGAGAGGAGCTGAATGACATGCGGGAGGCGGTGGGGCTCCTCTTTCCCTCCTTGGGGGTTGACTGCAGCTGAGGTGACTGAACAAAGTTCTTTATTTTTCCTGTAACCCACTATTTATAAAGCTTTCCACTTCTGGCTATTTTCTGAGCCCAGGTAGCTACTTAATTTATGCACTAGACATAATCTGGAAGTGGATTTTCATTTAGGTAACCATGGCAGGCACATTGCCACCATCATTCAGGCTGGTAGCATCCCCACCTGAGGGGTAAGAGACCGAATCATGGAGCGTTTGCACGAGTGGTGGACTCAGGATGGGACCCCAAGCCTTTTGCTTCTAAATCCACAGCTTGTTTCCATGAGAATTCACTTACTGAACTTGCACTGATGTGTTTGTTCACTGCATGTGTGTTGTCTACTAGGTGCTGGGCACAGTTGTGAACTGAAGAGAATCAAAACCCTTCCTTCGTGGAATTTGCACTCCAACAAGAGAAACAGATAAGGAGCAGGAAATAGGAACACAGCGTAGGGTGTGAACAGTGACAGTAAAGCTGGCGGAGGTGCCAGGGAGAGCTGCAATTTGAAATGAAGTGGCCAGGGTAGGCCTCACCAGAAGCCGCAGCTGAGCAGGGGCGCTGAGCAGAGATGTGCTTCCAGGAGGACCCTTCTAGGCAGAGGGAGGTGAGAATGGAGAGATAGGGCCTGGGGAACTGCCTGTTATTCTGAAAGAGAGAGTAAGCCATTGTGGGTATCCCCTTGCTGAGAATAAGCAGAGGTTAAGCAAGGAGACTGAGAAATAGAAGCCCGTTGCATAATGGAGGGGGAATGAGGGTGGCTGGGACTGGTGGGGAAGTTGGAGCAGCAGCGGGCTCTGGGTCTGAACTGTGAAAGCGGAGACAGAATTTTCTGACAGCCTGGATGTGGGCGTGGAGAAGGAAAGGGGCCAGGGTGGCTCCTGGGTTGGAAGTTCCTCCCCTGGACAGGCTGGGATAGGGAGGCTGCAGGTGGCGCGGGCTGGGTGAGGGTCCTCAGTGGGTGCCAGCACAGCCGTCCCTCTCCCATGGACCCGCTGCCTGCTGGCTTCTGCCCGCCCCGCCTCACCCACCCCCAGCACTCAGTGCTCTCCTTGCCTCAGAGCCGGCCTGATTCTGCCAGGCCAGGTGCACTGCCAGGGCTAGGATGTGGATGGCAGGTGGCACGGGCTGGGTGGACAGGGAACACCTGTGAGCCCTCCCATCAGGGAGGCTGAGATGGGGTTCGGAAGATAGGTCCGGAAGAGAGAGGCATCAAGGTCATCAACGCATGAAGGGGTTTAAACCCACAGCCTGGACAAGACCACCAAGAAGGGAAAAACAAGGCCCCAAGGACTGACGCCTGGACCACGGCCACTGCGAGAGGTCGAAGGACCCAAAGGGGCAGCAGAGGAGGCAGACGTGGGCACGCTGGTGGGGAGGCAGCAAGAGCCCTGGAGGGTGGGGCACAGGAAGCCACACAGGCAGGAGGTTGGAAGCAGGCTTGCCAGGCACTGGCCTCCACTTCAGCCCACGGCGTCCTGGGCTGCACTCTTACTACTTACCCAAGTCCAGGGAGCCAGGACCCCTCCCACACAAGCTACGTGAAGCGGGTGACTACTTATATATAGGCATCGAGGAACCGCAGGAGCCCAGGGCTCATAGCCAGGCAGTCCCCCAGGCTCAGGGAAGTGGCTGGGGCAGAGAGGTCTCACCTGAATGTGCTCTATTTGCACTGTGGCTGAGGACCCCAGAAAGCATCCCGCCCTGGGTTTTATACCTTGGCGTTCCAGGACTCACTGGGGTAAAGCAGGCAAGGCCATCCTGGTTTTGGAAGGGCTGGAACAGAGCGAGGCTATTGCAGCCAGCCCCTCCCATCTCAGGACCATGAATTCCCAGCATATTCTGCAGGGACTCGGGGGAGCACAGTGAGAGGTAGAGAGGGCTGGGTCTGTCTGAGGCCATGCAGGCGTCTCCAGGGGCAGAGACCTGTGTATCAGAGGCTGGTGGAAGACACCTGGGAGGAAGCCTAGGAATTGAGCATTGTGGAAATGACCTTTACATTTTACATTATATTTAAAACACACTAAGGGTCCTTCTCCAAATAAAGCCAGACCACAGAAACATCCTGCAAAACCTAATAAAACTGAACAATAAGCAACCAGTGAAAACCAGTTTTAAAACACTACAGTAACATCCAAAAAAGAAAGGCTAGCTTCATGTCATCATCTTTTAAAAGTGAAGTCCAGGAGGAAAAAGTATGGGAATCAACAACAGCCTCCTGTCCCTGAGAAATAGAACCTTGGGGAAGAGGGTAAGCGGATAGCATTCTGAGCTTTTTCACGAATAAACCTAAATTCGAAAAGAAACAACTGGTCAGCAGTTGAAGGAGAGTCTCTGGGGTTAAAGCCCTCACCTACCTCTTACCTCCGAGGAACCCCAGAGATGAGCAGGAGGAGGAGCTGGAGAGGAAAACGAGAGGACCGACTGACCGCAGTTGTCCAGGGCGGAATATTCTATAGCAGCAAACACATTAGGATGGAGGGAAGGAATTGGAAAGAGAACAAGACCCCTTCAGGCACAGGGATCCTCAGGACATCCAGGGGCAACTCCCCCCTGCCCCATCCCCCTCTTTCTCTGCTTCCATGGGGATGGGAGGAGCCCACACAGGGGTCCTTGTATCTGGCAGAGAACAAACTCCTTCCTAAATCGGGGCAATAAGCGGACACCCAAGGGCATCGCCTGCAGAACGGGCTGTGCCCTGAGCTTGCAAGAGTTCCTCCACCGTCCCAGACTACTAACAAAATTGCACAAAGATGAGAGCTTCCAGCTGTACCTTCAAGCCCCACCAGAGCAGGGAGGATACAGAACCCAACAGTCCCAGGGAAGTTTCACATTCTGTTTAGGCAGAGAGAAGATTCACAGGGCTTCCCACGTTGAGTGAGCTGAAAAGGAAGGAAAGCAGGAAGGGAGGGAGGGCGGCTAGAAGAGAGAAAGGCAGGCAGACAGGCACAGGAGTATCTAGACATAGTACAGCTGAGAAGAAAAAAAAAGAGAGAGAGAAATTGCGTGCAAAACACAAAGGTTAAACCTACTGTTGCAGCATATTGCAAGAAATTTTAAAAAGCTTCCAATAATAAATAATGTGAAAGTTAGCTAAAAATAAAGAGAGTAAGAAGTCGCTGAGAAAAGAATTCAAAAATGAAATGAGACAACTGGAATAAAATGCAAAGAAAAATTGAAGAGATACAGAAACAAATTGAGGCTACTAATTCTTCATTAGATAAATAATACCTATATCAGAAACCACAAGGAGCCGGATAAACACAGCTAAATCCTGATTAGGTACATGCAGAAAGGGCTTATTGATAATCACAGATAATGCAATGAAAGAAAGGACAAGGGAAAAGAAAGGAATTTTAATTGGAACCACAAGAATATTTGAGCGGCTTTCTCTGAATTTTTATAGGTTTTAAAAAGTGGTCAAAAATAACAATTTCATATGATTCAACCTAATTAAATATGAAGATGAGCCCAATACAGGGACAACCGGTATATCTGAAACAGAAATAAATAGAACAGAAAAGAATATATAGATAAAATTGGAAAGATGTTCCTCAACAAGCCAAGTCTGCATCTGCAGATTAAAGGGACATTTTTCCCCTGTTCTAGGAACAACCGGCTCACAACCATTCCTCACCGAGACACGCCCGAGTGGGGTCACTGAGTCTCCAGGGTGAGAAAATGTCATGTGAGTGTCCAGGCTGGGGAAAAGCCTCCTACGAGGCAGAGGTGTCCCCTGCCCAGCTACGCTCACACCAGGCATTCCAGGTCAGGTACCGGCTCCTCCTGAGGGAAAAGACACCCAAGAGTGACGGCGGACCCTTGAACAGCTCGTGGGGTAGCAGTGTCGACGCCCCATGCAATAAAAAAAAAATCAGCTTAACTTTTGACTCCTCAAAAACGTAACTCCTCATAGCCTACTGTTGAGCAAAAGCCTTGTTGATAACATACACAGTTGATTAATACCTATTTTATACGTGATTTATATCATATACTGTGTTCTTATAATAAAGTGAGCTAGAGGAAAGAAAACGTTATTAAGAAAATAGTGAGAAAGAGAAAAGACATTTACTATTCATGAATTGGGGATGGATCGTCATGAGCTCTTCATCCGCGTCGTCTTCACGCTGGGGAGGCTGTGGAGGAGGAGGAAGAGGAGGGTGGCAGAGGGGGAAGAAAATCCACATATAAGTGGATCCGCACAGCTCAAAACCCTGTTGTTCAAGGCTCAGCCATACATAGAACCTGCTAAGGTGTATTCTCAACCACAGAAGAATTCCATCACTATAGCACCCAGGAGCCCTTCTCGAAAAAAAAAATACTTGATGACAAAAATTTAGCCATACAGCAGTTGAATCATAAAAATGTTAAAATTCAGGCATGAAGAAGCTGGAAGGAAAGAATGCTGAATGCATTTGAATATGGAAGGGTCTCACATGAAATACATGGTAATTGTGGCACGGAACAAAATGTAGATGATATAAAATGCAAGTCTGTAAAAATAGTCTACGAACAAAAGTCATGGGGGAGGAAGAAAAGTGGGTAGGAGATATGAATTGTGCAAATTCAAGGGGAAGAAATCAACAGATCTTTTTAAAGTTATAACATTAGATTTAAAAAAAAAAAAAAGGTTGACCCTAACCCCAACTTTGTAGCTTAACTTTTTGAATTTTAGATTTTTAGGAAAAATCACTAATATCACTTATAAAGAAAACACACATCTTCACTTATCCATTTCCTTCATGTTCAGTTTGAGATTCATTTTCTTTAGTTAAATACAAGTAATGTTAAATCGAATACATGATGTATTTCATTTGTGTAAAATTATTTCTATCTACTCTTCTGGGAGAATATACACATGGCAAAAGCTCTAAAATGATGTTTATGAAACATTAACCGTAGTGATCTGCAAGAAGTGTGGTGATTCCTCCAGAGCTAAAAACAGAACTACCGTTCAACCCAGCAATACCATTACTGGATATATACCCAAAGGAATATAAATCATTCTGCCATAAAGACACATGTGCACCTGTGTTCATACCAGCACCATTCACAGTAGCAAAGATATGGAGTCAACCTAAATGTCCATCAATGACAGATTGGACTCTGAAGATGTGGTATGTATACACCATGGAACACTACACAGCCAGAGTAAAGAGCAAGATCATGTCTTTTGTAGGAACATGGATGGAGCCAGAAGCCATTATCCTTGGCAAATTAACGCAGGAACAGAAAACCAAACGCCACATGTTCTCACTTAGAAGTGGGAGCTAAAAGATGAGCACTCATGGACACAACAAGGGGAACAACAGAGACTGGGGCCCATCAGAGAGTGGAGGGTGGGAGGAGGGAGAGGAGCAGAGAAAATAACTATTGGGTACTAGGCTTAGTACCGGGGTGATGAAATAATCTACACCACAAACCCCCATGACAAGTTCACCTACATAACAGACCAGCACATGTACCCCTGAACCTAAAATAAGAGTTAAAAAAAAAAGTAGTGATTTCCAGATGATGAGACTGGGAATACATTTTTGACTTTTTGTACTTTCTGTTTTCTTGATCCACCCCTGTCCCCTGCCAACAAACAGATAACATTCTCCTAAGCAATAGTTATTTCCTAATGAGAAGAGAAGGAAGTCCTCCAGCAGCAGCCCCGCTCCACTGCTCCTCGTGCCCACCTGGGCTCATCTCCTCCAGGATCAATTCACTCATCACCGTGGTTCACAGCTGGGCTGCTCCTCCCTCTCCACCTTCTTTTTTTAACACAGACCTTGTCCTCTCCAGCAAATTGACATAGTCTGGGAAGATACCTCTTAGTCAAAAATGTCCTTTTGTTAAGCAAAAGACAATAATTACACCAATGGAATACTGATCAGTGAAGAGGTGGCCTGGCTAAATTACAGTGTTTAGAACAAAACTAAACACAGCAACCAAAAGGACTTCAGTAAAGTAATTATGATTATCCACAGAGGTCTGACCTGGACACTGGACAACTCTTCCTTCTGCCTCCACCTCACCTGGGTGCTTGCGCCCGAGGGCACCTGCATAGAACAGGCAACGCACGCGGCACTGAACCTTCATCCCCCAGGGTCCTGTGGAAACCTTGCTATGTGCCAGGCCCTACACTCAGCTCTGGATACACCAGGGCAAATGAAGCAGTCTAGCTAGGCAGACAAACAGACTGTCCAGGTAAACGGGCTGCCATGTGGAAGCACATAACACACACGGAGCCAAGGCGTCTCGCACTGGGCCAGTCTAAGCTGAGTCCAGGGCTGTGGAAAGAGGGTGGAGTGGAGAGAAAGAGGAGACAAGGCAGATGGAACAAGGGGAGAAGCTCTGTACCTCACAGTCAGGTGCTCTCTACCGTGTATCCAATAGCTATTCTTCTCTTTTAATCACAAAACTCCTATATGTTAGAAACAGTAAGGTGCCCTTCTTAAGAAACTAAATTTCCTGGCTCCCTAGCAATAGAAAGTTGTTGGGTGGGGCTCCCAGGAAAGCCACTTGAAGGGGACAGATTCAGCTAGTTGGAATGCAGATGTGATGGCTACAGCTGCAGCGCCATTTTGCAACCATGAGGAAATTTGGAGACTAGAAGCTACACATTAAGGACTATGGAGCAGAAAGACAGAAAAATCTGGATCCCTAATAACAAGCAATGGGAGTGAGATGAAGGGCAACAAGCCAACCCCAGACTGCCTACCTCTGGGTTTCTTCTATGTAAAAGAAATATCATTTATCCAGCTGAAGACTCTCTTAGGTGGGATTTCTGCTACCTGCAGCTGAACCTAATCCTGAGTGATCTAGCTTAACAGCCGTATTAAAAGGTTAGCTATTTTTAGCATGATCACCGTTACCCTAACTCCTCATCTATTTCCCTTGCCCTAGGCTCCTACAGAATTTATACTTTGCACTAAATAATTTACTCTGGAATTATTTGTATATTTATTATTTATTAACTAACTGCATGATGGAGTATTCCCACCCTACAATAGGCTCATAAACTCCATGCATGAAAATAAACATCATTTATCCAAGCCTACCTCAGGGCCGAGCACATGATAGGTGACATGGTTTGGCTGTGTCCTCACCCAAATCTCCTCTTGAATTATACCCCCATGATTCCCTCATGTTGTGGGAGGGACCCAGTGGGAGACAGTTGAATCATGGGGGCAGTTTCCCACATACTGTTCTCGTGGTAGTGAATAAGTCTCTCAAGATCTGATGGTTTTATCAGGAGTTTCTGTTTTTGCCTCTTCCTCATTCTCTCTTTGCCTGCTGCCCTCCATGTAAGACAGGACTTGCTCCTCCTTGCCTTCCGCCATGATTGTGAGGCTTCTCCAGACACGTGGAACTGTAAGTCCATTAAACCTCTTTCTTTTGTAAATTGCCCAGTGTCGGGTATGTCTTTATCAGCAGAGTGAAAACGGACTAATACAATGAGCTACTCCCTAAGTGCTGGCAGGACTGACACCATGATTCCCCTTCCTTTATCTGTCCTCTTGGTCACAGCTGTTTTGCTAAGAGGAGGGAAAGCATGTCTTGTGATCCACTCACCAGCCCTGTGATGAGGGTCTTATATCCGCGTGGTAGAGATGAGGAAGCTGAGGCTCAGAGATGTCAAGTCACAGACCCAGGGTCACTCGGCAAGAAAACAGCAGAGCTGAGTTTCACAGCCCTGAGCATGCTGGCCTGTCCACACCACCGCAGGGGCCTCCTGGAATTCACGGTGTCCATGTCCCTAAGGAACTAGTTTTACTCTGAGGAAGAGGTTTGGTGGGTGCACATTTCATTAGAGGGTGGGAACATGAAGATTATTTTTATTTTGCTATTTTATGTTCAATCTAAAACAGACGGAAAGTCTAATTAACTCCCACGCCTTGCCTTGCCATCCCCGGGCAGTGGTCACCTCACGGAGGAACAAGAACCTAAGACCACATGGAATACTATGCAGTCATAAAAAAGAATGAGTTCATGTCCTTGGCAGGGACATGGATGAAGCTGGAAGCCATCACCCTCAGCAAACTAACACAGGAACAGAAAACCAAACGCCACATGTTCTCACGCATAAGTGGGAGTTGAACAATGAGAACATGTGGACACAGGGAGGGGAAGATCACACACCAGGACCTGTTGGGGTGGTGGGCAAGAGGAGGGAGAGCATTAGGACAAATACCTAATGCATATAGGGCTTAAAACCTAGATAAGTTGATCAGTGCAGCAAACCACCATGGCACACGTATACCTAGGTAACAAACCTGCACGTTCTGCACGTGTATCCCAGAACTTAAATCAAAATTTTAAAAAAAGAACTGGGGACTTGCATCTCCGTCCTTCCTGCCTGTCGCCTGGCAGACCCCGTCGCTGAAGGCAGCAGTTGGATTTGTCTCGTTTAGTCGCTGCCTTTCTCCTCTTTCTGAAGGATGAGCTGAGAGTTTCGAGTTCCACGGAGGCCTGACTGCCGTCTGGCCGCCTTCCTGGGGATGCACGCCGCGTGGAACCAGCTGGGTTTCTCTCACCGTTCTCCAGCACTGCCCAGACCAGAGGCGCAGGGAGAGGAGGGGTCAGCGGTTCCGCGACCACTCCTCCCGCTGTCCCTGCTCTCCAGCCTCTGCCTCTGCAGGAGCCCGCGGGAGCTGCCCCAGGCCCCCTGTCCCCACCTGTGGCTCCCGTCCTGGTCGCCTCCCGGGGCCGCGCCTGCTCCCCACACAGCGCTGCCAGTGCTGGAAGGCGAGACTCTATCTGCTGTCTCTGCAGGTCTCCACTGTTCGCCTGTAGCAATGGCTTAACAAAATATCTGCTCTTTTTAATTAAACTTTGACACACCCTAAAGAATGCACCAAGGCCCAGTTGCCTACAGTTCTGGGCTCTGCACTTCCCCGCATGGTTTGTCTCTGACCCTACAACACGTTTTTTAAATTAGTATCATTATTAATGGTCATATTAATTTCCAGAACGGTCAATTTTCTGCCAAGCTTAAAATTTAGTAATAGCCTTTGGAGCAGAGGTTCGAATTCTTTCTCCGCGTCCTCTGGGACCGCTGACACGGACGCCCCAGGCCCGTGGACTTCCCTCTCCCACTCTCTTTCCTCCTGGGACCGCACCCGGGGCTTGTGGGCAGATTTACAAAATGAGGGAAAGGAATGTTATTGCTGACCCAGAAGAATTCTGTTCTAACACAAAGGAAAATAACTGAAATGGCAGAAAATCTTTCGACAGTAAGAGGCCCGGTCCGGGGACCCTGGCCTCCAGCACAGAGCTGCTTCGTGGGTTTTACATGGATGGGATTTTGTCCTTCAGTTGTCAGGCAAGGATGGCGCACCGTGGCCCAGCAGTCCGCGTGGTTTTGTCCAGCCAGCGAGGTATCCCTTGCACTGTGTCCTGGCAGGAGAACCCTCTTCCTGCAAGGAGCACATTGCGAGTCATTTGAGTGGGGCCAACTCACTCCCCCCATCACAGCCTTCTACCGGAGAACCACACGCTCCATTTCCCAGCACCCGCTGTGAGTTCAGGGGTGGGCACAGGCCGTGCCCCCTGAAATTCAGCACACAGCCCCGAGAACAGAAGAGACCTCTCTTTCTCTAGAAAGGTACACAGCACGACCACAACTGCAGACGTGAACAGAACAAAAGCCATCCGGCCGGGAGAAGCCTCCGAGAGAGGAGTGAGAGGCAGAGTAACGATTACCTGAGCCCTAGGATTCAGGTTGCCAGATGAGATACTGGGTGCCCACTTAAAGTGGAATTTTAGATAAAGAATGGAGAGGGGGCATATTTGAACTAGAAAAAAAAATCATTCTTTATGTGAAATTCAAATTTAATTGGGTGCCCTGTTTCTTTTTGTTTTTTGTTAAGTCTGGCCATCTTAACCTGGATTCATCCGCGCCTGAAGCCAAACACACCCTGGGCGTCCCAGGAAGGAGCAGGGTTTCCTGCACTCCCAGCTGAAGGACCGTCGCTCCTGGGTCTTCTCTCCACAAGCAAGCAAGGGAAGAGAAAATGGCCCCAGGGCTCCATGAGCGCCAGCCCGAAACAGCAGCGATGGCAGGGCATTGCTGCGTTGGTTTTCTCATACCTGAAGAAGCATTAACTCCTCCAGAAGCCTTTTGCAGAGAAGTCAAAGTACTTTTTTAAAAAGAAGAGGAGACAGGAAGACGGTCTTTAAAGTGAAACTCCTAATCTAACCCTATGATAAGAATGAAACCTAATTTTCCTGTCCGCTGCTACCTGCTAGGTTACGTGCTGCATTTTAACTCCTTGTAATCCCCAGAAGGCAAAGGATATTAAAATCAATTTTTAAAAATTGTATTTGCAAATCACTTCCTTCTCTCAAGTGTTTCGTCACCTCTGTGGTCCCTGAGCAAACACACAGACAGCCCCCATGGTGATGGCAAGTGCGCACTCTGAGCGCCGGGTGTTTAAGTCAAATATTGATTCCGCCGCGTATTAACATGAATGCCGCTTTGAGTACCTCACTGCCCTCTGCCAGCCTCGGTTTCCTCATCTGTACAATACAGTCAATAACATTACCATTGTCATTTTGTGTAGCTCTGGGATGTCGTGCCTGGCCTGTGACAAGTCAGTACATAGTATTTATCGTTAAATGGCAGCTGCGCACACCTGCCACCACTTGGGAAGTTCTTGTCATGCTCAATATGACCTGAAGACTGGGGTGGAGTTGGGCGGCTGGGAGAGAACCGGACCCAGTTGCTTTCTGAGTTGCTGACGCCTCTGCTGACAGAGCACACCAGCCCACAAGCCGCCCCTCGCTCAGCCTCACAGCAGCGCAGGACGTCTGCGTCATCTGCAAATTTGATTTTGTTTGTGGCACAATTTCTATTAGTTGGACATTTCAAACGTTGTCATTCTTTTATATTCTTTATCAATATCCTATTAAAAAACCAAAGCATTGACCCACCCATTTCACAGAGAATGGAGACAAAGAGTGAGTGTCCAGTGCACAGACAAACCACTTCTTGGAGTATAAATAGGGCGGGATCCCACTCTTCCACATTCTCATTCAGGCATTTGAGATAAAAACTCAGCCTTCCACTGCCTAAGTTCAGAGGGGAACGTGTTGCCCCACACACCCTGGGAACCAACTAGGGCCACAGGCTTCAGGTCACCTGGAACACACGGCTCCACAGAAGCCGCCAGGGTCCCGCCTCTGCGTCTCCCTCTGCTCTGTGCACCTCCCTTGGTTCGGTTCTCAAGACAGGCATCTGCAAGCACAGCCACGGGCTCCCCAGACTCTGGCTCCCCAGGGCAGAGGGGCCGCCTTTCCCTGAACCCCCCAGAGGACTGACCCAGGGGAGGGCTCCAATTGCTCCTCCTGGATCACACGCTCAGCTGCAGCCGGCTCTGGGACCCAGAGGAGGTGGCAGGAGTGACCCACCGGGACCTGGGTCGGCCTTGCTCTCAGAAAGTGCTGGTAGGAGGAAGCCCCACCCTAGCTGCTTGAGGAAGCTTCCTCTGGGGAAGAAAGTCCCTGGTCTTGGAGGACAGGAGGTGGAGGTGGGGCCTGGATAAAGGATGGCCGCTACCCGAGCAGACCAGGGCAGGTATCGAGGGACATCTGTTCCTGGGCACCCGCAAGAAAGTTTTTATTACGCAAGTTTCATGGAGTCATTTCCTTGTCAAAAGAAAACCTCACTTCACAGATGACTGACAACGTTGGTTCGCCCCCCACCCTCCCTCCACGGCTCCCCCAGCGCTGTGGCTGGTCTGGTTCGCTGTGTCTTCACTACCCCTCTCCACACTCACACACAGAAACCAACAGGATTAGAAAATAAACAGCACCGTGCTGGGGCTCGGTGCTACGTGTTTTCAATACATTCAGACTAAACACATTGCTCTGAAAATTACTTTATTTAATAAAAAATATGCTGGGGTTGTTCCTTGTCGTAAATACTTAGGTTGTTTCCAATTTTTCACTGTTCAAAAAAATACACAGCAATTAATATCCCTGCATAATTCACAGTACACATAGGGCAATCTTTTTGTCTATGACAGATATCGACAATAATTTCTGGCTTATATAGTACATTGTTAAATAAACTGACTTTGTAATTTCAACTCAGCACAGAGAAAGCTCCAGGCCTTGATGGCTTTTTTAATGAATTCTACCAAACATTTAAAAAAGAAACAACACTAAACTTACAATAAAACTCTTCCAGGAACAGAAGAAGAGAGAAAACTCCTTTTTTCTTGTTGTTGTTGTTGTTTTGTTGTTGTTGAGATGGAGTTTTGCTGTGATGAAGTTTTGCTGTTGTTGCCCAGGCTGGAGTGCAATGGCATGATCTCGGCTTACTGAAACCTCCACCTCCCAAGTTCAAGCCATTCTCCTGCCTCAGCCTCCCAAGTAGTTGAAATTACAGGCGCCCGCCATACCCACCTAATTTTTTTGTATTTTTAGTAGAGACGGGGTTTCACCATGTTGGCCAGGCTGGTCTCAAACTCCTGACCTCAGGTGATCTGCCCACCTCCCAAAATGCTGGGATTACAGGCATGAGCCACTGCGCCCAGCCAAGAAAACTTCTTAATGTGTGCTTATAAGGCCAGCACAGCCATTACACTAAACATCTGGTGAGAATATTACAAAAAGAAAAATTACAGGTCAATGTCTCTTTAAAACATAGACACCAAAAAAGAACCTGAATGTAACAACATAGAAAAAGAAAGTACATGGCAACCAAATTAGATGTACACCAGGAAGGCAAGGCTGGTTTAACATTTGAAAATCAATGAATATAATTCAACCTATTAGTAGAATAAAGGAAAAAGCCACAGCATCATCTCAAATGTGCAATAAAAGGAATGCAATCAAATTTAGCAAACATTTATAATTTAAAAATTCTTGGCAAATTAGAAATAAAAGGGAATGTCCATAATCTGATAAAAGGTATCTACAAAGGAAAAGAGCAGTATTCACCCAATATCGCAGATAATACGGAATACTGAAAACTTTCCCTCTGAGCCTGGCAGTGAGGGAGATGCCTCTTTTGACACTTCTATTCAACACTGTCCTGGAGGTCCTTGCCAGTTCTATTAAAAAAAAACAAAAAACAAAAAGGCAACCGTAAGGATTAGAAAGTAAGAAAAAAAAACCCTCTAGTTTGGGCAGATGACATAATTGCATATTCAGGAAATATAAAAGGAATAAATCAAACAAAATGTGCAAGAACTCTACATAGAGAACTTCCGCATGTTACTGAGATAAAGAGATCCAAGTAAATTCTGTGGTATTGGTGGACTGGAGCAATGGAACAGGAGAGTCCTGAACAAGACTCTCCTTGCGATGCTTGGTTTATGATAAAAGTGATTCTGCACAGCCGTGAAGAAAGAAGTATTTCTGTTATCTGTTGTGCATAACAAAGCATCCTAAAACTTAGTGGCTTAAAACAATAAGGTTTTACCTTTATTTTCTGAGAGTTGGCTCCACTGCACTAGGCTGCAATCCTAGGGACTAACCATGCTGGAAAGTTCAAGATGGCGCACTCACATACAGGAAGCTGGATACTGGCTGGGAGCTCAGTGCCTCAGTTATCCTCATGAGACTTGAGTTTCTCACAGTTTGCTTTTAAGAGGGAGGATTCCAAGCCTCGGGTAACAGAAACTGCAGATATCCCAAACCCCAGCCGTGAAATCACCTAGCATGTTATACACCATCCTGCTAGTCAAAGGAAGTCACAGATTTGTGTTCTTTTCTGCTTGTATATGACACTCCAATAAAAGTTATTTTTAAAATTTTAAACATCAAAAATTTTAGGAGATCAAATTTATCAATCTTTTATTTCTTTGTCTTTTGGGATCTTAAGAAGACCCATTCCCACCTCTGAAAACTGAAACATATTTTCATGTGTAAGTTTTAGAATTTTTGATACAACATTCAGTTATCTGAAAATTATTTTTGTCAATACCGTGAATTGGGATCTCTTCTTCCCAAACACATAAATGATTGTCCTGACAGCATTTATTAAATAACCCATAATTCCCCTTACTAATTTGAATGAGTCCGGACTCTTGACTTTAAACAATGAAAATGATTTTTTGAACCTGTATCACACAGATTCCAATCACTTCTCACTGTGTCTTGATATCTGATAGGGCCAATTTTTCACCTCAGTTCTTTTTCTTGACTATTCTGGCAACTTAAGTGTGCCTTGTCTTTGGTTTCACCAACCTTCAGCAACAGCACAATAGAAAAATATTTCATCATATGGTTTTACCTTTAATGTATATATACTTTGCGTAGAGAGTGTGACTCCCGCAAAGTGTTTTCAGGTTTCTGATCTTGATTTTCCGCAAACAGGGCATCATCACAGTCCTCAGGTTCACAGGTGGGAAAACAGAGAGAGAGGCTGCATGAATTGCCTGTGGTCCTACAAAGGAGACTCAGGACTTTGGGCCATTTGGTGGGTTCATGCTCATGGCAGAGCTGCCCTTCCCCACCCTCTTTCACGTGCTGGTCAATGTAGCCCAGCTCTGCTTCAGATTGAAATGCTCACCAGCATCAAATTTTCTCTATCTTGGTAAATTGTACTTTGCTCTGTGTTCAGCTGGTCTCCAGGTAGGAGTGCCCTGATAGAGAATTAGAGCCCTAAGACCACATTCTCATTCCATGCCACTGCTTGGGAACTGTACAAGTCTGCAAGATAACATGGAAATGCAGCCCCTGGGTCGCAATGCCAAGAGCCCTCTGAGATGCTGTTTGACGTTCCTCTTCCAATCCGTTTGAAAGGACCTGTTCCGTACTGACACTGTAGGTTCCTGAGCCAGCGCGGAAGGTTGCTCAGCCATTTAAAATCTGTCTGTCTCGATAGGAAATACAAAGAGAAAATGGAGGGTGATTGGCAGAGCAAATTGGATCTTCACTTGCCAATTCTCTTCTCATTTGCAAATATGCTAGTGAAAAGCCCAAAGCAGCCCTAAGCCAGTTTCATGAATCCAGCACTCCTGCCTGACAATTAGAGGCCCTCATCTGAAAATACTAACAAAGGAGTTCAGGCTTCTCAGCTGTTCACTCAGCTAGAATTTACCTTGAGTTCAAGAGAAGAAAATAAGTCCTGCTTTGGAAATGACAATTTGAGAGAACGACACCTTTCCAATTGTAACAAGACAGTGTTATTGACCCGGTTTTTGATATTATTATTATCAAACATAATTTAAGGCTGACCAAGAGTTCAGCTGAGGACACGTCCTTGCTAGGGTGGCTAAGTTTTCGTGTTTAGATAATCTCTTAAAGTAATTTCTAGAACATATTCTTTAAGTAGGATTGACTATAAATCAACACTGAAAATGCTGAAATAGAGTTGCGATGTGATACTAAGACCTAGACATTCTGAAAT
Organism: Homo sapiens; assembly: GCF_000001405.40. Lineage (NCBI taxonomy): Eukaryota > Metazoa > Chordata > Mammalia > Primates > Hominidae > Homo > Homo sapiens. Next base: position 167,726,863 of record NC_000006.12, read on the forward strand.
CTCAGCATCTTTCCCAGCTGTGGCACCAGCAAGCCAGACCCCAGGGGCCACCGGAATACTGGGGAAGGGACAGTGGCAGGAGGCAGAGGAGGCTGTGGGAGGGAGATAAGGAGACAGAAATAGGTCCTCTTTCTTCCCTTTTTTGTCTCTTTCTTGCTGTCCTTTTTAAAGAAGAAAAGAAATGGAAAACACTCACAAAGTGTTTCTCATAAATCAGGTAGTAAAGTTCATTCACTTATCCATAGCTCTGAGGTTCTGGAGACATGGCAGGAGCTAACAGAGCTGATGTCTCTCAGGACAGAATTAAACCAGATGCAGAAGGCCAACACAGGAGCGTTGTCCCCAATCCCAAGCTGTCCCTGCCATGAGGGCGCCCCAACTTAGTCATCCTTCCTCTGACACCCACCCCCACTGCATTGGTACCTGAAGATGAAGCTCTTCAAAGAAGGTCTGGAAAAACAGGCCTCTTGGTGTTTTCCACCCCACACTCCAGGGTGGCTCTGGGGCCTTTCTCTGGTTTTGTTCTTCATCTGAAACTGAAGGGCCATAACCATGGACTCTGGACTGCGCAATGCATGGAAACCTCACGGTGATGGTGCCTTAACCAGCTTTGAACATGAACTCGATGTAATACCTTTTATTCAGCTATTAAAAATGATAACTGAGATAGATGAGAACTTCCCTCAACTTGATAAAGAATATCTACACAAACCCTACAGCTAACATCACACTTACTGGTGAGAAACTCAAAACTTTTCCCACTAAGACCAGGAACGAGGCACGGTGTCGCCTCTCCAGACTCCTTTGCAACATCATACTAAAAGTCCCAGCTAATGCAATAAACAAATAAATAAAATATAAGGTATATAGATGGGAAGAAAGAAATAAAGTTGTCTTTGTTTACAGATGATGTAATTGTCTATGTAGAAAATCTGAGAGAAATGACCACAGAAAACACACCTGAAACTAACAAGCAATTACATTAATAGCAAAGTGGCAGACTGCAAGATAATATCCAAAAGTCAATCATTTTCCTACATAACAGCAATGAACAAGGGGGATCTGAAATTAAAAACATAATGCCATTGATATTAGAGCACTTGAAAAAAAAGAAATACCTTAAGAATAAATCTAACAAAATATGCAAAAGATCTATATGAGGAAAACCGCAAAACTCTGATGAAAGGAATCAAAGAAAAACTAAATAAGAAGGAAAATATTTCATGTCCCTGGATAGAAAGACTCAATATGGTCAAGCTATCAAGATTCTTCCCAACTTGATCTGTAGATTTAATGCAACCCCAATCAAAATCCCAGCAAGTTATTTTGGGGATATTGACGAACTGATTCTAAAGGTTATAAAAAGCGGCAAAAGACCCAGACTAGCCAACACAATATTGAAGGAGAAGAACAAACTTGGAGGACAGACACTACCTGACTTCAAGACTTACTCTAAAGCTACATCTTACTCTAAGAACACTCTGGTATTGGCTATATATATATATATATATATATATATATATATATATATATATGAGAGAGACAAATAGATCAATGGGACAGAATAGAGTCTGAAAATATATCCACACAAATACAGCCAACTGGTCTTTGACAAAAGAACAAAGGCAATAAAATGAAGCAAAGCTAATCTTTTCAGTAAACAATGCTGGAACAACTGAACATCCTTCAACGAATGAATCTAAACACAGATCTCACACCATTCACAAACATTAACTCAAAGTGGATCATAGACATAACTGTAAAATGCAAAAAACTACACAACTCCTAGAAGGTAACATAGAAGAAAACCTAGATGACCTTGGGTTTGGCAATGACTTTTAGATACATCAAATCCATGATTTATGAAAGAAATAATTGATAAACTGGACGTGATTCAAAAACTTCTGGTCTGCAAAAGACACTGTGAAGAAAATGAAAAGGTAAGCCAGAGGCTGAAAAAAATAATAATTGCAGAGACATATTTAATAAAGGACTGTTATCCAAAATGTACAAAAACGTTTAAAACTCAACAATAAGAAAATAAACACCTCGATTAAAAAATGGGCCAAAGACCTTAACAAGTACCTCGCTAGAGGAGATATACAGATGGCTAATAAGCAAATGAAAAGATGTTCAACCTCACGTGTCATCAGGGAAATGCAAATCTCAACAGCGACACACTTTACACATGTTCTAAAGCAGCCCAAATCCAAAACGCTGACAACACACGGATGTAGAGTGAAAGGAATCCTTTCATTGCAGTCTCGTGAGTTTCTTACAAAATGAAATGTACGCTTCCCATGCAATTCAGCAGTCCCACTCCTTCGTATTCACCGAAAGAGTTGAAAACTGATGTCCACACAAAAACCTGCACAGGGATGTTTATACTGGCTTTGTACATAATTGCCTAAAATTAGAAGTAACCAAGATGTCCTTCAATGGGTGAATAAACAAACTGGAATACATGCAGACCATAAAATATTTTTCAGCACTAAAAAGAAATGAGCTATCAGTTCATGAAGAGACATGAAGGAAACTTACATGCATATTCCTAAGGGAAATAAGCCAATCCCCAAAGACTACAAACTGGAATTCATGCAGACCATAAAATATTTTTCAGCACTAAAAAGAAATGAGCTAACAGTTCATGAAGAGACATGAAGGAAACTTACATGCATATTCCTAAGGGAAATAAGCCAATCCCCAAAGACTACAAACTGCATGATTCCAATTGTATGACATTCTGGAAAAGGCAAAACTATGAAGACAGTCAAAAGTGGTTGCCAGGGCTTTCAGGGGAAGGAATGAATCGGCAAAGCACAGACGATTTTTAGGGTGGTGAAAACACCCTGTATAATACTAAAAAGATAGATACCTGCCATTATCTACTCATCCAAACCCATAGAATGTACAAACACCAAGAATGAGCCCTAATGTAAACTAGGGACTTGGGTGAGAATGATGTGTCAATGGAGGCTCATTGACTGTACCAAACGTAACCCTCTGGTTGGGGATGTGGATAGCCGGGGAGGCTGTGCCTGTGTGAGGGCAGGAGGTGGATGGGAATTATTTGCACCTTCTGCTCAATTTTGCTGCGAACCTAAAACCTTTCCTTAAAAAAAAAAGTCTTGGCCGGGCGCAGTGGCTCACGCCTCTAATCCCAGCATTTTGGGAGGCTGAGGCGGGTGGATGACCTGAGGTCAGGCATTCGAGACCAGCCTGGCCAACATGGTGAAACCTTGTCTCTACTAAAAATACAAAAATTAGCCGGGTGTGGTGGCACGTGCCTATAATTCCAGCTACCCAGGAGGCTGAGACAGGACAATTGCTTGAACCTGGGAAGTAGAGGTTGCAGTGAGCCGAGACTGTGCCACTGCACTCCAACCTGTGTGACAGAGCAAGACTCCATGTCAAAAAAAGAAAATAGTCTTTTAAAAAACCTGTTATTTGTTGAAGGCCTATTTTGTGCAGGCCACCAGGAGAGAACTGTGCATGCAGCATCTCAATTAATATGCACTTAGTCTGATAATATTAGATACCCTGTGCGTTTTGCAGATTGGGGAATTGAGGTTGAGGGACATTAGATTCGGTGTCTAAAGTGTGCCTGTTCATCATTCCTTTTGCGGAGCCCCTACAATGCTATGCGGAGCCGTCACCACACAGGTTTGTGGCTCCGCTTCCGCCACTGAGGATATCGCAAGCAAGATCCAAGTAAGACTCATTTGGAGAGAGTTTCCTCTTCTTTCTGGTGTGAAGAGCGTGGGGCCCTGCAAGGCTGTGCCCTGGATGGTGGTCTCTCCCCAACGCGCAGCAAGGCTGCTGAGAGCAAAGTCAGTGTAGAGGCAAGAAGATGGCGAGAGACAGACCCCGTGATCTCCTTGTCTGAGCCCACGTTACAGGGATCAGACATGAGCAGGGCAGGAGAGGGCTCTCCCCCACCTGCCAGCAATGTCAGGCGACCGTAGGGTGATGGTTCACCGTTACCGGCCGGGTGCGGTGGCTCACGCCTGCAATCCCAGCACTTTGGGAGGCCCAGGCGGGCACATCACAAGGTCAGGAGATCGAGACCATCCTGGCTAACATGGTGAAACCCCCTCTCTACTAAAAATACAAAAAATTATCTGGGCGTGGTGGCGGGCGTCTGTAGTCCCAGCTACTCGGGAGGCTGAGGCAGGAAAATGGCGTGAACCCCAGAGGCGGAGCTTGCAGTGAGCCGAGATAGCACTACTGCACTCCAGCCTGGGCGACAGACCCAGACTGGGTCTCAAAAAAAAAAGAAAAGATAAGATAAATGCAGCTGAAGCTAGGCAGAGACAATCTCCTGAAGGTCTGCAGCTGTCACACGAAAGTGTCAATTGAATGCAGGCACCGGGAAGAAGCAACTTTCCAAACAGATAAAAAGGGCTTCCAATAAACTCGCAGGTAGTGGGCAAGTGAGCCTGGGTGTGAGCAAAGAGACAACATGGCGGAGTCTGACCTTCCCGGGACACTCACCGGAAGAGGGAAGAAGGCCTCGGATGGGCATGCGTCCCACTTCTAGCCCACTGCGCACGCTCACTTCCCAAGCGTGAGGAGGGTTCTGCGCAGGCGGGCAGCCCACCCTCAGGGAAGAGTCACGGGAAAGGGGCTCAGAACGCCGGAGGTGGACCAGCGTATAAAATCCTAGGGACCAAGGTTAAACACCGCCCTTGACCTTCACGGTACCTGCTTGGATCTCTTCCGAATGTACTTTCTTTCCTGCTCTAAGGCTTTGTAATAAACTTCCACTCCTGCTCTGAAACTTGCCTCGGTCTTTTTCTGCCTTATGCCCCTCCTTCGAATTATTTCTTCTAAGGAGGCAAGAATTGAGGTTGCTGCGGACCCGTGCGGATTCGCTGCCAGTAACTCGGACACCTTCCACCCCTAACACACGGACACAATGGGCCTGCAACCACAATTCTCCTCCTGGCATTCAGTTGCACAAGCCACTAAAGTCTTCCCTTCTTGAGCTAGTTGGAGTTGGCTGCTGTGTCTTGTGCCCACGCTGACTAACACTGCTCCTTGTGCAGCAGCCAGAAGCAGAGCTGGCACCTGCACCAAGCCCGGCCCTCTGTGCCCAAGATTGCCGCCTCTCCCAGGGGGCACTTGGTTATTTGACCCCCTCCTCACCCCACGGGCTCTGTTACCCAGTGAACTATGTTTAATCAATGGATAATTTGCATTCACAGCTTTTCTTCATCAGCCTTTCTAAACTAATTCAATGAGTCCTTTAGCGGCACAGGCTCAGATCGCGGAACACACCAGCGGACTCGCCGTAGCCAGATGAAGCCGGCCATGGCGGCCTCGATCCCGCAGCTCTGCGGGCAGCTCTGGGGCTGCCGAGTCAGCAGGGGGACTCCCCCCACCTCCCGCTCTGTGGCTTGCTGTCCCCCTGACCTCACTGGCCCATTGTCCCCACTGTATCACAGCCTCCTCCAAGAGCACCCGCCTCTTCCCGTACCTCACTCTGGGAGTTGGTCCAGGGCTAACTTCTATCCCTGCCTCCTGCTTCCTCCCTGCCTGGTCTCCTCTCGCCCCTCTTGAACTTCCTTCTAAGGGCTGCTGAGTCTCAAGTCAGTAACACTCGGCCCCATCCCTGCAAGGAGCTTCAGCCTCACACGCACTCTTGCTACCTAACCATCCTCTCAAGCAGCCCATGATGCTGCAGATTCCACCAGGTCAAAACCGAACCCATCATCATCCATGACCCCAAGTACCTTCCGCCTGTGCCAGGTGTGTTGTCCTAAACCGTTTTGTTGCTAGAAGCAGAGGACATCCCTAACTCACCTTCTCCTTCACCATCCAACCCGATCAGTGGTCAAGTTTTATCACTTCTGCATCTTCACTATTTAAATGCATTAACTTGTCTTTATTCCCATAGCCACTGTAGGGAATGATCTCTACCACCTCTCACCTGAGTTCCTGTCTCTCCACCTCTCGCCTGAGTTCCTGTCTCTCCACCTCTCGCCTGAGTTCCTGTCTCTCCACCATCTCTCACCTGAGTTCCTGTCTCTCCACCTCTCGCCTGAGTTCCTGTCTCTCCACCATCTCTCACCTGAGTTCCTGTCTCTCCACCTCTCGCCTGAGTTCCTGTCTCTCCACCATCTCTCACCTGAGTTCCTGTCTCTCCACCTCTCGCCTGAGTTCCTGTCTCTCCACCATCTCTCACCTGAGTTCCTGTCTCTCCACCTCTCGCCTGAGTTCCTATCTCTCCACCATCTCTCACCTGAGTTCCTGTCTCTCCACCTCTCGCCTGAGTTCCTGTCTCTCCACCATCTCTCACCTGAGTTCCTGTCTCTCCACCTCTCGCCTGAGTTCCTGTCTCTCCACCATCTCTCACTTGAGTTCCTGTCTCTCCACCTCTCGCCTGAGTTCCTATCTCTCCACCATCTCTCACTTGAGTTCCTGTCTCTCCACCTCTCGCCTGAGTTCCTGTCTCTCCAACTCTCACCTGAATTCCTGTCTCTCCATCATCTCTCACCTGAGTTCCTGTCTCTCCACCTCTCGCCTGAGTTCCTGTCTCTCCACCTCTCGCCTGAGTTCCTGTCTTTCCACCATCTCTCACCTGAGTTCCTGTCTCTCCACCTCTCGCCTGAGTTCCTGTCTCTCCAACTCTCACCTGAGTTCCTGTCTCTCCACCTCTCGCCTGAGTTCCTGTCTTTCCACCATCTCTCACCTGAGTTCCTGTCTCTCCACCTCTCGCCTGAGTTCCTGTCTCTCCAACTCTCACCTGAGTTCCTGTCTCTCCAACTCTCACCTGAATTCCTGTCTCTCCATCATCTCTCACCTGAGTTCCTGTCTCTCCACCTCTCACCTGAGTTCCTGTCTCTCCACACCCTCACCTGAGTTTCCTGTGTCACCTGTTGTAACAGCCCTCTCTTAAGAGGTCAGCTGGTTAGGAAGCTCCAGTGTGAAAACCGTCCATAGGCATTGGTGGTTCACGGGACATTTTCCTTGGCAGAAACTTCAGTTTTACTGAGAACTGAGCTGGAAATGTACGTGTAAGCACAAGAGGCCTCCCAGAGCATTTGACCCAAATCCAGCACCAGTGTTGCATCCTCTTGCTGTAAAATAGGACATTTTTTCAAAAGGAGTGTGAAGTAAGTATTGATTCACAAAGTGCCCTGAAGTCCTTGGATACTCCTGTCCCTGAATTCCCTCCGTGGATTCCCCACCCCGTCTCTCAGTGTTTGGACAAGCGTGGGTTTTCTGACCAAACATTCTAAACAATGGCCTAAATTCATCCCTGAGAGGCTGGCATTCAGCCTTCTGTTTTCAATCTTTTTGAACTCAACTGTGTACTTGGACTGAGATTTTACATTGTGCAACTTCCTGACAGTAACGTGCCATTACCCTGGGGGGTAAAGGGCTATTTAAGTCCAGACTCAGCCATTCCCACCAGCCACAACAGAGCCAGACCTCTCCGTGCCCCGGGAGGGTGCCCTGAACTCAAAATGTCCCTTGGCGATTGGGTTTAATAACAGCATTTTCAAAGGCACTCCCCAGTCCACCATGGAATGTGGAGGCTGCCTCCTCTCCTGCCTCCGCTTTGCGGCACAGCTGTGGCTCTGGGTCCCACATGACTGCACAAAGTCAATGCCAAGGGCGTGACCAGGGTGCCCGAGACCTCACTGTGGTCTGGGTGGAGCCCCAGCACTCAGGGTGCAGCTGCGCAAAGATTGCAGGCGCCTCTCCTGGGGCCTGAGCTTGTAAGTGTCCTTTGGATGTTGGGATGGGACACCTGACTCCTCAGTAGGGCACAAGGGGCCACTGTAGGAATAAAACTCAGAAAATCCCCCTGTTCACACTCAGCAACAGCCAAGCCCCCTTCAGTGTGATGCTGTGGGTGCTGACCTACAAATCCTCACCCAGACACCTGCCACCCCGGACCCCACAGAATGGGCAGGACGAAGATCCTCCTGGTTTGGGGCGAGGAAGTGACACCCTGGTCCCAGGACATCTCCAGGGTCCTCTGTCAGATACACACCCTCACCAAGCTGGCAAATAGGATGTGTCCCCATTTCACAGATGAGGAAAGTGGAGCCCAGAGAGCTTCCACGACTTTCCCAGGGTTGCAACAGAGCGAGGAGGGTCAAAAGGAGGATGGAATGGGCATGGCCCCCAGCCCGTCCTTGACCACCAGTTCCTTCCTCTGTCTCCAGTTCCAAAGGGGTCATCACAGAGCACTTTGAAACCCCAGGGCTTCCCCCACCGACCTCCCCCACTGACCTCCGCCGCTGACTTCCCCTGCTGACCTCTGCCACTGACCTCCCCCTCTGACCTCTGCCGCTGACCTCCACCGCTGACCTCCCCCGCTGACCTTCCGCCGACCTCTGCCGCTGACCTCCCCCTCTGACCTCCGCCATTGACCTTCCCTGCTGACCTCCACCGCAGACCTCCCCCGCTGACCTCTGCCGCTGACGTCCCCCACTGACCTCCCCCTCTGACCTCCGCCACTGACCTCCGCAGCTGACATCCCCCGCTGACCTCCCCCGCTGACCTCCGCCACTGACCTCTGCCACTGAACTCCACTGCTGACCTCCCCCACTGGCCTCTGCCGCTGACCTCTGCCGCTGCCCTCCCCCGCTGACCTCCCCCGCTGACCTCCCCCACTGACCTCTGCTGCTGACCTCTGCTGCTGCCCTCCCCCGCTGACCTTCCCCACTGACCTCCCCCACTGACCTCTGCCACTGACCTCTGCTGCTGACCTCCCCTGCTGACCTCTGCTGCTGACTTCTGCCACTGACCTCTGCCGCTGACCTCTGCTGCTGACCTCCCCCGCTGACCTCCCCCACTGACCTCTGCCATTGATCTCCCCCGCTGGCCTCTACCACTGACCTCTGCCACTGACCTCCCCTGCTGAACTCTGCTCCCTCTATTTGTCCAGCTCCAGCTGCTCAAGAGACCCTGCAACCCTGAGGCCACCCCCTCTCCGTCAACCCCATGGACAAAGTGAGCTCCTTCCCCAGCTAGAGAGGCCTGCACCCCCACCTGGCTTCGTGTCTGCTTTCTTATGTGTTTTTGTTTACTTTTCTCTCCTCAGTCTTTCTCGTGGATATTATTCATATTCCTTAACTCCGTTTCTAGTCCCTAAGACACTCTGGAAACATATTATCCTTGCCTGAAAGATTCCACTCATAATAAAGTGCCTTGCACTGAATGTGCTGTTAGAATCACAGGAAAACAGGTGTCACTGGAAGCTGCCCTGCCGGCCGGAATCCTGGAATAGGGCAACACCTGGAATGGGCCTTTGTTGGCTCCAGAGAATAGAAGCTGGTGGCTGTCATGTGTGCCAGTCACCACTTACACTTGGGCATCGGCGTCTCACAGCAGTGGAAGATGCATGCTTGAAAGTGAACGAACAGTCTTTCTTTCAGCCTTCTACTCCTTACCCCCTTCAGTAGGGTCTGTAATTTGAAGATCCATTTCGTATTTCCCATGGCTGCTTGGTGGGTTTTGTAGAATGACCTGAATCTTAACCTTTTCCAGCCAAAGAACAGGCATTTCTAGAAGAGCTTATTGATGGCAAAAAGGAAGAAAAAAAAAACCTTCACCAGGATATTCCTCCTGAGGAAAATGACTTTTTAAAGCTTTTGCAATGCCAAAAAAATACAAATGTGTGGATATCACTTACACTTCCAATAAAAGATGACAGCAACGTGGACTCGTCAAGTGGACGCCATGGTCTCCAGGTGAAGCCACTTTCTATTCAGCAAAAGAGAGGAAATGGAGGGTGATAGCTGCCAGCACCCACAGTGCTCCAGATGCGGCCTGGGGCGGGTGTACGCTCCCTTGCAGCTTCACACTGACCGAGGCAAACACTGCTATTGCAGCTCTTTTGAGATTAAACCACTAAGAATCTAAGAAACCAGATGACTGCCAAGGCAAACTCAGCTCCTTCTCGCATGAGATCAGGGCAGAACCCAGACTGATTCCACAGCCTGTGCCTTCCTTCCCTGTCACGGCATCTTCTAGAGTTCTCTGGAATCCCTCTACTGAAGCTGAGCCAGAAATCTCTCTTGAGTGGAAGTGGAGCTGGTCCCAGGTGTGCCAAGCACCAAGCGAGGTGGCTGGAAATAAGAATTAGGTCACAGTCTCCCGGGAAGCAGGTGGGGAGGCTGCTCCCTCCTGACTGCCATGTGCACCCCGACTCCAGGGAATGGACAGTGCCGACCGTGTTCTGAGGGTGCCCCGCTCTTGGTCTGGTGCCAGCACCTGCCTGGGCCTTGCCCTCTGCCTGCTGGGCTGGGATCTGATGCTGCGACCCAGCCCAGCACACCCAGTTCTGCTGCCCGCATAGCCAGAGGACTAGCGGACTTTGTGTGATGTGGCTGCTTCGTGACCCCCATTCAGAGAGGCTGACGGAGTGCGAGGGGCATGGCCCACGGGCCCACCGTGGGGTTGCAGGGCCAGGGCGCCGCCTGGCCTGGGCTGAGTAACGATGAGCTGCTGGGACAGTGGGGGCTGCAGCAGAGACCCAGGGTGGCTCGGAGCGTGGCTGCTGCACCTTCTCCCAAGCCTGGCCACTGCAGGGGACAGCGGTGGAGACCCTTCCATCCTGCAGCATTCCCAACACTGCACCTGCTGCCACCGGCGCACGCTGCATGCCAGGCAACAGGGACAGAGCCCACTCAGACAGAGCTTCCATCTCAAGCTTCAGCCTTGGACTGCTAATGCTAAAGTTGAGCTTTCACCATCAGCCCCAGTGCGGAGCCCCGGCAGGCTGCAGAGTCTGCCCAGCACCCCTAGTCAAGCAGGTGCCCAGTCCGGGATGAGAGCCACCCTGCATCTCCACGCAGCCCCACGTCCCCAAGTGTCAGGGCCTTATGAGGGCTGCGTCCTCCCTCTCCCAGTGCACCCCGCCAGGCTCCCCCCGTAGTCCGTCCTCCACAGGTTGTGCTGTGAGCTGGCCCCAAAACAAACCCTGCAGTGGGAGGAGCTGGAAGTCACCTGGGCTCCATCTCGCCTCCTCGTCTGTCACCCTCCACTCCATGCTCCTGGAGCTCTGGGCCCTCCCGGCCCTGCCTGCTGCCCCCTTCATTTGCCAGGCTGGCTTGTTTTCTTTTTTCTTGTGTCCACGTGTCTATCATTTTCTCTGGGGGCTGCATGAACTGCCCCTTCTTCTGGGCTCTAGAACATTTCTCGTCAGTAGGCTTGTGTGCTCATCTTCCCTATGGGACTAGAAATTCCTCCAGAATAAGGACCAGGCAGTGTTCATCTGTGTATCCAGAACCCAGACCTATGCTGAGAAGGAGATAGACATCCCATAAATATTTACCAAGCAAGCGAAAGAGAACGTCGCCTCTGACTGGCTAGCAGACATACCTTATCTTCTTCTTCCAGCAGGTGTGGATAATGACCAGGAGAGGTTTCCCAGGAACAGGTCCTCGACGATGCTTCTCATCATCAGCCTCTTCCTCCCCATCATGACAGCCCTTTTGGTCCGGTGGGCCATCCTCTTCTCTTACCTCACCAGCACGGAAGATTTGTTGAGATGTATGCACTCTAGTTTTTATTATTAAACCAAGAGTTGCTTATGTTTCTAGATAGAAAAGTATAATTGTTGGATAGATTTTTCAAAATGCATTTTCCTGCCCAAGGGAATCACCGACCCGGAGGGTGTATTGCCGCCTGACAACGGCCCACGTGTGCCCAGCACTGGGCTGCCTCTCGCATTTGGCAGCCGGGTCCTGCTGGCGCCTCTGCCCAGCGCTCTCCCACCCAACGCCTGTGCTGTGAAGGCTCTCAGAGCCCACCCGGCCCATTCCTCCCAGGGCACCCTGAAGAGCACCCCCACCCAGCATGTGCTAGCACCATGGGGTGGCACACGAAGGGAAGAAATCAGTGTCTCATTCCTTAAGAGGCGCTTTAAAGTGTGTGAAAAGCATGCACTTGTGAGAGGAATTGCAAACAAAGCAACACAATGGGGCCTCTGCCTCCTCTTGCCAGAGAAACGTGTGCATGCACACGCAAACACAATTTTACAGATGCTGCAAACAAATTTTCATCAGCACAGATTTAGCTTAATAAATTATAGTGTCTTCCTATGACAGAACGTCATGCATTGAATCGTGTGGAGAAGTTTTTTCAGTATATGTTGAGTGGAAAAGCATGGACATAGTATGTACATGGCAGTCACAATTTGGGTGGAGTGAAACAGCCGGGAATACCTGCGATGACGGTGGGAGCTGTCTCTGGGGTCATGGGCACCTGTAGTTTTCTTCTTGTGCTTTTGTGCATTGAAATTTTTTTTCTACAATGAATTTGCACCATATAAAAATTAGGACAATGACCATATCACGTGAGAGACAGAGTGAGCCGACTTCCCTGTCAGGCCCAGCACCGCATGGCTCCTTCGGGGTATGAGTCAGGTCTTCATATCTTGGTATCTGCAGGGCTCAGCCCAATATGTGTTTTTGAATAAATATATGTATTCAAAGCTCATCCTCTAAATATACTAACAAAATATGCAAAGAAAGTCTTACCTCAATTAACGTTTGGAGAAACTTTGATTCAAAAGCACTAGCTCAGGGCCAGAGGGAACAAAGCTGAGAGTTCATGAGGGCCTGGCCCAGAGAGGTCTTTCCTTCACTGGGAGATTGTGGTTTCCAGGCCACATAAGGAAAAGTCGTCTGGAGTTGAACCCAAAGATGACAAAAAGAGCAAAACACTCATGTGTTCCTTTTTTTTTTCTTTTTTTAATCAATATATAATTGATGTAAAAGGAAACATGGAGATCATATATGTTCAGCTCAATGTGTTCTCACGCTTGCCCAGGCCCATGTCACACCACACAAGGAAAGGCATAAAACACACTTTCCACCAAGCCAGAAAGTTCCCTTGGGCCTTTCTGATCAAATGCCCCGATTTCTATCCTTATGGCTTCATTTGCCTGTTCTTGGACTTCCCACTAATGGAGTCACACAGTGTACCATCTTTTGCCTCGGACGTCTTTTGCCTACCGTCATGTTTCGAGGTGCGTCCACCCCGTTGCCTGGATCAGCATCCATCCCCTCGCTACTGGGTAGCCCGCCATGGTGTGGCTGCTCCCCAATTTGTTGTCCACATCCCGTGATTTGACGTGTGGACGGTTCCCGGTCTGGACTGCTTTGCACGTTCCTGAACGAGTTTTTCCAGGGAGGTATATGTTCATTCCTCCTGAGGAAGTGAGTACCCAGAAGGGAATTGCCAGGTCATAGGGAAGATGTGTTTGAGTAGAAACCACAAACAGTTCCCCAAAGCAGCTGTCTCACTGTATACTCCCCACAATACTTCAGTCCTACTAATGGGTGTGAAATGGTATTTCCTTATGGCTCTGATTTGCATGTCTACGGTAGCTCGATGCTGAGCGTGTTTTCATGCTTGCTACTCATGCACCATGTCAGGTCTTCTGCTCATTCCCCGCCGGCTGTTCATGTTGTTCTGTTGAGTTGCAGGGTGCTTCACGTTGGACGCAAGTCCCTTGTCAGCTGCATCTGCTGCAGGTATTTCCTCCCAGTCTGTGGTTTGCCTGCTCCTTTTCTTAATGCTATCTTTCCATGAACAGAAAATTTTAATTGTCATGAAGTTCAATGTATCGTGTTTTCCTTTTATATTTAGTATGTTTATGTCTTGTCTAAGAAAACTTAGCTTATCTCAGGGTCATACAGATTTGTCTTCTATATTTTCTTCTCGAAGCATTAGGGTTCTAAAATTTGTGTTTAGGTCTATGCTCCATGTCAATTAATTTATGTGTAGAGAGAAAGCGTTCAAAATTCTTTTCTGTTTCCATACAGATATCTAGTTTTCCCAACAGCATGTGTTTTAAAAGACTTCGCTTTCTTTATGTAATTGACTTGGCACCTTAGTTGAAAATAAATTGGCCTTACATGCATGGGTCTATTTCTGGACTATTTTGTTCCAGTGATGTATATGTCCATGTTTTTGCCAAACCCGGCTGTCTTAATAATTGTAGCTTTATAGTAAGTTGTAAACTCAGGTAGGCTAATGCTCCAACTTTGTTCTTTCTCCAAAATGTTTTGACTATTTTAGGTCCTTTGAATCTCCAAATAACATTTAGAATCATATTGTCAATTTCTACAGAAAAAACCTTCCAGAATTTTGAAAAACATTACATTGAGTCTATATCAATTTGGAGAAATTGACATCTTAACAATATGGAGTCTTCTGATCCATTAACATAGTCTACATTCCATTTATTTAGATCTTTTTCAATTTCTATCGGCAATGCTTTCTGAGATATTACATATATTTCACTAGATTTATTTTCAGGCATTTAATGTTTTTGATGCTATTTTAAATGGCAGAGTGGTTTTTAAATTTTATTTTATAACTGTTTATTCTTAACGTATGTAAATACAATTAATTTTTATTATTTATTTTGTGCACCATGACGTTGTTAAATTCATTTATTCTAGAGAAGGTTTTTTGTACATTCAGTAGGGATTTTTACATGTGCCATAATGTGATTTGTGAATAATGCCAGTTTTACTTTGCTTCTAACCTTTATCCCTTTTTACTAACTGTCTAGATCCTCTAACATGTTTCTAACCTTTATCCCTTTTTACTAACTGTCTAGATCCTCTAATATAATGTTAAATAGAAGTGATGAGAACAGCCTTGGTCCCAGTCTCAGGAGAAAACAATTGTTATTTCACAATTAAGTAGAATGCTTATTGTAGATTTTTAAAATATTATGATGATTATTATTATTAAAGATGGAGTCTTGCTATGTTGCCCAAGCTGGTCTCGAACTCCTGGGCTCAAGCAATCCTCCAGCCTCAGCCTCCCAAGTAGCTGTGATTACAGGCGGGCACCACTGGGCCTGGCTCATGGTAGATCCTTTACAGATTCTCTTTATCACTTTGAGGAAGTTTTCTTCTAAGTTTGCCAAACATTTTTATTAGGAAGTTTGCCAAATGCTTTTTCTTCATCTGTGATAAGATCGTATGGTTTCTTTCTTTTATTCTGTTAATTTATTTCCTTTACTTCAAGTAAAAACATATTGTTCGGCTTCTTAAGGGGCTGAGATAAGTTTTGGTAAGCTTGCATATCAGATCTAAAGTTCCTGTCAGAAACATTCTTTAAGGAGAGAGGCTAACATACAGCTCCAAAAAGATGGTATTGCCACCATGCTGGAGTTTGCCCTTTCTTGCTGGCTGCATTTTCTTTAAAGTAAAAGTGGTGGTGAGAATAAAGGCCTCTCTTCCTTCCTTTCCCTGTAGATCATGGGGTCAGAAACCTGGGGCTACTTGGCCCACCATGTTCTCTAAAATGGACCCAATGATGAGCTCTATGAGGGCAGAGTTATTTTTGTGCCTTGCTCAGAGGGATGTCTCCTGTACCTAAAACAGTGCTTGGCATGTTGTTTGGTTTAATTAATATTTGTTAAATAAATGAATGTGTGAATGAATGAGTTAGTGATTATGTGAATGAAAGATTATGATTAAGTGGGTAAAATGCAAATTATCCACTTGGGACACAAGCATGTGACTGAATAGATCCAAGCACCATATGCACGTGTGGCTGGGAGACCCAGGAGAGTCACCTCGCAGTTAGATGTAGGGAAAGGCAGGCACCCAAAGGGCTCCTGTTGCCTTCTTGGGTTTGAGGATGCCCACATGTCCATTAGTTTTAGTTAACCCTAACTCTTTATGTTGCCTTCTTGTGTTTGAGGACGTCCACATGTCCATTAGTTTTAGTTAACCCTAACTCTTTATGTTGCCTTCTTGGGTTTGAGGACATCCACATGTCCATTAGTTTTAGTTAACCCTAACTCTTTATGTTGCCTTCTTGGGTTTGAGGACGTCCACATGTCCATTAGTTTTAGTTAACCCTAACTCTTTCTGTTGCCTTCTTGGGTCTGAGGGTGTCCACATGTCCATTATTTTTAGTTAACCCTAACTCTTTCTGCCTTAAGAAAAAATAAAGGTCAAATGTGCTTATTGTCATCCACAGCAAGAGAAAGGGCAGTGGGGGGACTTTCCTGCTTCACACCAACAGAGTGGAGTAGGAGTGACTCCACTCACTATCACCCCTAGTGACTCACAAGCAAAATGTTTGCTTCTCAGCTCTGACCTTAGGCTCTGCCAGACCAGAAGTTCTCATTCCAGGGGGAGGAGGGCTCCCACCAGCAGACACAACAATGATTCCATTGAACTGGAAGTTAAAACTGCCTGGCTACTCTCAGCTCCTGATGCTTCTCAATCAACAAGCTAAGAAGGGGCTCTACTAGTTGGGTGACAGTCCTGAATACTAGAAGAAATTGAGCTGCTACTCCACAATGGAGGGAAAGAAGAGTGTGTCTGAAATACAGAAAATTCCTTAGGGCATCTCATAGTACCACCATGTCCTAAGCTTAAGTTAATGGAAAACTACAGCAACCCAGTTCAGATAGGGCTACTTGATGGCCCAGACCCTTTGGGGATGAACTAGTAAAGAATCGTGACCAACTGAGGTGCTTAGTAAGGGTACAGGAAATACAGCCTGGGTAAAGGACAAGAGCTGTTACAAATACCAGCTACAACCTTGGGACCAGTTACAGCTAAAGGATAAAAGGAGTCTGCGTATTTCTTCCTTATTTTGTTATGAATATGTTTGCATGTATGTTAATACAGTATTTTTGTTTTCTTCCTTTCCGTCTTTTTCTTATAATGTAACATAAGATGAATTAATAATAATAAACTTTACTTGACTGTATTTAAGTTACAAAATGTCAAAAAAAAGTGAACATCAACCAAGAACTTCGTGTCCTCTTCTGGGGAAAGAGCTGGTGTATTGTCGGTTGTACGAAACTGTACCACTGGGTGCAGAGGTATGACTTCTTGTTGTCTTTATATGGAAACTAAGTATGGTTTAAAGAGCTGTGCATGAGTGCCAGGTTGACAAGGGGAGGACTGTGATGGTTAGTTTTCTGTGTCAACCTGGCAAGGCTACCATCCCCATTAATTCATTCTATCAAACAACAGGTGTTGCTGTGAAGGAAGCCAATGTGATTAAAGTCCATAATCAGTTGACTTTAAGTAAAAAAATTATAACAGATAACCTGGGTGGTCCTGATTCAGCCAAAAGGCCTTCTGGGGAGACCAGGGGCCTCTCAGGTGAGGAAAAGCTCCTGGCAGACGGCTGCTTCAGCCTACTCAGCCTGGTGTCTGCCCTAAGATGCCGGACTCACCTCACCTCTTGTTGCCCAGGCCAGCTCTCTGTGCTGAGTCAGTGTGTGCTTCCTACTGGCTCTGTTTCTCTCATTGAACTCTGACTGACACAGATTTTGGCACCAGAAGTGTAGAGAAAAGCAAAATGACTGAAAGCTGAGAACCCATGCCAAAAAAGCAAGGACACTGAGCTCCATTTCACTTCAGAGAAATAGAGCTGGGGACCCCCAAGCAGTAGGGACGGGGAGGTTTTTGCATCATATGGCAGAACGATTTTGGAACAATGTTTAAACATCCCTGTTATTGAAGCCACAGTGGTCAATAGCGTTGGACTCAGGCGGTCTTGAACCTGCACCCGGGCTCAACTTGGACAGAAGCACCGTCTCCAGCAGGAAGTATTCAGTCGGTGATGGCTGCCGTTGGTGATTGGGTGATTGGTATCCCCCAGGGATACCATCCATACTTGTTCTGTTGACAGGGGCTTCTGAAGACCAGGATCTGTGACTCTCTAAAGAGACATGGAAGGTGGCAGAAAAACCTCCCTGGGCTCCCTAAACCACCCTCAGCTAAGTCCGCATCTTCGGGAGAGTCTGCTGTGTGGCACCTCTTTCAAGTGAGCCCCAACCATGCTCCCCAGGAAGCCTCTGCGTAGCCACCCGTTCCCGAGGCTCCTTTTGCTTGAAGAGAAACTTCCAAAGCCATTAAGTATTCAGGAATGGGTGTCCTAAAGTCCGTGAAACTTGCAGGTTTGAATACAGAATTCAGTGTGTGTAAGCATATGTGCCTCTTTCCGGGGCAGGTTATACAGTTTTCGTCACATCCTCAGTTGCAACTGTGAAGTTGCCCAAGCCCCAGGAAAAAAAAGTGAAGAACTGTTGTTGTTTATTCTTAGAGGGAACATGATTTGCCCAATTCCCCACCCACAAACTTCAAACCCTTCAGACTCTTCTGTGGTTTCCACTGTACAACACTAAAGTTTCCAGGCAGGCTTAGCATGTCCTGGTGGTTGTGAGTTTTCAAACCCTATGCATCTGACTGCCACCTTAGATCCCAGGCTATTATTCTGCCGTCAGTTTTTCTTTGGGGCAAGAGCTGTGTTAGGTGATGACACACTGTGGAGGGTGGGGAGCTTATCTTAGGAATGCTCACATTATCTCAACGAATCCTAACAGGATTATTTCACCGATAAGAAAATTGAAGGACAGAGGGGATAAATAATCTGCCCCGGGTAATATGCAAGCTGAGACTTCAAACCAGGGCTCCAAGATTCCAGAGATGATAGGCTTTGGATCTGGGCGAGAACAATCCAGCCTTCTCATTTTAGAAATGCCGAAGGCTAAGGACCCAAAACCACCCATACACAGGACGTCACCCAGTGTGACATAGATAAGGCTATGACCAGAGCCCCCCATCCAGAGCTCTCCCCAGCCAACCACTCCCCATGTGGGCAGCTCCAAGCTGGCTCCAGGCTTCAGGAGAGGAAGCACTTGCTGACTCTCTCCTTAGACGTGGACATGCTGAAGTGAATTCCAGGCATGTTTTCAAGATCTCCTCGGACTGCCTGGATCAGAGGCTGGGGTAGTTATCTCTGCTTGAAGTATCAGTGGTGGAAGTCTTCCATCGGCTCCTCCCTTCATCTTGAAAGAATCCCGGGGCATCTGGTGGCTGGCCTCGCTCCGAAGATGGTGGGGACGAAAGCCTCTGGGATACACATTTTCTTCAGGGGCGGCCAGCTGTAAGAGACATCGTCCAATCCAAGGGGTGGCAAGTTCATTGAGCACAATAACCCAACTCCGCCACTGAGTGTGTAAGTTAGAACCCTGCCCCCACCAGGACACAACTGTCTCTGAGGACGGTTGTCAAACGGCACTGTGGGAAGACTTGGGGACTGATCACCTGGAACTCAGAGTTCATGTCCCAGCTTCCCCATGAAATGCCTGCGGCACCCTGGACAAGCCGTTCCACACACGTCTGTCAGATGTGGAACTGGGCTCAAGCACAAGCTAGGAATTCCATCCCACTGGTTGACTGCATTGCCAATATTTTAAATTATGAAATTTCGTTTAAAAATCCAAATTGCTGGTTTCTGCTTTAAAACAAGAAGCAGGAGCAGCTCCAGCAGCCCAGGCCCTTCCCTCCTGCCTCTCCCTCTGGGCAGTCCAGCCCCAGAGCCCTCCCAGGCTCCACACTCATGCTTGCTGGGTGCTGGCAGGTCATACCCATCAGACTATCGTCCACACATCCTCAGCCCTCCCGGCCAGAGCTGGGCTTCACGACAGACTGGCGTCGGTCCCACACAGCGTCCAACCCCTGCTGAAGAAAATGTTCCCTTGGCTTTGGGGAAGCAAAGTTGCTCAGACCAGCAAAAAAGAGCAACTCTACTTTCAGGGGAAATATGTACCCTGTCTTTTCCACATTCAACCATAAAAATGTCTGGATGTACTAAAAGTCTGCCGCTAAACCATGGAAATGGAGCCAGGCATCTCTTGAATGACACAAACCAGAGCCATCCCTCATGGCTTTGCGTTTCCCTACGCTTTTCTGAAGCCAAACACCAATGGCGTCTCCTCATGGGATGGTGATAAAGGCAAGAATCTCAAAATGGGACCCGTAGCCGCAGCCTCTGCTGAACAAGTCCCACCCCGGCGCTTCTGTCTCTACCTGGCCTCACCTCCCCCCGCCCCGAGCGGGCGTCTCAGACGAAGACGGACCCTGCCACTGTAGAGTGGCAATGTGTGTGCCGTGCCACACCTCCTTTCTCAAAACTGGCACAAGCCAGGGGAGGCTGGAAAGATGGCAGAGCCGTTTTAACCTGACTCGAAGAGACTCCAGGTTGTTTAGATTATTTTAATAATTGGATTTTATAAGACTTGTGCTCTGGGGCTTTTTTAGTGAAGAACAATAATTTTTAAATGAACCTTGAAAACTTCTATAATAGGTGGAAAGAAAAGAGTCAGCTCTCCAAGTACGTTCCTTTTCCTGCCTCATCCTGTACAACCTAATCCTGCTGCTGTGCTTCCTCCTCGAGTCCTTCCAAGAACACATGACAAGATGTTTATCCACAAAGGATCTTAATCCCTTTTTGAGATTGCTTTGCAAACTTCCAGTCTTCAAGAGCTAAGTCTCTTATGTTTCTTATTTGCCACAAGCTGGGCCCACAACGTACATGGAATCCTTGGGGAGCCGTTGCTGCCAGATGGGCTGGATAGGCACAGGGACTGCGGTGTTTGGGCCAACCTGGGCTGGACCTGGCGTCGTGTCTTTGGACGGACTCAGGGAACATATTGATTAGGGAATGGAGGACCGGGAGGAGGGAGACACTAAGCCAGGTGCTATTAGCTGCAGTAAATTAACGTCCTCCTGCTGGATCCATTATTGATGGCCACGCCATGCATTTTTAAACAAAATAAATAATGTACTTCGAACAGTGTCGATTTGTGCCTATTTACCGGTTGGATAGGTGAATTGTTGTACTAAAACAATTTGAAAATACTTTTTTTGAATTAACGCAATGTTTCGGTAAAGAGACAACAAATTCTTACTTTTAAACACTTCTTATTGTGTTGTGTGTTATTGTGTTGACTCCTGTCCATGCTGTGGAAGGGAGGGGGGGAGGGATTGAAGAGGGAAGGAAGGGAGAAAGGAAGGGAGAGAGGGAGGGTGGGAGGAAGGAGGGAAGGAAGGGAGGAGGAGGAGGGGAGAGAGGAAGAGGGGAGGGGAGGAGGAGAGGAAGGGAGGGGAGAAGGAAGGGGAGGGAGGGAGGGAAGGGAGAATGGAGGGAAGGGAGGCAGGCAGTCACACTTAATTTCTACGCTCAGACTCGGCTCGGCGGTGTGTGTGTGTTCATGTGTGTGTATTGTGTGCACATGTGTGTACATGTGTGAGTGCTGGGAAGAAAGGGGAATGCATGAAAGAGATGGTGCCCGACTCCCTCTCCCCAGCAAAGCTCTCCCTCTCCCCAGCAAAGCTCTGTCTCCCTCCAGGTGGAGAACAACCCTACCCTATGCCTATGGGTGCTTGTCACGACCCCGGTGCCTGGCACTGGGCAGACCCCAAACTCTTTCTCTGCTCAGCTTTCTCGTCTGTACCCCGAGTCTCACCCGTGAACCAAACTGAACTCACCACACACATCCAGCAACTGCCCACTCCTGACTTCCAGTCCTGGCTGGGGTGATGCGGTTTTACTCACTTCACTGAACATGAAAATGTAGCAATGGTGTGCCAGGCGTGGGTGCACAGAAGGAAGTGAACCAGAGCCAATTCTGTGCTCACGGAGTGGAGCCCATCAGCTCCAGGCACGGGGGAGACAACGACCTTGTGCCAGTGCTGTAGGGGACCTCCCCAAACCACCAAGACGCTGAGGTCCCCAATGCCAGGACTGCAGGGGACCTCCCCAAACCACCAAGAAGCTGAGGTCCCCAATGCCAGGACTGCAGGGGACCTCCCCAAACCACCAAGACGCTGAGGTCCCCGATCTGAAGTCCCCAGCCTGAGCCTGGGGCCGGGGCTCCAACGGGAAGGGGATGCCCCAGGGTGTTCCCTCTCAGAGCCCTCTGACCTACAGGCCTCTCCCGGGAAGCGAGGAGCCTGGGGTTCCCTCTGGAATGGGAAATGCTGAGACCCCTGCAGAGAGTACACTCTGAAAGGCCGAGAAGCATGTGTGGGTTGTTGCACCAGCCATGTGTTGCATCCTCTGCAACCAATGCTCTTAGCCATGGAGCAGAGGCCGTCGGGTCGGGCCCCACTTACAAGCACTGGCCACATAGATGAGCAGGCACGGGGTCAGTGCCGCCGCAGCCCCAGGCCCCAGGGAGCAGAGCTGGCCTGGCCAGGGTCACGCTGCAACCAGCTCCCCAGGCCCCAGGGAGCAGAGCTGGCCTGCCAGGGTCACGCAGCAACCGGCTGCAGCCCTTTGCTCCCAAACACCATTAATCACCCTAAAGACAGCCTTCCTTCCACTTGGAAAGATGAATCATTCTCAGGGCAGTGGGAAAAAACACTCCCTCAGTTTATTTGATTACTTGAAAACACAGGCGAGGCTTGGCTGATGAGAAAATGCTCAGGGAGTAAACCCAACTTCCATGGGCACAGCAAGGTACACCCGCGCGGAAAGTTATTACAGAGGAGGCCAGGACCACGCGCTCAGGGCGGGTCAGCGTGGGGCTCGGACAGGCTCCAGGCGCACCTGGAAAGCCCCTGCAAGTTGATGTACAATGATGCTGTCATGTTTGTGTACATGTTTCTGGAGAGAGGGCCTGCAGCTTTTCAGATTTTCAAAGATTTTTGCCAACCCAAAAGGTTAAGAACCAGTTATAAAACATTTTCTTATGTTTTATGCAAAGGGAACATTTTAAACATACAGAAGACATATTCTTAATTCTAAAAACATTTCAGAGCAGACTTCTAAACAGTCTCCTGTAAGGAGCAAAAACGAAGCTGCCAGAGAGCATCTGTGTACACAGAGGTTCGTTAAAAATCACTGTCATATTCTTAGAAGTTTGAAGGAAGAAAACTTACAATTCAATTTTTTTAAAAATGACTACATAAACAGCCATATGATTTCATTTTATACTCACCTTGGGATTCCAAGTTTATATTGAAAGTTTCCTTTTCTTTCCTTTATATTCTACTGAAAATCCCCATCCCCATTTATCCAACCACATGCAGTGCTGCAGCTTCCAGACTCACACATACTGCTGCAACAGAACCTGTATGTTTTACTATATTTAAATGAAATGTCATATTGGTAACCTATAAAGTCAGTTTTAGTGTGTGTGTGTGTATATATATATATATATATATACACATTTATTTTTCTTTGGGATGGAATTTTGCTCTCTCTCCCAGGCTGGAGTGCAATGGTGCAATCTTGGCTCACTGCAACCTCCACATCCTGGGCTCAAGTAACTCTCCTGCCTCAGCCTGCCAAGTAGTTGGGATTACAGGGGTGCACCACCACACCTGGCTAATTTTTGTATTTTTAGTAGAGATGGGGTTTCGCCATGTTGGCTAGGCTGGTCTCGAATTCCTGACTCAGATGATCTGCCCGCCTCGGCCTCCCAAAGTGCTGGGATTACAGGCGTGAGCCACCGTGCCCAGCCCAGACTTAGTAAATTTTTTGTTAACAATGCAAAATGTTCAGCAATATGTAAGCCACTCAACCTCAGGAAAATGACTTGGCCTCCCTGAATGCTGCCTTTTGTGGAAAATGAGGGTGCGCCTGCCTCCTGGGGTTGGTTCTGAGGCTAGATCGGGTGTGACTGGCATGAGAGCCTGACACGGCACACAGCCGATAAACAGAAAATGTTTGCTTGCGTTCCTCATGAATCTGGTAATTTTCCACCTTTTCTCTAGGAATGTTAGACTCCACACTGCTGCAACAACCTAATTTTTCCATCTTTTGTAAAGTTTAAATGCATAAACAAAAAATAAAATGTTAAGCTCCACCCCTCCCAACCATCTGAATGAACCCGGCAAAGGGCACTCCAGAGTTCAACTGAAAAGCTGGTTCAGGCTGTGATGGGAAGAGGGGGTGGGACAGGCTTCATCATGCCCACCTCCCTTTTGGAATTCAAGGAAAGCTGACCAGCATAAACATCAGTACAGACCTGAAGTTTGATAAGAAACACTGACCATCTCTTCTCTCTGAAGCCTGCTACCGGGAGGGAGGTTTCATCCGCATGATAAAATCTTAAGTTGTCCCAACTTTCTGGACCGAACCAAGGTATTTCTTAAATGTATGTGATTGAAGTCTCACATCTCCCTACAATGTGTATAACCAAGCTGTGCTCCAACCACCTTGGGCACACGTCACAGGCCATGATCACTCATATTTGGCTCAGAATAAATCTCTTCAAATATTTTACAGAGTTCGACTCTTTTCACCGACAAATGGGCAATGTGTTGTGTTTGCATGAGGAGCCCCTGGTTGAGAGCAAGTTCCCTGCCGGTTCTGCCCTCAGGTTCTTGGTGGCCAGAGACACTCCCCAGGGCGGGCAGCCAGTCTGGTGCTGGCCAGGGCTGTGCTGCTTAGCAAGGCCACAGAAGGGACGGAGCTGCCCTGCCTGCCAAGCCTGGGAAGCCTGCTCAGGTTGTTTACTGCTGGCCTTTCAGGAAGTGCTTTGGGAACAACCTCACACCTCTCAGGTCATCTGACTCTCAGTCCCACTGGGAGGGCAGCTTAACCTGTTTGTCTGCTTGTTGCTTGTTGGGCTGTGCAAGCAGTGAGGCTGGATTGTTGCCTCAGGAGTAAGTTACATAAGAGACTCTACATTACATTACATTACAGCTCTACAATGCACCAGACGGACCCATCTGGATTCTTTCGGGGCTCTTAGCCCTAGAAATAGCATCATTTCTTCAAACTGGTGAGTCCTCCTGTCTAAAATCAGGATGCAGAGAGTTGATGCACGGCATGGCACAGGTATATTGTGGGAGCAGCCCTCTCCATTCATGCCAGAATTCTGGGCATTTAATTCAAGTCCCTCCAAAAGAGTGTTGACAGCTTTGTTCTCTCCTTATCCCTTTTCTCTCCTCTTCCTCCTTCTGACTGCAGGATGCTGGGCAAGGCTGGCAGGCCCGGGAGAGCCTGTGGCCAGCCTGGGTCCAGGAAGTGGGCAGCTGCCACAGAGGGGCCTCCGAGGCTAGCTGCCTCCTAACTTCCTCACGGCACACCATTCTGCCGTCCTGAGTCTTCTCAAGGTTGGAAGGTGCCCAGATCCAGGGAGATGGTGCTGGCTCTTTGGTGGCTGTGGAGTGTCCAGACAGATGAGCTGGAATCCTTCAGTTTCTCTGCCTCTCCTGTCAAGTTGGGGTAGCACTGCTTGGACTCTTGCCCCGGCTGCATTGACCAAGCCTTGATGTTGCCTTGACCAAGCCTTGATGTTGCCTTCTTTGCCAAACCACTGGCCACGATGTTGCTGGCACAGCAGCCCAAAGGCAGCTGCTTGTCCATCTCAGCCTGACCCAGCCTTCATGCGGGCTCCATCTCAGCCATTGTAAAGCAAGCTCCTAGTTCTAGTTCTCCCCCACAAATTTTATTGCTAAATAAACAATTAAGCTACCCCTTTAAATAGTAAAAATATGTATATACAAACAAGATCTAAACCCATCACAAGAATGTATCAACCAAGCCAGGCACAGCGGCATGCACCTGTGGTCCCAGCTATTCAGGAGGCTGAGGCTGAAGGATCAGTTATGCCCAGGTTGGAATCCAGCCTGGGCAACATAGTTGTATTAGTCCATTGTTATGCTGCTGATAAAGACACACCTGAGACTGGGAAGAAAAAGAGACTTAATTGGATTCACAGTTCCACGTGGCTGGGAAGGCCTCAGAATCATGGTGGAGGACAAAAGGCACACCATACATGGCGGCAGCAAGAAAGAATGAGGAAGAAATAAAAGCAGAAGCCCCTGATAAACCCATCAGATCTCATGAGACTTACTCACCATCACAAGAATAGCATGGAAACGATCGACCCCCATGATTCAGTTACCTCCCCCTGAGTTGCTCCCACAACATGTGGGAATTCTGAGAGATACAATTGAAGTTGAGATTTGAATGGGGACACAGCCAAATCTTATCATTCTTTCCCTGGCCCCTCCAAATCTTATGTCCTCACATTTCAAAACCAATCATGCCTTCTCAACACTCCCCCAAAGTCTTAACTCATTTCAGCATTAACCCAAAAGTCCACAGTCCAAAGTCTCATCTGAGACAAGGCATGGTGGAAGTTTCTTCCACCTATGGGCCTGTAAAATCAAAAGCAAGCTAGTTCCTTCCTAGATACAATAGGGGTACAGGTATTGGGTAAATACAGCTGTTCCAAATGGGAGAAATTGGCCAAAACAAAGGGGTTACAGGGCCCATGCAAGTCCAAAATCCAGCGGGAATGTCAAATTTTAAAGCTCCAAAATGATGTCCTTTGACTCCAGGTCTCACATCCAGGTCATGCTGATGCAAGAGGTAGGTTCCCATGGTCTTGGGCAGCTCTGCCCCTGTGGCTTTTCAGGGTACAGCCTCCATCCCAGCTGCTTTCATGGGTTGGCGTTGAGTGTCTGTGGCTTTTCCAGGCACACAGTGCAAGCTGTTTGTGGATCTACCATTCTGGGGTCTGGTGGACAATGGCCCTCTTCTCATAGCTCCACTAGCCAGTGCCCCAGTAAGGACTCTGTGTGAGGGCTCCAACCCCACATTTCCCTTCTGCACTGCCCTGGCAGAGGTTCTCCATGAGGGCCCCACCCCTGCAGCAAACTTTTGCCTGGGCATCCAGGTGTTTCCACACATCTTCTGTAATCTAGGTGGAGGTTCCCAAACCTCAGTTCTTGACTTCTGTGCACCCTCATGCTCAACACCACGTGGAAGCTACCAAGGCTTGGGGCTTCCACCCTCTGAAGCCACAGCCTGAGCTGTATGTCGGCCCCTTTCAGTCATGGCTGGAGCATCTGGAACACAGGGCACCAAGTCCCTAGGCTGCACACAGCACAGGGACCCTGGGCCTGGCCCACAAAACCACTTTTGCCTCCTGGGCCTCTGGACCTGTGATGGGAGGGGCTGCCATGAAGGTCTGTGACATGGCCTGGAGACATTTTCCCCATGGTCTTGGGGATTAACATTAGGCTCCTTGCTACTTATGAAATTTCTGCAGCCGGCTTGAATTTCTCCCCAGAAGATGGGTTTTTCTTTTCTACTGCATCGTCAGGCTGCAGATGTTCTGAACTTTGATGCTCTGCTTCCCTTTTAAAAGGGAATGCTTTTAACAGCACCCAGGTCACAGCTTGAATGATTTGCTGCTTAGAAATTTCTTCCACCCAATACCCTAAATCATCTCTCTCAAGTTCAAAGTTCCACAAATCTCTAGGGCAGAAGCAAAATGCTCCCTGTCTCTTTGCTAAAACATAACAAAGTCACCTTTACTCCAGTTCCCAACAAGCTCCTCATCTCCTTCTGAGACCACCTCAGCCTGGACCTTATTGTCCATATTGCTATCAGGCTTTTGGTCAAAGCCATTCAACGAGTCTCTAGGAAGTTCCAAACTTTCCCACATTTTCCTGTCTTCCTCAGAGCGCTCCAAACTGTTCCAAAATCTGCCTGTTACCCAGTTCCAAAATTGCTTCCACATTTTGGTGTATCTTTTCAGCAGCACCCCACTCTACTGGTACCAATTTACTGCATTAGTCTGTATTCACACTGCTGAGAAAGACATACCTGAAACTGGGAAGAAAAAGAGGTTTAATTGGACTTACAGTTCCACATGACTGGGGAGGCCTCTGAATCATGGAGGGAGGCAAAAGGCACTTCTTACATGGTGGCAGCAAGAGAGAATGAGGAAGAAGCAAAAGCAGATAAAACTATTAGATCTCGTGAGACTTATTCACTATCATGAGAATAGCATGGAAAAGACCGGCCCCCGTGATTCAATGACCTCCCCCTGGGTCCCTCCCACAACACATGGGAATTCTGGGAGATACAATTGAAGTTGAGATTTGAATGGGGACACAGCCAAACCATATCAGTAGTGTCCCCTGTCTCTCAAAAAAGGAAAGAATTAATCAACCAAAGGAGAAATCTGAGTGGCTGTGGCTAGTGCTCTGGGCTGGGCATGGACAGTAGTCCCAGGGAAGCCTCCCTGTCACGAATTATGGTGGCCAATTAACCATGTCAGCCGTAGTTTCATCATAACCAGAGTTTCAAAGAGAGAATGAATCATAAAACTTTAAAGCTTAGAAAAGATCTCAGAAATTAAGACCCGTATCTTAGAGTGGAGCTTCTCAAATGTCATCGTGCATGCGATCCCCTGGGCATCTCGTTAGGGAGAGTTCTGAGTCGGAGGACAGGGGCAGGGCAGGGGGCAGGGATCAGCATCTCTAACCAGCTCCTGGGGAGGCCGCTGTGGGGCCATGCTGGGATGGCAAGGCCTCAGAGGACCCAGGGCTTCCAGTGTAGACTCAGCTTCACCCCGCAGAATAAGAGGAAACATGTTAGAACTCATTTTTCTGTATTTTCAGGTATAGAGACCCTTGGGGAGGGTCCAACCCTGCTGCGTTTAGCGTAGCTTGTCATGGAGAGGTTCCAGTGTGTTTACACCTTTGAACCATCACAACGCCCAGCATGAACTCTTCAAACTTTTGTATTCATGGCTCCAAATGTTGAAATTTTAAAAATGACTTTAAGGCTTTTTATTTATTTTTAATTTTTTTCTACAACTTTAAAGCAAAACTCAAGTATGAGCTCAGAAGTATTTTTCTCTTTGAAAATGTTTAAAAAAAAATGCTGCAGGTAAATGAAGCTGTTTCTTTGGGACCAGCCCATGGAGTGCTGGAGTAGCTGTGAGGTGTGCGCCAGGCCAGGGGACTCACCCCGTTTGTGCTTCCATGTTCTTGTAAAATGTGGATTGTAGTGGAGCCTACCCCAGAGGGCTGCTGAGAAAATTAAATTAGTTACTGCATGTAACACTTAGAAAATACAAACATGAAGCGCGTTTAATACCGAATGCCCTCATTGAACGTTCATTGATAATGTTATTGCTGTTGCTGCTTCTCACTCCACCTCTCTCACTGGGGCCTGGGAGCGGGGATGCCTGCAGGTGTGTTGGAATCCGTCAGTGCAATGCCAGGGGCACGCAGGCAGAAGCGGGTGGGACTCGTCCTGGTAGTGGGGGCGAGTTCAAGGTAACGCAGCAGACAAGGAGAAATGGATTTTCATTGACCGGTAAGTTTTAAATGGAAAACAATCATTCAAAAGAGGCAATTTGAGGACACAGTGAGCCTTCGTCTGCACCCCAGAGCTGCAGGGGCTGCTGCGGCCCGAGGACAGGCTCGCTGCTGTGACCTGGAAAAGCCCTTCCTGTCTCAGATCAGTTCCATGATCTGATTCTCATGAATCATTGAGTAAAAGGGGATGCTTCCAAAGCTCCCTTCAATTTTACCCAGCAGAGGCCCTGATGTTACCGGGCCACCCCTGATACCTTAAGGCCAGAAAGGTGACATGGGGACCCCAGTGCCTGTCCGCTCTTTACTTCCTGCTTTCAGCCTCAGGGAGGGAAGCCCTGTTGGGATGCTAAGGGGTGTCATTAGATAGTCATCAGTCTTAGCACCGGCCACCTTCAGATGAGCCCTCAAGGTCCCCCACTGCTCAGCAGACAGGGGCTGTGTCAGCCTGGGGTGATAACACCCACATACCCTGGCTCAGCCTGCACACAGTAAGTTCCCCCAGTAAGAGCTTCTGAGTGCAAAAGAGATCTGTCAAGTTGATCAGACATGGATCAAATCAAATGTCTCATTAATTATTCTTATTATTAATTTTCATTAGCTGAGTTTTTTTTTTAATTGATGAAATTCTTCATCTATTTAGCATTGTGTAGACGCATTGTGTCATTTGGAAAAGTAAAATGCAGAAAACGTCATTGACTTTGCACTGGACATCAGAATTTTCGTTCCCCTGACACAGGGATGGGACTTAACTAGTAAAGTGAGTCCCCCACCCCCCAATCCACAGCTCCCCCAGGACCAGCAGAACGTGGGTCTGAAGGAGGCCTGAGGATGTCCATGGCCAGTCCAGAGACTGTCATTTGCTCCCAGAGATCCTCAGGTACCCCAGTTCATCCTAGAGAGAGTCCCAGTCCCTAACAAAGTTCCAGAACCACCTAATGAAGATGTGAACCTTCTTGGGAGTCTCTAAACTACTCATTCATTCAACAAATACCTGTGGAGTCACTCACTCTGTGCAAACAGCTGTAATGAGCAGTATGAGAAACTTCCCTCCACGAAAGGCATAATTTAGGGGAGACAGGCAGGTTAATTACTAACTATCACGCCAGGCTGAATGCCATGGATGCTATAATAAGTGTACAAACTACATGGTGGGGATGCTGGGTCAGGGATTCAATCTGATGGGAAGCTTCAGGATGAGCTGGGCTTCAAAAGACATGGCAGGCAGAGGAGAGAGAGGTAGAACCTTAGTCATGAACTGTTACTTAATCTCTAACTTTCTGTTTAGCCAGATAATACTTTCCATGGCTCAAATATTTAAATGATATTTAAAGATGTGTTCAGGAGGTCTCACTCCCACTCCACCCCCATGCATGCGGGTCCCTTGTCACACCTCCTGCTGTGCCGCGTGCACTGGGTCTGGCTCGCCTGTCTATGTCTACGAAGATGCAAGCAGTGCCCATTCGTATTCTTATTCCCCTTCCTCGTGCACACAGTGCAGCATATTGCTTTTTTTTGCTGAACGTCATATTCTGATGATCTTTCCTTATCCATACACGGAGCTCTTTCTCATTCTTTCCCTAGAGCTGCATATAATTCAAGCAGCCCTGGATGGATTTACATCTGCTCCTCTCCCGGCCTTGTGCTGTTACAAACACACCACGGTGAGTGGTGCACAGATGTCATTTTGCACATGGGCTGGTATGGACAACACCAGATTCCCTTCCCTAGCTGGAATGCCATTTTGCATATCTCCCGACAACACACGAGTGCCTGCTTTCCACAGCACCTCCAACAGAATGCATTCTCACCCCTTTCAGTTGTTTGCTTATCTCATCCCTGAGAAATAGAATCTCAATTTAGTTTCAGTTGCATTTCTCTTACTGGGAATGATAAAGAGCCACTGAAATGTGTATTCTTAAGAGAATGATCATTAGGTATTGCATCCAACGTCCCTCTAAACATTCCATATCAATTTTAGAGAGCCAGTAGTGAGACCAGACACCAGGCGGAATATGGCTCATTATCTGACTCCAGGTCATTCTCCTTCTGATAAAATTAAACCTGTAAGTATGGGAAGACCCACTGTGCGTGTGCAGGGATTTGCCTGTTACATAGTGATATTTAGCACGGTGGAGCGGGGAAGGCTTTGCTGGTGCTGATCCTACAGTCAGGTTGTCTGGAAAAGAGCGTCTTTTGGGAGACACAAGACAAGCACCCAGAGGCAGCGGTGACGTGTGAGCAGGTGGCCCCAGCTCATCCCTACCGGGCCTGGGTAGAACCTCTGTCCTCTGCAGACGGGGCTCCTGTGGACGTCGAAGCCCCAGGCAGTCCCGGTGCCCTGCGGAAGAAGCTCCAGGAGGTTCCTTTCCTCACCATATGTGGAGCCTGAAACCGGTTTTGCCATGGTTTCTGCGCCATGGTTTCGGGTGAGCTGTGGGTCTCTTGCTCACTGACCCCACATCATCC
The DNA here is from genome assembly GCF_000001405.40 of Homo sapiens. Classification (NCBI taxonomy): domain Eukaryota; kingdom Metazoa; phylum Chordata; class Mammalia; order Primates; family Hominidae; genus Homo; species Homo sapiens. Next base: position 167,758,212 of record NC_000006.12, read on the forward strand.
TGCAGGGACTGGGAAGGGGAACCGAGGCTGCCACTAACAGTGACAGTGGCAGAGAGTAGGAAGTAAATACATGTGCTTAGTGCGCTTGAAGTAGTGTAAATGGACTCAGCAGTGAGGATTTGGCTGTGGCACAGCAAGGCTAGGGGATGCCCTCTATGCCACGGCAGCCGGCAGCTCCTTCAGACCCCTGGGCCAGACCATTTGCTGTGGTCTGAGGCAACCCGGTGGAGAGGAGGGCATAACTGTGTCGCAGGATTCATCCCTGGGCAGCCACGGGCTCTGCTGGGCTCCATGTCCAGAGCCTGTCCCTGCAGACGGAGCCCCCGAGTGATGGCCCGGATTATTGACCACCAGGAACACCTCAGAGGGCAGAGCCCATAGCAGGGCCCACAGAGGCCTTCAAAATCCCTTTGTCACATACCCAGCCCATGAACCGAGCCAGGAGAGGGCCCCAGAAGCCTGGCGACTCTTCCCAAGGCTTCACTGGGATGGCCCCTCCTAGCCTGGGATGCTTGCTCAGAATCCCTCCAGGACAACAAGGCTAAACTGGGGGACTGATGTCCAAACAGCCGCCCACTCCCCTCACAACCACGCAGCCATAGGAGGGGAGAGCCAGGCGTGCAGGCAGAGGAGAGAGGGGTTCTGCGTCAAGTCCTCCGGGCGCCCCCACCCCACTTGCACAGAGCCTGCTTCTGCGGCCCCAGCTTGGGGCACTCCATCTTGACATTGCCCTCCTCCCTCTGCCCCCCGTCTGAGCTGGATGAGGAAGGCAGGCCGGAGCTGAAAGGGCACAGTTCTGCCCCGCTCCAGGGCCTGCTGCCCTGACAGCCCCAGGGCACGGAAAGTCACCAGGACCCTCACCTGTGACTTAGGAAAATGTCTAAAGAGCTTTGTGAGGATTTGGCACAAAATGCCTGCAAGTGATTCTGTCCTGGATATATTTGGAAGTTAGAGCCAACCTAATTTGCTGCTGGGTTGGATGTGGTGGTTGAGAGAGAGAGTTCCCCAGGGTGGCACCCAGGGGAGGCTGGCACACCTGGAACATCGAGTTTACCAGGACGGGAGCGGAGTGCCAGGAGCAGGTTCTGCAGGAAGGGATTTCAACTTGGGACATGGCAATGCTGAGATGTCCATTGGGCAGCTAAGTGGAGGCTCCCAGGAGCCCTTTGTGAGTCCAAAGTTCAGGAGAAGGGACGGAGCTGGAGCCCAGATGGAGAGCCATCGGCTCAGAGATGAGCTTTGAGGCCCAGAGCCTGGAGGTTGAGTGGAGAGAACAAGATCCCAGGTGGACCTCTGAGCGCGCAGGTCTCAGGAGGTCAGGAAAGGACCCAGGAAAGGGGGCTGAGAAGGTGCAGCCTGACCAGGCGGGAGATGGCCAAGGGAGGGGTGTCCCTGATGCTGGTGGAACGGGGGCTCTGGGGAGGCCGTGAAGGCTGGGCAGGATGAGGGAGAGTTCAGGGAGAGGATGGAGAATTCAGAGCAGCTGTGGAGGAGGAGATCAGGCTCAAGGGAAGATATAGCGCAGGAAGATTCCTGGTCATCTGATTTAGGCGACCTGTGAAGAAGTCCGCTGCAAGAGGATGTGGGAAAATGGAGTGGATCCGGAAGGGAAAAAATGGGCCAAAAGGAATGTTTTGGTTTCGTTTTCCCGAGATGGGAGAAATAGTAGCACGTCTGGGCACTGGTGAGAAAGATCAGGGAGAGAGGGCGAATATGACGATGTGGGCGGGAGAAGGAGGCGCCACAGGGCTTCCCAGGCGGGTGCAGGGGGAAGGGTCTGGCCTTTGACAGGAGTGAGACTGGCTCATCCCCTCCTGAATGTGATTGGCGGCAATTCCCAGATGAAGATGGAGTCAGCACTCTGGCAGGGTGGACTGGGGTGGGCTGGATGACATGTTCGAAACCTGCAGGCAGACACGTGCATTTTCAAAAGCTGCCCAAGAGATGTTTCACGGCCCTCGCCTCCCAGCCTGCCTCGCCTCGGGCTTTGGGGATGCCGACACGCAGGTGCAGCTTCTGAGAGACAGAGGGACCTGTTCGGTGTGGGGGATGGCCTGGGGCTCAGGTGCCATTTCAGGCGTCAGGGGCAAAGGCGAGGAACAGTGCCTGGTGTGGAGCTGGCAGAGAAGATGGTTGTCACTGTTCACTCCAGGAAGGATTTCTTGACCTAGCTCTGCTCTGATTCACTGATTGCGATATTATAGTCCATTTTCTATTTCAATGTGCAGTTTAACTTTCATTATTTCCAAGTCTGCAGAAATATTTCCCCACGGACCCCATGGACATGTAAGAGTGGGCTCCTCCCCATCCTCCACACTGCTCGTCGGCTTTGGGAACGGAAATCACGTCAAGGCCCAGCCCAACAAAGACCCTGAAGTCAGGAAAGCCTTCCCTGTGGAGACTACCTGTCTGTCTGCTTCAGATCAGTTTACCCCAGGTCCAGACAGGGTCATTCTGGTACTAAGGGGCATGGAATGACCCAGATGGTCCCACTCCATTCCTGGCACCCACCCACCCCACCTCACCCCACCCCACCCACATACAGATAAAGTTGTAGGACAACTGCACACCCTCATGATAGCCATTCTGCTCACTTGAGGGCTCAGTGGGATGTTCAAGTTTTCCTTCCAAAACCTTCTAATGTCCCATATCACTCTTTATACCCTCCTCAGGAAGTTCACCCAGATCTGGAGTTAAGGAACCCTAGGTTAAGGGTGAGAAAATGAGGTTAGGTATGAGGAGGGGAGAAAATCAAGAGCCATGTTGTAATCACTCATTGTTACCTCCCACACCGTTCTGGAAGGTTCCAGGCTCATGCCTGCCAAACCCAACCCTGATTCCCTGGCAAGCATCAAGACCACACAGTGCAGAACAGAAAGATAAACATTTCATAGGAAAAGACCTGACTCAGAATGAAGGTAGAGGTGGCAGACCCCAAACCACACACATGCGTACAGTAGGTGCTTAACAAATACTTGCGGAACAGATGGATGCACAGAGGGGGCCTCATGGGAAGACCCTGGCCCTGAAGGCCTTGAGCATTAGGATGTGTGCTGAGCCAAGGTCGCCCCAGGGCAAGGCGGCTGGAGCGCTCCTTAAAGATTCCATTCACTCCCTGCCAAGAGCCGGCATCCACATGGCTGCCTTGGAGTGCTGAGGTCAGAGGTGAGGAAGTATTTTGAAACTGTGAAAACTTTGAGCTGACTCTCTGGTTCCCAGGACTCTGTCCAGTGCCCATGTGACGTGTGCTCTGGATGGGAGTCTGCACGATCGTTCTCCAGCCCAGCTCTGCCACAGAAGCTCAAGCAGCCAGGAGGCCAGCCACTGAGTGAGGAGGGATTGGGGAGATAGTCACGGTTGCACAGCAGACGCTGAGCCAGGCACTGCTCCTGGATTAACTCACTCAATCCTCACGACGGCCCGTTATTATTGACATTTTACAGTTGGAAAGACTGAGGCAGGGGGCCATACGGGGAGGATGCTGGGCACAGGGATTTAAACTCAGGCTGCGCAGCCCTGAAAGGCTGGCTCTTAGTCACCATGCCATGCAGCCTCTCTCAACCCAGAACACCGGATTACAGCTCTCCACTGTACACCCGTCCATGCCTCCCTCCCTTTTTCCCTCCCCCCATCCCTCCATCCACCCATCTATATATTACTAACAAGCCCATTGGTTTGGCAGCAGACCAAGCTGGGTGGTAGCAAAGAGAAGAAGAGATGTGGACACACACTGTGCACCTGCTACCACATGCATTAGGCTGTGTGCACAGAGAGGGCTGGCGCAGAAGGCCGAAGCGGGATGGGCATCTTTCTGTGACCAAGAGGAAACATCCCTAGATGCCTCCCTGTTCACCCCCACTTCTGGGTCCCATCTTTGTACTCCCTCTACCTTTCATCTCCACCCCTCGCTAACCTTACACGCCCCCCAGGAAAGCTTTTCTTCCCATTGTTTGCCCTTCCTAAATGTCACCTTAGTTCTGAACAATGCTGCGTTTTATACTAGTGAAGCATAAACTTCACCTATGGAAGGAAAGTAACTGGAATGTCCATGATAAATTACCCGGATAAGAGTAGCATAAGGGGTTGATTGCATTGATTGATTAGTGAAATTATCACCAGATATATCCAGTCTCCCATAAGCCGGGCAACAGACTCTATGGCAGGTGAAACTCACACTCCTGGGACAGGCTCCATTGCAAATGTCCTGACAAACTATGAGCTGTTTCTCAATCATGTTATCAGCGGTGCAAAATCCAGTGTCAGCACACAGCCACTGCCAGGAGACAGTGTGAGCACCAACACACAATGCAGTCTTTGTGTTTCCATCTGGTGCAAAAGAAAGGAAAACAGCTTTGGTCAATAAATAATACGCATGGCTGTTGCGGTTTTTCAATACAGCCAATAAACACAATCTTAAAATTGAGTTATATAATGCTACATTCATCCTTCATTTCTTTTTATTGGACTTGATCTACCTAGAGCTTCTGTAAAGTGGCTACCCACAAGAACATAGTTGAAAGCCAAAAAATAGAGTGAAATAAATCAAAAATAATCTCGACTTTCCTTCAGATTTTAAAACAAAGACCCTGTGTATAGCATCCATGTTACATGACATACCCGATGATCCTCTGTCCCCTGCTGAGTAAATGTTTTCCTGGATAGTCACGGCTAATAGTTTTGTTTTGTTTCATTTTGTTTTTGAGATGGAGTTTTGCTCTTGTTGCCTAGGCTGGAGTGCAATGGCACGATCTCGGCTCACTGCAACTTCCACCTCCCAGGTTCAAGTGATTCTCCTGCCTCAGCCTCCTGAGTAGCTGGGATTACAGGCATGTGCCACCACGTCCGGCTAATTTTGTATTTTTAGTGGAGATGGGGTTTCTCCAGGCTAATAGTTATTAAGTGCTGCGTTAGTAAGCAGTGCTGCTCACCAATATCCAATCTCTTCTCTCCAGCACGTGGAGGATTGGCCTTCCTGTAGCCCCACAGTGGGCATAGCCTCGTAGTGTGGCCTGGATGGTAGGTGTGTGTGCAGCATCTGCACAGAGCATGGGACCTGCTAAGATAAGACCCTCCAGCCTTCTCCTTCCCTCTTCTCTGGTCGTTGGCTGATATGGTTTGGCTGTCCCCACCCAAATCTCATCTTGACTTGTAGTTCCCATAATCCCCATGTGTCGTGGGAGGGACCTGGTGGGAGGTAATTGAATCATGGGGCAGTTACCTCCATGCTTTTCTCATGATAATGAGTGAGTTTTCATGAGATCTGATGGTTTTATGAGGGGCTTTCCCCCTCTTCACTCTGCACTTCTCTTTGCTGCTGCCATGTGAAGAAGGACACGTTTGCTTCCCCTTCCATCAAGATCGTAAGTTTTCTGAGGCCTCCCCAGCCATGCGGAACTGTGAGTCAATTAAGCCTCTTTCCTTATAAATTACCCAGTGTTGGGGATGTCTTCATTAGCAGTGTGAGAATAGACTCAAATGCTGGCTTTGCCAGGCCTGGTCCCAGATGAGGACAATGCAGCCCCAGAGGACTCACGGGTCGTCCCTAAGGGACACTTGGAATGAGCAGGAACCAAGACACCAGGCTGCTGGATTCTGCAGCATCCAACAGGATAGTGAGGCCTGTCCTATAAACTGGTCAGCACAGCCTCTCCTGTGGTCTGTCCTGCAAATGTGCACACTCTGTGCCGGATGCTGTTCTGAAACCTGCAGCTGTGGTCACTGCTGCTGTCCTCAGAACAGCCGCTGAGGCTGACCCCACTTCCCCCCATTTGACAAATGCAGAAACTGAGGCCAGAATGGAAAGTAACAAGAAATGAAACTGAAGTTTATGCTACTTTATTAAGGCATTTTTTAAAGCCAGATTCCATTTTTATGGCCTTAAATATTCTTTTGTATACACAACTGTGGCTGACAGCAGCAAGATTGTTTTCCCTACTTCTCGCTAGAGGAGGGACATAAAGATTGGAAAAAGACAGCAGAACACACCCCATAACCATCAAGAGGGACTGCATACATTAAACTCGTACCAGAATCATCACACAACAGTATTGGAATCCCGAGGAGTTACTATGTCATGGACATCCAGTTGCCAGGACCTTGCTGGGCCAGGTGTGCCATCAGTGGCCAAGCACAGAGACAGTGCACTTCCCTGTCGCCCTGCTACTCTCGGCTCGGTGCAGTGAGGTACGTGCGACTCCAGTTGTTTCCGAAAACCCAAGGAGGAAGAGTGAGGGCACCACAGAGGCCTGGCCCGCATACCCAGCCCCAATTCCTAGACATACAGACTGGATTTCCATTTTCAATCTCATTTGAAGAAACAGTTCCCTGACTTTAATAAATGTTGAAACCAGTGGGCTTGTAAAATAAACCTGAGCTGGGGAACCAGAGTGGGCTTGGATTCCAGCCTCCCGCTTCCAGGTCACACAGCCGTGGGTGAGTAGTTTAACCTCCCTATTACTTTCGTGTCCTCATTTTAGAAATGAAAGACATTAGGGTGATTATGCCTACCAGATACTGTCGGGAACAACTCCAGCCCTCTGTGAACTGCTAGGGGTGGGAGAGATGTCAGAGGCCTCCTTGAGACAGGACTGGGGGCAGCAGCCGTCCTGGAAGAGGTGACGTCTGGGCTAAGGGAGCAAATGGAAGACGAAGTCTATCCCCCACTCACGAGGTGAAAAGATCCCGCCTGCTCAAATGCTTGTGTTTTTCGTACTCAGCTTCAGAGGGTAAAGAGGAGTGTGTCACTGGAAAAACAGAGTTCTAATCAAAGGTGCTTTGAATTCTGGCCGAACCCCTGCTTGGTTTTTTGCTCAATCCCAGTGGACTTCGACTCCTATATTAGTTACTGCAAATGTCATCTTCAAAGAAATTCGCTGGCCCAGGATACTTAAATTAATCATAAAATCAGTCTCTTAGAGAAAAATCTCCCATTCTGGGCTGTCCCCTCCAGACTTTAAAGCACTGTGACAGCCCTCAGGACCGAAAAGCAAGATTTTAAAATATACCTTGGCCTCAATTAAGAAGAATAATTTGCACATGGAAACAGAGCCAAGCTGAATCAGAATTTTCTATCAAATCTCTTCATCAGGGTTCGAGCTTTGCCATTAGGAATGTGGGCTCTTTGGGGATGAATCTAAATTCCAAGAGTTAAATCAATCCCTGAGTTGGGTACAGAGGGTCTTTATTTCTGGACTTCAACCCTGGTTGACATGGGCGGACTGACATGAGTTCATTTGCAGCTCCACGCATCACAGGTGAGCCGCAGTGTGACATAAATCATCAAACTCATGAGGATTGCCCGGCTTTGCTTGTCATTCTGTGTTTTCTTCCCAACAGAGACAGAGTTGCAGGGGCTACAGGACTGTGTATCTGTGTGGTCTGTGACTGAAAGTCTCTGGGCTCGAAGATGGATTCAGGCAGACATGGGGCAGCATACTTGGCATAGAGGAGGCCCCCCTGTCTGCAGCGTCTGGAAATCCCTCCCAGATCTGACTTTTAACCAGTAATAAATACTTCACCTTCATGCATGTATTAGTCCGTTTGCATTGCTATAAATAATCCCCGAGGCTGGGTGATTTATAAAGAATAGAGGTTTGTTTGGCTCACAGCTCTGCAGGCTGTGCAAGAAGCATGGAACCAGCATCTGCATCTGGTGAGGCCTCAGGAAGCTTCTGCTCAGGGCAGAAGGTGAAGGAGAGCCAGCCTCACGTGGTGTGAGAGGGAGCGAGAGAGACAGGAGAGGAAGTGCCACTCTATAGTTAAAAACCAGGTCTCGTGTGAACTAATAGAGAAGTCACTCATTACTGCAAGGACAACACCCACCCATGCCTGAGAGATCCACCCCCGTGACCCAACCCCTCCCACCAGGTCCCACCCCCAACCCTGGGGACCAAATCTCAGCATGAGACTTGGAGGACACAAGCATCTGAACTACCTCGTGCACTAAGTGAATGATTCGTGCTCCAGTTTTTCTCCCCAAGGGCCCTGAGTGGGCTCACTCGGCGATGTGTGAGTGTGGTCTGGCCTGGGGTCAACTGATCTGAGACTGCGTTTTACAGATTTCACTTAATCATTTTGCTAATTTGATCCATTTTCCCAATAGAGGATCCACCTCACAGCACCACAAACTATGATCTGTGGCTCTTGTTAAGTAAGCTTTTGCACTTAACCTGCTGTGGTCTGGCTTTTGCTCAGCAGCTGTGAAATATATACCTGGACCCACAACGGCTCATGGAGTGCTTTCCCATGGAGGCTGATAGCGTCCTTCTGCCATACGCTTGCCCATGCCCTAACTAGAAATGGGCAGAAACAACATCTTTCAGTTCGTTGGCGCAGGTTCTTTGAAGTCAGACTAACCTGCCTGTACCAGATGCTTAAAGCCCCGAGACCTCAAGTCTTCACCTATAAACTGGAAACAGGAACACCTTCCCCACGTGCTGCTATTAGATTTAGAGGTAAAGTGGCGTGTCGCACCCAGCGGGCATTTTATTTATGATGGTGACGATCTGCTGACTCGCCGGACAACATGCTTTTCCACTTGCATTTTTGATAACCCTGTACTAGTGGACTCTTCAGATTGCAAGGATATGACATTCCTAGATTTCTGGGGTTCTTTAAAATAAAACATTTGTTTAATGAACCAGAAAAGCAAGCAGAGTCACCTTCATTGTTAAAGGTGAGACTTAGCAAAGGAAGGATGTGAAGCCTTTCCTCACTGTTTGCAAAATGCCACGCAGAGTGAGGCAGCCACCTTCAGTAGCTGAGGAAATGTCTTTTCCGTGAGATGGCCACAGTTCCTTGAACTGGCTCAGAAAGGCCACACACTGTCCTGGGTGAGGGAGAGTTCCTCTAAGGGAGCACGAGAAAGACCCAGTCTTCTGTTTCTTCACGTGTAGCCTCGTCCAAGAGCCTGTCCAGTACAGGCACCAACGGATGACAGGAGCGCTCCAGCTGCAATCAGTCCCCAGCTTCGTCTCTCTCCTTTAAAGCAGCAGGCAGTATTTCTTTGGCATGAGTTCATGCAGGCGAGCCTGGCTCTGGACTCAATCACTCGGGGGGCAGGAAATCCCACCCCAGCCGCACCGAGGTTCTGCTCCAGCAGCTGGTCCAAAGGCACCAATTTTGGCATCCCGCAGAGCGTCAGAGAATCTTTGTTGCCATAGGTGAGAAGTGCGTCTCCTGAAATGCCAGGTGTTTTCTGCTGACAGCTGCACACGCTCCTTACCAGGGCCGTGCCATCCTGCTCCATGACACACTCCATAGAGGGATCGCTGCACTACAGGTGGTGACAGCAGGGTGGCGTGCGTCGCACTGAGAGAAGGTGTCCACGGAGAGTCCGTCTGCTCCTCCTTGCCTTCAATGTGTCCTCCTGAAGCACGGGAGCTCTTTGCGGATGCTCCCATCATAACGTCCGCATCCTCGGATCCAGGCTGAGGTATTCCACAGCAGCTCAGCTGCAGGGCCCGGGCCCCCGTGCTGTGAGCCTCATCCAGATGCAAGGATGCCTCGGGTTTCTTCTTGAGGGCAACCACTTCAGGAAGGTCAACAATACACTCCTCATGCCGTATGTTCCTTCCACAAGGATTAGAGTCTTCTTCCGGGGCCTTCGCATCCGAGACTGACCGTAAACAACAGCATCTTTCAACAGCTCGCCCAGGCCCTGCCTGCCATCGTATCTGGCAATTCGAGTGGTTGCTTCTGGCAGCGTAGCCCCTAGAACTAGTGATGCAGGGCTCAGTTCCTCATTCAGAATCAGGCGCCGCTGCCCACAGGAGCAGGAGCATTCACTGAATTTGCTGCAGATCTCATGCCACATGCCACAGAACCCAGAACTGCACTACAGGCCTCTCTAGTTCTTCATGTTGGCCAGGCCTCCAAAGTCCTGCCGAGGGCTGCACACTCCAACTCCGTACTTCCCCGGAACTTGCCGGCTGCTTGTTGACATGATCCAGTGTTCGGTGCAGGTCCAAGATAGCTGTAGGGACCCACGTCTCTGGCACCTTTAATTCCATTCCCTGTATACCTGAAGGAGCAGTTATAAACAGGAGACTGTCTCTGCAGCATGTCCACCCTGGCTTGCTCCAGACTGTTCCATTCCCGCTGTCTCTTAGCCTCACATAGAGGTTCCGTGTATACAAGTTTTCAAATCCTGATACAATGGCACAACGCCCTTGTGTTCTTCTCTTTCTGTTGCATGGTGATGACTTTCATTTCTCCAATGCCTCAAGAAATCAAAGATTTTCAAAGAAGGCGGGTGGGTACGCCAGACCCCTAGTATGTAGGTGAGCACAGCACCCAGGACGTGTATTTCTCCTAGAGCTTCATGAAATGCTCTTTTACGCCATTTACTCTGTTCTGTGTAACATGACAGACCCTCTGCTCAAGCCTCCGGGTGCTCTCAGCCAGGTTCCCTCTCCCTCCTTGAGACGCAGAGACGGCGCCTCAGGGACGCTAGGGGAAGCCCCTGGCCCAGAGCCGGGAGTAGTGGCAGCTGGACTGGTAGTCCCTCTGCACTTGCCCCTGTGGCCATCCCAGGTTTCTTTTGATACGGGGAGGTTTTCATCAGGGGAGGTGGGAACCAGAGGTGGCTCAGGAACTCCCCTCCCTGTCGGGCTTCCCTTCCAAGACAGGGGTGCACCACAGGCCCCACGGAGAGATGAGCACCTGGGGGGCCAGCCAGAGAAAGAAGGGTCACCCTCTCCATCCCCTGCCCCGGGAAAGACCTGCCTGGGTCAGTGTGTCACCAGCTGCCTCAGTTTCACAGCAGTCCCCCCAGGAAGATGCCCTCACCCACCAACAGGCCGCACGTCTGACCTGGGCACTCACCCCAGTCCCATGTGTCAGGGTGCAGAAAAGTCCGAGCACAGCCCCTTCCTTGGCCCCTCACTGCCTCCCAGACTTCCCTCCAAAGAGTGACCCATTTGAAAGGCCCCAGAAATATTCACTAAGCCACGCAGGGCTGGGAGGGCTGACGGGAGTCATGGTGGGGAGAACTTACCCCTGCCCCATGCACGACGCATTCACAAAATCGACGTTCGCCTTCTCGAATGTTCCTGGACTCAGAGCCCAGTCTCCCAGCCTCCCTCTCTGTTTTATCAAAATAATCTAAAAACGCACATATTATTTTTCCAGTTTCCCTTCTTTTTTTCTTCAGGTTAAATTTTGACTGTAATTAGTGTGTGGCTGTATTTGAAACAACCCTAAGAGAGATGTTACTGCTACCATTTTCTGTAAAATGGTCTTATTTTTCAAGAAATGGTATCTCTCAGCCCTCAATCCCCCTCTACGATAGGCAGCACAATATGCCAAGATTTCATTTAGCTTTGTTCAGAGACCAAGTTGTAGCTGAATAAATAGAAAGAATGACCAAAGGTAGACTAGAGAAATGCAAACTCGGCTCGTTTTTACCACGAGGGTGGTATAAGGAACCCATCTGCTCCTAAGCTGGCTTGAGGCTGACATTTCTTCATTGCAGTGGAATATTTTACCCTGGAACAGTCTCAGATTTTTCACCTGATACACATTCCAGAGATCCCTGCACACCTAGAGGGTTTCCTGTCACCCTTCACCAAGAGGATGTGAAATGCTGGGAAGACAAAGGTGGAAGAAGAGGAAGAGAAGAGAGGTGAGGCTTCTTCACAAACATGGTCAGTGAGGCCGGCCTGAAGTATCATTATCCTGCGAGTGGCCAGGACTTCCAGCCCACCTGCTGAGAGCCGCCCAGAGCTCGGTCTTCCCATGGGGAGGGCATTGCACAGGCAGGATTATCCAAAGGAGGCCCCTGGTGTGGATGAGGCCACCACGCTTCCATCCCACTGGCTAGGAACCCTGACTCCGGGCGCCTTACCCCAAAGATGGAGATTGTCACAGGGAGAAAGACAGTGGAGGGAGAGGGTGGGCAGCTCCCGTTCCTCATGCCTGGACTCCCATCCCAGAGGTGAGAAGTGAGCTTCGTGGTGAGATCACCACAAAGGTCTATCACCTAAGGGTCCATCACCTACTGTCACTCCCCAACCTGCGGAGCCCTGACCGATGGATGGACAGCCTTTCTCACCCTATGTGTCTCCTTAACGATTGGCCAGACCTTGGCCAGCAGTTTTATGTTCCCTGATGGTGAAAGTGTGGCTTCTAATAGAATCTCCCTCTGTTTTGTTTTCCAAACTTCAACTCTCTCCTCCAGGCTGACTCCGTCCATACCCGTCTCTGCCTTTCCCAGTGGCCTGGGACCCAGCCCAGCTCCTCTATCCTCACCCGGGTGCCTGCATGAGTGCTGTGGCTCCTTCCCCCCTCCTTTCTCCTTGGCCTTGGTGTCTATTCCTTGCAGCACCAGGGGCGTCTCCTCATGCTGCCCCGTTCCTGCGCCTCTGGGGAGCCTCAGGCCTCACTGCCTCTTTCCTGTGCCCACAGCACCTCCTGTTCCTGCCCAGCTCGACACACCCAGGCCTGATGACTCCCAGCATGAATTCCCATGTCTCCCACCCCACGGCCCAAAGTCCCGAGCTGGTGCTCAAAGCTTTCCAAGCATTAGCTCTTTTCTGCCTCTCCAACCTCATAATTTGAGTTGCAGCTTCAGAGCAGCCACCCCCAGCCTGGGAGTGCTTCCTCCCCCGGCTCCAGCGTTGCTCAGGGTTAGGGTTAGGGTTAGGTCAGCCTCCGGGCCCCACTTCCCTCCATCCAGACAGGCCCCACTCCTCACTCTAATTCCCAAGTCCTGAGACCTCGCTGGCGTTCATGTATCACCTGCATCTCTGGGCCTTGAACATCCCAGACCAGGATGGAGTCTCTCTCCTCACCATTTGGGTGCCATGTGGGGCTCCCTCATTAATGCTGCATGCCTCTCTGGCTGGACTTCGTCCGTGAAGATGTGAATGTCTTAGGAATGGTAAAGACCTGCCCTCCGCGTCTTTATAAACTGGATAGCCTGGTCCCAGCCAATTTCAGCACTCAGCGCCATGAGCAAGAGTCAAAATAGTTAACAACAGCACAGTAAAACAAATATGTCAATCAATATAGCCTTTAAAAATTGTAAAATAGATCCCCTTTTTTAAACTCTATTATTATTACATAAACATGCATGCCTAGATAGCCATTTACCAGGGTATAGGAATTATAGCACGAATTTTTTATCAGATCATTCTAAGAGCTTCCAAATCATCAATAAACATCCCAAAATTATTGGCATACGATCTGTTTGGCACAGCTCTTCCTGAAGATGGCTCTGAGTTAGCCATGATTAGACATGGAAAGTCCTCGAAAATTCTCCCAAAAACTTCCTTATCCATTACACGGTCGTTAGGTGACTATGATGTATTCTAACACTTTAGAATAGTGTTTATTAAAGCAAATCTCCAAATGTTTAACCACTCCCATGACACAATTTTAAAGTCTCCATAAAGCCACCTAACCTAAGTCTCCAAAAAGAACTTCTTTTAACATTATTGCCATTACTCATGGTGCAAAGACCTGTGTCAGCCTTTGCTGCGCTAACATTAATGACACGTAAATATCCAGCCCTCCTAACACTGTCTGACATTTAGCTATATGTGATTTCTCTACTACTAGACTGTTATGAAAATTGGTTATTAGCTCACTATATTTAATTAGTCAGCTGAATTTTCTTTATCCACAGAGATTCACAAATGTCCTCTGACCTAGTTTCAGAATTCAAACTACTTAAACATCTTAACATTTCATTGTTTAACTTTTCTCTTCAAACCAAAAATGCATTTTCCAATAACTTATTACACAAACTGATAGTTTTTTCTCTTAGAATAGCTACTTTATGTTTTTATTTCAATTTTTATCTTATTTCTTTACTTAAATACTTCCTACTTTTCCTTCACTATTTTGTTTATTTATTTTATATATTCATTCATTCAAGAAACATTTATATATTGACCATCTACCAGGTAGAAGGCACCACGCTAGGCACATCAGTGACCAAAATCAACAACAGCAACAAAAATCTCTGCCCTTCATGGACTTACAGTGTAGAGAAAAGGAAACAAATAATAAACATAACCAAACAATTACAACGTATGATTTAAAGCTGATAAATGCTTTTGCAAAAGAAATAGACCAGGGAAGGGAATCTGGAGTTCTGTGGGACAGTGGGAGTTTCGTTCCTTGGAATTTTTAATAGTCAGGGTAGGACTCACCTAGAGGAATATGCATGTGAAAACCTTTTTCATCTTTGCTTTAATAACTGAAATATGTTTTTCTTGTCAGGCTAACAAAGCATTAATGGTGTTTACTAAAGCCACAGTCTTCAAATGTTTAACCACTCCCATGACACAGTTTTTATCAGAGGGACTCTGTGAATCTTGATATACTTTTTAAAACATTCTAGGCTGGTGTGGTGGCTCACGCCCATAATCCCAGCACTTTGGGAGGCCAAGGCGGGCGGATCACCAGGTCAGGAGATCAAGACCGTCCTGGCTAACATGGTGAAACCCCATCTCTACTAAAAATACAAAAAAATTAGCCGGGCGTTGTGGCAGGTGCCTGTAGTCCCAGTTACTCGGGAGGCTGAGGCAGGAGAATGGCGTGAACCCAGAAGGCAGAGCTTGCAGTGAGCTGAGATCGCGCCACTGCACTCCAGCCTGGGCGACAGAGCCAGACTTCGTCTCAAAAAAAACAAAACACAACAAAACAAAAAAAACACTCTAACAAGCTCTATCCTGCACAGGGTACCCACTACAATCTCAGCTATCTTCCAGTTTTTGTTTTTATTCTAGCTCTTCAGACATAGTATTTAATTCTCTCTGCTGTTTACTTGATGTATAATACAAACATAAAGCTTATTGGGAACAGATACAGTGATTGATTTACAAATGTTATTGCGCCATTCAGATATAATTGAATACAGTCATTTCAGACTATAAATTAGTCTAAATTGAGTAGACAATCAAAATTAGACAACTTAAATTAAAACATGTTGAAACTTTATAAAAATTTGGCAGAAATGACATATTTTCTTCACACAATTACACTGACACTGTTTATACATACCTAATGTATTCTACATAAGAAGTTTCTCATGGAAATTATTTTTCTCCGACACTAAAAAGAATGATTGACATTTAATTTTATGACGTTCACAAAATCAAGAAAACCATTAAACTGTCTTCAAAGTTCTGAATTTTGTATTTCAAATAAATTATTACAATAGTCTTATGTGAAAGTAATGAAATTTGGCTGATAATGATTGAAATGTACTGCCTTGACTTGTAAGCTTCCTTAAAACTTGTTTTCATATTTCAATGGATGTATGTTTTCAAGTAGACGAGTCAAAATTCTAGATTATGGCCAGGTGCAGTGGCTCATGCCTGTAATCCCAGCACTTTGGGAGGCTCAAGCAGTAGGATCACTTGAGGATAGGAGTTCAAGACCAGCCTGGGCAACACAGGGAGACCTCATCTCTACAAAAAAGGCATGGTGGTGTGCACCTGAAGTTCTAGCTATTCAGGAGGCTGAGGCAGGAGAAATGCTTGAGCTCAGGAGTTTGAAGATAGAGTGAGCTATAATTGTGCCGCTGCACTCCAGCCTGGGCAACAGAGCAAGAACCCCAACTATAAATAAATAAATAAATAAATCTAGATTACAATAATCCATCTATATTAGCGTTATTCTGTTTTTGAAGCTCTAATGACTATTTATAGGCTGGGTGCGGTGGCTCACACCTGTAATCCCAGCACTTTGGGAGGCTGAGGCAGGCAGATCACCTGAGGTCAGGAGTTCGAGACTAGCCTGGCCAACATGGCGAAACACCATCTCTAGTAAAAAAATACAAAATTAGCCGGGTGTGGTGGCACACGCATGTAGTCCCAGCTACTCAGGAGGCTGAGGCAGGAGAATCGCTTGACATTGGGAGGCAGAGGTTGCACTCAGCTGAGATCATGCCATTGCACTCCAGCCTGGGTGACAAGAGTGAAACTCTGTCTCAAAAACAAAAAACAAATAAACAATAAAACTATTTATGTCTGAAATGCCTGATTATTTTTAGCCACAGAATAGGTGGTATAAAAGATTATAAAAGCAACACTTCTAAACATTTTTTCAGTTTCTTCATTAATACTCTTTAATAAATTTTAAAATAATTTTTTATGATTTGAAATGTTTACATGTGAAATTGAATTATGAATTAAGAAAATCATTCTTCTAATTTTTTTCATTAATTTTACACATTTCCATATGGAAACCTGAGTCTTTTGCACGATGTGGTTATCCCTGCACTAAGTGTGTAGATGGCTGGCAACTTTAACTTTTGACATTACACAGTTGGCACCACTTGCATCTGGCATTTGTGTCAGTATCAATAATAGGTCATTCAATTTTGTTGAAATAATCAAGTTGTTTTTAATTCCAGCAATGCAGCTTTTTCTAAAAAAAAAAAAAAAAAAAGCAACAACAACTAATTCTTGCCAATCAAACCCTGCTCCAGGCCAGATTGGTGTTTCCAACACCAGAGGATGCTCCAGGCAGTAGATCTGATTCACACTCTCTCAGAAGACGCATGTTTATGAAATTTAAAGCAAGCATTCCTACACTTATCCAGAGTGATTTTTTTACAATATTTTATCTTAGATTCTATAGCTACCACCTACATAAAAAATGCAATGCCCCATAACAATAAAACCAAAAGTTTCTCAGAAGACAGTGCAACAGAAAGCCCATGTGTCTATACTTGTCGCAATGGTCAGTATCAGTGTGACCCAGTGAGCTTACCCTAGAATTTATATTATAATTAAAGATTGCCCATTATCACAGCTACTCTTATACTATTTACTACATACCAAGCACTATGGAAATATTTCAGTGTTTTCACCAACAGTCCGGCCTGACGGCGTGTTAATGCACGGACATCGGTGGGAATGCTCGCCTGGCCCCAGGATTCTGGATCGCGTTGGATGGAGTTCATTATCATTCTTAAGGGCTATCCTTTTTAATATGCACATGACTTTTCTAACCAACTTCTTGTGATATAATTGACATACCCTAAATTTACCTATTTAAAGTGTATAATTCAGTGGTACTAGTACATTCACGAGATTGTGCAACCATCACCGCTCCCTGACTCCTGAAAATTTCCAGTCTCCCAGGAGAAACTGCATTCTCCTTGGCAGTTCCTTTCCATCCTCCAGCCCCTGGCAGCCACTGCCTGACTTTCTCTCCCTCTGGATTTGCCTGTTCTGGACTTTCATGCACATGGAAGTAGACAGTGTGTGGCTTTTTGTACCTGGTTCGTCCCCTAGGCACGTTTTCAAGGTACACTGTGTTGGAGAATGTGTCTGTACTTCTCTTTAATAGACTTTGTTTTTTAGAGTAGTTTTAGGTTCACAGCAAAACTGAGCAGAAGGTACAGAGATTTCCCACCTACCCTCTGCCCCTCAACACACACACAGCCTCCCTCACAACCCACATCCCCACCACAGCGAGCATGTGTTACAATTGATGAACCTACAGTGACACATCGTCACCCAAAGTCGACAGTTTACAGGAGAGCCCCCCACTTAATAGTGTGCATTCTATGGGTTTGGACAAATAATAATGACACACACCCCCATTGTAATATCCACCTACTGCAGATGATGTCTTCACCTAATAGAAGGGCAAGGAGCTGCTTACAGCCATTGTCCCTCTACCACCATCGCCAAGCCTTAGCCCCGAGCCCTGCCTACACCAGCTGTTCTGAGGTGTTGGCGTATTAGCCCTGCTGTGTCCTGATAGACTTTACCTCTGTCATGTCCATTCCGGCCCAGTAACCAGACTGCATTGTTTGTTCTGCATATGAGGCTATGCCGTAACTTTCCGTGTGTTTGGGGGCTTAGTCATCGTAGCATTAGATTAACAGGTTTAGGGCCGGGCGCGGTGGCTCATGCCTGTAATCCCAGCACTTTGGGAGGCCAAGGCGGGCAGATCATCTGAGGTCAGGAGTTTGAGACCAGCCTGACCAACATGGTGAAACCCCATCTCTACTAAAAATACAAAAATTAGCTGGGTGTGGTGGTGCGTGCCTGTCATCCCACCTACTTGGGAGACTGAAGTGGGAGGATGGCTTGAGCTCAGGAGGTGAAAGCTACAGTGAGCCATGATCACACCAATGCACTCCAGCCTGGACAACAGAGCGAGATCCTGTCTCAAATAAATAAATTAATTAAATATTCTGATTCTCTTCTTTCTTCTGATGTTTCCACTTAGACAATTGTCCAGCATCCAACTAGAAGGCAGCTGGAAGGAGAATACATAGTAAAGCTGTTCTCATTAACTGTATCATTTGCTGACTATTATTGCCATAGGATTGATGAGCACGACAATTATTACACAGAAGAGGGATTTCTTGCTATCCCTCTCAACTGTCTAAATATTTAGACATGTGGTATCTGAGCCATACACATTTCTCTTCCCAATTATTGAGTTCCCAGCTTGGCCCACAAACAGCATGAGGGTTTTGTTTAGAGTGGAGAAGAAAGGCCTTTTTAGAGAGCTAGAGAGCGGGGCTTTCTAAACCAGCTGGGATTCTTTCTGAAGGTGGGAGAGTTGCTGGAAGTAGAGGGATTTGTTGAAGTCCGGTGGGGAGCAGGGAGCTTTTATCAGCCCAAGGGGGTATTTCAAGGCTGAGACTGGCGCTCAGTCTCCACATCAGACCGGCACTCACTGCTCCGGGACTTCCAGAGCGATGTTGCCCCACCTGCCAGGACTCTGCAGACCATGAGGACGGCAGTCCTGACTCCTACAAGTAACCACATTTAGAGCAGACCCCTGAGCCCCACTTCCTCTCCAGCAAAAGCACCAGCTCTGAGGCTCTGCCAGCCCTGAGTTCCGAGGCCCCTGGCCCAAGGAGGACGAGGAGAAAAGAACAAATGAGCTGAGTATAGACATGGCTGCCATTCATCCCTAAGGCTGGAGAGCAAAGGGCAGTCTGGCAGCTCACCCCAAAGCACAGAGAGTGCAGGGAAAGGGAAAGGGAAACGGAAGTATGGGGAAAATGCAGCTCAGACTCAAGAACTTAAAAGTGTCCTCCCCAAAATCAATGCGAGTTAACTACGCCACCAGCTATGACACTAACCGTCTCCTGCCTACCCCCTGCAGTTGCCTACATTTTGATTTTGGTTTCATAGATCTGGAATCAATCTGCTTGCAGTCAGAAATGTTAGTGAGGTAATCCCAGAGAGAGAAATATCTGCCGCAGTCATTTAAACATCTGGTGCCGCCTCCACCCATGACCCCACCCATGGCTCGCCTGGCCTCGCCTCATCTCTGCCAACCTATATTCCTCTTGCTTCGAGTGAAGCTCTTTCCCTATAATTTTCCTTCATCTCCTGATCAATAAAACCTGGATTTACAGGCCAAGAACAAGCAAACAAAAAGTACCCGTGAGCTGGTCTAAACTAGCTTTCATCGAGAAATGCAGCACAAATAAAATGAGTGATTGGTGAGGGGTGAGTTTTGTTTAACTGGGCTTATTCTGGTTGAGAAGCAAGCTCACATCAACTTGGCCATGGAGGAGTAATGTGACTGTCCCCAATTCTGTCAAAAACAACAGCAGACTAAACTCCCTGGCCTCACAGCTAGCCACTTCTGAGGATGAGGCTTACCATGCACTCAGGACTACGAGCCTTTTCCAAATGTTCTCTTGTCTACAACCCTCTGAGCGTGGTGCAAATATTAATTAGTGTTTCTAATGTCGCCTCGCACTGTCATTATCTGTTGATGAAGAGACAGACGTGTCTCCGACAACATCCAGGCCAGCCAAGGTGACATTGCTTTCCTTTGCTCCAAAGCTGTATTCAGCTGCCCTAGTTGGAGTCATCCGCATAGAGTCATTACCATCTCACTTTTGGAAACACTCCCACTCCACTCTGTTGCTGTCCCTAGCACTGTCACTGCAATAAGATAAGAGCCCCAGGCTGGGCACGGTGGCTCACAACTGTAATCCCAGCACTTTGGGAGGCCGAGGCGGGCAGATCACCTGAGTCAGGAGTTCGAGACCACCCTGGCCAATATGGTGAAACCCCGTCTCTAAAGAAATACAAAAATTAGCCAGGCGTGGTGGCTCACCCCTGTAATCCCAGCTACTCGGGAGGCTGAGGCAGGAGAATCGACTGAACCCAGGAGGCGGAGGTTGCAGTGAGCCGAGATCGCACCACTGCACTCCAGCCTGGGCAACAGAGCAAGACTCTGTCTCAAAAAACAAACAAAAAGAGTCCCAGTGCACCTCCAGCGTCCTGGGATCCTGCAGCTCCTGCCCTCCTGGGTGCAGGTCCCTAACATCCCCCCCTAGGCCCACCCACCTTCACCCCCACCTGCCTGCTCCAGCCTCTTCTGCTTCCCAAAGCCACGGCCAGACGCACCTCCCCAGACATGGCCTGGCCGGCCCTCCTCTGCTCAGGAATGCACTCGGGCTGGTAATTACTGGCCACGCCAGGTCACCAGCTTGTTTGTCTTGTTCCGGAGACTTCCATGTGATCTTGGCTCCCGTGTGAGCTTGGTCGCCTCCGAGCCTCTTCCACGCCTCTCTCCTTTCCCCCAAGCCGTGGCTCCAGCCACCAAAGCAAAGCCATAGCAATGTCCACTGTGTATGGTGAGAACGCTGCCTCCAGAGCTCTGCAGTGCCTCTTACCTTACCCGATCACCACACTCAGCCACATGTGACAGGCAAGCTCAGTTCCCATTTCACACACTGGAAAACAGCCTCAGAACAGTCTAGCAGTTTGCACAGGATTGCGTAGCTACAGCCTGGCCCACCCTTCCTAAGAGGCCTGTGGTTCCTCACGGCCATAGCTTGCAACCTCCTCCGAAGCCCGGAGGCCTCGCTCTCTTCTAGTTCCTGGGGCAGTGACCAAGAGCCCCCGATGTGCAGGACGTAGACTAGACATGAGGCGGGGTCCCTGGCTTAAAAGAGCTGGTAATGAATTAAATCAGCAGAAAAGACAGAAGTAATATAAAGAATTGTCATTAATATAAGGTAGAAAATGATTAATACCAAAGAAGTGGCAAAGATAGTAGTTGCTGTGGAAGACGGAAAATATGTGTTTGAGGCTGGCGTGGTGCAGAGACAGTTTCTTGGAGAAGGTGGCCTCTGAGCGAGGCTGGCAAGTGGGCATGCCCCCGTGTCTTTGTGACCCCGGGGGAGAGGCCTTCCCTGGAAGGACCACAGCATCCTCTCAAGCCCTGGGCTTCAGCACTGTGTTTCTGTGTGTTGCTGCCTAATGGTTTCCTAAGATTCAGTCTGTCTCCCCGACAACACTGAAGGTGTTATCTTACAAATATAAAAATGCCCAAATTTTTAAAATATACACTTTCACTTCCTTCACAGCCAGGTTGCAGTGTGACTGCGAGGGCTGGCATGGGACTTGGCAGCTCGGGGTCCCCAGGGAACTCGGAATTGCACTGGGGCCTATAGCAAGGGACCCATGAAGAGCTGACGGTTGACTTGGGCCTCCCTCCAAACTCTGGGTGAATGGGAATATTAATAGCTGCCTGGCAGGTGCATTGATTTAACTCAGTGCAGTGAGTAATAGGTCTCAGCCTGTTTATGTGATTATAACAAAATATCTGAGGCTGGGTCATTTGTGAAGAACAGACGTTGATTCTCACACTCCGGAGGCCGGGTCCGAGATCAAGGTACCGGCAGGTTCAGTGCCTGGTCAGGGGCGGCTCCTCTCAGACAGCACCTTCTCCACGTCCTCACATGGCAGGAGGTGAGGAAGGAACAGACTCGCCCCTTGAGCCGCTTTCTAATAAGGAGCTAGTCCTCCTGCACGTCCCTCCTCTCAGCACCGTCACACTGGTGACCACGTCTCCACATATGAATCTTGGTGGACACATTCAGGCCACAGCAGACGCAATGGAAAGGATAGTTCAAAACATAAAAATGGTCACAATTTTAGTAGCAAAAGGCCAGCCTCCTGTCTGGACTGACGTTGGGCCTTCTGCTGTGGGTTTCCTGAGAGACTCACTCCCCTCTTCACACGCAGGCCTCCTTCACTCTCCCGGGGGTCCTGGCTAGGAACCTCCACGCCCACCACCCACTGCTCATCTTCTGCTGCCCCCAAAGCTTAGATGGCCTGTTCACCCAGTGTTTCTCATCTGCCTGCCTACACCATCTCTTCACATCTCAGCTTAGCCACGACCGTCTCTCGGAGCCCTCCGGACCTTCGAAGACTGGTCTAGGGGCTTTCCTATGCACTTACAAGGCAGCCTTTAAGCCCCAGTGGTCTTTCTCCTCCCCAGGCTGTTTTCCTAAGGCAGGAGGTCTGTATTTGGTGGCATCATACACTGGGCACTCACCAGGCTGACCAAGCCTACCCTCGGGGACTGTTTGTGAATAGCTGAGCAGCAGGGGCCGGCGGAGAGACCTCAGCTCTGGGTTATCCGTCCACTAGCAGCCATCCCCTTGTCTGCTGTGGTGGAACATGAATCTTAGCAGAAATGCACAAACCACCCCAACCATAAAACTGCATGCATTCCTACTCAGCTCATTATCAATCAAGATGTGAATTTATAATCCTGGTAATTACTAATCAATAAAATTAGACCAGATAAGTCCCTGAATTGTCAAATGTAAAAATGAGAATGTGAAAAGAGCTAGTTGAGAGGTCAAAACACAGAGGAAGTCCTGGTGTGGCAGCCACACGTGGAACCCCAGCACTTTGGGAGGCTGAGGCCAGCCCAGAAGCTCGAGCCTGGGCAACACAGTGAGGTCCCATCTCTCCAAAAAAATATTTAAAATTAACCGGGCGTGGTGGTTGCATGCCTGTGGTCCCAACCACTCGGGAGGCTGAGGTGGGAGGATCACTTGAGCCCAGGAGTTTAAGGCTGCAGTGAGCCACGATTGTGCCACTGCACTCCAGCCTGGGCTATAGGGCGAGACCCTGTCTCAAAAATAAATTAATACTTTTAAAAGCACACGTACAGAGGAAGAAGGCCTGAATGATTCTCAAAGCCCATCCTGCACCTGCCCTCCCCACAGAATGACTCCAGCTTTGCCTGAGCACTCACAAGGAGAGCCAGGCCCAGGCCCTCCCCACAGTGATGTGCCATCAGGTGGAGAAGCCACACCCTCCGCCTGTCCACTCCCACACTCACCGTTGCTGTGTCACACGTGGGCAAAGGAAGAATCGGAAACTAAAGGTTGTCAGTTACCTTTTCAGGGAAATACACGTCCCCATTTGTTTTCTAGAATGAAAAGAACAGCTTCAAGGTGTTTAGAGGCTCCTGTCAATGCCCCTCATGCTTGGAAATGAATGCAAGCTGCAGATTCGGGTTGCCTTCTCCACTTGCTGCAAATGCACCTTTAATTGCTTGTACACATCACGTTTTCCCGGGGAGCTGATGAGTCACCTGCCTTTCCACTCATAGGCTCACGCCCACCTCAATCCATCCTTCTTTATGTCCCTACAGGTAAAGAAAATTGCCTGCATTAGCTGCCCTGACAGCCACCCACTACTCCCGAGGGTGAACATCCAGAAGAGAGAAGGTGCACCTCTCAGAGTCGGTCTGGACCGTAACAATGGGAACGGTTATGCTCTTTCAAAAGGCTCTTTCTCTTTTATGCCCACAGATAAAAGTTAGGGACTTCTTGCTGAATCCCAGGAGGTAGTAAAAAAAACCACGAATCTCCATCCAAGGATCCCTGCACCTAGTCGGTGCCTCCACGGCACTCCGGTTTAAAGACCAGGGATCTTAGTCGTCACTGTTTGTAGAGAATGAGAAGAATCAAACCTCACAAAATTAAATCGCTTCTGATGCTCTCCCTTCCAGGCATGCGAATGGGCCCATGCAGACAACATCTTTGTGCTGGGCTATTTGGCCTGATGTATGTAAAAGATCTGTGAATCATGGCAGTGAGTAACGCAGCACCTTCACTTAGTAGGGGCTCATCAAGAGCTTGGCGAATACATAAGTGGCTGGATGAATAAATCACTGAGCTCTGCAGGCTTAAGTCTGTCTTTGCTCTACTGACCAGATCGGCAAATCCCCACCACAGAAGAGAGTTCTCAGGGCGGCAGCTCCCTGTCTCAACCCTCCCTAGCCCTACAAAATTATAAAAACAGATGATGGCTGCACAGGTCTCTGAAGCAGGGCTAGATCCATAAATTAACTAATGGAATTTAATCCTTGCAATAAGATACATTCTTTATAGGTGAGAACCCTGAGCATCAGAGAAGGCAACTAACTCAGCCAAGCTTAAACAGCCATGAAGGGGAGGAGCTGGGATGTGGGGGTCTGACTCCAGCATCTGCACTTGCAGTGACTGGGCTATAGTAGTGCCCCTCACATATTATATGAAAGCACGTGGGCTGGGCCTGACAATCTGTGTCTTAAACAACCTCCCAGGTAAAACCCATGCTGATGGTTGACGAACCTTACTAGGAGCCACAAAGCCCTTTTCCACTCTTGGTACTTCTCTGATCTGTCCTCTAGAACATCTTCTACAACTTTCCTGATTACACGAATGAATCTACCTTTTCATTTTTGTGATTCAGTTTTGTATGAGTCAGGATTCTCCAGAGAAGCAGAGCCAACAGGAGATATATAGATACAGAGATAGAGAGAGAGAGTGGGAGGAATCGGGGCTCATGTGATTCGGGGAACTGGCAAGTCTGGAGTCCACAGGGCAGGTCAGCTGCCTGGAGATGGAGATGACAGTTGATATTTCAGTCTGGAGTCCGAAGGCCAACTGGAGACAGAATTCCTTCTCCCTCTGGAAACTTCAGTCCCAGTGAAGCCTCTTCAGGCCCTCAGTGGGCCAGAGGAGGGAAAATACCCTTTTCTGTCTACACACCTGCTCTCCATGTCCACAGCAGCGCTCTATGACAGGAGAATGTTTGTGCAGTCACTTGGGACTTGCCTCCCTCCTGTGTCTAGTCCATGGTGCAGAAAGGTTTGCCTGCACTTTGGTCTTCTACCAGCCACTGACTTAAGAACTTTTGAAATTATTCTAATTGGCATTTTTAACATTTCATCTTTGAATGTTTAAAAATATTCATTGTAATGTAATTGTCAAGTAGGTAATGTGCTCAGGCACCACCAGCTCATTTCCCAGCTTCTGGACAGGTGACTGTGGCTTAACAGCTTCCAGTCTCCAGCAGAGACTGCCACTCAGTGTCCCCAGCAAAGCTCTGGAGTTCATCTGGAACCTGAAGGGCAAACAATCCAGAGAGACAGAGAGAGAGAGAGAGAGGAAGGAAGGAAGGAAGGAAGGAAGGAAGGAAGGAAGGAAGGAAGGAAGGAAGGAAGGTAGGTCTGTCCTCTTTAATAACAAGGGATAATTTGGGCTAAATTTTGCCTATGTTGCTGCACTTAGTGTCACCTTCAGCAGTAACTTTAACCATTCTGGAATATTATTGACACCTGTTCCAATGGAAGGAATGGAAGGAATTGACATCTGTTCCAATGGAAGTCTCTGATAAAGAAGTCTTTATCAATATCTAAGCAAGTTTTCACCTTCTATTGAATGCCAAGTTGTAAGTGCAGAGATATTTCATAATTGCTTCTTACCTCCAAGAGTTTCAGTCAACAGCTAAAATGACTCTTTTTGAAATAATGTATGCTGCTTTGAATCTACTCCTCAAAATTTACACCCCATCTAAAATGCTTTCCCAATTTTCCCATTTATCTAAGGCCTTGCTCATAACTGAATCCTTTGAAAAATATTACCATTTTCAAAATGTTTGCATACACTTAACCTTCAAGATGCCTGCACCAGGCACTCAGCATGAATGAAGTCAAAGCAAGTCCTGTGCTGCGTTCCCCCAAAAAAGCCTATTCTGTCCAGTGTCACAACTGGAAGCACATCAATCACTCCAAGGACCTCCCAGAAAGAACATCATTTCATCAGTAACTATGAGGAGATGATATATGTTTAGCCTACAAGGAAACAGATGCAAAAAAATTTCAGTGAATGTTTATATAATCTTTTGATGAGGAAGGCCTATTTTTTTTTATAAATAATACAAAAGCAAAGACAGAAACAATAAGGAAAACAGTCACAACTTTTATACCTAAAAGTGTAAAATCTCTAGATGCCAAACTTCAATTAACAAAATTACAAACAAATGAAAAGTCCAAATGAAATACTTGCACTATGCATGAAAAACAAAACATTTATTTTCTAGAATATTTGATTATTTTAACAATCAGTAAGTAAAAAAGATAACTCCCATGAGAAAAAAAATGAAGCCAGGGCATAATTGCCAACTCATTAAAAATATGTAAATATATAACATTTATATTAATATAAAAGATATAACAGAAAACATATTCATAATATTCAATCTCTCTAGAATTCAAGAAACATGTATCAAAAAAATGAGAAACCAGTTTTGTCATTGGAAAAGTTGTATTTATTTTTTATTACATTTTGATAAAAGCCCATTTTTGGTGAGGGTCTGACAAATCAGATGCTCTGAAACATGGGTGGAAGCGATGTCAATCATGCAACTTTTCTAAATATTGACAAAACTCAATATTTACCAGGATGCTTAAAGATTTCAAACACTTCGGCCGGGCGCAGTGGCTCACGCCTGTAATCCCAGCACTTTGGGAGGCCAAGGCAGAAGGACCACCTGAGGTCAGGAGTTTGAGACCCACCTGGCCAACATGATGAAACCCTGTCTCTACTAAAAATACAAAAATTAGCCGGGCGTGGTGGTGCGCACCTGTAACCCCAGCTATTCAGGAGGCTGAGGCAGGAGAATCGCTTGAACCAGGCAGCAGAGGTTGCAGTGAGTGAGCTGAGATCATGCCAGTGCACTCCAGCCGGGGCAACAGAGGGAAGCTACATCTCAAAAACAAACAAACCAACAAAAAAAGATTTCAAACACTTCAACCTAATTATTCCATACCTGGAAATCTAAGGAAATAATCAGGAATGAGCAAAATTTGGAATACATGAATATTTGTTGTAACATGATTAGTAACTATGAACCAATGATCTTAAATGTTCAAGAACAAAAGGGAGAAATAAATTGAGTTTATTCCACATTTGATAGAAAACTATACAGCCACTAATACAAATGCGATTTTGAAAAACATTTATTGACCTTGAAAAATGTTTATGCCATTGTTAAGAGAAAAAGCAGAATGAAAGCATTGCAGATAATAATGATTTCATCAGGAATATGTGTTAAAATTACCTGTGTATTTATATTTATTAAAAGTTCTGGGCCGGGAGCGGTGGCTCACTCCTGTAATCCCAGCACTTTGGGAGGCTGAGGCGGGCAGATCACGAGGTCAGGAGATCGAGACCATCCTGGCTAACATGGTGAAACCCCGTCTCTACTAAAAATACAAAAAATTAGCCGGGCGCAGCGGCAGGCGCCTGTAGTCCCAGCTACTCGGGAGGCTGAGGCGGGAGAATGACGTGAACCCGGGAGGCGGAGGTTGCAGTGAGCCGAGATCGCGCCACTGCAGTCCGGCCTGGGCGAAAGAGCGAGACTCTGTCTCAAAAAAAAAAAAAAAAAAAAAGTTCTGCTCACTGATATTTTAGATATACCCCCTACTGAGAACCAACAATATGCCATATGATCCCAATTCTACTGCGTACAAAACATTGAAACAAAATCCAGAAAACACTCATTGTGTTTTGCCCTACATTAGTACATTTATCATTTGAAAAAAGAGGGCACCTTTTTTTTTTTTTTTGAGACGGAGTCTTGCTCTGTCGCCCAGGCTGGAGTGCAGTGGCACGATCTCGGCTCACTGCAAGCTCTGCCTCTCAGGTTCACGCCATTCTCCTGCCTCAGCCTCCCGAGTAGCTGGGACTACAGCTACCACCCCCGGCTAATTTTTTGTATTTCAGTAGAGACGGGGTTTCACCATGTTAGCCAGGATGGTCTCGATCTCCTGACCTCGTGATCCGCCCGCCTCGGCCTCCCAAAGGGCTGGGATTACAGGTGTGAGCCACCACGCCCGGCCGGCAATTTTTAAAAGTACAAAATGAAGCCTTTAATCTGGCATAAGATATGCCATTAATATTGTTTTTCTTTATTTTAGATTCCATTTCTTTCTTTCCATTTTATTTTTATAGAGATGAGGTCTTACTATGTTGCCTAGGCTGGTCTCAAACTTATGGCTTAAAGTAATCCTCCCACTACAACCTCTCCAAATGCTGGAATTATAGGCCTGAACCACTGCTCCTGGCCTAGATTTCCTTTCTTAAATCAAATTTTCCTTTGATAGCTTTTCTCATACCCAAGCAGAGAGCCACTTCGGTAGCACATTGAGATTACACAATTGCTTGCATCTTTTATTGATGCTTTTCATCATTTTTCAAATTGACAAAAATTTCCCAAGAGACAACCAAAAGTTAAACTCAATGTTCACATAATGTTCATTCAATGTTTATGAAAATGTAATGTTTTCTTTACTAATTTAAACATATCTGTCAGATAATAAACACTGACTTTTTAAACTTAAGGACTATGTTTTGCTGAAAAAGCTTTTTTTTGAACAGGAAAAGGCAGTTAACAAATTGATACATTCTCCTCTTCCTACTTCTAACTCATGAAGCTAAAAACAGTTCATTGTATCATAGATCACTTTCTACTCTGAAAACATGGACAGAGCTCACCTCCTAGAGTGGCAAAAATCAAACACACTTGCTAACAACATAAAGAGCCATATTTATTAAGAGCTCCTGATAGGTTACAATAAATCAAGTTAAAATCAGTTAAAAATAACATGTGTTCCCTTTCTGCTAGGATCCAACTCATCATTTAGGACGTGGTTGGAATAGGAATTGCTCAGTAGAGACTAATGCTAACTCCTTTGTGCTCCTCCTTTC
This sequence comes from Homo sapiens, assembly GCF_000001405.40. Lineage (NCBI taxonomy): Eukaryota > Metazoa > Chordata > Mammalia > Primates > Hominidae > Homo > Homo sapiens. The sequence goes on from NC_000006.12 coordinate 167,787,001, forward strand.
CCTCTTCATACTTTCTGCTTTCTCTTTCCCATCTGCACTGATACTGCATTGCCTGTTTTGTCTCTTAATTGAGCCTGAGATCTCAGGGTGCAAGGTCACAGATCTCTTTCACAGCACAGTCCACAGCTGGTGCCAAGACAGCATGTGACTGAGATGTCTAACCTTAACCGACACTATGAGCTACAACACTTACAAACCCCAAAGTTACTGAGATTTTAAACGTGCTCAGCTCTCGTCACATATGTTTAATGCACTAAAGAGCACATTCTTGAGATTGTTCAAATCAACATCGGCCAGCCTGCTAAATACTTACCTGTGCACTTCTGGATCAAGCTCTGTGGGCATAGCAGGTCATTTAAACTTGGGTAGAAATGTGTTTTGTCTTCGATAACCTTCCCGCTGTGCCTAACCAGTGCCTGCTGTCCCCATGAATCTCCTCCTCTGTGCAATGTGCATGAAGCCTGTGCTCTTCCTCACAGCCCTCTCCCTGCAGTCCCAGCACCAAGGCCGGCTTCCCGGGCAGGCCACCTCCTCTGCACACCGCTCCCTGTTCCCTGCTGGGTTTAAGTAGGAATGGAGCCTTCCCAGTGTTGAAATAAACCTGTGTCTGCAAAAGAAAACAAAAACAAGACAGAATTCATTTGTAATTTGGTATTTGTCTGACTTTTCCTATGAACTATTAGGATGCTTTTCTTATATTTCTCTGCAAACATGTTCCGTTTTCCACCCATGATTACGAGTTGCATAGATGATCTACTTCCCTTTCGAGATTGTGACATCTTTGAATGTAGAATCCGTTTCCGTGTATCTGGTACTCCCTGCCGGAGTACTTGCTGCACTGTGGCCATCAATGGGTGTTTGTTCAACATTTAATAATGGTGCAATTTAACAAAATTCCATTAAATTTGTTTCTGTCTACATGGAAATGTAATTTTATCTTATTAGAACCATTTCACTTTTAAATGCCCTAAAATAGCACTCTTGGAATGAGGAAATGAATATAAACTAAGAAGACACCTGTGGGGACCTTTGTCCCAATCCCCATCAGTTACTCTTCCAGCCACCTGGCGAGGATACAGGCTCAAAGGCAGGTGTTAGGCTGAGGTCGCCCAGTCACCAGCTCTAGGGCTCTCGGATGCCCCGCTCTCACCACTACCACGCGCAAGAGCAGAGCGAGAGCTCCTTAACGCCAGTTTATTTAGCATTTTGATCTTTTCATTTTCTGATTTCTTATAATTTATAAATTTGAAGAATGTCTTCTTCCGCACTGGTGGGGGGGGTGTAACTAAAGCCTGGAGGCTGCTGTCGCGACGCCTTTGCGGCTAGAGCTTCTTTTACTATCCTGAGTCAGAGCCTCCCGAAGCCACGGAGGAACGCCCACGGGGCCGGGGGGTGGGGTGGGGACACTGCGCATTCAGGTCTCACCATCTGGGGACCCAGTATGCTGTGGTGCCCTTGCTGAAGCAAGGCTAATTGTCCTCATGTGACCGAGAGAGACTTCTCACGGCCATGCACAAAGACAGAGACCGTGTCAACAAGCATCCCAAGGTAGGACGAGGCAGAGTGTTTCGGATTCTCTTTTAGAATTTGGTGGCAACTGCTGGAGAGGCTGGTCTAATTTGTAACAAGTTAAACAAAGAGCCTTAGGAAGACAAACAGAAGAAAGAACCTTGGATTTATTATAGAATCCAAGGCCTGGCTTTTTGAGCCAGGCTTAGCTTTATTAGCATACAGCATAATGCTTGGCACCGAGGAGACACTTAATAAATATTTATGCACAAATGAATGAGTTTTCAGCATGTCACTTAACCCTTTGTACACTCAGTCTCCAAGTCTACAAAATAAGATGATTCAACTGGATAGTTATCATGATTGTAAAAATGTCTTGATTTAGAGATACCTACTTTTCCCTCATTCTCTACTTTCACATGTGACTAAAGCAAATTATAACCAAACCTCATTAATTTAGAATTACACTAGTAAGCCTCATCTAATTCATTAAAATCTGAATTACAAAATATATTAAGAGAAATACAACATTACTTTTTAAAAATTCAATAAATAGGATGAAGATGTAAGTGAATAAGATTAATTAGATAAAATGATTTGTACACTTATGTTCCAGATTGATAAATCCAAACTTTAAAATGTCCTAACAATAAAATATAGTTCTGAGTTTCAGGGTAGCTCCTTTGTGCTTCTTTCTTTCTTTCTTTCTTTCTTTCTTCTTCCTTCCTTCCTTCATTCCTTCCTTCCTTTTTCTTTCTTTTTATTTTTGATGTTTACTTTTGTTTTTCCAACTAGAAACTAAACCTCTGAAGTCAGGGAATATGTAGTATAGAGCTTGTGAGATAGCTTTTGAAAATGGACAGAAGTATTTCAGAAACTTCTACTCAACAGTTGCTATGGACTGAACTGTGCACTCCCACCCTGCAAATTCCCAGGGGAAGCCCCACCCCTCAGCATGGAGCAGGGGCCTGTAAGGAGGTCGTTAAGGTTAGACGGGGTCATAAGGGTGGGTCCCTGAGCCAATAGGATTGCTGTCCGTATAAGAGGAGCCACCAGAGAGCTTGCTGTCTCGGCACACAAGCATAGAGGGACAGGGGCTGCTGGGCAAGTCTGGAAGCCTCAAAATGCAATCTGCCTGCTGCCCCCTGGATCTCGGACTTCCGGCCTCCAGAACTGTGAGGAATCAATGTATGTGGTTTAAGCTGAAACTACCCAGTCCACAGACAGCAACCCAGGCAGAATAATACAATAGCAATGTCAACACCACACAAAACTCTCCTGTCTCCTTGTAGATGAAGCAGCTCCAACCCACAGGCTCCAGTCTCACTCAAGGCTCACCAGAGATGCAAGCCTCACCCTCCCCATCCACCCCTGCATGCCACCATCCACCCCCATGCCCCCATCCACCCCTGCACACTATCCACTATCTACCTCTGCACTAAACCAGCCACCCTTACACCACCCCCCACCCCTACCCCCACCCCCATCATCCATCCCCACAATACACCATCCATTCCTGCCATTCACCCTTGCATGCCACCATCACCACCGCACTCAGCCATCCACCCCTGCACTCAACCATCCACCCTTACCCCTCACCGTCCACCCCATACCCCGTCATCCACCCCTGCACTCAACCATCCACCCCTGCTCCCCACCATCCACCCCACCCCTCACCATCCACCCCATCCTCAGCCACCCAATACTACCCCTCACCATCCTCCCCAACCCCACCATCCAATCCTACCCCTCATCATCCATCTCCCCACCATCCACCCATACCCCTCACCATCCACCCATACCCCTCACCATCCACCCATACCCCTCACCATCCACCCCATCTCAATCACCCAATACTACCCCTCACCATCCTCCCCTACCCCCCACCATCCTCCCCTACCCCCCATAATCCACACCTACCCCTCACCATCTGCCCCTACCCCCCACCACCCACCCTACTCTCTCTTACTCAGGACATCCACCCCGCTTCAGGCATCTGCCCAAAGCCCATGCATCCACCAACCTGCCTGAGAGAGCAAAGGACCCTCCACCTAAATTCTTATCTGCTCTTCAAGGGTTTCCATCCATTCCACTCACCCTCCGAGTTATCGCCATTGCAGTGGGTGAGACATTTCACTTGAGGGAATGAAGGGTTTTTTTGGTCCCCTCTCCCTTAAAAAAATTTCAGGGAGTTGAACGATGAAAAGCTGCCCTTCCCTTAAGACACACACACATTGGCCCAGCATAGTGTGCTAGGCAGTACCCTAGCATGCAGCAGGCAAATACAGGGCACCTGGGTCCACCTGAACTTCAATCAACCACAGATAATTTCTTAACTTATACTAGATTGAGATAACACTATATACAACCCTACTCTACTACCATGTATTAGATTATGCCAAAAAATAATCCATGGTCATTGTAAATGCACACTTACCTGGCACACTGTATTTTACTTGCTCTATCTGGCAACTCCTTCCATAAGGGAAGTCTGAAGTGAGCAGTCGAGCTGGGAGAGCAGAGTCATGCGGGGCAGGGGAATGATGGGGTCCCACAGCCGTGCCCATCAGCCCGTTGACCACATCTGCATGGCACAGGGAGAAGGAGGGGAGGACAGGTGGGTCCCGGCACGGCCACCCCTTCATCAGCCCATCAACCACAGCCTTCACGGCACTCATCCCATGAGCTGTCACCCAGCACCCACCAGGAACTGAACAAGAAGGACATGGCTGTGTCCTCAGGGAACTTAGGGAGGACAGTTATCTCCCCCACAACACAGTTCAATCAAATGTACCACGGGGCAGGTGTTAGTCTAATATTAACCAGTGCTGGGAACACTGCGTGATCTTAGTTCCTTCTTGAAAAGTTTGTTTTCAAAAAGCTGAAGGAAAATACATCACAGTGATACAGAAGTTGAACCAGCTCTGGCCCTGAGCACCAGGGCACCAAGCAGGTGATGGGGCGGCCCCAGTACAGGCAACAGCACGTGGGGTCTGGGGGCAGCCGGGGATCCAAGCTTAGCCTGGGCAGCATGTGAGGTGAGTGGCCAGCAGCACACCCCAGCGTCACCTGGAGCCTTGGTAAGTGAAGCTGCCAGAAAAAGCATGGATTAAGCAAGAGTTTATTTTGCCTGGGGTCATCATTTTAGCAACATAAACTTACGTCATTAATTTGCATTGGCATCTGACCATTTTGTGAAATGTGGAGTTTCTGAGGGCGGCAAGGCACCTAGAGTCCAGCAGCTTCCTGTGCTGCCCACTCTGGCAGAGACCCCAGGCAGAGAAGAAGGCGGCAGAGAGGTAGACTAGCTGATGAAATTTCTGATTTTGTAACTCAAGCCTTCTTTCTCATTAATTTTTTTCACTTCTCCCTTTTTATGGAAATAGAACATACATACAGAAAGTACACTTAAAGTATCAGCTTGATGAATTTTCACAGCCTGCACTCAGCCTCATCAGCAGAGCCAGATGAACAACCTGAACACACAGCAGCCCTGAACCCTCTGCGGGCCACTCCCAGGCACCAAGCTCTGGCACCCTCACTTCTGAAGGCAGAGAGTGATGTGCCTGTGTTTTTGCACTTTATACGAATATATTTTGTCTTACATCTTAATTGCATATGTTATTTATCCCCAAGTTCCCTGAGGACAGAACCATGTCCTTCTTGTTCCTTCCTGATCAGTTCCTGGCGGGTGCGGGGTGGCGGCTCTTGGGATGAGTGCACGCTTGGTAGTGAAGGGGTGGCTGCGCCTGGACCAATCCGCTCTCTCTCTCAACCTCCCTGTGCTTGACAGGCTGCGGGCATGGCTGTGGGACACCATCAATGATTACTCTCCCTTTAACCCTTTCAGAATCAGCAACACAAGCAGTGCTTTAAACCCAAAAGGTCCCTTAGCACCAGGTCATAGAGATTTTGCAAAAGCCGTGGGATACGGAGCTGGTACAAGTGGAGTCTCTCTTATTCGAAATGCCTGGTACCAGAAGTGTTTTGAGTGTTTTATTGTTTCGTATTTTGGAATATTTGCGTATACATAATGAGACATCTTGGAGATGCTACCCAAGTTGAAACACAAAATAAATTCATGCTTTATATACACATAGCCTGAGGTAATTTTATACAATATTTTTAATAGTTTGTAAATGTAATGAAATTTTGGTTACATTGTGACTGCAACCTGTCACATGAGGTGATATGGTTTGGCTGTGTCCCCACCCAAATCTCAACTTGAATTGTATCTCCCAGAATTCCCACATGTTGTGGGAGGGACCAAGGGGGAGGTGATTGAATCACGGGGGCCGGTCTTTCCTGTGCTGTTCTCCTAATAGTGAATAAGTCTCATGAGATTTGATGGCTTTATCAGGGGTTTCTGCTTTTGCTTCTTCCTCATTTTCCTCTTGCTGCCACCATGTAAGAAGTGCCTTTTGCCTCCCGCCATGATTCTGAGGCCTCCCCGGCCATGTGGAACTGTAAGTCCAACTAAACCTCTGTTTCTTCCCAGTTTTGGGTATGTTTTTATCAGCAGCATGGAAACAGATTAATACATGAGGTCAGGTGTGGAATGTTTCACTTGTGGCATGAGGTTAGTGCTCTAAACATTGTAGATGTCAGGGCATTTGGGATTCCAGGTTTTTGAATTAGGGAGGGTCAGCCCGTATGGCAAAAAGCCAGGTGCAGCAGCCTCCAGTCTGCAGGCCTGAATATTGGGCTGCTAATGCAGGAGAAGGCAAGATTGATCTGATGTCAAATATTGAAGCTGAAATGTGTCAGTGCCCATGTGGATCAATGTTTCATGTGAGGACAATGCTGACATTTTTCTAACCAGCTGGATCATTTTAAACCATTGTGCTGAAAAAAAGACAATCAAAGAATTATGATTTTTTTTAAAAATCTCCCTAGCCTGTAAAGTTTAACACTGAAACACAGTCCTTAAGAATATCTTCTTCTAAGTGTGGTGTACAAAGTCCATTTCTGCAGTGGTTTGAGGCTGATGTGCTTCTACAAGATGGTGTTGTGGTCTGGCCTAGCTATGCAGATCCTTTTGTTTCTGTTTCTGGAAATATGTCAGGCATGTTGCCCTGTTGGTGTAATTTCCTTTAATTCATCCTCGGTCACCGTTTTCCAGGGCCTCTGGGCATGGGCGTTGATAACCTACGCCTGGTAACACCAACGTCTGTGAGCCCAGCCTGACAATGATTCTACCACCTGTCGATGGAGCAGGTTTCAGTGTAAACAAGCGTGTGAATAACTGCTGAAATATTGACGCTTTATTGCCTCCACGGAGGCCACAGTTTCCTTTATTTTATGATGGTACTTGAAATAATGTTTGATAAGAACCTGCCCAAAAGTCCTCCTCACATGGAGCATCTTAGAGTTTCAAAAGAAAATTGTTGAGGTTTCTGTTCAAATTCCAGAAGATCCAACTAGAGCCTGGGAGTCATCATCATGCTTCTGGTGGATTTTCTCCTGCTCACATCACAGAGTGTGATTCTGAGACCCCTCTAGCTGTCCCAGTCCCCTATGCCCAAATTAATTCATTCACTTCAGTGCTTCGAAAACTGTCTTTAATTCTCACAAGCCCCAAGTTGATGCATTCTTCTGAAATCCTTGCTTGATGACACTAAGTATCCATTCCCTGCCATTCTCTGTCACCACACGCTTTATATTTTTTCATTGCACATAGTAAAATATGTAATTTTATATTTGCTTTTCATTTTACTTTCCATCTCCTTCACCAATATGGAAGCTCCAGGAAGGGAGAGGCGATGGACTTTCTTCCCCTGTTGTTTTGCTACCATCACGCACACAACGCCTGAATTATAGTCGCTGCTCAATAAACATCTGTTAATGAATAGATGGTAGTGGCACAGGGGCCCGGCGCAGGTGAAAACCTCCCTGTATTCCTCTTTAGCTCAGCACTCAGGGCACATTCCTTCCTGTGCACAGTGGAAGGTAACTCTGCTGAGCCCTCTGTCACCGTAGCCTCTGCAGAGGTCCGGGCACACGGCCACCTCAGAGCCCTCCTGCAAGCGTAGCAGCCTCGCACGCCACCTGGAGAATGTGCACATGTGTGGGACTGGCCCTGGTTCCCACCACACTGGGAGGTGGCCTTTGCAGAGAGTTGTCATATAACAGCCCTGCCAAGGGGAGGGTGGGACGTCTTGGTTTCACATGGATAAGGTTCTTTAAGGCAGGCTCCCTACAACACTTAGCAAATAAATAGTGTTTATTCGTGTGCTCATCCAAACATTTGTTGCCCAATGCAAATTCACTAGAATCATAGTGTCAAACAGCTGGATGATCGCTCATCATCACACACAGGCTTGAGGAGTCCCAGAGCTAACGTCAGCAAGATGATGGATGGACAGATGAGAGATAGATAAATAGATAATAGGTTAATAGAGACAGATAGATGGTAGATAATGATGATAATGAACTTAGGTATAGATAGACAGTAGATGTGGATAGGTAGGTAGTTAGTAGGTAGATAGATAACAGGTTAATAGAGATAGATAATAGATAGATAGATAATTAATAGATAGAGATAGATGAGAGATAGAGATGACCCTGGCTTTATCATTTATTAATATCATTTCGACAAGGCAGAGACCCCAGCCCATGGAGAAGCTGTTGGTGGTGTGGCTGAGGTATGCAAATGTTTATGCACACGTGTGTTTTTGAGGGGGAAGAGAGGAAGGAAATGGGGGAGAGGAAAGAAGAAAAACAATGGGACAAAGCACCCAGGGCCGCCATTCACGGGTCCATGTGTTAAATAGGTGGTTATTTGAATAGTTGCTGCTGAAAGCTTCTGCTACCTTCCCCAGGTCAGGAATGAAACACACAGGCCCTGGTGGTGGCTCTGGTTTTTTCTGGAATTGTTCTACTGGAAACTGCTCTCTGTGAATTGACGGCTAATGAGACAAGCATCCGGAGCGAATGAGGGGCAGTGCCCTCCTCCCGCGTCCCCCTCGTGGGCTCCTCCCAGGCCGAGGAAGCTCGCTGCCCAGGCTTGGACAGACCCCCGAACAAAGGGAGCCGACAGCTCCACAACACTCAGCCCATGGGGACTGCAGCAGGTGAGTCTCCACCCAGCCTCCCTCCTTTGGACCAACACGAACTCCGGAGACGTCTGGGTGCAGCTGCCTCAGGCCCTGCTGTCTTCAACGGGGACTGAGGTTGCAGTTTAGCTGGCTTTCCTGTTCCTGCTTCCCCGGGTCCCCCTCAAAGAAGCCGCCTGCACCCCGTGCCACCTCACTCTGGCATAGCCCTACTTCTCCAAACCACCAGGCCTGCCCTCCCTTGTCCACGCAGATCTGACAATCTCCACAGTGCTGTGCAGACTTCAGCTCCAAGAAGTTGCAAGTGATGGAGATAAAATCCCTTCCTGAGAGAGTCATGAACCGTGGCCTGTTTGAGGTCAAAAGAAGAAATGAGAACAAAGCCAAGCCAAGGCTTCGGAGTGAGCCCTGAGACACCTCTCAGCTGGCCGGGTGGCCAGAGATCCACCCTGCAGGAGCCGCCCCGAGGCAGGTGGGCCACATCTCCCAACAAGCGGCACACAAGAAGGCCCCTCGCAAGAGGAGGCATCTGTGGTCTTCCCAGAGCAAAGGCAGCAGCCCCGGGAGCCCAGCCAGTCACTGGCCACCTGCACGCCTCTACACAGCAGACCTGGCCAGGCGGGCAGTGCCCCTGGCCCCTTGCGAATAGAACGTTGTGGAACAGGCGGAACCTGGGCAGCTGTCCTGCACTCTGGCCAGCCAGTCCGTGGATGCTCCTGCCAGGCAGGACTGAGCCACTGCCAGTCTGGCCGGTGCCAGCCTTTTCTCAGATCCAGCCACGCCCTCTCTGGATACGGTCTGGACACCGGCAGACCAAGCAGGCAGTTGCCTCCCTGGCTGGCTCTGACCTCCTGCAGCACAAGGAGAGGATGCACTGCACTGCCAGGCCTCTGGGCACCGAGGGCCGCTGCTCCGCCGTTTCTTTCTGCTACCGCTAATTCAAAACAGGGCAGGGAGCAGCTAGGCAGCAGCTGGGAGAGCTGCGGGCTCCTCCACCCGGTTGCTGGTGGGCTCCATCCGGCCGCACCGCCCGCACCTGCTCACCTCCAGCTGCCTCGGCCCCAGCGGCACGGACGGACTCAACGGCGACCACCGCGGCAGCTCCCCGGGGACTCCTCGCAGGTCAGCTGAGCTTTGCTTTCAGTCGGCGTGCACGGTTCCCAAACGTCGGTGGTGATTTTTGTAAGTGAGGTGGGGGTCACCACAGGAAGAGAGGGGAGGCAAACCTCCCTTCCCGCTGTGTCCCGCCTTTCCTCCTGGCGGTTGCGTTTCCACGTGTCCTGCCTGCTGCCCGCCCCAGCCCACACTGAGCAGGAAGGTGGGGCGTGGCGGGGAGGGGAGTGGAACTGAGGGAAGCAGAGAGGGTGGTGCCATTGCCCCCGGCCTAGCTTCTGTTTGATCATTAGTTTCAATTCAAGAAAACGTTCTTTTGAGGGAATTTTAAAAATGAATCACGTGCACCTCTTAAGAAAACCGAGTGTCACAATCGTTGTTACCACGCAGGTGAGAGGAGAGGAGGGAGGACGGGAAAGGGAAGGGGCATGAGAAAGGCGGATGGGACTGAGCTTCTACGGCTCCCTGGCCGCGGCGCACGCGCTGGCCCTCCCCGTCCACAGCAGCAGCGGCATCCTCCCCACCCTACAGCGAGGAGGTGGACGTTGCCCCGAGGGGAGGAGCGTGTCAGGGTGGCTTCCAGGTGCAGGTTCTCGCGCAGGCCTCAGCCTTCATAGGTGCATTCCGCTCTAGAACATTCCTGTTCATGCGTGGTCGTCGCTCACTGGTGGCCGCTTAGGTGCACTTCTCAATGGCAGTGCCCAGCACGGAGCAATGCCTCGGAGTGGCAGTTTCTTCAGTACGGTCCCCACGGCCTCTCCCAAGGCGGAGGATGCTGCCGCCAAGGAAACTGGCTCACCACGGACGCTGGTGAGCTATGGAGCTATCAGTGAGGTGTGGATTTCTCAGGCCTCTGGCGGGAGCCGGAGTAAAGGCCCTGAGTGTCTAGACCAGCCAGAGTGTCTGCGTGTAGGTCAGCAAATGTGGGCAAATGTCTAGGCGGTGGTGTCCTGCAGGGAGCCGAAGGCCCGTGGGGGACGTGACCAACTCAGCATTCCGCTGGAGGCTACAAACAGCAAACTGTTTATCATGAATGCAGGATGTGGGCAAACTCACACTGCCCTGCCACCAAAAGGTTTGCTAACAGACATCACTCCCTAGCTCCGGGCTCCTTAAAGTTATCTGCCTAAAAAATCTAGTGCCTATTGTCCAAAAAATGCAAGACTACTGTGAACCAAACGGCAGACTGACAATCACCCCCCTCCCCCAGCTTTCTCGCTATCTCTTTTTGCCTAATAAATACGGAGGGCTGTGTAAAGCTCAGGGCCCTTGTCCACTAAAGGCAAGGTGCCCCTAACCCCTTCTTCCAAATATACTCTGTTGTCTCTTGTCTTTTATTCCCGTGTTGCCCGCCTTTGTTCAGTCCAGTAGGTCCCCAACAATGTCCTGAGGGTATGAATCCTGAAAGACTACTCTCCATGAAGCAGGTATTTACCAGGTTAGTGCATGTTTCCTGGGTATTAAGGGAAAACAGTAAAATGTTCTGTACGGGGGTCCCGGTTCTGTGTCGCACGAGAAGAGTGTGTGTCTTTTTACTTTTTTAATATGGCTCAATAAAATTTTAAATCACATATGTGACTCTCATTGTATTTCTATTACACAATATGCTTTTTACCATGTCAAAATATCGGGTGGTTTCAATCAAATTGGTTAGTTAGCACCGTGTTCAAGAAAAACTCTTCTTTTAGGAAGGTACTAAAAGGTTCGTTGGTTGGGTTTTTTTAATGGAATTATATAACGTGTTATCACTAATTTGGATGCAGAATAGGAGTCTGGGGGTTGGCTGTAATGGCCTCTGAGGTCTTCTAAGCCTTATAGCTCTGTGATATTAAACTTGGTAAAAAGATGCCAAGAGATTCCTAGATGACAAGCCAGAAAGTATTCGCAGCCCATAAAGTAGAGACAACTCAGCCGCTGTGAAGAGATAAACATCTCCACCGCCACGTTCGTAGTCTCCTCCTCAAGGCCTCAGTTTTGGGTCTGGTGATCTGGCTCTAGTCCCCCACTCCAGGTGGGAGCTTCGCAGGCATGGGCTAGTTACTCGAGTTCCGGGTGCCTGCGTGACCCATTTGTAACATGGAAATAGCAAAAGTCCCTCCCCAATGCTATCAAAGGGTAGTGACGCGAGACAGGAGAAGTGTGAAGACGCTTTATAAAACTCAGAGTGCTAAATACTGGGGCTTTTCCCCCTCTACGTAGAAAGTTATAGAAGAAGGTGGCATTGACTAAGAAACAAATAATCACATTAATGAATAAGGCAGGAAAGATTTCTGAGATTAAATAACATTTTCATAGATTGATTTTTTAATTCCATATTTATCATCAAAGTCAAGCAGAACCCAAAACTGATCCTTGCGGTTCCGAAAGCGGCCTTCTGTGGCATGGAGTTGCTGAGCGGAGTCTAGTTCTGCGTGTGTATCCTGCTGGGTTGCACCTGTTTAATCTTTGCCTTTCTTTTGCCCAAAGAGTCAGCGTGTGAATTTGTTTATGAGGAGAACGACTCAAATTAATAACGAGGTGTTTTTGGTTTTTTTTTTTTTAATCTTTGGAATGTGCCACATCAAGTTCTGCTCCATTTCCTGGTGATTCAGATTCTAATGACGACCTTCACTCTCCCAGAATGTCCTCCTGTGACTGGCAGCAGGCCCTCTTCGCCATCCACAGGAGCGGGCGCTGCTCCAGGCACACAGCCAAGGGGGATCAACCCTGGGGAGGGGGCCGCAGTGCACCTCCGCCTGGCGTCTTTCTCCCCTCATGGGTCCACACTCCCTGACACCATCTGGCTTCCCTCCTGACAGCCCAATGCAGCAGACAGATGGCAGCGTTTACAGTTTCCACAGTGATGAGCAAGCCAGGGGCCTCCAGCCAGTGCAGTGTGACCCAGGCGCGCCCTCAGAGCCTGGCGTGGCCGGACTCTGGCTTCTCGGTTGCCCCTGGGTTGTCCCCGGACTGACATCTCTGGGTCTCTTCCTCTGCTTCATTTGGGAATCCTTTGTTGTTCAGTGACCAGGGAAATTGAGAAAATAAGCAGTGTGCTGACGTCATGGAAACAGTATATAGCAACTAAAATACACCAGCTTTCCTGTTTTTCCAGGCTCATATTCTACCAGATCAACCAATCCATGGCTTTGAGTATCAGCTGCCCACAGCGCGCTTAGCACCATGCGAGGGGCCACGAGGAAGGAGGGAGGCAGGTGTGGTCACCATCCTTTAAAAATTCAGATGTGAGACCAGGAAACACACCTAGCAGAAACAATAGGAGTAAAACTGTAGAAAGGAAAACAATGCCAGCATGAAGTTTTCAAGAAAAGCCTCCTTAGAAGAGAGAGGACTCTCGTCTTTCCCCCCTCACTGGGAGTGCCTAATGCCTAGTGTCAGGGCAGGGCTCTGAGCTGTAATTATCTTTCCTTACACCTACTAGTCCACAGAGGAAAATTAAAAGGCAAAACTGTTACGATCAACCGGGCGCGGTGGCTCATGCCTGTAATCCCAGCACTTTGGGAGGCCGAGACGGGTGGATCACTTGAGGTCAGGAGTTCAAGACTAACCTGGCCAACAGGGTAAAACCCCGTCTCTACTAAAAATACAAAAATTAGCCGAATGTGATGGTGCATGCCTGTAACCCCAGCTACTCAGGAGGCTGAGGCATGAGAATTGTTTGAGCCTGGGAGGTGGAGGTTGCAGTGAGCCAAGATCGTACCACTGCACTCCAGCCTGGGTGACAGAGAGAGACTCTGTCTCAAAAAAACAAAAACAAAAACCCTGTTAATATTGGGCCCATTCGCCACAAGAACAGTTAAATTATTTAGCAACAAACCAAAGCAACTTTAAAGTTATTTCAGTTGGCAAGAACGCTAGCAACCTGGGTTGCCAGAATTCGTTCACCTGGGTTCACAGGTGCAAACTATGAGCCATTCTAGTTCATTTCCTAAAAAAAAGAAAAACTTAAAAAAAGAAGAGCACAGGATAGCTTAGGAAATCACAGGGTTCCAGCCGTGAAGCTGGACAGAAGCTCCTGGGCACCGAGGCGGCAGCCACACAGAACACACCAGCTCGGCTCTGATGCCACCAGCTCCAGCCACACGCACATGGCCAGTTGCATCCTACAAGTGTGCACTGCCACACCTCCAGCAAATATTTCATTATCCTAACCATATTCTCACACTTTATTTGGTTGGCAATATTGGAGACTAAACTGCTTCTTATAATTTATCTTTCTAAATAATGGAAGTTGACTCCTTTAAAACTTTTAAACCATTTTAGATGGCCTGTAATATATGAAACCTTTTTTTACATTCTTTAACAAATAGCAATATAATGTGTGTGTGCGATTCAGTGTGAGTGTTAAGAAAGTAAATTTTGGAGCAATTATATCATTGGGTCCATTGAATTCTAGAAGGATTTTTGAACCCACATTAAATGTTCTCAGGCTTTAATTACTTTAACTTTCATATTTCTTCTTATAGTTTTTCTTCTTCTCCTCCTCCTTCTTCCTCTTCTTCTTCACACTTCCTGCTGTATTTTCCGACAAATCTTAGGATAAGAAATGGGTTGGCTAAGTAATTAGAAAAAGTTAAAAAAAAATACCTTTCAGAACAGAGAAAACAATAAAGAGGTGAGAGAAAATATCAAAAGAGTGATGACTTGTTGCTGATGTTATAGACCCTCCAGGCTCAGAGTTTTTCTGACCCCAAACGCTTGTCCTTGTCCCTGTCCTGCCCTTTCCCTCTCCTCTGACCTTCCCCAGCACCATCAACACATATGTTTCCATCACCTGCAGTCTTCAGTCCAGCTGCCTTCCCTCTCCTTCCTCTACCAACAAGCTTCCCAGTAAACACCTTACACTCTCCCTTTCTACTTCCTCACTCTTCATTCACACATTTAAAAGCTGAAATTTCACTCCCCAACCCCACCAGGAAAGAAATAAAATTTGCCAAACACCACTCCAGTGGAGAAACTGCCCTTGCTGAAGGTATTCACACAGCTTCCTAAGTGATAAATCTGGTGCATACAATTCCCATCTCAACGCCTTTGACCTTTCTTCCACATTTGGTACAAGTGACTACCCTCCTTCTTGAAACTGCGTTTCTCTCAATTCCACAAAAATTCTCCTTTCTGGATTTCTTCCTATATCTCTTATGACAGATTCTTTGCCACGCTCTTTTATGGCTTTCTCTTCTTCTGCCTGCTCCTTAAGTGTTGGGATTTCCCCAAAAATTAATCTACAATCTTCTTCCAACTCCATACTAACTGAGAAGTGTTACTAACGCGCCAGGAGCCCTATCCTGGTGCTGTGGTTTGGATGTGTCCACTGAAGTTCATGTTTTGACAACTTAATCCCCAATGCAACCATGCTAAGAGGTGGGACCTTTGAGAGGTGATTAGGTCATGAGGGCTCTGCTTCATAAATGGATTACTGTCGTCATTACATCTGGGCAGTGGGCTCCTGATAAGTGAATGGGTTCAGCCGCCATCCCCCTCCTTTGCATTTCCACCTTCCACCACCCACCATGGGATGTCAGAGCACAAGGGCCCTTGCCAGATGCTGGCAACTTGATATTGGACTTGTCAGCCTCCAGAACTGTGAGAAATACATTTCTGTTCATTGTAGATTACCCAGTCTGTGGAATTCTGTCATATTAGCATGAAATGGACTAAGACATCTGTTGAGAGGTTATGGTTTTGTCCATCTAATTTGTCACCTTTACCTCTCTCTTTGCAAATACAATTCTCCTTGTGGTCAGGCCGGAGCCAGCCCTCTGTTGTGAAGAATCAGTGGGGAGACAGGCCTGAAAAGGTAGAAGTACCTGGGAAAGGGAAGGGCACTGGAAATGTTCCTGAAGACACCAGCCTCTGGGCCTATGGAGGGTGGGGGAGGTGGATGGGGATGCTCCCCTGGGGTGCTGACATCTTCGCATTGTTCAAGGGGCACAGAGAAGCAGTCGGGTATTTGTGGAGTCTCTCTTTGTCCAGGGCTCAGCCTCTTTGGTGGTGGTAGCAAGAGCTTAATGGTTCTACCTGCATCCCTGAACTGTACTTTCATGTATCTACCTGCCTGGTAGACATTCTCCCCAAAACCCCTGCAAGCAAATTGAACCTGCTGTATTCCAACAGCACCCACTGTCTCCTCACCTTCAAAAATGCTCTGATTCTGTCTTTCTGATCTTTGTGAATGACATTACCCATGACCTAGTGGCCAAGGCTGGGACCCCATAAGGTCTTGTCTCCTCCTATTCTCTGTCCTCTTATTCTTCACATCCTATTGGCAGACAAGTGTGAATCAGCCAGGGTCCTGGCAGGACAAGGTGGCCCACTTAGAGGGTTTAACTGAAAAGAGTTTTATGAAGGGACTATTTACATGAGTGTGGGCGGGCTGAGGGAACACAAAAGAGAAGACAAAGTGTTGAAATTTGTTCATAGAACATGTCCGGATAGGCAATCTAGAGACAGAAGGCAGACTGGTGACAGCCTGGGGTAGAGGGGTTGGGGGACATGGGGAGTGGCCACTGAGGGGTATGGGTTCACTGGTTCATTTGGGGATGACACTGCAGAATGTTCTAGAATGGACCATGGTGATGGCTGCACAACTCTGTGAATGTGCCAGACACCAATGAATGGCACGGTGTAAACCAGTGAACTGCATGTACATGAATTACATCTCAATAAAACTGTGAGAGTTGTTTACAGGGAAGAGGAGGAGGCAATGGGAGCATTCAGACTGAGCAGTAATAGGGACTGAGGAGCCAGCAGCCTGTGGGCCTGGAGGCAGAGGGGAGAGACCAGTGGTTCTGAAACCTGGAGCCACCTGCCTGAGGGTTACCCAGGCAGAGAAGAACAAAGTCACAGCCAGACCCAGAAAGCTAGTGAGTAAACAGGAAGAAAGACCCCATGCTCCCTCCCCTAGCCCCCAGGCTCTGGCCCAGACCATACTTCTGAATCAGAGGAAAGGCGGGTTCCTGGCTTTGGCAGAGCCAGCAGAGGAGAGCAGCCATTCCCCAGCCCTGTTGGCTCAGAAACTGCACATGGCCATCTCCCTGTCTCTACCATCACCACCTTCTCAAGATCCCCGTGAAATCCTGTCTCCAGTCTCTCAGCAATCCACATCTCCTCACACTGGGGCAACTGGGGTGCTAGGGTGGGGGGCACTTGCTCATCAACAGGTCAGTCCCCACAGGCTGTTCCCAAGAGGAAATGCTGACCCAGGGTGGCCAGGTGTCCCAGATTGTAGATACAATTAAAAATAATAATAAAAGACGTGGCCTGTCAATGCAGACCACGAAGCAAAAGCATTTCTACAGCCTGAGGGTTGCCCATTGGCCACCTCTGCCCAGTGAGAGAGCCGGGGCGCAGGAATGCAGGGCTCCCAGACCCACTGCCATCTGCGTCATAACGGGGGTCCTCTTGGGTAAGCATTGTGCTGGGGGAGAGAAGGACATGGAGGACCCCAAACACAAAGCTCCCACCTCCCGGCAGGACATAGCTTCTGACCGCTGACCTGTGTTCCTTTAGGCTGGTAGCAAGAATCTTCAGAGCTTTGTCCCAACCGTTTGCTTTCCTCTTTTTTTTTCTCGAACCCAGAACCAGTCGCCTCTTGTTGGGCTTTGTGGGGTGGCAGATACACACCCGGCTTGTCCTCAGCCCCGACTCTTCTCTCAGGCTCTTGCCGTGCACAGTGTCCACGCAGCCCCTTCGCTGGCTGTTGTCACTGTCTCCATCACAAGTAGAATGAGGATGCTGGGCCTTGCAGGGCTGTGCCGAGGGCGGTAGCTTCTCCACGAAGGGCCCACCTGTGGGCCAACAGACCTCAGCGTGTGGCTGTCGTGATGTCCACACCTGTGGCACCTGTCCTCTCAGTCCCACATGTGGCAGCCCTGAGGTGTCCTTGCCCTGCCCCATGCAGGGGGGCCCTGTACCCCACTCCTTGTGCACGCCATGGGTTGATCTTCCCTGGGCCCACCTGCAGTCCAGCCTGGTGCCAAAAAGAACATCAGTCAAAGGAGGGCAGAAGGAGAGAGAATGTCCTGGAAACATCCTTGCGACCCGCACCCCATCACCTGCTGCAGCAGAGCCTCGCGTGAGGCGAGGAAGGCCACGCGGGCAGGAGGCGGGTGGAAAAGCAGCCTCAGTGCCAGGCACACCAGGCCTCACACACATCACCAGGAGCCATGTTAACATCTCTGTTCCACAGGTAAGGAAATGGCCACGAGGCTCGGAAAACAGCAAGGTCACCCACCCCTGTCAAACTTCAAGAAAGTGCGGTCTTAAGACTGCCTGTCCCCCAGAGCTCGCCACTCCAGGAGCCCGAAGTCTTAGGAAGTCAGCAGCACTCACACAGCAGTCAGGACAGGCGCCTGACTCAGTCACCTGCTGCCACCAGGCCCGGCTCAGGTACAGTGGCCAAGACAGTGCACCCAACTACCAGGCGTCTGGAACACATAAAACAAGCTGAAGTTTTGGGTTCCTAGTATTTATTCCCCAACAATAAAACACAAGCATCTTCAATGTGGAAAGGTTAGCGACAAGCGGTTTAGATTGGGAAATTTGCCACAGACAAGAAGGAAACTTGAATCTTCTTTTTTCCAACAAACTGAAGACGACATGCAAGGACATATCTTCTGGGAGGAGAGCTTGAAAATAAAAGCCTCCAGAAACATTTCATAAAGACATTTTTCAGAGAAAGTAAACATCAAGGAGAATGGGGTGGTTTGGATTCTTTCCTTAAACAGAAGTTAAAATAAAATGTTTTGACAAAGAAGAAGTGCTATTTTGATCTCCCTGTGAAATTTTTACAAGAAGCTCTGGTAGGAGTTTTTAAACACAGTAAACTCTTGTTTGGTGGCAATGTTACTGTGTGTGATTGATATTTCATATTGGCAGACGGCCAGCAGGTGAGGAGGAGGAGGTAAAAGTTAGGAGGATTCTGCTCTTTATTCCATTAGGAACTAGAAACAGAAGAAACTACTCCAGTGCTACTGAATCTCCAAGCAGAATTTACTACTGAAAAGGTACGCATCATCACTGATACAGTGTCAGAGTTCTACAACACGGCTAGCCTGAAGAGCCAATTTTTATCTCTCAGTGAGATTGATTTTCCATTTTTCTTGTCATACTCTATTCACAGTCTACTCTCCTACTTCCCATAAACTACAATAAGAAAACACAGTAAGTTAGAATCATTGAGCATTCTTTAGTCTTTTTTCTTATAAGCAGACACTGTACCGCACAACACAGCAGAGCTCTGATAACATTTTAATATGCGCCGATGCCAGATATTCAGGCTGCCTACCCAAAAGTGAAAGTTTTAGTTGCTTGTTTGGAAGTATCGGAATAGCCGACTTGAACTAAGAGGAAAATGCTGGAAATGCATTAACCTTTCATCTGGTTGTTTGTTATGTAGATATAATCAGACCTTAGTGTCAAAAAGAAAAAAAATAGCATATTTTTGACGGACTGCCATCTGCCAAGCTGCTTGGCAGATGATACAGCCTCTGCCTATTCTCTCAGTAACTCTGAAAGGTGGGTGCCAGGACTCTGAAGGCTACGGGGTTTTACCCTACTTGCAAGCCAACAGGTGGGCCTGCAGTGGTTCTGTACACACTGGCAGCAGACCTGAGCCCCCTGAGCTCAGGACAAGTAGCTTTATTACTCCCACACAGCAGGCAGAGGAGTTGTATATGTGCCTCAGTTCCCCTTGCTCTCCAAGTCCCATGGGGGTGAGGTGGAAAGTTCCAGTTGGATCCTGCATATCTGGTGGGTGTGTGTCACAGCTGACAAAGTCCAAGCTTGGGAAACCCCATTTTTTTATGATGGGCTGCAAGCAAACTTGACCTTTGCCCCAGAGGGAGACATTATCTCTGTCTCCCAAGATAGTGTCACAAAGGGCTGTTGATGGCTTTGCACACACGATGAGTTGCAAGTGGAGACGCATGGAGAATTAGCTCTCAATGGCAGGCAATGTTATTCCACTTATTACAGATTCATAAAGGAAGCATTTGAAAAGGTAACCAGCCTGCTCAAGTCACAAAGCTTATTAAATTGAAGAATCAGAACTCAAATCCGGGTGGGTTTGACTCCAGAACTCTCCCCTCTGTATCTTACAGCCAAATAGTAGTCCTCCACATTAGAGCATGATTAATCAATATATAAAAGGCATTATGGGCCAGGCGAGGTGGCTCACGCCTGTAATCCCAGCACTTTGGGAGGCTGAGGTGAGTGGATCACTTGAGGTCAGGAGTTCGAAACCAGCATGGCCAACATGGTGAAACCGCGTCTCTACTAAAAATACAAAAATTCGCTGGGTGTGATGGCATGCACCTGTAACTCCAGTTACTCGGGAGGCTGAGGCACAAGAATCGCTTGAACTGGGAAAGCGGAGGTTGCAGTGAGCCAAGATCACGCCACTTCACTCCAGCCTGGGCGGATCACTTGAGGTCAGGAGTTTGAGACCAGCCTGGCCAACAAGTGAAACCCCATCTCAAAAAATAATAATAAATAAATAAGTAAATAAACAAAAGGCATTATGACCACAAACTCCTGAATTTACCACACTGGCACCTTGAATATTTAGAGCGTTTCAAGAACAAACCTATGATCACCGGCCCTTTAACCAGGCCTCGCAATCTAGCATTATGCATTTTAACCTCACCCCAGAGTCTAGCAATATGAATTCTTCATACGCAGAGCATGAGATATAGAAAGTCAAATCAGAGCCATTGCCCCTGGAGGGCACAGCCTCCATGTGCTTGGACCCACCTGGGAGTGCAGGGCGGAGCAGGGCCACCTCTGTCCCGACTCACCACCTGTTCAAAACAGGCCACCCTCAATGCCATAGTGTGTGGTACTTGCATTTGGGCACACTGTGAATTTTTTTTCTTATAAAGACAATAATATCATATTCATGCATTTTGATAATATGGTAATTTAATTAAGAAATAAATTGAGTTTCTGAAAAAATTTTATGTCATTATTATATATGCATTTCTGCAGAAATTTACTAGAAAATGCTTTCTAAAATTGTATTTAAACTTAAAAGATTATAGTTTATTTCTAGACATAGAAAACAATTTTACACAATTGAAATGTATGATTTTTATTCTCAATGATTATCTATTTAGTGCTAAAATATTTATACCATATGTGTCCATTTAAAAAAAAAATAGGAGGGGAGTGAAATGCCAAAATTAAATGTCTAAAAAAGGATCAGAAAGAATAAAGTAGCCACATTTTTGCTAAATCTAACCACCTCAAGAAGTGAAAACCACAACGGGAACCACTCTGCCCAGGCGTGTGGCATGGCTATATATAGAACAGGATTTGATTGCACATTGGGTAAAATATTGTTCTCCAGCTTTACTGAGGTATAGTTAACATATAATAACCTGCATGTATTTAAAGGGTTTGATCTGTTGAGTTTTAACACATGCATACATCCATGAAAACATGATCATCAAGATAATGCCTCAGGATCGATTGTAATTCCTACTTCTCCCCCTTCCCTGGATATATGGTTTGCAAATATTTTCTTCAAGGCTGAAGTAGAATCCTGATAGCTCAAAAAAAACTCAGCCATAAATATTTCCAAATTAAAGCTTCTAAGATGGCTGTGAAGTTTTATATTATTAATTGGTATAGAAAAGGAAGATACGTTATACTCCATTTTTAACTAAAGCTGTTCAATTTGATGTTTATCCCACAAAAATGTTATATTATTTTTGAAATTATGTTTAATAATTTAAGAACAATTTTCTATTGAATAAGGATCTATTTCAGAAATATTAATTGTACAACTAACATAATGCTCAGCTTGATTTTTTCCCTTCAGTAAAATGAACCAAGATGAGAATATTTACATCTAGAAAATGTATTATAAATATTAGCACCTCGTTAAGCATACTGAGTAGGGATAACAAAGTCTAATACTGTCCTGTCCTGTGCAATAGAATTGATATACTTTAATCACATTACAGAATTCATGTTAATTTTTTTCACTTTAAAACAAAGTTGGGCTGGGTGCGGTGGCTCACGCTTGTAAACCAAGTGCTTTGGGAGGCTGAGGCAGGAGGATCACTTGAGTTCAGGAGTTCGAGACCAGTCTAGCCAACATGGTGAAACCCTGTCTCTTACTAAAAACACAAAAATTATCCAGGTGTGGTGGCACGAGCCTGTAATCCCAAGCTACTCGAAGGCTGAGGCAGGAGAATCGCTTGAACCCGGGAGGCAGAGCTTGCAGTGGGCTGAGACTGCGCCATTGCACTCCAGCCTGGGCAACAAGAGCGAAACTCCATCTCAAAAAAAAATAAACAAAACAAAACAAAAAACAAAAAAAGTTGTACTACAACATAGATGAACCTTGAAAATATTATGCTAAGTGAAAGAAATCAGTCACAAAAGACCATATATTCAAATTTGAAATGTTAGATGAACTGAACATAGTCTTAGAAAGGTGAAACTTACCAATATTGACACAAGAAGAAATAGGAGATTTTAAAAGTTCTGTAAATATTCAGGAATTATCTGTACTTCAAGCTCTCCCACTCTGACCCCACCCATCCTCCCACAAAACAAAAGTCCCAGCCCAACTAAATGTTTAAGAGAGTGTGGGGAAAGTTAGAGAATAAAAAAGGGTGGGCACTTCCCAGCAATTTTAATAAAATCAGTACAATTTAAGCATCAAACTAACAAGGACATTATAAGAAAAAAATAATAGGTCAATTTTCCTTGTACATATGTATGTAAACTTTATAAATAAAATATCAGGAAATTAAATATAGCAATGTACAAAAAGGATAATGTATCACACATTTTGGGGCTTATTCTTCAAAGTAGTGTCTTAACACTATAAAGGAGAGGAAAAGTAAGTAATCATACAATTGATAAAGAGAAAGCATTTTTTAAAAATTTAAATCCATTTATGTTAAAAAAAAAAAAAACCTCTTAGCAAGCTAGGAAGAGAGTGGAACTTCATTATCATGATACAGAGTACATTTTAAAATAGCTAGGAATAGAATGCAACATCATTATTATAGTAAAGAGTATTTTAAAAAACACATTTAATAGTGAAATGTTGAAACCTTTCCATCTGAGATTAGGAAGTAAACAAGAATATTTTATATCACCACATTTATTCAGCATTAAACTAGTAATTCTAGCCAGTGCAGTAAAGAGATGCAGACTGGCTAAGAGATAATAAAACTACCACTATTTGTTGATAATATTTCGATGTAGAAAGCATAAATTATTAGAATTAAGAAGTTAGTTTAGCAAAGTTGTTAGACACAGGTGAATATTTTTAAAAATCAATTATATTCCTCTGTATTAGCACAGTTGGAAAATGAAATACTAAAACAGATTCACGTACAAAAGCATAAAATATTAAATATTTAACACTAAAACTTCTTTAAAAGATGCACAAGGGCTATGCAGAAAAAACTACAACATTTTTTAGAAAAATTCAAGATAATCTAATTAAGTGGGGGGGATATACCATGTTCATAGATTAGAAATGTTATTATTGTAAATATATTCATTTTCCCTGAATTGGTCTATAAATCTAATGCCATGTTGATAAAAGCCTCAGCAGGATTTTCTGTGGTAATTAACAAAATAATTCTAAAACGTATGTGGATGCACAAAGGGCCAAGAAAAGCCAAGAAAACTTTAATGAAAAGAACAAGGCAGGACTTAGTCTACTCGATATCAGAATTTATTATAAAGCTTCAGTAATTAAGGCAGTTTTTTGTGCAATGATAAACAAATAGACCGAAAAAATGGAATAATTGGTGCATACAGACACACACATATGGATATTCCATTTCTGGTAAAAGTAATAGTACTGCAAAGTAGTGGAGATTTTTTTTTTTTCAGTAGATGGTGCTTGAATAATTTGGATAACAACATGAAAAAAATTAAATATAACCCTACCCTGAAGAGTTATACACAAAAGTTAATTCCAGGTATACTGCTTATTTAAATTTGAAGGGTCAAATAACAAGACTTTGAGAAAATTATATAAGAGAAAAGCCTTTAAGATTTTGGGATAGAGAAAATTGAATAGGAATAATGCTCTTTTGAGCACTAACCATAAAGAGAAAGATTGATAAATTAGACTATATTAAAATTAAAGACTTTTTAAATTTAAGAGTAAAAGATAATACTATGAGAGTGACAGGCAAGCCACTGAGTGGTAGCGTGGTTATATCAAGACAAAAAGTCCTATCCAGTATATATCAATAGTTTCTACAAATCAATTAAGACAGACAACCCAACAGAAAAACAAGCAAGAGACACTAAGACTTCACAAAAGAGGAGATCCAAATGATCAACAAATATGTGAGAGGATGGTCATTCTCATTAGAAATGGGGAAAATGTGAATTAAGGCAATAGAATATCACTACACATCCACCAGGATGGCTAAAGGCTGATAATACCAACTGAAATCCCACTATGCTGGTGATGAAAACGTAGATTGGTTCAACCTCTTTGGGAATTTGACAGTATTTACTAAGTGTGTGTATGTGCCTACCCAATGCCTCAGCAATTCCACTCATAGGCACGTGCCCAACCAGCATGTGAGCTCGTGCTGCACATCAAGACACATACGTAACTATTCACGGCAGCATTCTTATGGGCAGTCAAACATTGGAAGCAATCCAAATGTTCACTAACAGTGGACATCACAGTAGCCAAACAATAGGACATTAAACAGCAATTTATATGAAATAACTGTTGCCTCATACAACCAAAGGATGAATCTTTCATACATACACAGTCACACTCAGTTCTGAGGAAAAGAAGCCAAACATACCCACAAAAATATATACTGTAGGATTCCGTTTTCACAAACTTCAAAAACAAGACAAATGAGTCTGTGATGTCAGGACAGCGTTTAACTTGAGCAGGGAGTGAAGGGAGTGACTGGGAAGAGACACGAGTGGGGCTCCGGGGTGTTGGCCATATTCTGCTGTTGTGTTTAAACCTGGGTGTGTGCACAAGTGTTCATCAAGCTGTATAATGATGGGGCATGCACTTTCCTGTATGTGTTCAACATAGAAGAACAGGAATCAATTAGGTTATCATAATAACTTAATCAGTATGAAGAGGAAAATGGATGAGGTAGAAAGTATAGCAAGAGCTCAGAGGAGAACATATTATCAACTGCCATGGTTGGCCTGGCTTCTTGCCAAGGAAAGAACAGAGGAAACAGAAGATAGAAAACAGGAGTTATGTTTACAGAAACCTCCCATGAGGGGGCTGAAGGGAGATCTCAGGATGACAACTCATACAAGATACTGAGTCCTAGTCCAGATGGGAGCAATGTGACTCCAGAGATGGAATTTTTCACCAAGTTTCCCAGTGCCATGGTGCTGCCTTCTTCCCCGGAAGACAGCATGCCCAGGTGAGCCTGGGTTCTTGCTTTTGTGTCTTCACATCCCTGCCCTGTTCTCAACGTTCTTCTGCCTGCATCAGTGGAGGATGCCCATTAATCCACCTTTGTGATTTCTCCAAGGATATTTAGAGGTGAATTCATAACTATCGTCTATTTCCATCTAAGAAAATACAACTGTAAACTAAAAAATAATGATTCAGCTTTTTCCCTAGAGCTGTTTCCTCAGGCAACCTAATTAAGGATTAATCCTGTTACCCCAGTGCCCTCCCTAGGAAACCTCCAAATGACTTCAGGGGAATTTCATGTAGTTAATGGTTGCTGGATCTTTCTGAGTGAGTTATCATTAAAAATACATATGTGCAAATACCTAACCCTAACCCTTATCCTAACCCTTACCCTCATCTGGTTTGCTAGTAGAAAACCTTGAGAATCATTTTAGACTGAAACACTTTCTTCTGGGTTAATTACCATCGTCCCCCAAGAAAAGCCATCAACTCTGACGTCCATTTTGGTTTCGGCAAAGCCAGTCTCGTTTAAATGATTCTTCACTGATAAGAATTGGATGCTTCCCTCCTCTTTTCTGTCTGTAACTTGTTTTTTTTTTTTTTTGAGATGGAGTCTCACTCTGTTGCCAGGCTGGAGTGCAGTGGTGTGATCTCGGCTCACTGCAACCTCCGCCTCCCAGGTTCAAGCAATTCTCCTGCCTCAGCCTCCAGAGTAGCTGGGATTACAGGCGTGCACTACCACGCCCAGCTAATTTTTTGTATTTTAGTAGAGACGAGGTTTCACGGTGTTGGCCAGGATGGTCTCGATTTCCTGACCTCGTGATCCCCGCCTCGGACTCCCAAAGTGCTGGGATTACAGGTGTGAACCACTGCACCCGGCCTTGTCTGTAACTTAATATCTGTTTTGTCTTTTTTTTAAACTGATACCTTATATCTAGCCTTCAAAATTAATATTTTGCCATGTTCACCTCTCATTCTGATTTTTTTTCCCAACCATTTACAAATGTAAAGAAGATGGTTAGTTTGTGAGCCATACAAAAATAAGAGGCAAGAGGGATTTGCCTTGCAGGTTGTACTTTGTCCACCCCGGTCTAGAATATTAAGGATTTTCTACATATTAATTCATAGTCTAAGGGATCCCAGAAATAGGAGCTGCTTGAGAAGATGTAGTCTGTGGTGTTGAAAATGACATACATCTAAAAGTATTTAGAATGTTTTTAATGGTGGAATTCACCCTGCTGTGTCACTCTTTTATACAGGTTGAGTAGTCCGAATCCAAAAATGCAAAATGCACCCAAATCTGAAACTTTTTGAGTGCTGACAGGACATGCTAAGGAGTTGCTCATTGGAGCATTTTGGATTTCAGATTTTTGGATTAGGGATGCTGAACTGGTAAATAGATCATGCAAAGATTCCAAAATCTGAAATTTGAGACGTTTCTGGTCCCAAGCATTTTGGATAATGAATACTCGACCAGCCTTACAACAAATAAACCAAACAATTAAACAAAAATAACTAACATTTTGACATTAATCTTTGAACAAGCATCTCTTCATGAATTTTCTATGTTTAAACAAATAGTTTTTAGCTAAAACACTTCTCTTACTCATAATTGAATATCTATACTTTGGATATTTTGTCATCTATACCCTTGGCTACAGCTCATTTTAAAATTATATTTTTTACTCTATTGCCACTTCACTATATTTAGACATTGAAATTTAAACTGTAATCTTATCTTTATTTAATGGGAAATAATGTATGTATGGGAAATTAAAAGTTAAAAATGACTGTGAAAAAATAATTGTATTATTGAGCTGAAAGGGTTCATGTCTGGAGTCTCCATCCAAATCCAAGCCTAGAATCATATACAATTCCCTTATAATTATCTTCTGAAATTTATGGTATAAAAGATGCTAATAATATATTAAATTTCTTATAGGAATTATAACCACAAATTATTGAAACTCCCTAGTACCTAACACTGTTGTTAATAAGGCATTTCTCAGCACATTGTAGGTTTACTTTAGCCTAATGAAAAAGCTATGATTCCAATATGTATTGATATATAATTATTTAAATAATTTAGTATCTGGCCAGCCCTGTAATCCCAGAACTCTGGAAGACCGAGGTGGGTGTATCACTGAAGGTCAGGAGTTCGAGACCAGCCTGGCCAAGGTGGCGAAACCCCATCTCTACTAAAAAATACAAAAAATAACTGGGCATGGTGGCAGGCACCTGTAATCCCAGCTACTTGGGAGGCTGAGGCTGGAGAATTGCTTGAACCCAGGAGGCAGAGGTTTCAGTTAGCTGAGAAAGAGCCACTGCACTCCAGCCTGGGCGACAGAGGGAGACTCCATCTCAAAATAAATAAATAAATGAAAGAAAGAAGGAATTTAATAGCTAAACAATAAATTGGTTTCTTCTAGTCTAAAATGTGAGTTAATATATAATGAATGTATATTTATTCATTTCTTGATCTGAAGTAAATCTCTATTAAACAATACACATAAAAAGCCTTGAAACCAAAAATGGTCATTTACTTCAAAATAGTTAGATATGCAGGTCAAACGTTATTGGATATGTATTTGAATAACTTTCAAATTCCTTATGCTAGCAGGCATGGTGGCTCACGCCTGCAATCCCAGCACTTTGGGAGGCCGAGGTGGGCGGATCACCTGAGGTGAGGAGTTCGAGACCAGCCTGACCAACATGGCAAAACCCTGTCTCTACTAAAAATACAAAAATTAGCTGAGCTTGGTGGTGGGTGCCTGTAATCCCAACTACTCGGGAGGCTGAGGCAGGAGAATCGCTTGAATCTGGGAGGTGGAGGTTGCAGTGAGCTGAGATCGCGCCATTGCACTCCAGCCTGGGTGACAGAGCGAGACTCCGTCTCAAAAAAAAAAAAAAAGAAAAAGAAAAAAATTTATTTTTAAAAAGACAAGAGTGTTACTATGTAACAATTTAATCAAACTATGTACATAGCTATGTTTTGCCTCATTAATTATCTTAAAAATAAATATACATCTGTGTCTTACTTTAAAGACATTATACTTTGGTAAAAATATTAGGCAGAGAAATTTGTGCAGTCCTGTAATTGCAGAAAAATAAAAAGAAAATGTTATTCTTTGAAATTGCTTTAAGTTTTGTAAGTTTTCTCCACCGAGAAAAATATATCAATATGAAAGGATTTAACAGCACTACAGATGTATTATTGCAGTGTTCATTTTTCTTTGACAATTCTATGAGGCATCACATCAATCATTTAGATTAAAAAATTGAGTTTCAGAAAGATGCTTGGCTATTACATGGCCGATGGCAGTTTGACATTCGAATTCAGGTCTGTGTGGCTCTAACCCAACAGATGTTTCACCGCGCAGGGGTCTGATTGTGAACCAGAGGAACGGACACGTGGCTCTAGAGGGTTCAGCAGAAGGGTGCCCTCCTGGAGGTGGTAGAGAGGTGTTTGAGCTGGGCCTTGAGTCGATGATATTTGAGCAGATGGGCCAAGTTTTCCTGCTGCAATAGGCAACCCTGAAATTTCAGCGTCTTAACACCAAAACTTCTTTCTTGTAAACTGCAAAACCCGAACCCCTCTGTGGGACCCAGCGCCCCTCCAGGGCAGCTGTCCGGTAGGCGGCGGCTGAGACCTGGCTGCTGGACTTTCCAGTTTCTCCACACCCACACTGGCGTTTCCACAGGCACTGAGGCAAGGAAAGACGGGGCTGGACTGTCGCTCCTGGCTCCTGCACACTTCCATACGGAAGTGACACGCCGGCTCCTCTGCCATTGCATTCACCAGAACTAGTCACGTGGCCACGCCCGCCTTCACAGGGCGGAAGGTGAAATTCCGTGTGCTTAGCAGAGGACAATTCAAACGGGTGTCCAGCAGAGATGGTCAGGACCTCAGCCCGCAGCTATGAGAAGGGGTCCTCCGGGTGGAGGGAAGAGTCTAGCCCCGCAGGCGAGGCGGGGAAGCAGAGGCGTGCTTCCAAGACGTCCAGAGGCGCGATCAGGTGAACTCAGAGAGGGAAAGCAACTGGGAAGCAGGTCATGGGGAGGCAGACACAGAGCACTTGTCTTCTCCTTCCTATAGAATATGTAGTTGAAACACTCACAACATATAATCTACCAAATTCATCATAGATGACTTATTGCAATGAAAACAATTATAATACTATATTGCTGTGGTTTTTCTGGGGGGTGGGGTGCTATGTAGTATTACATATATGTATGGCTTTGAAAGCCTCCAAAGACTTTAGAAGTTTACTGCAATATTCTGAACAAATGGAAGCTCTAATGTAGCGCCCTTTAATAATTAAAAATATGCATAAAATGTTAAAATTGAATGATTTTTCTTTTTTTCCAGAAGGGCGAATACTTCTGTATGGTTTCCGACATGCAGGACTACTTAAAAAAAAAAAAGAAAACTTTTCTGGACTTCCTTTTTTCTCATGTACATTTTTAACCCCTGCAGTGCCAACATTCAAATGAAGAATGAAAACATTTCTATGTGAATGCATACTTGGAGAGAACATTCATATGCCTTACTTTAATTTTATCCTTATAACAGCTCTGTAAGGTGGGCAGTGAAGGTCTGTTGCCATCATCATGTTTCTTTTTTCTTTTTTTTTTTTTTGAGACAGAGTCTTGCTCTGTTGCCCAGGCTGGAGTGCAGTGGCGCTATCTCGGCTCATGCAAGCTCCACCTCCTGGGTTCATGCCATTTTCCTGCCTCAGCCTCCCAAGTAGCTGGGACTACAGGCACCCACCACCACGCCCGGCTAATTTTTTTGTGTTTTTAGTAGAGACAGGGTTTCACCATATTAGCCAGGATGGTCTCGATCTCCTGACCTCGTGATGTGCCTGCCTCGGCCTCTCAAAGTGCTGGGATTACAGGCTTGAGCCACCGCGCCCAGCCATCATGTTTATTTTTCACTTGAGGAAACTGAGTCTCAGACCTGTACAGACCCTTCACTGCCCTACAATTAGTGTAAGAGATGGAGCTCAAGGTTGGGAACTGTGGCGCTTAACCCAAGACTACTTTCCCACGACAATGTCTCTGACCACAGAGAGTCGATCTCTGTGCTAGTTAGGAATTGGTGGAAAGTTTCCCCTAGGAGAAAGGAGGTGTGTGACACTGGGAGAGTCTCAAGGTCAAACCTACAAGGTCATCTGAGCCAGTGATTCTCGAACTCAACTGAACATCAGAGTCACTCAGGGAGACTGAGAATAAAAGATTGTTGGACTTGCCCTGAGACTCTGATTCTCTGTGTCTGCCACTGAGTTGAAGGGATGTGTATGCTGAAACAGTTTTCTGAAACTTGAACAGTGTCTTGATATTTGATGACTTTAAGGAATTATTGTCATTTTTCAAAGTATGAAAACGATATGAAGAAAATATATTTTTAAAGAGTGTCTTCTGAAGATACATCTGCAACATTTACTAATGAAATTATGTAAAGTCTGATTTGTGTTTAAAAATAATCCAGGAGCGGAGGGAGAGGGAAGGGGATAAATGAAACAGGCTGTGACAACTGAAGCCAGGTGGTGAGTGGGGAGTGGGGACAGGGACTTCCTCTGGCATTCTATTCGTATTCGATACTATTCGTATCACTGCACATTTGTATAACAAAAATGTTGCAAGAAAAGCTCCCCAGGAAATTCTGATGATCACCCATTGGATCATTGATCTAATCCAACCACATAACTATAATTACAGATTGGATCATTGATCTAATCCAACCACATAACTATAATTACAGAGGTTCCCTGTACACTGCCATGTCTGCTGTATTGCTACATTCTAGCTGTATTGTTCGAGGTCACTCACCTGTTTGCCCTTCTCTGCAGTGGTGGTAAAATCAGGAAATAGTTTTACCAAAACAGGGCATTGGAATATAGACAAGTGTAGGTGAGTCATGAGCAGGGGACACTTCTGGGCCTCAGATTTCTCATCTGTGGTTTGTCTCAAACTCAGAGACAGGTTTTCAGATCCCCTCTTGAGTCCACTCTCTTTCCTTCTTTTACAGGAACTTTCTCTCTCAGGCAATTTTCTCCTTTTCTTTCTCAGGTGACTTTCAGCATTTCCTTTTTGAGCTTTACCTTAGAGTTGCCTTATGGTTTATTCAGGTGCAAATTGACTTCCATGTGTCCTGCTTGATATTTGAAAGCACTTTTAATTTTAAGACTGTTATGCTTCTTACATTCTGGAAAATTCCCAGCGATCATCTCTTTAATTATGCCTCTCCATCATTCTCTCTAATCCTCTGGAATTCTGACGAGATGAGATTAACTCCCTCAGCCTACAGCTCTTGCTCCTTAAGATCTCTCGCTTTTATGAATCTTTTCTTCTTTCCACTCATTTTACTTTCCAGATGCATTTCTCAGCTTTTTTCTTTTCGATTGGATTTCTTTATGTTCTTGTTTTATTATTTCTGCCAGTCTTTTTTTTTTTTTTGAGACGGAGTCTTACTGTTGCCCAGGCTGGAGTGCAGTAGCACGATATTGGCTCATTGCAACCTCTGCCTCCTGGGTTCAAGTGTTTCTCCTGCCTCTGCCTCCAGAGTAGCTGGGATTACAGGCACACACCACCACCCCCGGCTAATTTTGTGTATTTTTTTTTTTTTTTTTTTAGACAGAGTTTTGCTCTTGTTGCCCAGGCTCTAGTGCCATGGTGTGATCTCTGCTCACTGCAACTTCCACCTCCTGGGTTCAAGCGATTCTCCTGCCTCAGTCTCCCGAGTAGCTGGGATTACATGTACGTGCCACCATTCCGGGTTAATTTTGTATTTTTAGTAGAGACAGGGTTTGTCCATGTTGGTCAAGCTGGTCTGGAACTCCCAACCTCAGGTGATCCGCCCACTTCGGCCTCTTCGGCCTCCCAAAGTGCTGGGATTACAGGCGTGAGCCACCGTGCCAGGCCAATTTTGTGTTTTTAGTAGAGACGGAGTTTCACCAGGTTGGCCAGATAGGTCTCGAACTTCTGACCTCCCGCCTCGGCCTTCCAAAGTGCTAGGATTACAGGCTTGAGCCACTGTGCCTGGCCCCCACCCCCCCTTATTTTTTTTTTTAGAGTCAGAGTACATATGCAGGTTTGTTACGTGGATTTACTGTGTGATGCTGAGGTTTGGGCCTTGATCGAACCCCTCACCCAAAGAGTGAACACAGTTCCCAGTAGGCAGTTCTTCTCTCCTTGCCCCTTTCTCCCTCCCATGGACTCCACTGCCCACCGTTTCCATCCCTATGTCCCTGTGTCCACAGTGTGTAGCTCCCACTTAGGAGAATATGCAGTATTTGGTTTTCTGCTTCTGTGTTAATTCAGTTAGGATAATATATTTCTGCCAGTTCTTCATAACTTCTTATCCCTTTTGATGCATGTTATTCCTGCATACATTTCTTCAAGGTTTCCAAACATGTTTATTTTAAAGCTCTTTTCAGAATGGTTGCTGATTCGGGTGGCCCCTTAGCATTTGCTGTGTTCACGTGCATGGTAATTATTTCTTTGCCAGCTCATCGTAAGTGGGAGATTCTCTCTCTACTGTCTATCTTTCTCAGTGTCTCTCTGCTCACACCTCTGCTTAACAAAGGCACCTCGTCCGTGTGGGGCCCTCGTCCAGGAACAAGCTGTGTTGCCGTGGTTGAAGGCATCAGATGCAGTTACTTGCTGCATGGCAGTTCCTGGCAGGGGGCCACATGCACGTTTTCTCTTCCCGCAGACACATGGCTTCATGTCAGTTGTGCCGGCAGCTGCAGTTGGCAGCAGCTTCCTCTCCTCTCATGAGCACTTGTGGTCCCCATCATAGTCCCCACTGCCCAACAAGCGCCCCGCTCCTCGCAGGATCTGCCTTTGGGTTCCAGACTCCAGCAGGACATTTCCTTCAGCTCCTTCTCACCATCATGCATCTCCATCCCAACACTGATCCTCAGCCGTGCCCATGCTGTTTCAAGTCTCCTACAGTTTTACGTTTTCCCTCTTTATTTGTCATCTACCATTGGCATATATTTAGAGCAGGTATGTGCGTGTGGTAAGGGTGCTTCAGGGTACATGTTTATAGAACCATCTTAGCGGAAGTCCTTAGGCCAGGTTTCTCCTTTCTCATAGAACTACTGCAAATGTTGAAAGCACTTGAAAAAATGTCTAAGCTGCACTCTATTTTCAAAAACAAGCAAAACCCTGTAACTTGGTAATTTTTATTTCCAGAGACACTAGCGGATAAAGAAAATATTTTTCTTGGGAGAAGTCCTTGGGTATTCCATTCATTGGTTTGCCATGAACAACACATTTTTCAACACTTTTTTGTTTCTATTATTTTTACTGCTGGTAAATAGCATGTTAATAGTACATTCCCCTTCATTTAACATTTTTATTTGTTAAAATAAAATTTAATGGGAGTTTGCATTTCAAAATACTAGTTTCCTAGCAAAATTTATACATTCAGCATATATTATATATTATACATATAATTTTCTAGCAGAAAAGGGCATAAGATGTAAAAAATAATAGTTGATATATTTGTACCCTTTGCTCTTCTCAGGTGTATAAAGTTCCTCCTCTTTTCCCTAGTACTTTCTATATTATAGAACCTGTGAAAACTGGGGAGGGAATTAGGTTTATGACATTTAGTTCATTTTAGCACCTGGTTTCCATAACGCCTCCTAAATGTTTCTGGCCTTTGTTCTATTAATGACAGCGAGATCATAGAGTCATATTAAAGTTGCTCAGTAGGTCAAGCCCTCTCTTTTAGGGATGAGGCAAGCACAATTCTTTCTTCTTCTAGACCCATTGTTTAGAACTGTACCTTTTATTATCAAGAAAAAAGGTGAAAGGCTGGATGGAAAACCTCCACGGCCTCCGGACTGTGGACTCTCTACCCTTGTAAAGACCACTCACCTGAGTAAAGTCTAGTCTCAGCCGCTGGGACTAGACTAGCTGTAGAAGCTGTGTGCTGGGTACCCCTACCCCGCACCCCAGTACACAGCCATCTTCAATCTAGCCAATAAGCGTTTATTAAACATCCACTAGGTACAAAAAACTGTGCTCTCTGCTAGAAGCGGGGCACGGAATCAAACATCAGTAAGATGGGTCCCCAA
The DNA here is from genome assembly GCF_000001405.40 of Homo sapiens. Lineage (NCBI taxonomy): Eukaryota > Metazoa > Chordata > Mammalia > Primates > Hominidae > Homo > Homo sapiens. The sequence continues at coordinate 167,821,161 of NC_000006.12, forward strand.
CACCACGGGGAACAGAACTCGTGAGGAAAAAGGCACATTCAGAATTTCAAGTCAAAACCAAATTCAAGGTAGCAGCTAAAATCAAAGTGCCAAGTGTTAAGGGATCAGGAAAATATGGGGAGATGGCAACAAAAGAACTAGTACAGTTTAGTTGATCGGTTTTTTTTCTTGAGACGGAGTCTCGCTCTGTCGCCCAGGCTGGAGTGCAGGGGCGCGATCTCGGCTCACTGCAAGCTCCACCTCCCGGGTTCACGCCATTCTCCTGCCTCAGCCTCCGGAGTAGCTGGGACTACAGGCGCCCGCCACCACGCCCGGCTAATTTTTTGTATTTTTTAGTAGAGACGGGGTTTCACCCTGTTAGCCAGGATGGTCTCGATCTCCTGACCTCGTGATCTGCCCATCCCGGCCTACCAAAGTGCTGGGATTACAGACGTGAGCCACCGCGCCCGGCCAGTTGATCGGTTTTCAAAGTGGGAAACCGAAACTGACGAAATGGGCCACTGGACGGAGAAATTCTGGAAGTGAGAGCACTTCCAGAGCAGCATGCAGCGACACCTCGCACGGCTGAGGATGGACAGAATGCGGAAAGGAGGACAAGGAGGCAGGCAGGGGAGACGCCCTTTCACAAATCTACTCACAGCCTGATATTCTTTCATTATTTTCAGGATATATATGATCACATTTTAACTTAGTCTGCAACATGTACTGAATAAAAAGAAGATAGTGCAAAGCAATTCTCCAACACAGTAAAAGGTAAGTGACCCATGTTTACGGTATAATCCCCTTCTAATACCTTCCATACACACACACACACACACACACACACACACACACACAACCATTTCATTTCTTTGCATTCAGTGTGTATTAGTCCATTCCATTCTTGCATTGCTATAAAGAAATACCTGAGACTAGGTAATTTATAAAGAAAAGAGGTTTAATTGGCTCATGGTTCTGCAGGCTGTACAGGAAGCATGGCTGGGGAGGCCTCAGGAAACTTACAATCATGGCAGAAGGCAAAGGGGAAGCAGACATGTCTTACCTGGCTGGAACAGGAGGAAGCTGGGGAAGGGAGGTACCACACACTTTTAAACAACAAGATTTAGTGAGAACTCCATCACCAGAATAGCACCAAAGGAGGAAATCCGCCCCCATGATCCAATCCAATCACCTCCTCCTAGGCCCCATCTCCAACATTGGAGATTACAATCTGACATGAGATTCAGCTTTGGCATACAGATCTAAACCATATCACAGTGTAAATATGTTGTTTGTGTATTTCAGATTTAGCTTTTTCCTTCCAGTAGCATCTTAGTTTATAAAATGCCAGAGAACATGTCTTTCTGGGTTGGTAAGATTATATACATATATATTTTAAATAAGTACGATTAAATTCCCATTTTAAGGGCTGTTTATAGCACTAATTTCTGTGTAAAAACTCACTTCCTGAAAGTTCTAACCTAAAATGTGACTAAATATTAGGAACACGGGAAAGCAATGAAGGAAGCAGAGTTGAAAGATATATTTCTTCATTTTCCAATAAAGTAGCACATACCCTACTTATGAAAAACTCATCCTCTAGAATTTTTTTTGCTTGTTTGTTTAAAAAATGAAATTAACAACACTGGCCTTTCTAGCAATGGGTTAAGCAAAGGAGAGTTTGGTTATTTAACTTTATAGATCAACTAATTAGATTAACTTTCACATGCATGGGCTACTATAGAAGGCTGCCTGCCCTAGAAGGTCTGCTATTGGACCTTTATTAAATCCTTTTCCTTTACTTTTTTTGCTAAAGACCATCCTCTAAATTGATATATCTACTAAAAGGACTTGTAAGATGATTTATACAGTAATATTGACACTTTTCAAAATTTGATTAATTTAATAAAATATGGAATTTATTGGTGGCTAGAAAATTAAATGACCTAGGGTACTAAATATAGTTGATATAGTTAAACATAGTTGATATATTTGTATCTTTTTTTTTTTAGATGTATTAATCTTTTCCCTGGTACCTACTATTTTCTAGAGGCTGTGAAAATTGGGGCAGGAAAAGGTTTATTTCATGTGGCTGGTCTCAGAACCTGGTTTTCATAATATTTCGAAAAAAATTTTAAAGTAAGTGCAAAGTTTAATCAGAAATTCAAAAATATTATTACTTTCTGTCCTCATATTTATTCCTATTATGTGATACTTCTTTTTTTAAGAGACAGTCTTGCTCTGTTGTCCTCTATTACCTGGTACTTTTAGGTTTTACGTAGATTTTGGTTTTAGATAGGAGATACTTAAAAATATTAGTATACCAGTGCTGATTGAAATAGAAGCTGTAAAACTTTTTGAACAGTGCAACTAACAATAATATACGTTTAAAAGGAAAACTAAAATTATAAAGTAGAAACTTGAATTTTCAAAAACCGACTTATAGATTAAAAAGGTCTTTTTCAACCTCGCCCAGTGCAGGTTTGTTTAGCTTCAGTCCAGTCCTTTATCTTGCATTTCAGTCTCACCATGTATAAAATGGAATTAATAACAGAAAAGCCCATTCTTTTATTTATTTATTTATTTTGAGACAGAGTCTTGCTCTGTCGCCCAGGCTGGAGTGCAGTGGCGCGGTCTCAGCTCACTGCAACCTCCGCCTCCCGGGTTCACGTCATTCTCCTGCCTCAGCCTCCTGAGTAGCTGGAACTACAGGCACCCACAACCATGCCCGGCTAATTTTTTTTTTTTTTGTATTTTTAGTAGAGACGGGGTTTCACCGTGTTAGCCAGGATGGTCTTGATCTCCTGACCTCGTGATCTGCCCGCCTTGGCCTCCCAAAATGCTGGGATTACAGGTGTGAGCCACTGCGCCCGGCCCTATTTTGTTTTTTACAGCATTTCTTGGATATCATTTAAGTACAATTTTTAGATGTACCAGAATCCAGTGGTGCAATGAGAATAGAAGATGGTAGCATGTTTACCTTTTATTGTTCTAGGTGGTTATCAAAATTAACATATGGCTCAGAATATCATCCTGGAGTCTTGACCGATGACAGCGAAATTATTTGTCAGCCTGGAAATTTTCATGTCCTAAACATATACCAGTTATGGGAGTGTTCATGATTTAAGAATCATAGGTATTCTATGAATTTTTGGCTGCTCTTAAACATTTGTCAATAAACTAATGTTGGTTGGGACCTACAATAAAGTGTAGTTTAGATATTGATATACCACTCATACATAATACAAATGGGGACTTTTAATGACAGTCAGAAAAACGAGAATGATTCACATTAATTTCGAGCCTTCTATGTGTCCTGCATCACCCAGTAGGTATTTCACATATGCTATATGTTTTTTATTACAAAAATAACACTGCAGAGAGCCCATAACTGTTTTCCAGGAATCCTGAATTTTCTCTTTAGTGATGCTACACATACTTACTTTGGACATCAGCAATCTAACTGCCGGCTTTGCAAACTCATTCTTCAAGAGGCAAGTCATTCTTGGTAACAGCGTCCTCAGGAATGAAGCTCCTGCAGTTGAGGTTCAGTGAACGCTGCGTCAGGGATCTGCGCAGCACGTGTGGAACCCAATGAGAGTCCTTGCTGTGCAGGCACCGGGATGCTCACATAGTAAAAACTCGAGTCCATCGGGAAGCCCAGGAACTGAAAGGCATAAAGAAACCGAGTGCTAGAACACGAAGATGACATTTAGACACAGATGCTTTTCTGCAAGTCACCACACTTTAATTTTAAGAAAGGAGACTAGCGATCTATTGAATAATTCATTCCCTCATGGCACTGGTTCAACACCCCAGGCTCCTCTGCTGAGAAGCCTCCTTATGTAGCTGTACTGGACAAGTGCGGTAGAAAAGACAGAACCCAGTGGGGATGACAGAATTCTTTAATTGTCTGCAAAAGAGGAAATCCAGTTGGTGGAGAGAAAAATTATTTCCACATTGGAAAAAAAAGTAATGACAAAAATAAAAAGGCTTTGTCAAATATAGTTCACTCTTCTCATTACTTGCCTTAGTGTTTCAAAGATAAACGCTTTTTGTTACAACACATCACAGATAACGCAACTTCGCCTGACTGAACCCGGCGTGGGGAGACTGCAGAGATGGCGCTCTGCAGCCAAAACAAAGGGTGGGGGAGGGGAGGGGCAATTACAAAAAAGACACCTTATGAAAAAAAATCCCTACAATTCACAAAGCTTGCTACTGAAATTAATTTCAGGTTTCCACGTCCACGGGGACACGTACAGGATTTAAAATGACGATCACGTGGCATCTCTCAGGGCCAAATGGGGCGCATCAAAGCTTCCCCTCGACGTTTATTAACTCTGCAGTCCGTTCTCTACGTCTGCGAAGAATTGGCAGATAACGATGTGTCTGAGAGAAGAGGCGTTTTCTAAGGAGACACACAAAGGGAGTGGGACCCTCCAACCTCACTCTGTGAGAGGAACACCGCACAGCAGTGTGGGGGCTCGAACACCCCAAGAGCGGCAGAGCGCGGTTCAGAAAACATGACCCTTGAAATGCACACAAAGCCTAACAACGTGTCCTCCGCGGAAGAAAACAGCTTGAAAAGGTCGGCTTTGAAGTGACCCAGCGGAAAGGAATCACCCTGGAAGAAACACGCAGCAGCCCCGGGGCAATGCGCGGGCAGGAGGAGCAGCGAGCGCGGGGAGCGCAGGGCCCTTCGGAGAGGGCGCTCCACCGGCCCTGCGCTCCGTACCTGTGCCGCCACGCCCACCGGTCCCCTGCTGAGCCTAGCACCGCCCATTTAGACCCAGCACCACCCGTCCGGACCGAACCTAGCACCGCCCGTCCGGACCCAGCAGCGCCCATTTGGATACTGCACCGCCCGTCCAGACCCAGAACCGCCCGTCCGGACCCAGTACCACCCATCGGACCCAGCGCCGCCCATTTAGACCCAGCACCGCCAGTCCGAACCGAACCTAGCACCGCCCATGGGACCCATCGCCCGTTCGGACCCAGCACCGCCCGTCCAGATCCAGCACTGCACCCCCATTTGGATCCAGCACCGCCCGTCCAGACCCGGACCCGCCAGTCCGGACCGAACCCAGCACCGCCCATCGGATCCGGCGCCGCCCATTTAGACCTAGCACCACCCATCCGAACCGAACCTAGCACCGCCCATCGGACCCACCGCCCGTCTGGACCCAGCACCGCCCGTCTGGAACCAGCACCGCCCGTCCACAGATCCATCACCACCCATTTGGACCCAGCACCGCCCGTCCCCGCCCGTCCGGACCGAACGCAGCACCGCCCATCGGACCCAGCAGCGCCCATTTAGACCTAGCACCGCCCGTCCGAACCGAACATAGCACCGCCCATCGGACCCATCACCGCCCGTCCAGATCCAGCACCGCCCATTTGGATCCAGCACCGCCCGTCCGGACTCTGCACCGCGCGTCCGGACCCAACACAGCACCACCCATCGGACCCAGCACTGCCCATTTAGATCCAGCAGCGCGCGTCCGAACCGAACCTAGCACCGCTGGTCGGGAAGGAACCCGGTACCGCCGGTTGGGACCCACCACCGCCAGTCCAGACGGAACCCTAGCACCGCGCGGGGCCCGCCCTCCGACACCTCCCTCCCTGGCGGCCGCGGCAGCAGCACCTAGTGGAGCGGCCCGGAGGTGCGGCGGCGCCGCGCGGGGCGGCGGCGCGCACGGCGGGCGGCGGCGCGCACGGCGGCGGGCGGGGCGCGGGCGGGTGCGGGCGGCGGGCGGCGGGCGCCGGGCGCACACCGGCCGGCGGGGCTGAGGCGGCGCGGCGCGGCGCGGACTGAGCCCCAGGCGGAGGCCAAGTCGGAGGACGCGGCGCGGCCGCGGAGGCGGAGGCAGCCGCGGAGGCGGAGGCGGCCGGCGGGGGGTGGCGAGGGGCGCCGGGCCCCCGCGGACCTGTCGTCCTCGGCCCGTCCTCCGGCCCCGGCCCCGCGCGGCTGAGGAGGCGCGGCCAGGACCATGTCGGCGGGCGGCCGTGACGAGGAGCGGCGGAAGCTGGCCGACATCATCCACCACTGGAACGCCAACCGGCTGGACCTGTTCGAGATCAGCCAGCCGACCGAGGTGAGCACCGCCGGGCGCGGGGCCTGCGCGACCCCCGCCCGCTGCGCCGCGCCCCGCCCCTCCCCCCCGCCGCCGCCCGCCAGCCGCGGACCCGCCCTCCTTTCCCCCTCCCCCCTCCGCCCCTTCTCTCCCCTCCCCCTCCCCCAGGCCCACCGCGGGCCCCGGCGTCCCCCGCAGCCCCCGTCCCCCTGCCGCGGTGTATCCCGGGGTCGCGCGGGCCGAGCGGGGGCTGGCGGGGCGCGGCAGTCACCTGTTCCCCTCTCCGGCCGCTCACCTGGTGGCTCACCTGGGCCGCCGCCCCCACCCCCGCGAGCGCGGCGCGGCCCCGGCCTCATCCCCGGCGGCGCGGGGGGCGCGGCGGCGCGCGGGGCCGGCGCCCTCCACCTGCAGCCCGGTTGTGGCTCGCGGCGCCCCTTCGCCGTGGCCGGGATGGAGCCTGTGACGCGCGCTGTGCTTCGGGTTCATAAACTTGCAGGCTGCCAGCTGGGAGGGGAAAGTCAGTATCACAAAGTTCGGGAGGTGCGGGCTGCCTGATGGCACAGGCCCGGAGTCGGACGCCTCCGAGGAAAGGCGCGCCTTCTCCACCTTCGGGGCCGCGAGGAAGGGCCCTCTGCGGCGGCCTCTGCCCGGAGGGAGGCGCCGGCCCCAGGCTGGCTCCCTGAGAGGAGGAGGAAATCACGCTCGCTCCTGGCCTGGTAACAATGGGGGTTGTTTATAGCAAAGCTGCTGAAAGCGTTCCGAGCAGCTTTTAAAAAAATGTTTGAGTCCAAGTCCACTAGGAAGGGCTCCGTGGAGAGGGGAGGGAGGTGAAGGGTCGGGGAGCAACCCTGTAAATCGCTCCGCAAGGGTCGGTTCCGCGCTCTGTTCATTCGGTGGCTGCACAGACTTTACCAGCATAAAAAAATTTCACTCAATATTTGTGCCCGTTTAGGAAATCATTTTAATAGCGTCTATTTTTGATTTGTTGTAATAGGTAATTTATAGTTAATACTTGCTATAAAATACTAGCTCCTAGGCAACAAAACATGTTTGGCAGATTTGAACATTCTTACGAAATGTAATCCTTTTATCATTAAATTCCACTTTATGTTTTTGAGAGAATTTGACTATTGCTTCTCTGATTTCTTGAGTTTTTGCCAGTCATGGGAAGGACTCTATTTCTTCTGTTTTCATCTGTACCTGTGACTGCACTTGACGTGGGTAGCTAGCCATTTGTCTTAATACTGAGTTGAATACTGACACACGCCATTAGGCTCAGGTTGTCAATTTGAGCATAGATGTTATGTTAAGTTACTCCTGATTCATTCATCTTCTGTAATGATTTTATGAGTTAGGTTCTAGTAAGGGAGTTAGTACTATGTACTTAAGTGTTCGTTCATAGACTAGTGTATCTTTAGAAAGGTGACATGATAATTTAGTTTCAGGATTATGTTTTCTTTTAGAATAATGAATTCATTTTTCTTTTTATCACAAGGTAAAAAAAGTTGACCATAAAACATTTTCTTGGTGTGTAGCTTTTTTTTTTTGTTTGAATGGATTTTTTTTTTTTTTGAGAGATTTCTCAAGTCTGGTGGAAAGGAATCTTTTTTCGGTTTAATAAAGAGAATTCAGCTTTTTGGGATTTTGAATTGAGTTAGCATTAAAAAAATCTCAAATCAGAAACATTATAGTTCATTGATTTAATTAAATTCTATTTTAAGCACTCAATTGAAACTTTTTATTTCTTAGTGATATGACTAGTTTTTAAAATTGGCCTGTCATTTGGAAAGCTGTTTTTTCAGTTATACTGTAGGTGAAAGTTTGCTTTGTACATACACTGAAGCAAAACAAGAATTGAAGGACTTGGAAAAAAAGATGATATATTTCATTTCCTAATTTTTCTCCCTACTTATATCTGAACATTTCCATTTTTAGAAATTATTCTTCAGAATTGTATTAGAAGCCTTTCATAATGAAATGAATGGTTTTTAAGAATGTCCATATATTGGTTTTTTAGCTTTTTTACTATATAGTGGCTGGCTCACATTTCTATTTTGTTTTCTCGAGAACTTTCCTGTACTATTAAATTTATTCTGGTCCTAGTTAAGCTTTGCATTTAACATATTGTATCTTTTATTATGATGTAGGTAAACTTAATATGAGTAATTCTCTCAGCCAGTATTTCAAGGCCAACAGTTTCAATTTGCTTTGTCTAAGCTCGTGTGAATTTTTTTTTTTAACCATCTAATGATTATTTTTACTCTATTTGGCCATCACAAGTCCAATTTTTTAGTTTTCTGCAAGAACAGAAGCATTGTACTGGTCCTTATCAGATGTTCAGTAGATGTTGAACAAATTCACTGCAGGAGTTGATTTGTAGAAATAAGATTTAAGCCTTGTATTTATTTACTTGGGTAATCTTTTTATGTGTATGAGAGTATAGTTGTGGGTTTTCTTTTGTTGTTTTTTTTTTGGGTACAGTGATAAGTATCTGTTTTCAAATTTTATAACTTCATTAATCATCTATGATTGGTGGTTTCAGGCAGCTTTGATAACCACTGATAATTTTGTGGTTTCTGTGTTTAGGAAGATGATAAACTTGGTTCTTTGGATTACATTCTTTTTTTAAGAAAACTAGAGTATGTTTTAACATCATCCTGGCTAAGTTTGCTTTTTCCTTTGTATTCACATTTGTGGGTAAAGGAAGGGCTTACAAAGAATAAGCAGGCTATCACTGGAGTATTTTTCAGGCTCTTTGTCACTTGGATCCTAGATTCATTTGGAATTTGTAAAATGAGAGTTGATCTGAACCTGATGTTGTTATTTTATAACCAGGAGATTGATGCTAAGCTGACTTAATGTCTTGATTACTATGAAAAGCTGTAGCTCACAGAAACTCCTTAAAGTATGTATAGTCCCTCCTTTGCTTATTTTTAATGTTACAGCTTGTTTTCTTTTAGGGATTCCTGGATAATTATGGCAGCAGAGTCCTTTTAATCTTTCCTGTCACCTCCTTAGAAGAGGGCTTCTCTGGTTATCCAAAGGTCTCCCTGTTGGTTTTAACTTACCAGACTTGTCATTGTCATTGGTATGTCTGTCTCCCTCTTATTACACGAAGGCAAGAGTGTAGAATTTTCTTGGATAATTGTTCTGTATCTTGCATGGTAGGAGCTCAATAAATATTGTGTGGAAAGAATGTTGAATATGGCCTTCATTGTATATACCTTTATTCATGACAAAATATGGCATATATGCTTTCTAAAAATGTAGTGAAGAGTGTTTATTAGGCCAGTGAGTATTTATGTTTTCATGTCTTATTCTTAGTTTTGCAAGAAGCTTACACTTAAATGCAGAAATTATGCTAGGTAATTGACTATTTAGCTTCACGAGATACTTCTTAAAGTCATTTATTTTTTATTGGATTTATTGCCTCCTTCTTGCCCTGATGGTAAAAATAACCCAGAATTTATGTGGACACCTACATATGCTTTATTACAGGTGAATACATTACATTTTAATACTCTGATTAATCGAGAAGTAATGTGGTGATTCATGTTTTCTGGAGATGTGTGTAAGAAATAACTTTGTCAGCAGAGGTGGAGTAGGAAGTCTTCAGGTGAAGTGGTAATAATTGCATAACTTATAGCTACATCTATATTCCAGACTAATATTAGCTTGTGACTATGCTTTATCATACAACTGAACTATATTTGAAACTTTTTTTTTTTTTTTTTTTTTTTTTTGAGTCAGAGTCTCACTCTCTTGCCCAGGCTGGAGTGCAGTGGCACGATCTCAGCTCATTACAACCTCTACCTTCCAGGTTCAAGTGATTCTTGTGCCTCAGCTACCTGAGTAGCTGGGATTACAAGCATGTGCCACAACATCTGGCTAGCTTTTGTATTTTTAGTAGAGACGGGGTTTTGCCATGTTGGCCAGGCTGGTCTTGAACTCCTGGCCTCAGGTGATCTGCCTGGCCTCCCAAAGTCCTGGGATTACAGGCATGAGCCACTGTGCCTGGCTGTCAATAGTTGTATTTTTAAATATTGGTACTGCTGAAGATCTGTTTCTGGTGACTGATGTTTTAATGAGATGGATGATTGCCAATGATGTATTTTTAGTATTTATAGGCATCCCTATTTTTTATTTTTGATAAGTTGAATCTCATTGGTGGTTATAACCTTTTAAAAATCTTTTATTTCCTTTAATAACTGGTTACGTTTTATGTTTGATTCGGTGTGTTCTTGTAAGTCTGAGGGACAGCTCTTATCTAACAGTGTTGAGTCATCTTAAGTTGAAACTACATCTAGGCTAGTTTCAATTTGCTGTCTTCCTGCCAGTGAAAAATAATTTTATTTTACATAATTTGCAGACCTGATGGAAAATAAGTGTTATAACTGTAGACTTTTATAACACTATCAAACTGTGATTGTGGTTAAATTAATAGTGGCAGACTAGCAGAAGTGGGTCTTTCATATTCTTGAAAAACAGGGATCATAAATGATTAGGATATGATACCAAATTGGTGAGAAGCTTAAGAAACGTTTATGATTGTCATTAAGGATTTGATTGAGCAATTGTAGTGTATAAAGCATTATTTCTAGGTGTTGGTTAATCTGGTAGCATAGACTAATTTGTTTATAAACAGTTTTACCAGACTTGAATTTTGGTGTAATGTCAGACAGTGTGTACTAATAAGTAGGATAGCATTTATTTTGATATAAACATGTTTCTTTATTATAAATAAAATGTATATGCAGGTAGCAGTTATTGAACATATGAGACTGAACTCATTTGAAAATTATTTTCAGGTTAGATTGAGTCTTGATTTCTGCTGTTGTTCAAATGTTTGCTATTTCTGTTAGTTTTCTGGCTGATAGTATATAGGATATACCCATTCACCTTGTAGATACTTAAGACAGAGATCAAATGTATCTGTCTGACCTACATTTACACTTGTAAGTTGGATACTGAGCAGTGTGCCAAATCCCACAGACCCTTTAACCAGTTCTGGGCATGTCGGAGTTGGCTAACGCTGATGTGCTGATAGGGCCTGAAAAATCTACCGGTGGGCTTCCAGTTCGTGTCTCTCTATGTGGGAGTTCATAGCAGGAGTGTGCGTGTTCTAAGAATTGTACCGTCTTTGTTAATGAGTAGAAGATTTTTCTGAACATTTCTCGTTGTGTGTAACTGGGCTAAAGCAGGCTGAGAGGTGGCAAGGGAGATCTTTGCCTAGCTGAAGTCATCTGGTTGAGATTTTATTCTAGCAACCATAAGAACATAAAATTCACTAATCATTTTGACATATGTGATTGACCAAAACCATATTAGAATTTAATTTAGAAAGTGAATGTGCTTAATAAAGTGAGAATAAGCATATAGAGAGGTGGTTCAAATACAAGCAGGAAGGTATTTTCCCAGTGTATTTCCAAAAAGGATAATTTGAAGTTTTATACTTACAAATTTATGCATGTATGTCATGAGTGAAACTCTTTTGAGGAACTGAAATGGAATAGTTTACTATGGCTGGAAAAGAGCCAAAATTTTTGTGCTTTTGCTCACAAGAAATTTAATGTTAAAATTGTATGGCTTACAGAAAATAAGCAATGTCAACCTTGGTTGCACATGTTTACACTTTGCTGTGTTTTTAGGCTGAATATACACAACTTGCTTTACCTTGTAAGCGTCACTCCTTTGTAGTTAGAGTGGCTATGTGGAACCCTGTGAGTACAAGTGGGCACTATTAATAATTATACCAGGACAACAGCCATAAACTGGAGTTGTCTCCTTTAACTCTAGGTATGAACAGGTTGGACTTGCTGGCACTGTTTTTTCAGTTTCTGCAGTTTCAAACTTCCTGAAGTTTATTAGTGCCTGACTGACCTAGGCTGACAGGACAAGACCATTTTCACAGAATATTCAGACTTTTTTGTGGGTGTTTTAAAAACCATCTTCCTCTTCGGTAGGGTGGAAGCAGGCTGAAAAGTACATATTGCAGTTGAGGCTAGCTCTAGTCTAGCTCTGCCACTGACTATAGTAACAACAGCAGGATAGGTTGTTTCCAAATTAGGAAGTCGTGCCTTGCCTCCTAAAACTCCACCTGAAAGTGCCTTTGATTTTCAGAATAGAAGAAAGGTTGACCCAACATTATGATCCGTGAAAAAAATGCTCATTTGTTTGTTGTTTGGGGGGTGTTTTATTGGCTGAGTGGTGCAGTGGGCTGTTCTATTCAGAATCCTAGCAAGTTCTCTTGCTTGAGTTCATACATGTTCTATTAAAGGAAAATCAGGCGGTTTCTGCTCTTTGCAGACTTAAAACTTTTGGTTCTTCCAAGAATTTGCTTTCTCTTTATTCTTGTTTGCTCATAGTGGTACTTTCCATTGTGGTCTACTTATTATTCTAGTTCCTGATTTTTTTATAGGAGAACCAACAAAAATTCTGTCAATTTTTTCACTGTTAACCAGCTTTTGGTACTGAGCTTTGAGGTTGCCAGTTTCCCTCCTCCTCTTTGACTTCGGTTCTGTATGTTAAGTAGAGAAAATGAAATGGGAGTAACAATATGGTCACTCTCAGACACTATCCACTGTTTTAAAAACATTGTATTTTTAAGTTTTATAATCTCTTATAAACATGCTTAGTATAAAATTCATAGATTGAGGACATATCTTTCAAATATGTTATTTTAAATATTGTTATTATTATCCAAATAAACTTCTGAGTGCTGCAGACTCCTAGATGCTCATACAGTATACCATGATTTTACATAGGTTGCAAAGAACATTTGTTTTTCAATAATATGATTTTACACGAGCTTTTTAATGAGTTATTAGGTTACATTACATTACACTTTTTACATTAATTTCATTGGGAAAAACTTGGAATTTTTTTTTAAATTTTTTATTTCTGTAGGTTTTTGGGGAACAAGAGGTATATGGTTACTTGAGTAAGTTCTTTAGTGGTGATTTGTGAGATTTTAGTGCATCCATCACCCTAGCAGTGTACACTGAACCCAGTTAGTAGTCTTTTATCTCTCATCCTCTTCCCACCCTTTTCCCCGAGTCCCCGAAGTCCATTGTGTCATTCTTAGGCCTTTGTATCCTCATAAGTGCTCGCACTTAGGAGCGAGAACATATGTTTGGTTTTCCATTCTTGAGTTACTTCACTTAGAATATAGTCTCCAGTCCCATCCAGGTTGCTGTGAATGCCATTAATTGGAATGATTTTTGTTGTTGTTGTTGTTTCGGTTTTTTTTTTTTTTTTTTTTTTCGAAAGGTATAAAACGTGATAGATGGAACACTGGACTACATCTTGAATAACAAGTCACGGTGCATCACACCATGAAAACACCCCTCCTGCCACCCATGGAACGATTCTTTTTAAGAGGCATTGGGAATAAAACCAGTTGTGTCAAGGATTCTAGTTTGAACTTACTTTATTTTCATTTCTGCTGTCCTCCTTTGGAAGATTCTTTTAAATACTTTTCATACTCTATACAGTGGCTTATCCCTGTAATCCCAGCAGTTTGGGAGGCCAAGGCAGGAGTATTGCTTGAGCCCAAAAGTTTGTGACCAGTCTGGGCAACACAGTGAGGTCCCGTCTCTACCAAAATTTAAAAAAAAATTAACAAGCAGGGTGGCACATACCTGTGTTCCCAGCTTCTTGGGAGGCTGAGGCAGGACGATTGCTTGAGCCCAGGAGGTCAAGGCTGCAGTGACCTATGAAGGAGCCACTGCACTGCACTGCAGCCTGGGTGACAGAGTGAGACCCCATCTCAAAAAAGAAAAACATTTGTCTGCCTTGCACTTTGAATGGTTCTTTTACTCACGTGTGATTTTCTTCCCTCTTGTTGATTATTAGGAAAATATTGATTCACTGAGTTATGCAGATCTACTAAATGTTGATAAATTTCCTTAAACAATAACAAAATGTTAACCTTTGTTAATATCACCACTGATCTCATCAGAAAAATTGTAAGTATAGGGAAGCTCTCAAACTCTCAGTAGTGGATACAAGTTTTTAAAAAATTTTCATTTCAGAGCTCAAATTTTATTATTGACATCACTGTCATAGGCAGCACTTGAAGAGATAAGCTTGCGTTATTCATTTTTGACAAAATGTCTGTCAAATATCTAAGCCTAAATAAGCATAGTTGTTCTTTCAAGTAAAAAAATGGTGTTCCATGAAAGAAGTGACTAATTCAATTCACAACTTAAACAATTGCTCATATACTTTTTTTTTGAGACAGCTGTCAAGCTGTGGTATGCAGAAGGGCTTTATGTATGCCTCCCATTTTGGCACATAATTGAACAAAGAAACGTACTCAATTTTCAAGGAAATCAGTCATTTTTTTCTGTTGTACCAAAGACATTCTTAAGTGAAACTGGCTTTTTAAAAAAGTTTGCATGGTAGTAAAAAATACGTTTTGTATATAGTGCATTTTGATGCTACTGCCTTGATTTGGTGCTAAGGTGCCATCAGCTATACTCATCATTGCTTTGACCATTCATGCAAATTCCAACAAAATGAGAAAGGCTAATACTGTCAAAATATTACTAAGAAAATAGTTTTGATCTCACAGATGACCTGAAAGGGTCTCAGAGAACCTTGGGGGTTCATGGACTGCAGTTTATGAGCTGCTGCCCTAGAATGTTTAGTGATGAGTTTTAGGGCTGATTTAAAAAATATGTGTGTTCTAAGGTAGATATTATGTGGTTTTCCAAGTAAGGCTATAATATAAACGTATAATATTTAAAATGTAAACATAGGGCTCATTATTATGGAAGTATACATTTCAACATTTATTTTACGCATTATATATTTTCTGTATTTATAAATGCCTCCTTTTAATTTTTAGTTATCAGTGCTAAGATGCACACATTTACATTTTTGTGACTTGAGAATACTGGCCACAAGCTATTAGAGTGATGACCATCAAGTTTTATTACTTGAATTCACTCGGGATGTGACCTAAGCCACACCTACTTATGGGACATTTTCAAGTTCTACTTATAGATCTTGTAGTTCAGGGAGCAGTGGCGTCTCATGTATTCAGCACAATGTGGAGTTATGCTGTTGTTTAATGTGGCTTAGGCCTTCTGGCACTTGTCTGCCCCTTCAGTCTCCGTCTCCCAAATATAAACTCTTGAGTTAGCCAACCATCGGCTGTGTAAAGACGTCTTTTTCTCCTACTATGTTTAGTTGTATTTTCCCTTGGCTTATTTCCTGAGAAACAGACACACAAACACAGACAGTATTTTATGTTCTAAGACCAATCACGCACATATGGATTTTTAATACTTCAAAATAATATGTGGATATATTAAAAAAATACGTGTAGTAAAAACAAAATGTCAGAGTACTGCATTTATATTTAAGATTAGCATCACTTAAGATTAGTTTTATTTCTACGTAGTGGCACCTTGTTTTGCACAAAATATATTGTGTTGTTAATTTATGGATGAGTGCAAATGCATTTTGAGTTTTTAAGTCACCAATTTAATTGTTATAGATAGCATTACTAAACTATTATGATGGTACACAATTTTTAACCGTTTAGTGCATCATGCTTATTAGCAAACATTGTTTTAATTTATCAGAACAATATAATACAGATAAAAAATTGTAGTTGGTGAATATATGAATTTGTAATGATTCTTTTGTAAAGCAGCTAAGCTTTCGTTGATTCAGAACTCTGCCAGGAGTACCATGGACAGTGTTTTTACTGAATTTAATGTTTATGACCTCGAATATTTAAAAATGTGTTTTTAATTTAAGATTGGCAAAGGTGACTTCAGTGAGTTCATAGTACAATTAAAGTGGTTTTTGTGACAAACTTGCTGATTTTAATTTATAAAAAATATATTTTATTACCTTCATGACATTGTTAGTTTTGAGAATATGAAGGACAGTGAAATTAAGACTAGTAAATCAGGAAAAACATTAAAAAATATTTATGATATGGCTTATTTTTAAAGTATATTCTTGCAAATATGATTAGACATGAAGGAGCTAGTATGTTTGCTTCACTATAGTAAGATACATTTAAAAAATATTTGCTTCTTTCCATTATTCAAATATGCTTATTTTAGAGCATTTGGAAAATACAAACAGAAATGAAGGTAACAAATTACCTAGTGTTCTGCCATCTGAAGAAATGAGTTGCTTTTCAGGCTTTTTTTTTTTTTTTAACATTTTATTTTATTTTGGAAAAAAGTTTGCGTGTATGTTTAGCTGTATCTGCTTATTAGTTGTTTACATCTTTAGTACTGAATCGTGTTTCTTAACCAGCCATGCATCTGTCAGGAATCTAGTTTTTAAAGTCACCTAAGTTATTCTGATAGTAATTGTAATACATCACATGTAGTGAACACATGTGATATATACCTGACATTAGTGTAAATGCTTTGTGTATGTTATCTTTTTACGTTCTCCTGTGAGGTATGTCCTTTTGCTGTTCCCATTTCTGGATGAAGAACCCAAGGCACAGGGAGATTAAATAACTTGCTTCAGGGTATGCAAAACTAGTAAGCCACAGAGCAGTGATTGGAACCCAGATCCTCTGACTCTGGAACCTTCTCTTAAGCACTATGTTTGTAAAATCCAAAAATTTAAGGTCACTGCAATGAAACCAGTGTTTGGAAGTTTTATAGGAAAATAATATCCAAGTAGAAAATTTGGAATGTAATTTTCAGGAAGAACCACAGGCATAATGTAATAAAACATCTCTTCTGTTTTATTTGGATCATATACTTATGTGCATATATATTTATTTCATACATAAATACATGATGTATTGATTTTCATCTAGACTTTTTAAAGCCCTATTATAATTTTATCATTGTGATAGTAGATTCTGTGTTTTGTAGCCAAGGTGACACATGCCATATTTTATTTTGTAACTATATACAAACCTTGTATCTTATATAGCATCCAGAAATTGGAATATGAATGAGGAGTTCAGTGAAGAAGTCTTCATAGCTTCACTGATTACTTTCTTAGGCCTATAGGAAAGAAAGGAGGTCAAGACCTACCCAAGGTTCAGATGCCTTTTTGACAGCATTGGCTGTGACGCTGCGCTTGTGGAGATCGTTGTGCCTGCTCATGCCATCTCGCCATCTCGCTTAGTCCCTGTCCTCTTACTGGGCTTCCTCTTGGTGCTGCCTTGCCTGACTCTGCTCTGGATGTTGCCCTAGCCCTTCCCTGGTCTGTGCTTACAATTAAACAATAAACAAAATGTGTTTATTCTGTGACTCTTGGAGACTCTGGTTCTCCTTACTGCCATCACTCAGTTAATTTTGTGTCATAAAGTTTTATTTACACATTAACTAGCAATTTTTCCCCAGATAACATTTGAATTTTAACAATCTTCGAGAGGTTATCTTTATTACCAACAGTTCCTCAACATCTACTGAACAAATACTTGCATTTCCAAATGAAAAGGGTGAATCTCAGACACAGTGGCCTGTTGTACCTTCTTACATCCTACAGCCCATCTTCTCTGGTGATGAGCCTTTGTTTTTCCTTCTTGTAAGAAACAGTGAAGCTTGGCGAGTAACCCTGGAGGAGGTTTCTAGGTAGGAAGTTAGGAATATTTTTCTTTCATGAATCATGGGTGCTCTGAATATTTGATTTTAAGAACCACATATTAGCCTACCTGATATTGTGATGAGAATAAACTAAGACTACTCACTCTGCTAGTGTTGTAAGATGCTTAGATGCAGGTAACTTCAATTGCTCACCCATTATATTTTCCTTATTTCTATCGGTTTAATGTAGCGTTTGCCTTTAGATTCTTGTGGCCAATATTCTTGCATAAAATATAATTTAACTTCAAAAACTTTTTTTTTTAACCAAGTGGCACCCAACCATGAAGTGCTACCTGTTTATAATTTGTGTAGCTGCTGAACAGTAGCTTCTGATAAATCAGTAATGTTAACATTTTATTAGTGTAATGGCATCTTAGACATTTTATTTTAGTATGTAATTACAAATGCATGTTTTTGAGAAACACTTCAGATTTTACATTAAATGTAATGGAAATTATTGTTTTCATGAACTGATGCCTATGAACAGCAAACGTTTCGGAAATAGTTATGTGCCTGTTTCATGGGCCGAGAAGCATGGGAAATTGTTTCTGTTGTTTACTTTTTTTTTTTCCAGTAATGGCTTAGCCCTATTAAAATTATGGACATTTAAACATTTTTCTTCAATTGTAGGGATTTATATGAGGATAATGTACTTATTCATTCAGACTGGTATTTATTGAGAGCCTGTTAGGAGTCAGACTTTGTCAGAGATGAAGGAATGAAGTAATCTGTGATCTCAAGGGAGGAAGTGAACAATTACCTAATGAGCTTGCTGTGCCTTAAGAAGAGGGAGCGGTAACTGGCACTGAGATCTGGGGCTTGACGTTGACTCCTAGCCCTCCCACTCAGTACATGTGTTCCTTTCTGTCTCCATTTCCACGTTCACTCATTGAGTGGTCATCCACTATATGTAAGTTTTGCTGAGCATGTGACACTTAATTGACACATGGTCTTTTTCTCAAAAAGCTCCCATTTCAGTATGGGAGATAAATTGGGGAAAAATGGCAGTAGTATGGTAAATACTCTATTTGGGTGGTGGGAATCAGGCACATGGTTACAGACTGGAGTCTCTAGATGAGAAGGAATATTCTATGGGGAAGAGGGGACCGGCATTCCTGCAGCAGAGATGTGTCCTCTTTGTACCCATTGTGTGTACACACTGTACTAGCACAGTGGTGCCGCGCTGAGCAAGAGGAGCACTGCAGCTGCGGCAGAATCTCATTGTGGTGGAAGACAGGCACAGCAAGCAAGCAGAGTGTGTTCAGGGCTGTGAAGAGGGGAGACCCGGTAGGTAGCTCATGGGCGGTGGACCTTTCCAGGATTTGTCAAGTCAGGGAAGCTTAACTGAGTTCATTTTAGGAAGTGATGTTTATTCTGAATCCTGAAAAATTTGTAGGAAATAGCTGGGCAAAGGGGTAAGGCTTGAGACCTTATTTAAAAACATTCAATTTGGTTGAATCTGTGCGCAGACATGTGTGAATATGCAGGCCCATTTTGTGGCTTGCAGATTGTACTGTTCCTCGTTATTCACTGTCCTCCTTGTAAGAGGATTATATGGCCTTTGCCCTTTTGACATCAAGTTTGACCATGTGACTTTCTTTGGCCAGTGACAGATACGGTTTCTGAGCAGAAGCTTGAAGTCCATTTCATGGTTCTGTCATTGCCTTTTTCTGTCATCCGTGAATCAGTGTGTCCCATGCTGGGGCTCATTCTTGAACCATAGTACCAGAATGAAGATGACTAGATCAGAGCTCCAGCTACTCACAGAATGATATGTTATTGTGAGAAAGAAATACAGCTTTGTTGTTGTAAGCTGCTAAGATCTTGGGGCCATGTGTTTTCATAGCATCATGTTGTGACTGAGAAGAGTACTATATGTGTGTCTGTGTGTACATGCAAGTGTACATACTAGTTGGTTTGGGGCTGAGGAGCCAGTTGCCAGTTATGAAACCAAAGGTGTAAATCATGGTCAGTTCTTATGGGCCTTGTAAGCCAAGTTAAGAACATTCAAGATGAAAGAACATGAGGAGGTTGACAGTTCAGATGGACCTCCCTGGCAGCCGAGTCTGTGGAGTGAAGGGAGGGAAGTTAAAAACATTCGAGATGAAAGAATGTGAGGAAGTTTGCAGTTCAGATGGACCTCCGTGGCATCTGAGTCTGTGGAGTGAAGGGAGGGCACGCTTGGAGGCGGGGCCTTCAGGCCTTCCTGCGCTTGTGTCTGTGAGATAAAGGCCTGAACTAAGGTAACAGGGAAGGAGAAAATGAAACTGAAGGAGGTAAACTGGAATTTGGAGACTGACGAGGAGAGAAAGGAAAGCATTCCAGGGAAACCCCAGTTTTTTGCTTGGCTACTTTGGGTAGGTGATGGTGTCATTAACCAGAATCAAAAATGTCAGTGGTAGATTAGATTTGAGTGGGGAAATAAAAAGTTCTCTTTGAGATACACCAAATTTGAGGTACTTGTGGATTTCCCAGAGGCATCCTACATAGGCACTTAGGAAGAGAGCCAGGGGATTCAGGGTGATTGTGTAGGTAGCAGGTAGCCAAGGCGTAGAGGAGACTACAAGGAAAAAGTTGTGTGAAGAGAGACAAGAACCTAGGACAGAAAGCCTGAGAACAAAATATCTTGTGGGCTGGGGAAGGGGAACTGGCTAAGTGTACTGGAAGGGAATGGGCATAGAAGTCCAATACAGGAAAAAAAAAATACTGTACAACGATGTCAGATCAGGAGAGGAAAGTTTAGAAAGTGTCACCTACTAAACTTCGTCCTCCATGATCTTGCTTTAAAGTTTGTTAAATTGCATTTAATTTAATTTCTACTCTCTGGTCTTGCTTCATAGTTTTTTCGGTATCCTCTTAAATGCCCCCCTTCCTAGCATTCTGTAAAGTTTCCTATTCTTTGATCATCTGTGATGTCCATAATATATCAGTTAGAGTGTTTCAATTTATGTTGCTAATTTTTTTTTTCTACTACTGGAAACATTTTTATGATTGTTATCTATTTTATTACTTCAAGAGCGCTCTGGATTCTCACCGATGCCTTTCTTCTTTTGAGATCCCATTCCTCTGGGACTTTGCAGCTGCCCTTTCATTCCTTCTGTCTTACTTCCCTTCCTCTCTGTCCTTTCTTCTTACCTCCCATTCACTCATCTTTGGGCTTTTCTCTTCTGTTAAAAGGCACTCAGGTTTTGTTTTTTAATTAAAAAAAAAACTTTGCTAAAGTTTTGTAACTCTTCATGTTTTGTCTCATCATTCATTAAACAAACATTTCTACTCCAACTTACTGCAGGAATTATCCCTTTCCCCCATCTACTCCTGACTCATTTAACCCTTGCCTTTCTTGCTTCTATCCCCAAAACACTGCTAGAACTGCCTTTCTTGATAGCCTTGATTTCCTGATTACCAAAACCAGTTGCCCACTGTGGGACCATAAAAGGCTTTATTTACCACCCTTTTTTTTTCTTGGTAATGATACTAGCCTCTTTCTGGAGCTATTCTTTCCTTATCTCCCTTAGTTGACTCCATTTTGCTCATGTCTCAGGACAGTGTGTATTGTAATGCTGGATTCTTGATGTTCTTCTACTCATTCTCTCAATTAAAAAATGCCCCATAATTAACTATGGGGCCACAATCCTGAGGTCAAGGAGGCACATTGATAATGACTCTAGCTGACATAATATACTTAGCATTTATTGACTTCAAACTGTGTATGCTTATTTAGATATTTAAAAATTTGGCTGGCATTCCTGGGTCACAGTATATACTCTGCAAGATGGGTTGATGGAGAGCCTGATTTCGTGGTAGCTGCTATTTACTGGGCTGTCTTCCTTCCTCTCCTCCACTAGGATGTATTATTTCACATACTTGGTTTCATCTCACTATGTTGACATATTGCTTTCATCACAGAATCTGGACTGCATATTTCTAGGTGAAGTAATCTAGGTGATGATTTACCTATACTAAAATCCAGTATTGATTTTCAATTTTAGATTGGCAGTCAATTGAGAATATTGCTCAGGAAATGCTGGCTTTTGCTGTTTTTCAAGTCCTCTGCCTTGGTGGTTGTCTTTAGCATCTCCAGTAAAGTTTTATAAAAACACATGAGCTTTTAGTCATTTGCTACTATCTGTAAATAAAGGTCTACAAAAAAAAACTAAAACTATGTTTGATTTTGGTGGCCAGTCTTGGAAGAGAGGAATTGAGGAAATACAGTAGTTAATGAGTAGTGGCATAGGATAGGGGAGGAAAATAAATTGAATCCTGGAGTTTCAGTAGGAATCAAGTGCACTTGGGTAGCTGACAAAGTTGGGATTTGACTTATTGCTCCAGTATTCTCTCTTAGATTAGCCTATGTGCAAATATTACCTCCACATCGTAAACTTGATTGGTCTCTTTGCTTCTAGTCCATTCTATACTCAAATGTTACATTAATGTCCCCAATATTTCATCACCTGGAGGACTCCAGACTGCTAAAATGCCCCTTTAGCAATTCCTGACCTCTTCTCCCTACAATATGAGAAGAAAAAGTTGCTGTAGGGAAATCTACTAAAAGTCAAGGATGTGACAGTATTCCTCACTGAATTAAGCACTAAGTATAAGAGAGCTATTTTATTGCTAAGATTGATGAATGGGCATTAGTACATTGTTAATGCACTTAAAAGGGTATTGCACTAAACTTGAGCTCTTTGAGGACAGAGACCAGGCTGTGTGGTCTTCCAGAGGAGGACACAATGTGCACAGTGGATAATTGAAGAATGCATGCATTAAGAAATTAATGAAAGTTGATCGGTAAGGACATAACTGTCATACACAAACTCAGCACAGTAAATTTGAAGACTTTTATTTAAAGCTTTGAAAGTCTGGCCCCTTGCTGGGCTTGTGTAGATTTCTTTAGAAATAGGATAACTTACAGCAAAAATTTATTAAATATAAGTAGCTCATTGCAGATATTCATGATTTGGTAGTACATTGTAAGAAATAATAGATTTATTCTGAGAATATGCTGCTGCTTTTCACCTGGTACTATAATCTGCTCATATAATTAGAACCTTTTGTGTTAACATTTCAATATCTGACTAAAGGAGAAACACCTTGGGATAGTTAGGCTGTTGAAGACTAATGTAAGCTTTTTCAGGTGGGCAGTAACTGACCTGTTTTACTCAAAGGGAAACTTAAGTTTTATAGCAAGAGATATGGAGAGCTTGTATTTATTAAGATTTATGTGGATAAAATTTAGTTCGTGTTTTTTGAATTGAGTCTGTAGGGTAAATTTGAAGGTCTCCCTTTCTCCTCTGAATTCTAGCTATCCAGACATAGCCACTGTAAGGAATTTTTACAGTGTGTCTTTCCCAGTTTTGCTCTTGTAGACTCAAAAATGAAGTGTGTGTGTGTGTGTGTGTGTGTGTGTGTGTGTGTGTGTGTTTTGAGATGAGATCTTGCTGTGTTGCTCAGGCTGGTCTCTTAAATCCTGGGCTCAAGCAATCCTCCTGCCTCCCAAATAGCTGGGATTACAGGAATGCACCATTGTAGCACAGCTGTATTTGAATTTTGTTTTACAAAAATTGGATCGTAGGATATACACTTTTCTGCAACATGCTTTATTAAAGAAATTCTCCCATATTTCTATAAAACAAAAGTATGTATAAATATAATTATCTTTTTAGTAGCTGTATAATCCATGTAGTAATCATTTTCTTAACTATTAATGAACACTTTGACTGTTTCCACAGTACACTGTTTCAGTAATGCTGCTATGAACATTTTTATACACATATCTTTCTATACTTGGGTATTTCCATAAAATAGATTCCTATGAGTGCAATTTGAGTCAAAGGCTGTACTTGTTGAAAATATTGATAGACTACCAAGTTATTATTCAAAAGGTAGGGGGCCCTCCAGTTTATGCTGCCACTGTTGTGACTATGACCCTTTACCTAACACTGCATATTATGAATTAAACTTTTCAGTCTGACAGGTAAAAAGTAATGTGTCATTGGTTTTAAAATTTGTAATTCCTTATTCATTGTTGAGAATGAGCATCCTTTTCTTTTCTTTTTTTTTTTTTTTTTTTTTGGTTTTTGAGACAGGGTCTCACTCTGTCACTCAGGCTGGAGTGCAGTGGCGCGATCATAGCTCACTGTAGCCTCGACCTCCCAGGCTCAAATGATTCTCACGTCTCAGCCTCCTGAGTAGCTGGGGCTACAGGCATGTGCCACCATGCCCAGCTAATTTTTAAGAAATTTGTATAAAGATGTGGTCTCACTATGTTGCCCACACTGGTCTTGAACTCTTGGGCTCAAATGGTCTGCCTGCCTTGGCCTCCCAAAATGCTGAGATTACAGACACGAGCCACTGCACTTAGCAGGGCATCTTTCATGAATGTTTCTTGCCATCTTTATTTTCTTTCTATGTGAAGTGCCTGTTTTTCTGTCAAGAAATTTGTTTTATTCTCGTCAATTTTTATGGAAAATCCTTTTTAAATAAACATTTTGATGTTTTACTGTGTTTATAAATAGTTTTTCCTACTCAGTCATTTTGGTCTTCTGATTTTATGGTATTTTTGCTATTAAATGAATATTTCTTTTCTTTTCTTTTTCTTTTCTTTTCTTGCTTTTTTTAGACAGAGTTTTACTCTTGTTTCCCAGGTTGGAGTGCAATGGCGCGATCTTGGCTCACTGGCACCTCCACCTCCCAGGTTCAAGCGATTCTCCTGCCTCAGTCTCCCTAGTAGCTGGGATTACAGGCAGATGGTATTTTTAGTAGAGACAGGGTTTCGCCATGTTGGTCAGACTGCTTTCCAACTCCTGACCTCAGGTGATCCGTCTGCCTCGGCTTCCCAAAGTGCTGGGATTACAGGCGTGAGCCACCACGCCTGGCCTAAATGAATATTTCTTAATACTTTGTTTTCTTATTTTTAGGGGACTTGAAATTTAACTAAAAAGACTGAGTGAGCACTTATTTTTTAAAACCCAAAATATCTTAGTGTATTAGTCTGTTTTTACACTGGTATAAAGAACTACCCAAGACTGGGTAATTTATAAAGGAAAGAAGTTTAGTTGAATCAGTTCCACATGGCTGGGGAGACCTCAGGAAACTTAACAATCATGACGGAAGACAAAGGAGAAGCAAGCACCTTCTTCACAAGGTGGCAGGAGAGAAGTGAGTGCAAGCAGGGGAAATGCCAGATGCTTATAAAACCATCAGATCTCCACTCAGTCACAAGAACAGCATGGGGGAAACTGCCTCCATGATCCAATCACTTCCCTCCCTTGACATAAGGGGATTATGATTCGAGATGAGATTTGGGTGGGGGCACACAGCCAAACCATATCACTTGAGTTACAGCGGATAGCTTGGACCCCATTCCTTTTACATCTAGTAGGTAGCAGTTTATCAGAGCTTGGGCGGTCTTTTTTTTCCTTAAATGAGGTTCAAATTTATTAAACTCTCTGTGACTGGACTGCGTGGTATCGAAAGAAGCCTTGGATGTAGGTTTGTTAATGAGATCTTTAAATGTTGACTAGTTTAGATGTTTTAAGTTCCTAATTTTTCATATGACTACAAAAATACTAAAATAATTTTACTTCAGTGACTTTGAGAAGATTCTCAAAATGAACTATAGGGGTGTTTTTTTCTGTTTTGGGGATAAATGAACATAAACAAAACTCCCCGAAAACCAGTGCGTGAACTTTTAAAAGTTCAAAAATAAGCCATGAGCTTTGTAGAAATTAGCCTTACTGATAGTTGTAAATAGTTAAGGTTGTCTGATTACTTAAAACTTCTCATTAACTTTTTATTTGTTGTGATGTATATTTATGAAATGGCTTTTTTTTTCAGTTTATTTCCACAAACATCACAGTAAAGAAAATAATTGAAGATTGAAAAAAGTATAATATTTAAAAAAAAAACCAAGTTGTTTTTTTTTTTTTTTTCAATGTATCTTAGAGAATCTTCTATGAGATTTGGGGGAGGAGTATAGGATGTCTAGGAAATGGCATTTTCAGGGGAGTTAATCTATTAGAAAAGTCATAATTAAAACTCTGAGTTAGTAGAAATCAAATATTGTTTAATATAATTCGTCAACTGAATCTGCGTTAAGACATTCAATAATTGTATTATTGTTTTGCCAGTTTAGTTATTTGATTGATGCAAACCTGTCATCTGTACAATAAAAAAATAGTGAGGTATGTCTATACTCTGTCAGTTTGTTTAATTTTAAAGCTGAAAGTTAAATTTTAGAACGCTTTTCATTTGCTTTTTTACCGTAAGTGGGAGCAGCTTTTAACTTCACGAAAACCACTCTCCTCAAAGTCATTAAAGACTTTCATGCTGACACATCCAGTCGTTTATCTTCTGATGCAGCAGCAGTTGATCACATCTTCCATCAAATTCTTCCTTCACTTGGTCTTCAGGACTGGCCTGTTGCCCAGACCTCAGGGTCTGATCCCAATACACACTCTTTTCTCCACTTATTCCCTAGGTGAAATATTTCATTTTTGTGGTTTTAAGTGCTAATATATTCCAAATTTACATCTCTAAGTTTGGCCCTTGTTCTGAACTTCAGCCCCATATAGCCAGTCCCTCATATCTCTATTTAGGTGCACTCTAGGCATCTCAAAGTGAGCCTGTCCAAAACTAAACTCTGATTTCCCACCACTGCACTCTCATCGGCACCGCACTCTCATCTGCTTCTTCTTCAGCCCTCTCCTAAGTCTTAGTGAACAGCAGCTCACTTTACCAATTGCTAATGTCCACAGCCTGGCATTCTTCTGGATTCCTTTCTTCCTCTCAGACCATGATCATATCTAATCTTAGCAGCAGATTCTGTCAGCTCTACTTTCAAAATATTTTTATAATTTAACCACTTTTCACCATCTTTGCTTCTTACTACTGAATTAATCCAGGCTAACTTCATATCTCCCACCTGGGTTGTTCCAGTAACCTCTTACTTAGTCTTAATTTATTTCCCTTGTCTGCCTTTGCCCCCTTACAGTCTGTTTCCTACACAGACATACACTTCTAAACCTTAAGTTAAATAATGTAATGTTTCTATTCAGACTCCCCAATTTTTTTTTAATCACTCAGTGTACCTTGACCTACAAACCTTATTCCTAATACCGTTTTTTCACTTTCTCATTCTGCTATAGCCACAAGGGGCCTGCTTGCTATTTGTCAGTTATGCCAACCAGGATTCTGCCTGGGATCTTAGTACTTGTTCCCTGGGCTTAGAATGTTCTTTCCCTACAATTAGGCTTTGCTCAAGTATCCTAGAAGTCTTTGTTGATTTACCCTATGTGAAACTGTGGGGGTAGCACTTTGGTGAAACAGGAGCTCCTCCCTAAATGGCAAGCTTTTTGAATACCTTGGCTTGAGTTTATTCGTAACTATCATGGTCACATTTCTTTGACAACATGTTCCATGCCTAGCAGTGATTCAGGCATTACAACCAGTCTCTTATTTCATTTGATTCCCACATCAGCAAAGGATATATTACTATTATTTACATTTCTTTTAGTTAAATAGTGTCCAGAAAGTTTAAGGAATTAAGAGTTACAGACATAGCGAAAGGGTTTTCTTTCTCCCTTTCTGCCTCCCCCAAGAAAACTACTGACGTGAAACTTCATATGAGTAGATATAGTTTATTTAACAGCTTTGCATTATTCTGTTGTCCGTATTCTATCTCTGTCCCTATCCAGAGATTAATAAATTGTATATACTTTTCCACAGTTACAAATGTGGATTTAATGAACAGTCTTGTCCATGTTTTCTTCTGTACTGATGTAAAATTTTTAGGATGAATACCTAGAAGTGGAATATTTAGATTCAGATTTTTTAGGTCCTGCAAAATTGATCTTGGAAATGGTTCTACCAATTTATATTCCAAACTTCAGTCTTCACCCTCCTCAATATATTCAGATTTGTTGATATGCTCTAAAGTATTTGAAATAATAATTTCAATTTGTTACCCTGATTTCCGTCGGTGAGCATGTTTTCATATGTTCATCTAGCCTTTACTTCCCTTTAATTGGATTTCTCTTTTTTACAGACTCAGCTGTGTATTAAACAGAATGTTCATTTTGTATTATTGTATAGTACAATGATTACTGATTGTTTAGTCTGCCATACTGCTGGAACTGGGTGTTTTCCACCCTTATTTTTATACAGCAGGATGAGACGCAGTGCCGCATAGTGGTTGAAAGTGACTTGTTTCAAAATTGCCAGAGTATGAATTCTGGCCCACTGGTATTAGCTCTGTGAACATGGTCCACTTACTTGATCTTCCTTAGGCCCCGTTTCTTCATCTGTAAGACAGGAACAGTAATAATACCTACCTTATGGGGTTGTTGTGAAAATTGGAGTAGATAACGCATAAAAAGTACTTATTAGCACAATGTTTAGCATAAGGCAGGCATTTATACTGTTGTTATTTGTAGTGCATTGTCATCATTAGTATTTGTGGGTTTTTTCTTTCCCTTGATTTTATATGTTTATCTTTGTATCATGTAATGTAACTTGTGGGGGGGGAGAGATTTCCAGCAACATGTTTAGGTTTAGTATTGTATGTTCTAGGTTGACTCTGCATTCTTGTTTGTTGCCGTTTCTTATTTTGTGTTCAATTATAGCTAGAAATGATAGTACCTTCTTCAAAAGTATCCTTATATGAGATTTTTTTGAACAGTGTAATGTTATAAAAACCCAATCAGTGATTTTGAGGTTTTTGTTTCATGGAACTTTACACATCTTACCATATTCTTATCATATTCTGTATCCCTGTCTTTGAGTTCATGCCTATTGTGTATTCCATTACTTACCTAAAGAATTTGTTTCAGAATGTACTTTTTAGAAATCTATATGTGTATGTGTTAGCCTAGGATATTTATTTAACAGTATAGAAGATTCTCAAAAACAGGAGTTAAGAGTATTATTCTAGTGAACAGAGTGTTTCCATAAAATTAAATGAGAATCTACTTCACTGATTGGTTCTTTTCACCATGATTCTGTTTTGCAAAGAGAATTAATTAAGAAAACTTAATTGAACAGTGAGCTGGTTTCATTAGTGTCACTTTTCCTGTCGAGGTTCTAGGTTCCTTTTGTAAGTTACTACTGATAAGAATCCTCCTAAACAGCTTGACCTCCTTTCAGAAGTCCGTGTGCTGATTTACACAGCTTACCTTTTTGTTTTTCTCATGCCTGGTACTAAGTGACATTCCAATCTGCTGTAGTCATTTGGTAATGCAAAGAGTGAAACTGGAAGGGTAGGCAGGAGGTACCGGTTGGCACCAAATATGCAGTTCAAGATCACTCATGATACCAGGGAGAGAATGTCAAATACTTGAACCAGAACAACACATTGTTTTAGTTTGTAAAATTCCAGTTATAAGGCAGTAATAGTCATGTTACTCTACCTCAAAATTATTTTCTTTCTCATTTGTTCTTTTCACCTCTGTCCCAACCCCCCTCTCGCTCATGGATGTGTTTTGTGTGAAATGTGAAAGGTCTTAAGATAGTGGAGGCTTGAAAAAACTGCCTGTGTTTTAAAATGTGCTTGTGTTTGTTTCCTAATGCAGTACTTTGAAGATATTTTAGGTTTAGGTAAGTTGCTTTAAGTTTTTTTTTCTTAATTGGAGTAGGTTGAGTGCTGTGAATTCAATTTTTAGTGTACTATAAAAAGATAGATGGAAGCACTTTGATTATAGGAAGTTTCTTTGAATCATTTGCTATAGTTTGAGTGTTTACTTTAATGTGAAACTCACTGTAAATCCAAGTAAATGCTGATCTACCAATGTTCATGTATATAATTTGTATGGTACATTATCTTCATCGTTCAAATTTAGAACCTTCTTATTATTTCACATACTTAAAGAAGAATCTTAGTTGCAGATTCAAGATGAAGATTATAAAACATTTTCTTGGGTTTTCTTTCAGTATTATAATTTTGAGGCTGAATTTAAGAACATGGTTATTTTCTGTAGACACCAAAACATTTTATAATTTTGTGTATAGGTTGATTTGGGTAGATCAGTTATATCACTGGAAATGATTTCAACTCTCAGAAATTGTATTTCAACAATATAATTTTTTATTGTGTGTGTGTGTGTGTGTGACAAAGTCTTGCTCTGTTGCCCATAGCTGGAGCCGATCTCGGCTCATTGCAACCTCTGCCTCCTGCAAGCGATTCTTCTGCCTCCTGCATTCAGGCGATTCTCCTGCCTCCTGCATTCAAGCGATTCTCCTGCCTCAACCTCCTGCTGGGGTTACAGGCACCCACCACCATGCCCAGCTAATTTCAACAATAGAATTTGAAATATGTATAGTGCCATTCTATTTTTTCTACAAAGTTTGATGGTTTTCATTTTTCACGTCATATATACAGATCTTTAATATATACTCTGTTATTTTTTGCTTTTGTATTTAGTTTTGCTAGAGATAGGTTTTTTATACACATACACATAAACACAAACACACACCTTTCTTTTTTTAACTTTTAGGGTCAGGGGACATCTGCAGGGTATGCAGGTTTGTTACCTAGGTAAATGTATATCATAGGAGTTTGTTGTACTGATTATTTTATCAACCAGGTATTAAGCCTAGTATCCATTAGATATTTTTTTCTGATCTTATTTCTTCTTCCACCCTCCACCCTCCAGTGGGTCCCAATGTGTTGTTCGCCTCTATGCACACCCACCTTTTCAACTAGTTCTTGTGTAAGTGTAGGCAGTTGAGAATTTGTAGACAGGAAGTAATATTTATCAAGTGCCTCATATGTGGCAGGTTCCTTTATATAGTGTGAATCAGTTAGTAACCACCAAACCCTGTGAAATAGTAGCCCCTCCACTTTATAGACAGGGAACTTGAGAGAACTCAAGTGTTTGGCACAGATTCATGTGGGTATTAAGTGAAAGTAAAATTAAGTGGGATTTTACCCAATGTCTGGCTGTTTCCAAGGCTCTGCCTCACTTGCTTTTTGTATGACACACCTGTTGCTTGTTGAGTGTAAGCAAGCTATGTTTGGCTTCTGATGTTAAATAATTCATTATCCATTTTCAGAACCAAAGTTCTTGAGTTTTTGTAGCGCATTTTTAAAAAAAACAGGTTTACTTTATTTTGCACTTAATAGTTGGTAATTATAACTGAATTATTTTCATATTACACATTTTTTAGCGTGAAAATTTTCAAACACAAATGAAACTCATTCCCTAGACTTCACAATTTTCAGTTTGTCGTTCTTAATTTTGTTGTTTTTAGGTGCACTGTTTTTTAAAGCAGATCCTAAAACCCGTCATGTTATTTCTTCCCTACTTCAGTGTGCATCTAACAAAAATTCAACCATCATGCAATAATCTCATTAACAAAATTAGCCAGAATTCTTTGTTATTATCTGTTATTCGGTCCATACTGAGATTCCCTATATCTCTCAAGAATGTGGTTTTGCAGTTAATTTATTTGAATTGGAATCCAAACAAGGGCCACACATTATATTTACTTCTCCTACATCTCTTTTAATCTAGAGCGTTTATTTCATGCCATACACTTTGAAAATATTGGGCTACTTTTTCTGTAGAACATCTCTGTTCTAGACTTACCTGTATCTTTTACAGGGTGGTAGTGGTTTGACATGTTTCTCTAGCTTTAAAGGCTTGAATGGATTCAGGTCCAATTGTTGGACAAGGCTTTATAAGCAGTGCTGTGTATTTCATATTGAATCCCATTAGAAGGTCAAGTGGTGACAGCCCCTGTACTGTCAAGTTCCTTATCACTGTTTCATTCGGAGATCTTTGTCTAAATCAGTTAATGGCTACAAAATGGCGTTTTTCTAATTCCATTATTTCTCTTTACATTTATTGGCTGGAATTCTTTAAAAGATATGTAGACATAAATTCTGAGCTCCTGTATTGCTTATTTTCCAGAGTAAGGAGTTGGTTGCTCTAGTTACCTTCAGTGCTAACATTGATTTTGTTTTGTTGGTGTTCTCATTTTTCTTTGGTATAATGAGCTGGTGGATTTTTATGTATTCCATGTTTCAGTAACTTGAGGTCATTTCTGCTGGTATTCAGATTGTCCCAAATTTGTCCAGCTGCAGTTTTTGGTTGGCTAGAGGGTTCTTTTGATATGAGTTAGTCTTTGAGAACTTCCTTGTTTTCCAGCATAACAAGATGTCCCAAACTCATCTTGTACATTTTCTGACCTAGACCTGGATTAAGCCATTTCTCCAAGTAGCTGTGGTTTCTTTTAGTGGTATTTAAGAGACTACAGTCTAAGTGCTAGAGATGTTCATTTTTACAGATTGTTGTTTGCTTCTGGGCCTTTTCAGTGGGAAAAACTAGGAGGTATTTATATTTTGTGGGGAGAAAAATCTGTATATTTCTACTGATGTTTCCAATTCAGAATGGCCTTGTATGGCTTTTACTTAATTTATTTAATTTTATATCTCTTTTCTCTTACATTGAAAACCTTGTCACTGTATAAACACAACTACCTGTTGGCTTTATTGTATCATATAGTTATTATTACAACATATTGCCAGTATTATTACTAACAACAGGATATCTGAATGGGCATTTAAAAAATTCTGCAAAATTATTTGCAGATACTGACTTGTCAGTAGACTAGTCTGCTGGCAATTTAAAGTCAAAAGCTGTTGTCCAAAATCACTCAGAAAAAAATCTTTTTTCTGTATGCTAATATGACCAACTTGATAGAGAGTTAAGACTCATTCATTTCAGTTTGTTTTATGTTTCCAGCGATTGTCTTTTTTTGTTAAATAGTTACATGGTTCCAGAGCTGAAACTGTGTGATAAAGTACATTTAGAAAAGCTTTGCTTCCATCTTGATTATGTTTTGGTTTGTTCATGCATGGAAGGCATCTCTTTGAAGATGTAACCAAATACAGGTTGTGTGTTTGTGTCCTGTCTTTTCATATAATAGATGCTTATGACACATGCTGTTGTGCGTTGTGCTTTTTTCACTTAACTGTGTATCTTATGCATCATGCCATATCACAGTATAAAGAGTTTTGCCCTAACTCTTAATGGCACCGTTTTATTCCACTCAGTGAATATACGAGAATTTTTTCAACCAGTTCCCTACTGCTGGATCATTTTCAAACATTTGCTTTTATAAACATTGCCACAGTGAATAGCCTTTCGCATTTCATATGTATTTTTTTTAGTGTATCTTTGGTATAGATCCACAAGAGAATTGCTGTTTCAAAATGTACATGAGTATCTAATTTTACCAAATGTTGCCAAATTCTGCACCTTGGGTATATACTTTTTTTTCCCCTTCAGCCCCACAAAAAGACTGGTTTCAAACCTTCAGATTTTTGCCAATTTGGGTGTTGAAAAATGGCATTTTACTATTAGTATTGTCTATTTTAAAGTTGTTTTATTGTGGGTGAGGTTGTTCATCTTTTTGTGTATTTAAGGGCCGATTCACTACTTTGTATGCTGCCTGAAGGTTTTTTTGGGTGCCCATTTTTCTATTGGGTTATTGGTTCGTTCTTCACAAATTTTAGAAACTCTTTATCTGTTAAAGAAATTATATTTCTTTCTGTGAAACAAGTTGGAAATTTTTTTCCCCCAGTGTGTTACTTGTCTTGGTACTTTACCTATTGTGTGCTTTTTGAATTTTTTGTGATATCAAAGTTTTACATTGTCAAACTTATTAACATTTCTTTAATTGACTTTGGATTTCAAGTCATGGTTAGGAAGCTTTTCTTATTTCTAAGTTTTCATGGAGTTTATCCATTTTTTCTTGTACTTGTGTTGTTTCTTTTTTGTATCCCTTGACCATTTGAAATTTATCTTAATGTACAGTGTGATGTATAGATCCAGTTTTCTCTTTGCCGTCTGTCTGTCCCAACACATTTATGAAGAACTTCGTCTTTTCCACACTGATTTGAGACCCACCTAAAAGTCTAGACTTTTTCTTTCATTTATGTCAAGGTGGTGTTTTAAATAGAGATTTTTATAGTTTTTTTAAACATCTAGTAGGCTGACCCTTCATATTTATAATTCTTCTTTTCCTGGATTGCTCTGGATTTCTTGCTTATTTTCCTCATAGGAAATAAAATCTTTTAAATTAGCTTGTTTAGTTCCAGGAAAAAAAGAAAAACCAACAAAACCATTGTATTTTTAGTTACTGTTTTCTTAAATTTATAAATTAAGTGTGTAACTTGATTTTTTTCAGAAGAAAATAAGCAAAAGGTTTTGTTAATATTACAAGAGAAATTCTGTTTTGAAAAACAAACTGTTCAATGATGATATTCAGTGTAATTTGACTTCAAATTTGTCTTCATGTCCTTGATAACTATAATTTTTTGTTGAAATTGAGTTTAGTTGACACAGTTTTCAAGGTATTCTAGTTTACTTAAGTATTTGAAGTGACATGGAATTCATAAATTAATCTTTTTTAAAACTATTAAAATGAATACAGTTGTGATAAATTGTTTTTCGTGTGCTTGACAATACTGATCTAGTTAATTGGACGGTTGAACTACTTGTTGAAATGAGCCAAGTTGTCTCCTGCCTCCAGGAGTACCTTGGCAAATGTCTTCTTTCTTAAAATATTTTTAAAAATTATATATCAGAAGATAAGTTTAATCTTACAAAACGAAGTAGTAAGCCTGGCCACATTACTTAGTGAAAAAAGTAGGTGAGTTCAGAATCCACTCTGCATTACTGACCAAAAGTTAAGTCTTTGTGAATTGAACTTATTCTTGCAGTTTGGTCAGGTCCAGTCACCTTTCTTATTTAATTTAAAATGAGGATTCCCCCCTTAGCTAGCATTCATTGACTTTGAGAGTACTAGAACAGCCTGGTTTATTCTAGACAGTAGGAAGATAGCTTATAGCTTTAACAACTGTGGTTGATTTTTCTCGGAGCTGGAATAACATCAGGAATTTTAGACTCCAGTGGTCACTTAGCTACACCAAATAGTGACCTGAATGTTTAGACAAGGGCCTGTATTATTTAAACCTCAGGATTGTAGTGGATAATACAACACTTTTAGGGTAAAATTCTGCTTTAAGCAAATTGTGTTCACTTGTGATGCATCATTACTTTTCTGAGAAATGATAAGTCATAGTACAGTAGTCCCACCTATCCACTGGTTCACTTTCTGAGGTTACAGTTAGCCAGGATCAACTGTGGTCAGAACATACGAAATGGAAAATCCAAAAATAAACAACTAATATGTTTCGAATTGCATGACAGTTTAAATAGTGATGAAACCTCTGGCTGTCCAGCTATGTTCCACCCGGGATGTGAATCATCCCTTTGTCTGTCATCTCCATGCTGTATATGCCTGTTAGTCACATATAGCTGCCTCATTTATCAGATAGACTGCTGCGCTGCCACAGAACTTGTGTTCAAGTAGCGCTTATTTTACTTAAGGGCCACAAAATGCAAGAGGGGTGATGCTGACATATTGTTATAACTGTTCTAGTTTATTATTGTTAATCTCTTACTGTGCTTAATTTATAAACTTTATTATAGCTTTGTATGTATAGGAGAAAAAAACCTGTAGTATATATAGAGCTTTGTGCTAGTTGCCATAGCAGACGTCCAGTGGGGTGGGGGGTCTTGGAACATGTTCCCTACAGATAAGGGGGAACTACTATACACATTATGGTTGGAAGGCTTTGAACTAGAAAAGTGAAGTATAATTCTTTATGTGCACATACTCTTAGGTACTATTAAATTGGTAGTTAAGTCTTGGCCTACTCTAATTTACTATAGTATTTGGCTAGAAATTGGGTAATTCACTCTTTTATAGAAAGAACTATAGGTCACTGGATAGCCATGTATTTGAAGAAAGTAACATACTGATGAAATATGTAGTTCCTACTGCACTGTGCTAGGTGCTTTTGTGCATACTGTCTCATTTAATTCTCCACCGTAACATGGAGAAGTTGGTACTGTTATCTCCATTTTTATACAAGAGGTATCTGAGGCTGAATACCAGACAAGGCTAAAACAGAAACTTTCAATTTGTGAAAAAGGAGTGTTTTAGTGTCATATATATATGACAAATATATTTATTAAGCCTGTTTTATGTTTGAGGGAAATTGGGTGCATAAAAAGGACTATTTTTGAGCTTTTGTACATATTTATAAAATTGTATAGTTTTGTTGTCACATATGATGGCATATATTTATATATCTTAATGGATAATTTTTGAAGCATCACTTTGTAAGAAAGATGTTTACTACACAGTAAAAAGTTTAAAAGCAATGTTAACCTCGTTATTTATACTCACACTGTAAAAAACTGAACTGTTCATGGAAATGTTTGCTATGATTACGGTAAGATGGAAGAGGAAAGTATCTTGAGGCTTAAAAGCTGTGTAATTCCATTCGTAGGAACCAGTATGGCTTACTAAATACAGTGTTGTCATTTCCTGTGAAAGAGAGAGCGAGAGATAGGATGGGGGTGGGGATAGTTGATATTAGAGAGTGAGAGAGAGGGTTACCAGGTTTGTAGTTCAGGGAAGTGCCTTAGTCATAATGTATCTGGACTATATCAAGGACTTCAATAATGTTTTTCACCACGTTATTGTGTTTAAGGGCTGGATCTAAAATAATTAGATGAAGTAGAAACCAGTTGATTAGTTGTACTCAAAGACTGTTTAACAGATTTTTGCCAAGCAGGAGAAATGTTACTTGGTAAACTAACATGAAAATGACTTGGGAATTTTAATTTTACTGGCTAGATAGTTCCCTGTCACTAGATTTTTTTCAGGGGGTTCTTAAGTTGAAGTCTATGAGTATCATTCATGGGGCCTTTGAACTTGGATGAGAGGGGGATTACATTTGTATTTCCAATAAATACATCCTTATTAATGATAATGTAGCATTTTCTTCACTCATGAGTTTATTATACTGATTACTTCAAAATCCGAGCTGTATGAACCTGAACCAACTGTAGATCTTATGTAATATGTTAATAAAGAAGCACTTATATTACTACATTCTAGGTTTTACAGATATTTTAGTTATGTTTTAATGTAGTCCTTTGAGAACCAACTCATAGCCTTCACTAGATGTCCAAACAGTGCATGGCAAAATCAGTTATACCCCTAGACTAGATAGTTGGCTTTAGGGTTCTGTGTTATGTACATGTGTACGAATATAGTATTTAAAGATTATGATTGAGTTATAAACATAATCTTTAATCACAGATGTGATAATTGCTTTTTTGTCATGAGGGTTTAAAATGTTTTTAATTGATTATCTTTCAAATTTCCAGTGTATGTCTGTGTGGGTAGTTATTTAAAAAGAGTTAAACATTTTTAAGAGTACTGTGGGGAAAACTTTCACTTTTTGATCCCCTTTCCATAATGCTGACTAAGAGTTTGGGTAGATTTCTAATTCCAGTGAAGTCCAGCAGCAGAGCACTGATTTCACTTGCTTTGAAAGTTGGCAGGGTTATGGCTTACAAATGTGTAGCTGCTGTGAGCAGATGATTGTTAAGTAGATAATGTTGGCAGTTATAACTGGGGCAATTTAAAAAGTATGTTGGCTTGTTGGTTTTCACAGCAGGCTGTGTTTTCTGGCAGAGAATTTTGTTTTATTTATAACATTTAGGTGTTTGGGTACTGGATGGATTTTTGTTAGAGTTCATAAAAAGGGAGATCTGTGCAATCGTGTGCTTTCTCTCTGTTTTGTTAGTTTTCTTAAGTCCAGAAATATTTTGTTCTTTGCTTGGAAGATGACCTTTTCCCACTTTCAGTGAACTTGGTCTTTCTCAGATTTGGTGAATAAGCATTAAGATGTACTTCTAGTACAGTGGTTGGTTCACATTACACAGTTGTGCATTGCTGTGTGTTAAGCTTATGCCTTTATTTTCAGACAAAAATTTAACGAAGTCATTTGATTTTAAAGACCACATGTACACATGAAGGTGTAAATTCTTTTTCTAGAATTGGATTGTGTTTGCTAAGTTGCTCTCAGTTGCTTGTTTGCCAGTTTACATTGCCGGCAACAGAATAATAGTGCCCTGTGTGTAAGTCCATACTTTACTGTGCTCATTTTATAAATGAGGAAACCAAGGTTAAAGACAAAGCAAATTGATTGAATTTTTAGAGAAAATTATTTTGTGGTCGGGAAGGTCAGAAAATTCTAAGGTAATGGAATTAGTGCTAATAGAAAACTGGGTTTCTAGGAGCTTTATAGGAATGAGGAGTGGGAGGAAAGGGCTAGGAAGACGGTTTCTTGGGAATGAATACAGTGGAAAGAATGTTAGCCTGGTGAAGAAATTTTATGGCCGTTCTTGTTTTTTTTTTTTTTTTTTTCTTTTTCAAATGCTTCCAGGTATATTATTTGTCTTGTAAAAATTTTAGGTAATGAAATACATTTCATTTCAAATAGTGTTCTTGAAGTATTAGGATTTAAAAATAGTGTTCATAGAAAAGATTTCAAAAGCCCATATTCAAATATTTCTTCTGTCCTCTACCTAAAGCTGTTAACACCTTAATGTTAAGTAGGTCAAATGGCTATTGCCGCCAGGTTGTTTTGTGTACTAGCAACTGGTGTGTGTTGAAGGCACAGCTGTATTTTTTTTAACCTTTGCACATATTTTGTAGACACCAGCATAAGAAATAAATTGGTTGTGTGCATGTGTAACAAAGTGGACAGTCCGTCAGTTTCCTCCATGGGGAGTAGGAATTGGTGATCTGTTTGAAGTTAGCGTTGTTTTGCTACTGGCTAGGACATGGGTTTCGTCTAAGTGCTAACCATAGAAGAAAAGTAAATTGTGCATGGTTGACCTATTTAAGTTTTAGAAAGAATGATTCTGATTAGCTTTATCAAAAGGAGGTTTAGGGTTGTCCTGGTGAATTTCTGCTGGCTTGGAGAATACAGCCAGTTGATTGTTAGTTTTATTAATGAAATACTGATATTTAAAAGAAAATCTCCACCTTTAATTCTTTATTTCTTATATTGACTCTAATAATTTCACAATGTAGCTTGGTTTTGTTATTGTTGTTTTTTTTTTTTTAGTTTTGGATCATTGTATTCTTTTGATAAGCATGAAAAGAATTTTGTTTTGGAGTTGACCTAAAGCAGTTTTTCTGTTTCAGTAATCATTGGTGATAATATTTCTCAGGGAAAAGTGTGTATCAAGGTAAATGTTTACCAAACAAAGTTGTTTTCCTGGCAGGAGAAATAACCATTAAGGAAAGGTTTCCTTCCCTTTGAATTAAATTATTGAGACATACTGAGATGAGCATTGTACGCTGACTGTACTGATGAAGTGATCATAGGCAGTTATTATCTTACCTATTCTAAATAGAAACTTCTTTCTGAAAACGTGCTGCTTCCAAGTAAGCTCTTCATTTAGGTATTAAGTACCTACAGCAATGCTTTTTTTTTTTTTTTTTTTTTTTTTTTTAGAAACCTTTGTCTTTGTAAGATTATAACTAGGTTGGCTGCAACATATTAGACTATTAATTCTGCCCTTGAGACTTTATGGCTGTTTATTATAAATTTAAGTTTTGCTTTCCAGCATTCTTATCAATTGAGAACAGACAACCACAGCTGGCAGAATTAGGTCTTGTTATTGGGCATCTTGACTCATATTTGTTTTTATTGTTATATGCAGAGCATTGTATTGGATCCTGAGGGAGGACCTAGAATAGGGAATAAAAGAGGTTTCCTTGTCCCAGAAAAGCTATATTCTAGTGGGAGAGACTGTAAAGAAGAAAACTTCTCATTGTTGAGCACTTACCTGTGTGTGAGGTAGCATGAGTTGCTTTATATATTTTGTTTAATCCTCAAAACAAGCTTGTTTTCATTTTATAAAGTGGAGATTTGAGTTCACATAGACTTTAAATAACTCACTCAAGGATGTGGCTGTCATGTTGAAATGTGAACCTGTTCATGTCCTGTTGCAGCCCCCCAGATGTTTCTGCTGCACTGTAGGACAGACAGATGTCTAGACGTGGTGGATGAGGTTGATTAGGCACTGTGTGGGGCGTGAGCTGCCTCGGAGTCCCTCGTGAGCAGGAAGAATACTTGTATTTGAATGCCAGGCCTGTCTAGGTAGGTGATGGTCTCAAGTCACCAACAATTTCTTTCTCTCATTTAACCATTCATTCATTTGTTTCTTCTGGAACTTTTCTTGTACCTGTTGTAAGATCAGAGAAAAATAATTAGTGTCAAACTCCCAGCAGAGCATGGTGATGTAGGCAGGTCTGGGGCCAGTTAATGCTGGCTGTACCTCAGCCCTGCTGCTGGGCAAGCTAGGTGTTGGTGGTCAGTGTACTTCTTTGGACCTCCCCTCCTCTCCCCAACCCTCTGCACCCCTCCTCTCCCCTCCCTTCATACCCAGTTTTCAGGTTTAGGAACTTGATTTTATCCATTTGACTAGTTTTGATAAGATTCTGTGGAATTATTCACAACAGCCAAACATGATTGGCAAAATAATTGAGCAGAATGTTAATCTGTTTATTAAGGGAATATTCTGGGAACAGGTATTAATACATTCTTGTGTGATGTCAAACTAAATTAATATTTATTAACATGTAGTGCAAATGAAATATACTAAAACATAGTTTTCATAGGCTTTATTTAGGCTTGGTAGAACCTGGAACATTGTTTCCAGGAATACTCTTACTTTTCTATACACAGGAATGCTACTGCCTGATGAGGACACCAGTATCTCCTTACTCCCTTGGGTTTCTTTTTTTTCTCTCTTTGATCTCTTAACATTTTATGTAAGGTAAGTAGCTGGGCCACATTGGTAATAAAGATTTTATGTTTGCAGTTTCCTTTTTTACAGTGAAGGGCAGTAATTTATATGTAAGGAATTTTCATGAAGGTGACTTTAAGTGGATTCTCCTCTTTTCCCTGTTTGTCTTTATCAGCTCATTCTGGATTCTTTCCTTTGTGTTGCTGATGTTAATGGGCATTCCCTCTCACCCTTGCCAGCCACAGATGATGCTTCTGTTTTTCTTTTGGTTCTTTAATATCTGGTAATTTGGAATTATTTGTTGGCAATTCTCAGGGAAACTGGTGCTTTTGTATTTCTTGTCATCCTTTGGTACATCTGGCCTGTTTTATTCTGATCACAACTAATGTAAAACTATTTTGTTAGCAAAATGATTGAGTACTATGGAGATTAATTGCTTTTTTGCTTTAACTTCTTGTATAAGGGTGAGCCTTTGGAGAAGCCTGGGGGTAGTTTTGCCAATGAATATTTTAGAGACTATTAGGTTTAGTATAAAGATGGTTTCAGGGTGGTAGTGTGAAAGTATTGGAATCCTGGAATAAAAATACAGCTCCCATGATAAAATCTTAAATTTATACAGCTAAATTTGTATAGAAATTTTTGTTTTCTAAAGTGCCATTTTAGGAGTCCGTGGAAGGGGGTAGCGGCAGATGCTTGAATGATTCCAAGAGGTACAGCCAGCAGATGTGGGGAGAACGAAGGTGAAGGAAAGCTGGGGAGACAGTGCGTAGGACGTGGTCAGCACAGTACCTGGCACATAGGCGGTGAGCGTGGCCTGTCATTAATATTACCTAAGACTCACAGGTTTATAGTGTAGGAGCATGTTTCGCATGCATTTTTAGTTATAAAGGTTTGGTTTTTTTTTTTTTAGATGAAGTCTTGCTCTGTCGCCCAGGCTGGAGTGCAGTGGCGCGATCTTGGCTGACTGCAACCTCCACCTCCTGGGTTCAAGCAGTTCTCCTGCCTCAGCCTCCTGAGTAGCTGAGATTACAGGTGCCTGCCACCACGCCCAGCTAATTTTTGTATTTTTGTAGAGACAGGGTTCCACCATCTTGGTCAGGCTGGTCTCGAACTCCTGATCTCAGGTGATCCGCCCACCTCGGCCTCCCGAAGTGCTGGGATTACAGGCATGGGCCACCGTGCCCGGCAGTTATAAAGGTTTTAGGGTTGCCAGACTAACATAGAGATGGACATGTTTAAAAGGATGTCAGGTTTGCTTTGTTTGTTACTTGACCCAGACCAGACTAAGAGGTTGTTGATAGAATTTCTGAGAGACAGCAGGACTCCTACTCATGTAGCTCCCATTTTGCCAACTCTTTAAGCTTTCTCAGGTCTCGCACCCAAAACTATGGCCCTCCTTTACTCCAGAATCTATGGGTAAGTGTTGTTTCTGAACATACATGCTCATTTATTTTGTATTTTCTCTTGGTATAGTGGGTAACAAGACACCCTGAGCAAGCACTATAAAGTTTCAGGGCTAGAAATGTGCCTTACTGTCTCACTTTTTTGTTTTGATTTTCATAAGTTTGTATGGTTGTTAACCCTGTTCTAATACAGGTTAAGTGTCTCTAACTTGAAAACCTGAAATATGACATGCTCCAAAATCTGAAATGTTTTGAGCGCCAACATGACACTCAAAGGAGAAATGCATATTGCAGCATTTCAGATTTCAGATTCTCAGATCAGACATGCTGAAGTGTATCATGCAAATATTCCAAAATCTGCAAATACTCAAAATTCAAAATAGTTCTGGTTCCAAGCATTTTGAATAAAGTATTCTCAACCTGTATCCCATTTCTCCTATTTTTCTTCAAATAAGTACTTCTTAGTTCATACTTATTAGTCAAAAAGAGGCTAGTGGATTGGGGAAAATTAAAGAAAGGCTTCATTCAGTGTGATGGGCTTTGAGGACCAAATGGTTTGACTTTTGAGAACATGAAAGCCATTGCAAAATGTAAAGCCAAGGAATGATGTGTTGTGACTTAGTTTGAACAGGACTTTGGTTGGATTCTGGGTGTATTTTGATGGATCAGATGTGGAACCAAGGATGACTTTAGTTGAACAACTGAATCTTTAATCTTGCTTGAGACAGTAAAAGTGACCTAGGAGTTAGAAATATTCTCTGGAATTTTTGTTGGGAGTTGTGCTTTTTCTGTGTGCAAGGAAATAATGGGAAAGGACATCCCACAGTTGTGAGTGTCAGCCCACATTGCAGTAGATGATACCTGTGGAGGGGATACCTTTGGCTGGAATACCAATGTGCTTTTTCTCTAGAGGTAAGATTTTGAGACAAATCTAAAATGCGTTCATTGATTATGGGCAAGTAGTTCATTTAGAAAATTAGTTACAACTATTAGGTTGGTGCAAAAGTACTTGTGCTTTTTGCCATTGAAAATAATGGCAAAACCCACAATTTTGCACCAACATAATATATTCTTCAAAAATTAAGAGTTTTCATTTATTCACATTAATGGTTGGGACCAACATTTCCCTCTTGCTTTTTAAAAGGAACTTGTTCATTTAGGCTTTTGACCCTTGGAGCTGGAAAGGGACCTCACGGGCAGTACAGGCACGGACTTTGGAGTCTGGTGGATCTGGGTCTTAACTCTGGATCTGCCACATACCAGCTCGAGCACCGAACTCAACTCTATGAGTTTGGACAACTAGATCTTGAAATAGGGTTAAATAATAGTATCTGTTGAGCTGCATTCTTATAAATATTGAGTGTCATGGTGTGCCTACCACTTGCCAAGGACCAATAGATGTTAGCTGTTGATAACATCATCTATTTGACAGCCATTATTTCATACGTGACACAGGTGAGGCAAAGAGAAATTGTTAGTAACTTGTTCAAAGTCAGAAATGAAACTTGAAGACTAAAAACCCATCTCTCTACATTAGTCTCAGATGTTTATGATGAAGCATTTTTTAAAAAAGTGAACAGACTTCCTCATTTATTATTACAAAAAGTGAATCCTTTTCAGAATGTTGTTTTCCAAAAATGTACCATTTTGTTTTCTTTTAGGATTTGGAGTTCCATGGAGTGATGAGATTTTATTTTCAAGATAAAGCTGCTGGAAACTTTGCAACAAAATGTATTCGGGTCTCTAGTACTGCCACCACTCAAGATGTAATCGAAACGCTCGCGGAGAAATTTCGACCTGATATGCGAATGCTGTCCTCTCCCAAGT
This sequence comes from Homo sapiens, assembly GCF_000001405.40. Lineage (NCBI taxonomy): Eukaryota > Metazoa > Chordata > Mammalia > Primates > Hominidae > Homo > Homo sapiens. Next base: position 167,864,717 of record NC_000006.12, read on the forward strand.
ATTCACTCTATGAAGTGCATGTCAGCGGAGGTCAGTGTATACAGGAAGGGTTTGCTAGAGGCATGACCTGACCTGTGAAGAGACAGCTTGTCCAGGGTCATTGTGGTCATGTCAGGTTTACTGCTCGTCTCCATCTTTCTTCTCTTTTGGTGGGTAGGAGAGTAGCTGGCAGGCTGAGAAAACTGTTTTATGTCTGGGAAGTGTTCTTATAAATCCCTGGCACATATATCTGTTGGAAGTTAGAATGAATATATTAATTTTGCATATGCTTATTTCTCCAAAGATAAGTAACGTTACATTTATCCAACATATCTGGGTGTCACATACATTGTGTAGTATGCTACCTGCTTTTTGAGAATGTTTTATGTGGCTCTTATGTAGAGATTATAATAATTGTAACACAGTTAAATATTATATAGGTATGAGTCATCAATCTTGCTGTAATATTTTTGCCTTCTGAAACAATACATTTTCATTATTCTTTGGGAATAATTTAGGGTATGTATCTTAAGGAAACCTCCTTATGTATTTAGTAATTTCTGCTTGTATTAACATTAGAAATTTCTGAAAATATCTTATATAGCAATATCAAATGACAACTAAAATTAGACTGATTAAGAAATGTGGAAATTTAGGTAAGTGCCATGGCTTATGCCTGTAATCCTGACACTTTGGGAGGCTGAGGTGGGAAGATTGCTTGAGGCAACATAGTGAGACCCGTCTCCACAAAAAAATAAAAAAAAAAAGTTAGCTAGGCATGATGGCACATGCCTGTAGTCCCAGCTACTTGGGAGGCTGAGGCAGGAGGATCACTTGAGCTCAGGAGTTTGAGGCTTCAGTGAGCTAGGATCGTGCCACTGCACTCCACCCTGGGTGACACAGTGAGACTTTGTCTCTAAAAAAATTAATAAAATGAAATGTAGAAATTTTTAAATTTTTTCATTGGTGTTTTGGAAATGTTGAGTAACCTGTTTTAATAAAATACAGATTACAGTTGGTGCAGCAAATAAAGGATTTATGTATAGCACAAACCTAATTTGAATACCTCTTTTAAGTTCCATCCACAGATCTTTTTTGAACCTTTTTTTTTTTTTTACTCAAAAAATACTGCTTTCTTTGTACATATGAAAATAGACTAAAGTGTTTGTAATATGTGGGATTTTCAGGTGTGACTAAATCCTTTTTCCCTCAGTAGTATGTAAGTCAGGCCATTTTTTGTTGTTGTTGTTTGTTTACTTTTTTTCTTAAGGTTATCATCTTCATCATTAATGCCAAAACTAAATTTAACAATAGAGGGTGTTCTCAATTTTGGGTGATTTTTCTGAAGCTGAGTTTTTCCTTTACCTTAGAATTTTTGTAAATAGGTTACAAAGAAGAATAAAATCTCTCTCACTTCCACCTTTTTTTTCTTTTTAGTCTGTGCTGTTCAGTTAGTTGAATACTGTCGAGTGTGAAGTCTGAATAATATGTAAGATTGGAGTTTGAGGTCTAAAAATTGGATGAATTTGATTTTTTAAAGAAAAGGGTGAAAACAAAAAGATGGTTAAAGAAGAAGGAAATAGTGTCTTCCCCACTCCCTCAGGTACCCTTCCACACCTTTGGGCTTAAAGTGCTGGTTTTTTTTCACCAGTGCCTCAGGTATGAGGAAAGCCCTAGCATGCAGGTTCTCAGTCTTTTCTGGGTTACAGAAACCTTAGCGTCTCAGTCATTTTTTAATAATGGCACCGCTAGGCCAGAGGAAATACCTAATAGTCCGTTTCATTAAGTAGTTAGATTCAGACAGGTTTAGTAAGTGTTTAACAGTGAACAGTTAGGTAGATGTTTGAAAAATAGTACACATAAAATGATGGAAAACTGAAGCTTTCATTTTATTCTTAATCACAGCTGCTGTCTGCTGGGACAGTTGTGCCTCTTGGGCCTTTCCGAGCTCCTCAGACCCTGGGAGCCCTGACTTCTTGTCCATGTTGATTTTCAGAGAGTACTGCTTGTTTATTACAGCGTTACGGAAAACCCAGCTTTGTATGTATGTGATGCCGACAGAAGAGACGCTGTGCAGTTTGCTGTGGTCCAGCAGCCACCCGAACCAGTTCTTTTGGTGTCTGGCACATGCACCTTGTTTCTCTTGAATATTTAAATGCTCCTCAGTGCCCTGGGGTCACCTCAGCACGTTTGCATACCGCAGCCCTAGTGAGCTAAAGCCCCAGCCCCAAACCTTCAGCCACCAGGGAAGCTCTGCATCTATTCTTTTTATATAGTCCAAGTCTTTGTGTGAATTCAGTAGGAAACATAAAAAAGGATCATGCTACTTTAAAAACGTGAATGAAACCACTAAGGCAGAAGAGATCTTAAATGCGTAAAGATTACAGTAGGACCCAGTTCCCTCTTTACCTTCAGTGCCTACTCACACTTGCTTTAGAATATCTCAGCCCTCTTCTTGCTTTACTTTTATGATGTATACATAATTGTTAATGGTAGTTCTCTAAAAGTTGCACTCTGAAGGATTTTCATCTAGTAAAAATTTTGCAACAAGAACGATTTGGTAATTTTGGTTTATGGAAGGAATTCAGACTTACTGTTCTATCCCTAATTTTTACTGTGGTTTTAACTTCTTATATTTTCAGTTGATAAAATAATTATCCAAAATTTTTTATTTCTGTATTTTGATAACTAGCATTTCTATTGTTTCTATTACGGACTAATTCTTTTTTTTCTTTTCTTTTTTTTTTTTTTTGAGACAGAGTCTCATTCTGTCGCCCAGGCTGGAGTGCAGCGGCATGATCTTGGCTCACGGCAACCTCCGCCTCCCGGGTTCACGCGATTCTCCTGCCTCAGCCTCCTGAGTAGCTGGGATTACAGGCGCCCGCCACCACACCTGGCCAATTTTTTGTGTATTTTTAGTAGAGACAGGGTTTCACTGTGTTGGCCAGACTGGTCTTGAACGCCTGACCTTGTGATCCACCTGCCTCGGCCTCCCAAAGTGCTGGGATTACAGGCGTGAGCCACCGCGCCCGGTTACATGATAATTCTCTAGCTAGTCTCATGGCCTCCTATTTTTACCAGCCTCCTTGTAGCATATCCTGTATATAATTACCTGGATAATCTTTGTCAACACTATTAGTAGTACTGTCAATATCATCATTGTTGTCATCATTATGGTGTCATTTTTTATGGGGAGGGTGGTGGTAAACTATTGCTCATTTAAAATTTAAATTTTTGGCATAGCATTGAAAGTGCTTTTTCAAATTAATAGTTCTCTTCCCCTGCGTGAGGCTGTAGTAAGACCCTTGTGCCGTCACCATGCTGTTACTGCCTCTCTTTCTGACAGTTTTCTGGAACAACCTGTGCTTATCCTTTCCTTCAAGGGCTGACCTGGTCATATAGTCTCTGGGCATCTTTTCGTTGAATAACCTAACCAAAGTGATCGTTTGTACTGCCTCATCTAGTGTTTTTATTGTAATATATTATTACTAATACAGCAAAGTACTGTTTTCCAGAGATAGTATCTGTAAAAGGCCCCTTAGAAAAACACATTTAAAACTGGGATCAAAGCTGAATGTGGTAGCATGTACCTATAGTCACAGCTACTCAAGAGGCTGAGGTTGGAGGGCTACTTAAAATCAGGAGTTTCAGATCAGCCTGGGCAACATAGTGAGACCCTCATCTGGAATCAAATTTTATAGTAAATGCTGACAGCATTTGGAGACCTTTGTTAGAAAAACAAAGTGTATCTCATATTTATCATTTATTGCTTCAAATATGGACTAATTGAAAAAACAAAGACTTAATCTTGGGTTGTCTTTCTTGACTTTCTGTGTGACTGTTGGGGTGTGATTATGAAGAGCACTTTGAGTTTAGGACTTGAACCAGTATTTCTCAGAACGTCTTCCAGTCCTTGGAAAATCACATCTTTCTCTTGCAAGGAGTCTATGTTATCATCATCCTTATCAGTTGTCTCTTTAGTTATTAATTGGTCTGTCTGATCCTCATTTATCATTGGCCGAGTTTGTGCTTGATGGAGTTTTTACTATCATCAGCATTGTGCAATCTTTTTTTTTTTTTTTTTTGAGACAGGGTCTCACTTTGTCACCCAGAGTGGAGTGCAGTGGTGCCGTCACAGTTCACTGTGGCCTCAACCTCTTGGACTCAAGTGATTCTCCCCCCTCAGCCCTCCAAGCAGCTGGGACTGCAAGCACACACCACCACACCCGGCTAATTTCTTCTTCTTCTTTTTTTTTTTTCTGTGGAAATCGGATCTTGCCATGTTGCCCAGGCTGGTCTCAAACTCTTGAGCTCGATCGATCTATCCACCTTGGCCTCCCAAAGTGCTGGTATTATAGGTGTGAGTCCAGCCAGCATCGTGCAGTCTTGTCCTTTTCTGCAAAGTATAGCAGTTTGCAGTTTGTGTGACAGGGCACTGTCATATGCATTCTGACTGTGAGGTGATGTGACTGATGGGGTGCTGGGCAGTGGGCAGAGCTGGACAGGGAGTGATGTTTGGATAGGGAGTCAGTGATTTTATTTTATGGTGAATTTTACTTTCCTTACTCAACTCTGAAAGTGCTGGGTCTTGTGTTACTGATATTCAGGTTACAGAGCATTCCTGTAACAGATGTTTCTGAAAGAGGCATTTCTAAAAAAAAACTAAAATTCTGCCAAATTGTACACTAAAAGGTAGGGACTTTAAGATAAAGAAAGATTTGGGTAGGTCACTCAATACCTGTTTAAATTTGTAGCACTGGCTCAAAGAACAGTTGAAGGTTTGAGCAGAGTGAATGGATTTCTCCGAGCGACAAGGAGAATTCCTGGGGAATGTAGCCTGAGTTGTGTGTGGGGCTTGCAGCGTCAAATCTGTTGCCAGCTCCTGCTTCCTTAGTGTTCTCCAGCCTAGGATGGGTGTCTTGGCCAGTAGGAGCAGGTCCATCCTTCAGTGCCGCCTTTTTTCCACAGCTTCCAGCGACCGTAGGCCTCTGTGAGGTGGTCAGGCTGTGTGAGGCTCTCACGGAGACCCTCCGTGGAGTACCATGTTCCTGATAAGTGTGCCTGGGAGGCTTGCTAATGAAAGAAGTAATATACCAAACATAATACTTTACATAAGAAAAGTGATGGTAACTTTATGGTGGAAGGGAGAGGTAAGTGTTGAAGTGGGCAAATTTTGGAGACAAGGATCAGATGCACAGAGACAGGAAGAATAGTGCAGTCATCACTTCCAAGACTGGTGAGGGCTGCTGCCATCGCTTTGTGTGGGGTATAACATTAATGTGATGAGAACAATCTCATAGAATCAGTGGAACTTCTGTGTGGTATTAACATTATGTCCTTATTTTCCAGTTGCATATGAGATAATTTGATTTACAGAAATAAGCTTTTAGCAAAAACCATGTATACTTTTTTTCTTATTGCATGTATATTTCTCTTATTTTCCCAGTTAGATCTAAATGAGGGAATTGCCTCTGTTCAGTGTCTGGCACTGGATATGTGGTAATAAACATACAGTAGCAACAAAATGTTGAATTAATTAAAACAAATGATTTTACATTTTGAACAATACATTTCAGTCTGCAAGTAGGTGCTTTGTCTATAAAATTAAATGTATATCAGAATGCTTGTATTAGCTAGTTCTATGAAATAACCATAGCTTATTCTTTTTTTCATTTCATGTTTTGAAGAAGAAAGAAGATTGGATATAGATGAGAAACCTCTAGTTGTACAACTGAATTGGAACAAAGATGATCGGGAAGGCAGATTTGTTCTTAAGAATGAGAATGACGCCATTCCTCCTAAGGTAGGAACCCTCAGTATTTTATGACGGTCTTGGTCCAGGGCCAGGTCTGACTGATAAACAGGAGACTGATGTTTTGTTACAGGAGTTCCTTCTCTTTTTTGCTTCTCTTTATAAACCCTTTTACCCTCCTCCCAGAAAATAATTTAAAAGAAGCCTTTTTCTCTCTACTTTATCCTTTATCTCAACTAGTAATTCCAGATATTGTTTCTCACCTTTTCAAAGAATATTTATGTAAACTCGTTACTGTGAGATTTAATGATCAGGTGATCAGCTGCAGTTATTTTTTTTTTCCAAAATATAAAATCAGAATAGTTCTAATAAGGATCAAAAGGGAAAATAACGCTTTTATATCTATTTGTGAACTTTTAGATGCAACTTTGGTCATTTAAAACGTTTTCATTATGTGCAGGGTTAGGAATTAGTAAACTTTCTTGAATGATGGAATAGAGTGATTCTACAACTTCCTAGGTGGTAGGATATCTGGAATTCTGTGCTGCTATGTTTATTTTGTGCTAAATCAAGTGGCATCTTACACAAGAATTCATTATGGACAAGTGATAGCAAATGCAAAGGTTAAGAATATTTTTATGAAAAATCTTCCATTTCATTCCCCCCCGCCCCGCCCCCCAACAGATTGGGAAAAGGCTGTCGTTAATCACTTTTAGCAGCAGAAATTTTTTATTTTGTGTGATGTCACTGTTCCATGTTGAAGAGTCATGGAGATGTACAAAATGTATTGACCTTATTTGTTACTGTGCTTAGTGATGTGTCATATTTGCAGCAAATACAAAAAAAGTTAAGAATGCATGTCCATTGTTTTGCTATACATGTTTTATTTCATTTCTGCTCCACAATTTCAGCAGATGCTCTTTCATTCTGTATATTTTGCTATGGACCACAGACCCTCATTGACATGTATTGGAACTCCTAAGACCAGTGCAGTGCTCCAAGTATCTATGAATCAAATGGCAGTGTTCACATGCTTTTCTCCCATAACTTATAAAGCAGAAGGTAGTTTTCTTTCCCATCACAATAGCCATTCTTTTCCTTATTTTTCATAGTTATTTTCTTATTAAGTTATCTGTAAAAATAATGCATCTCTGTCATCTGCTAGCAGGCCATTGTTCGAGGTTAAAATACAAATTAAGAAGAAGCAAGCAAATAAATCAGATCTGGAAACGAAGTTAGAGATTTTTGCACAAACATAATACTTACAACAGTTTCATAAAAGCCAATTTATTATGGCTACTCTTAACAATTCCTTTAAAGTTAAAAACTACTATAGGCGATTTGTCTATTATTCACTCTTTGTTTTTATAATTTTGTTAGGTTTCTTTTATTCAAGTTACTTTATGTAAATTACTTGGAGTTTTATTTACTGAAAATCAGATTTCATCATTTCTCCCCCAGTTTTCTAACTGGCTTTGATTTTTGTTTCTTAGCTTGCTTGCTTGCTAGTTTTTAAATGAGGTAAAATATAGATTCGGTGAGATGCACAGATCTTGAGTGTGCAGTTCAATTGATTTTGATAAATACACCCATGTAACTGCCAGCTGAATCAAGATAAAGACCATTCTCATTACTCCAGACCTTCCTGTGTTTCAGTAGCTTTGTTCACATGTTCGGCAGCATGTGAGATGAAGTTACCTAAGCCGTAGGCAATTTTATGTGATTCTGCATAGTAGTCAATATGGTGATAATGTTACTTTCATCAGAAGGCTCAAAGTAATGGACCTGAAAAGCAGGAAAAAGAAGGGGTTATCCAGAACTTCAAGAGAACTCTCTCAAAGAAAGAAAAGAAGGAAAAAAAGAAGAGAGAAAAAGAGGCATTGCGACAGGCATCTGATAAAGATGATAGACCTTTCCAAGGGGAGGATGTGTAAGTCAGTTTTGGAAATGTTCCCCTTTCTTTGTGCTCCAAATCAGATGTTTTTGTTGCACCAAAATTGTTAAATTTTCAGATAAATTATGGAAAGGATGAGTATCAGTCAGGAAATGTGTTTGGGTCTACTCCCAGCTCTTCTGTGTGGAGGGAGGATAGAGGGTCTTACCTAAGCAGGGTTCATTGCTGGCAGTGCCTGTCTTGCTGTGCTTGGGAAGAATCTCTGCACCCACAGTCTTGCTAGTCTTAAATAAGCAAACTCTAGTTAACATTATTATTTTTCTTTTTCATCTTCAGCTGGGTTTTTTCCTCATTTCTGTGGTTTTGGCCATGAGGCAGCAGTTGTCTCATATGTACCTCAGATACACTTAATGCCTAGTCAGAGGCTGACAAGGTGAAAAGCAGGTTTTCCCTTTTAAGCTTCAGATCACCATCTAGTTCCCTCCACTTCCACCTCCCATTTCTTATTTTGTCACACCAGTTCCATTGTAGATGGTTACCTATTTTAAGTGTTTGAGGATCTGACACAGAGCTGAGGGAATAAGTTAAATCATTGCATTTTTACTATAACAAAAAGAGTCACTGGGAGAAACTAGACTTTCCCCTTAATGTGGAGTTTCTAGTTCCTGTTTTCACCCTCAGCAGTTTTTGGTTTTTTAGTTAGTGCATTTGGTTATCATATGCCTGTTCTTAGGCAGCTTGCTGTTGCCTTGGTCTTGACTACATGGTATTCTATACATTACTTTTCCGTAATCAAATAATGTATACTCTTTTTAGAAAGTCAGAATATATAGATTTGCCAAAAAGGGTGAAGAACGTAAAGAACTCACCTGTCATCACATGAACCCAGAGAGAATCATAATCTAGTTTGTTTTTTCTCTATAAATGTTTCTATTTCATATACTTGTCTGGAGAGGCTTTAAACAGAAATGTAACCACAGTTTCTTCAACTGGATTTTCACTTGATATTTTTTCCACTAAGATGTTTATATTTCACAAAAACATTTTTAAACGATTATACAGTATTATATAGTTCTTCCATAATTTATGTAACTAGTCCATTTTTGGTGTACTTATAGATTGTTCATAGTGGTTCTTTGTTTTGTTTTTAAATAAATGTTCCAGTGAATATCCTTGTTCTACGACTTAGGGAACTTATCTGATTATTTTCTTAGGGTGCATTCTAGAAGAATGGTTGGGTGACAGGGTTCAGATACTCTCATGTGTTCTGAACCCATCGGCAGACAGCCCCGTACTGTCATGGAGCCCAGAAGACTTCTCTTTTCCTTACACCTGCAACTCTTAGGTGTCACAGAACAGTATATTATCTCTACAGTATATAATACCTTCCATAAATTGAATTTGTTATTAATAAGGCAACATCTTTCCACATATTTATTAACCATTTGTATTCTTTTGTTGGAGTGGCCTGTCCAAGGCTTTTTCCCATTTTAAAATTGATTCTAAGTGTCCTGTATGTATTGAGGATATTAACCATTTGTCAGTGAATAAGGTATACTTTAAAGTGGAATTTGAGCCTATTTTGTGTTGCATCAAAAGGGGGTTTAGATATGAATCTACTAGACAGTGATGCCTATGTAATCACTTGAGTCTAGTATTACATAATAAGACTCTATTAAATGCAGTTATGCAAGAGAAAAAAATGTACAAAGATACGTTGCTCATACATGAACAAAAATCAAAGAAAAGGAGAGTTTAAAACAGGCTAGGTTCATGCCTGTAGCCTCAGCTAGTCAGGAGGCTAAGGTGGGAGGATTGCTTGATCCTGGGAAATAGAGGTTGCAGTGAGCAATGACTGTGCCACTGGACTACATAGCGAGACCCTGTCTCAAAATAAACCAAAACAAACCAAAAGCTTCTACTTTATGACTCGCTCTATTTATCATCTTGTTTATGGGGTGATAAATTATTTAACTTAAAATGAGTTGTTCAACTTGATTAAAAGCTTGACTATTTTTAATTAAATTATTTTTTATGATGAAAAATTGTGTCTTTAAAGTATGTTTACCAAAATTTAGTTAAGTATGTCAGTTACCTAGTATTGTTTTCAGCTCATCATTCTGTACATTTGACTTCTTCACAGAAACTGTTGGAGCAATTAATTCTTTTTGAAAATTTAACTTCAAGAAAGTTAATGCTTTTAAATCTTTTAGGTGTTAAAAAAAATCATTCCATTCAATTAATTTGGGCTTTTCAAAATTTGCTATAATTTTTTTTTTTTTTTTTTTTTTGAGATGAAGTTTTGCTCTTGTTGCCCAGGCTGGAATGCAGTGGCACAATCTTGGCTCACTGCAACCTCCGCCTCCTGAGTTCAAGTGATTCTCCTGCCTCAGCCTCCCAAGTAACTGGGATTACAGGCATTTGCCACCACGCTCGGCTAATTTTGTATTTTTAGTAGAGACGGGGTTTCTCCATGTTGGTCAGGCCGGTCTCCAACTCCCGACCTCAGATTATCCACCCACATCAGCCTCCCAAAGTGTTGGGATTATAGGCATGAGCCATCATGCCCAGCCTAAATTTACTGTAATGTTAAGACAGATTTTTGCAAAATTAAGTATTCAGTCCTATATTTCTTTCTTGTGGTTGGAAGGTCATGGTAAAATATTGGTCTGTTTTAGGGTAACACTGGTGGAAGTTACTGAAATGTATAATCAATATATTTTTCTTTTAGCATTATTCATGAATAAACTCACTATTAATGTAAACTTTTAATGATAGATGTCTGCTTAGTTCAGTATATTAGTTTGTGTTGAGAGAAACTATATTCTTTATCATATAGTAATTAGCATGTGGTAAATAGTACGTAACAGACCTCTTAGGTACAGATGTAGCCAAATAGCACCTGCCATTTTGATTTTTGTGCGGTTGCAATGTGTCTATTTCTAATAAGAAAACAGTGTTTAAAATATTTTTGGTATTTTTTTTTCTTACAGTGAAAATTCTCGACTGGCTGCTGAGGTTTACAAAGACATGCCGGAAACCAGCTTTACTCGAACCATTTCTAATCCTGAGGTGGTTATGAAACGACGGAGGCAGCAAAAATTGGAAAAGAGAATGCAGGAATTTCGGAGCTCAGATGGGCGGCCTGATTCAGGTACAACTTGGTATTTTTTCTCTGTTCTACCTGTTACAAAGAGCATTGTTTAATTACACTGTACGTGCGTGAGACTTGCTTTAACTAAAGCAATGGGTGGTGTAACCTTTTCATAACAAATGTGTACCATATACTTCTGGTACAAAATCAGCCTACCCTATGTACAAGAGTCCTGTTCACATAGGGATATGTTTAGTTTCATACTTTTACCCAATACAGCTCTTAAAAAAAAAAAACTAGAAAATTTCAAGTATATACAAAAAAAGAGAAAGATACAATAAACTCCCGTGTACGTATCACTGAGGTTTCTTCTGTTCTCCAAAATACATTGCCTCCATTCTCAAACTATTATTGGGAAGCAAATCCCTAACTTCTCATTCTTTCAACTATAAATATTTTGGTATATTTTCCTGAAGGATAAAGATTCCTTAAAAACAAAACAAAATATAACCATAGTATCATTATCATATATAAAATAATTGATAATAATTCCTTAATACTATCAAATAACTAGTCATTGTTTAAATTTTCCTGATTGCCTCAGATGATTCTTCTGTTTGAGATGGGATCTAAATGAGATGTAACACATTGAATGCATGGTCACTTGCTTCTGCATCCATCGCAGACACTGCTCAGGACTCTATTTCTCCTGAGCATATTTCAGCCTAGTGTCCAGACAGCCACCGTCTGGGGGGAACGTTGGCCCACCCTAGTGTTAGTGCTTATTTTGACCCTTAGCACCCTATAACTGAGTCGTAATTAACATATTTCACAGGACTTGTAGTGCCAGTGATTCAAAAAAGATCTCAGAGAGTACGGGACTTCTTGGTTCCATAAATATTCTAATAGATTACATTTGAGACCCAAGTGATTCTTTGTTTATATATATTTTGTCTTGTTCTGTCAAGAATTTGAAATAATTTCTAAATCTATGCACCAAAAAAGACAAAACAAGGAGTCTGAAAGAAAATACAAAGAAGAACAGTAGTAAAAATTTTTTAAAAGACAAGAGGAATGCTAAGAAATGGCTACATGTGCTAACCACGTACCAGACCTGAAGGCACTTTGTATGCTGTAAGAAGGAGTTTGACATTATTACTGAAATGAATTTCTGAATGTATTCTATGGTTCCCTTAAAGAATACTCAGGTATGGGCTAGAGGTAGTGAGTCATGGTAAACATAGCTAGCTTAGAGTATCAATTTTTATATCTAACTTTAAAAAATATTTGTTAGAATGAAATATGCTTTAATGTGGTTAGAATGTAACATTTACATTTTTTTTTTTTACGATAAAATAGGAAGTTTTTGTATGTCAGTTAGCTTATGTCCCCAGATTCCCCCATGTATTTTGCACTGCCATTGGGGGTATTTTGATGGAAAAATTTGATATGCTTTGTTAATAAGCTGTTGAAGAGTTTTAAGCTAGGGGTTTAGAAGGCTTTCATTGTAGCCTAAGCTTTATATCTGGAGAGATGACTGTGGAAGCAGAGTGGAAGATGGATTTGAGGGAATTCTGATTAGGAGCAGGCATGCCCATTAAAAGTATTGCTTTGGCCATATAAGGAATAAGGGGCCTCTGAGCTCTGTCATTGACAGTGGGACTGTAAAGAGAGAAGGGTCTGAAGAAATATTTAAGAGGTAGAATTATCAGGAACTGGCAATAGACTGGATTTTACTGAGGAGGGGAGGCATTTAGGATGGCCCCTCTGCTTTTTATTGGAAAGATGTTGATGGACTGTAGAATGAAAGAATGTTTGGGGGTGGAAGGTAGGTTTTGTTTATGTTTGTCACATAAAGTGCTGGTAGGATATGGGATATATTTTAGGCTACTGTTCCAGTGGCACATGGCGATTAGGGTTTGGGAGTGATCAGTGTTAGGAGACAGTGTATAGATGATTCAGAAACTTAAGGGAAAGCCATTGATTGTTAAGAGGAGTCATCAAAGCAAACAGGAAAAGCTGCAAAGAATTAGGAGGAGAAATAGCAGAACATCAAAGTACAGCTTGTCTGTTAAAGGGGTGATTGGGGGTAGAAGGAGCATTTTTCTATATGTAGACTCTGAGGAAACTCTTAACTAAATATTGATAACAAAAAATGGCCCTTTATGGTTAATACTAAGGAAGCCAAAAGTATTAATGAAGTCCAAGGTTTTTATTTGTTAGTTTTAACAAATAACTTCCTCTGAAAAAATATATCCTTACAGCCTACTGCAGCTATCAGCTTAGCTATCAGGTTAATTCTTTAGTGTGGGCTGGAGACAAGGGCACCTGTGAACACCACTTCTCTGAGAGTGACAGCTGTGTCTGTTATTTTTTTCTCTTTTACCCCAAGGATTAGTTTCTCAAGTTCTGATGACAGAACCTGCATGTCCTCCTTAATTTGTTTTTGTTAAACTCACCTCACAGCTGATCAGGCATCACAATTCATAACAAGCTTTGCCCCTGAACTTTGTGTTTTTGACACTCAGTTATATTTGCTTCATGATGGCTTCAAAATGTAATTGACCCCAAAATGCCCTATATATCTCAGTTAATTCATTTGTGGTACAAATACTCTACTACCATTTATTGTTATGGTTTTTTTTTTTCACTGATAAATTAACAGAATTGTAAGAGAAGTTTTAGTTGATTCTTCCTCTTGGGTTTTTTAGCGCGCAGTCTTGTGAGTAGCGGGGCACTGTGAAGTGCAGAAGAACATGGACCTGGGGTCAGGGTGCAGTTGGAACCACTGTGTACAAACCAAGAGCCACAGTTTCTTCATCTTCAAAACGGGGCACTAACCAAAATCATATAGATGTTACTGCAGTCTACCCAATTGTTTGCTCATCCTATTGTACATCTTTTTTTTTGTGAATTACTTGAGGTCTGTATTTGGATGTGGAGTGTAATTAAATAAGGAGTGTGCCTTCTGGTGTCATGGAAAACACAGTTTAAATGGACTCCACTCCTGTTGCTAATGTCCCTATCTTCATCCAAAAGCCAGGATCTTCTTTGGAAAGCACAAGTGACATTTTGTCCACCTCCTTAGACATATGCACGCAGACACAGTCATACATGTGCACTCTTGCATGCACGCACGCACACACACCCACTCTCTCTCTCTCTCTCTCTGTCTCTCTCTCTCTCTCATACACATAGAACTTAAACCCTTCCAGTGGCTTTCACTTTAACTAGAATAATTCAAACTCATGATGTGATCATGGTCTGGGAAGTCCTGTATGATCTGGTCTCAGTTGGTTCCTGACCTCATCTGCCCCTTTTCCCCTCGCTCTGTCCGTACTGGCCAGTGAACCCAACCAGACTTGCCCAGCCCTGGGCCTTAGCAGTTGCTGGTCCCCTGCTGAGACAAAGCCCTTCCTTTAGATTTTCACATGGCCACTTCTGTCTGGTTGTTCAGGTCTGAGTTCAAATGTTTATTCTTCAGAGAGTTCTTGGCCAGTCACCCAAGCTTAGGATGCTCTCGGTCATGTTCTTTCTCACAACCTTATATTTTTCACAATGTGTGTCACTATTTTAAAGGTATTTATTTGTTTTCTTGTTAGTCTTCTTCCTCTGCATCCTACTTCCCAACCACAGGATGTAAGCTGTTGAGGCAGGAATATCATCTGACCTGCTTATTGCTGTTCCTCTGCATTGGAACAGGAGAGCCCCTGGGCAGTGTGAGTGTGCACATGGTAAAGATGTGCTGCAACCTGTGATTCCCCTGGTCTGGCTTAGCAGGTCCATATTCTAATACTACTGTGGACTAGTTGGTTTCTTAAAAGACCAACATGATTTTATTGTGAGCTAAGCTATCAAAATGCAATTCATGCCAGACTTGTTGAAAAAGAGAGTATGAGAAATATTCAGTAACTGAAATAACTGCATTAGAATTAAAAAGTAATAGAATCATGGAAATTAAGAATTTGCTTCAAGAAACCCACAGATTTTCTAATCTAGCTCTCTTAAATTACAGGTGAGAAAATTGAGAGTTAAAGAAGCCAGAGTGCATACCTAGGGTCACAGTGTCATAATGGGACTGTGGAACCTATCTTAATTTCTTCCCTCAGTATCCTTCCATCTGGACTTCAGATTTCAGGTTATATTAATCTTGGACCATAGGTAGAAAGCAGGTTATGACACCAAAAGTGACAATATTATGACATATACATGTAGATTTCCATTAAAAAGAAACAAAAGAAAATGTCAGGATATCCAAATTGCTCTGCTGTAGTTGGTTTTCTTTTTTTCTCCTAAATAAGTTCACAGCTATAAAGGACATTGTAGTTTGTAGTGCCTGGAAGTAAAAATAGAACTCTGCTCTGTTGGCAAATCTCTTTTGAAAAATCTTTGGCCTTGAGCACTTGAGATCTCCTGGTTCCTACTTCACTTTTTAAAAATGGATTTATTTAGTGGGTTAATATTTAACTTTATCTGGGTTTTTAGTTTTTTTCAGATTGATGATCAGGAAGTAGGAAAATGGGAGAAATAGGTATATAATAATATATAGGTAAGGAAATCGCAAAGCAATTGAATAAAGAGCAGCACCATAGAGAAATTCTGGAGTTCCTTCCTTTTCTTTCCTCACTATAGATACGGAAATCAATTCATTGTTTTTAAAAACTCCTTTAGCTTGAAGAGAGAAGATGAAAATGGTCTTTGTCATGCTGGATTGTTCATGGTTTCTAAGTGTCACTAGATCAACTAGTTACTGCTATTATATGTTATCTAACAGGAAATGAAACAATAGTTATTAGGCAGATTGTCTTTACACTCATTTTAGCTAGAATGCAGGTACCTTTTTCTCAAGTGACTGTAAATGTTAGCTATCTCTGTTACTGGCATAAAGTAAGTTGTACTCAAAGATGTCAAAATGTTTTTTCAGGTGGAACATTGAGAATTTATGCAGATAGTTTAAAACCAAATATTCCCTACAAGACAATCCTGCTGTCTACTACAGATCCTGCAGACTTTGCTGTGGCTGAAGCTTTAGAGAAGTATGGTCTGGAAAAAGAAAACCCTAAGGATTACTGCATCGCCCGGGTAAGGAACTTTATCAAATCAGTAGTTCTTTCTACTTCACATTTAAATGGTAGATTTTCTTTAAATCAAATTAAACCTAGATTTTCAGCCTACCATATCATTTAGAATCTGATAATTTACAAATCATGTGCTAAATATATATTTTTAAAAAGCAGTCTCCCTTCCATTACAAAAGCAATACATATTTCTATTATAAAATAAGAAAAATATTAAAAGGCAAATTAAAGAAAATGAAAATTACCCCAAAATCAATTGACCACATATACTTGTGGTTCTTATTCTGGTCTCTTTTCTGTTCCATTGATACATATGTCTATCTTTTTACCAATACCAAGCTGCCTTAATTACTGTAGATTTATAAGTCTAAAATTATGTAAAGTATGTGCCAATTTTGTTCATGATTTTAAAAAATTGCTTTGTTTATTCTAGGTTGTTTATGTTTCTTTATAAATTTTAGGATCAGTTTGTCAGTGTCTACCCAAAACCTTCTGAGATTGTGATTGGGTTTGCATTGCCTCTGTAGATCAACTTTGAGAGACTTCTCATCCTAATAATATTTAGTCTTCCAATTTGTGAGCAGAGTGTATCTCTTTATTTACTTAGTGCTTTAAATTCTCTCAGCAGTGTTTCATAGTATTCAGTGTAGAGGTCTTGTGCCTCTCTTGTTAGCTACAGGTAGAATTAAATAAAAGGGTGTGTTGTTTGAGTTTTATAACTTTTATGTTTTTGCTGAGAAGCTAAGAAGTTACATTGAGTTGGAAAAACTAGTGATTTGAAGCTTATGAATACAGCTCAACTTTAGCTGACAGTAGATGGGAAATCATGTTTTTCTCACATTAAAATGACAATAAAGGAATAAAAATTTGTTTAAATGCACAAGAACAAAGAGAATGAGAGATGAGATGACAAGAGATTAGTCTGTGGAATTTTGCAGATGTAAATGAGAGGTCTCTGACTTGCCAGACCAGAGAAATCTTGCTGGGAGGACATCAAGACAAAGCAGGCAAGTGTATCCCAGCCCCAGGAAGACTCAGGAATTAGAGGCTTTGGAACTTTCTAAGGCAGTGTTGAAAGTTGGGCTGAAAAGAAGAAATTGGGCTGAAAGTTTCTGTAAGAAGTGGCAGACTCCACCGGATTCACTTCCCTACCCTAACTGCTGAAGGCTAGAGTAAAACTGATGGGAGGTGGGTGGGTATTGAATGGAGTCCGTGGATTTGGAGGTAACAGGAGTAGCACAAGGTGACAAGGGTCTTCACTGAAAACAGGAGGATGAAGTGAAAGACTGTACCCAGAATACTGATGGCTAGAAGATTTATGGATCCCTCTCAGAAGGCACTTGTTGAAAGAAAGATCTGTATAAAAATGGACCTTTGAAAATTCTGGTCTAATAACATCACTCTGAGACTTAGCAACAGTAACCCTTGCCCACATATATAGCCTTTACATTCAGCTTTCATGGGACTTGCTGTCAAATGTTGATAGCCAAGGTTCAACAGACATTTGAAAAAAGTACCTTTAAAACGGGGACAGATAACAGAAACATTAAGAAAACTGGAGCTAAAAGGGAGAAACTGGAGAGAACAGATGGAAGTTTGACAACACTAAGACTTACAGAGATAAAGAAAATAGTGCATCCATGAAATAAGACTAGAATGCTGGAAAAAGAAACAGACGGAGAAAGAACTCTTAGAAATAAAAAATATATAAAGTAAATAAGCGATAGAGGGGGGAAAATGTTAATAAGATAGGTAGAAAATAAGGAAATCTACCTAAATACAGATCAAACAGAAAAAGAAGTAAAACAGACAAGATATTTAGATTATTAGTGTAGAATATTTAACATATACTAAAGGGGGATCAAAAGGAAGCCAGGCATGGTGGCTCACTCCTGTAATCCCAGCACTTTGAGGTCAGGGGTTTGAGACAAGGCTGGTCAACATTGCGAAACCTTGTCTCTACTAAAACTACAAAAAAAAAAAAAAAATGAGCTGGGCATGGTGGCGCACACCTGTAATCCCAGCTACTTGGGAGGTTGAGGCAGGACAATTACTTGAACCCGGGAGGTTGCAGTGAGCCTTGATCTCGCCATTGCATTCCAGCCTGGGCGATGGAGCGAGACTCTGTCTCAAAAACAAACAAACAAAAAAGAAAACCAAAGGAAATGGAGAGACGGAAGTTATCAAGGAAATACTGCTAGAATCTCTCAGGACTGAAGAAGTTTAGTTTCTAGGTTGAAAAGGCCCACTGAATAATGGTATAATTGCTTTGACAAAGACCCAAACCAAAGCTTATTATTTTGAAACTGCAGAAAACTAGTATTGAAAAGAATGATTCAAAAGAAAAAGATTCAAGTTGCATATAAAGGTTTGGGGAGTAAGGCTGGTGCTAGTCTTCTCAACAGTAACTATGGTATCTGGCATGCCGTGTACTTTCAAATGCAGAGTGAAATGATTCCCCATCCAGACTGTCAGCCAGGTGTTACGTGGATGGAATAAAGACATTTCAAAACATACAAGGCAAAAATTTACCTCCCATGTGCCCTATCTCAAAAAAGTGCTGGAGGACATTGTCCAGCAGAATGATGGAGTAGGCCAAGAAAGAGAGAGAGGGAGAATTCAAGAATAGAATCTATCAAGAGAAGGGAATTCCAAGGATGATGGGGAAGGAAAGTCCAGAAGATTCCTCTGCAGTAGTGCTGAACGGCACACACTTGAGATTGGAGATAATGTCCAAGACTGAAGGTAAATAGCAATAAGGACACATTGTTTAGAAATATGGTGGTAAATACTAGTTGTGACATCTAAAATAAACAAATAGCCAGTAAATTCCTGAGGCTATTTCTATGAGCATTTATTTTTGCAGTATTCTGTGCATAGCAATAAAAAAGCAGACAACAAGCCCAGCACTAAGGAATGCTTCTACCACTCAGTGACGTGTTGCTCTGCAACGTCAGTTAAATCTCTACTAGTTGACCTGGAGGTATATACAGGCACACCTCAGAGATGTTGCAGGTTCGATGCCAGAGACCGTCACGGTAAATCTGGCATCGCAGTATAGTGAATCACAGGAGTGTTTTGGTTTCCCAATACGTATAAAAGTTATGCTTTTAGTAAAGTGTGCAGTAGCATTGTGTTTAAGAAAAAATGGACCTACCTTAATATAAAAATGCTTTATTACTTAAAAAATGCTAACAGTCATCTGAGCCTTCAGCAAGTTATAATCTTTTTGCTGGTGCAGGGGCTTGCGTGGATGTTGATAGCCACTGACTGACCAGGGTGGTGGTTGCTGAAGGTGAGTTAGGTTGGCTGTGGCAACTCCCTAAAATACAACAAATGAAGTTTGCTGCATTGATTGACTCTTCCTTTCACAAAACATTTCTCTGTAGCATATGATACTGTTAGATAACATTTTATGTACAGTAAAATGTCTTTCGGAATTGAAGTCAGTCCTCCCAACCCCTGCCACTGCTTTATCAACTAAGTTTATATAATATTTGAAATCCTTTGTTTTCATTTCAACAGTGTTCACAGCATCTTCACCAGGAGTTGATTCCATAAGAAACTACTTTCTTTGCTTATTCACAAGAGGCAACTCCTTGTTTGTTCAGCTTTTATCATGAGATTGCAGCATTTCAGTCACATCTTCAGACCCCATTTATAATCTTAGTTCTCTTCCTGTTTTCACCTCATCTTCATGTACTTCCTTCACTAAAGTCTTGAACAGCTCCAAATCATCCATAGGGTTTGAATCAGTTTCTTCCAAACTCCTTTCACTATTGATATTTTTCCTTATCCCGTGAATCATGAATATTCTAATGGCATCTAGAATGGTGAATACTTTCCAGGTTTTCACCCCAGATTTATCAGAGAATCACTATCTATGGCAGCTATAGCCTCATTAAATGTGTTTCTTAAATAATAAGACTTGAAAGTCAAAATCACTCCTTGTTCCATGGGCTGCAGAGTGGGTGTTGCTTTAGTAAGCATGAAAACAATGTTAATCTTGTACCTCTCCACCAGAGCCTGGGTGACTAGGTGCCTTGTCAGTGAGCAGTAATATTTTCAAAGGGTTCTTATTTTTTTTTCTTCTTTCCTCTGAGCAGTAGGTCCCAACAGTGGGCTCAAAATAGTAAGCCATGCTGTAAATAGATGTGTTGACATCTAGGATTTGTTGTTCATTTATAGAGCACAGGCAGAGTTGATTTGTATAATTCTTAAAAGCTCCAGAATTTTCAGAAAGGTAAGTGAGCATTGGCCTCAACTTAAAGTCACCAGCTTCATTCGCCCCTAACAAAAGAATCAGCCTGTTCTTTGAAGCTTCGAAGCCAGGCTTTGCCTTCTCCTCTCTAGCTAGAGAGTCCTAGATGGCTGCTTTTTCCAATAGAAGGCTGTTTCATCTTCATTGAAAATCTGTTATTTAGTGTAGTGACCATCAGTGGTCTTAGCTAGATCTTCTGGAGAACTTGCTGCAGCTTCTCCATTAGCTGCTTCACCTTGCAGTTTTATGGAGATGGCTTCATTTCTTAAACCTCACAAATCAACCTCTGCTAGCTTCAGACTTTTCTTCTGCATCCTTCTCACCTCTCTCAGCCTTCATAGAATTGAAGAGAGTTAGGGCCTTGCTCTAGAGTAGAATTGGCTGTAATATTGTGGCTGATTTGGTCATCTATCCAGACCATTCAGACTTTCTCCATATGAGCAATAAGGCTGTTTCTCTTTCTCACCATTCATATGTTCATTGGAGTAGCACTTTTAATTTCCTTTAAGAAGTTTTCCTTTGCATTCATAACTTGACTGGCACCAAGAAGCCTAGCTTTCTGCCTGTCTGGGCTTTCGACATGCCTTTCTCACTATGTTTAATCAATTTTTAGCTTTTGATTGAAAGTGAGTGATGTGCAGCTCTTCCTTTCACTTAGAGGTCATTTTAGGGTATTAATTGGCCTAATTTCAATGTTATGTCTCATAGAATAGGGAGGGCCAAGGAGAGGTAGAGAGATGGGGAGTGGAACATTCAGAACACACACACTTATCAGTTAAGCTTGCCATCTTATATGGGTGCAGTTCATGGCACCCCAAAACATTAGTAACATCAGAGATCACAGATCACCATGACAGATTTAATAATAATAATGAAAAAGTTTGAAGTATTGTGAGAATTAACACAATGTACACACAGACACAAAGTGAGCAATGCTGTTGGAAAAATGGCATCAGTAGGCGTGCTCAACGCAGGCTTGCCGCAAACCTTCAACTTACATTTGTTTTTTCTTAAAAGAGCAATATCCGTGAGGCACAATAAAGCAACAAGGTATGCCTGTACATTTACGAATACCCTGTCTTTGTAAAAGCAGTCATCATAAACAAAACCAGATAACACAATGCTGTGTATATGTTTACATGAGCAAAGAGAAAGTTAAATGCCTAGAAAAGATACTAGCTTACAAACTAAGTGAGGGAAAGAGGGAGGAAAAGACTTTTAACATGTGTTATATGATTAAGATCTGAATCTCATTATAAAATAAATGCATAAAGATAATTATTGAAAGTATGGTCACAAAAATATAGTAATCTCACAGTAGTTTTTTTTTTCCCTTGTGCTTTTTCTGTATTTGAATTTTTTTACAGTGAACATGTGTTATTCAGAATCAGAAAGAAATACAGCAAAGCTCATTTCATTGGGATGGGAGAAGAGAGATAAGCATGGGTATTTGGTAATTTGGTGCACCTTTTTATTTCTTTGGCCTTTAGTAGGAAGTAGTGAGAAATAGTATCAATAAAATTGAAGGAAAAAAGTCTTCTCAGAAGTGAAATTTTAAAATTTATACTTTAAATGAGAATTCATAGATAAACAGTGTCATGAACTAGAGTTCTGCCATACTCTGTGGGGCATTGATTGGGTAAGGGTGTAAGGTTGTTCAGTCAAGGTAATTGTACATTCTCTCTGAAGGAAAAATACCTGAGCTGGAGGGTGTTGTGGTGTGTTGCCCTGACAGTTACTTGAAGTGCAAGAGAGCTCTGTTACAATCCTGGGCCTTATAAGATAATCCCTTACCATTCACAAGAACTATATAGCAAGTATGATTGTATATATAAGAGAGATAATTTACCTATAGAATAATTAAGTCCATGGATATGATGGGTTTTTTAAGTGGTCCGTATACTTAGAATTGATTAGTAACTGCTGTACAAAGTTTTCTAAGTCAGAATACTATTAGTAAAACAGCAGTGTACATAGGGTCTGTACTACTGAACAGACGCCTGATGCTTTCTGAGCTGTGTCCCTCAGCTGTTGTGGTGTGAACACTGAGGGCAGGAACTTGAAGCCCTGTCTCTACTAAAAATACAAAAATTAATTGGGCATGGTGGTGGGCACCTGTAATCCCAGCTACTCGGGAGGCTGAGGTGGGAGAATCACTTGAACCCAGGAGGCGGAGGTTGCAGTGAGCTGAGATCGCACCACTGCACTCCAGCCTGGGTGACAGAGCGAGACTGTATCAAAAAAAAAAAAAAAAAAAAAGAATGCCTGGTGTTGCATCTGATACCTGGTGTTGCTCCAGTATTTGCCAAGGGAATGTTGATGTTGATAAGTGTATATAAGTCTATTTAATAATAAACTGTTCTATAAAATTGCATCTGATAAACTTTTTAACATCTTTTTCTTTTCAGTAATTTTTGGCTGATTTTTACTGATGAAAATGAGAAAGTGAAAGAGCACCTTAATCGGGGTTTTAAAGTTATAAAAGCCTATCTTGGGATTTTATTGACAGTCCCTTATGAAGTCATTTGATAATTTCCATTGAGTGTTTCTTCTAGTTTTGGTTTTCTGTTCTGTTATTTCCTAACCAGTTTTCTTTTGCAAGATTAGGCAATACAAATCAGGAGGTAATTATTGTTTTACCTTGAAATTCTTTATCTTCTCAGCTTGCCTTTTTTTTTTTTTTTCTTTTTTTCCTTTTGGAGATGAAGTCTCGCTCTGTCACCCAGGCTGGAGTGCAATGGCACGATCTCGGCTCACTGCAACTTCCGCCTCTTGGGTTCAAGCCATTCTCCTGCCTCAGCCTCCCGAATAACTGGGACTACAGGCGCACGCTGCCATGTCCGGCTAATTTTTTGTATTTTTTAGTAGAGACAAGGTTTCACTATGTTGCCCAGGCTGGTGTCGAACTCCTGAGCTCAGGCAGTCCACCTGCCTTGGCCTCCCAAAGTGCTAGGATTACAGGCATGAGCCACTGTGCCTGGCCCAGGTTGCCATTTTATAAATTGTAGCTGTTTTCTTATTCTTTATTCATTATTTTATCTATTTAATTATTTAATAAATTTTCTCCTTGTTAGATATTATCCTGGGATAAGAAGAAGCTGCCCTTAGAGCTTATAATAAAGGGAGACAGAAAGACTAAGAAATAGAAAACAGGGAGCTTTTCTATTAGAATGAAAATCATTGAATGCTTTCTAGAGAAGTTGTACTTAAGCTGAAGGATGAGTGGATGTTATTAGACATGAAAGTTGGGGCAGGAGGGATCATGGAAGCATATTATATGTCGCCGAGTGTGAGGATTCTGGTTCCATGTGACTTGGCTCTAAATGTTTGATAAAGATTGAGACTAAAGAGATGAGTGAAGGTCAGATCCTGAAGTAGTATGTGTTCTAAGCCAAGATACTGAATGTAATATGAAACACTATGAAGAAAGATTGGTTAATTTATGATAAGGTGTGTTACAGTCTATTTGTCTTTTTAAGGTAATTGAAGCAGTGTAGAGAGAAATTACAGGGTTCTGTAGAAGAGTCTAACCCATTTGGTATGTGAGCATGAGGATACATTTGGGTGGTGAGGTCTATTAAGATAACATCATTACATTAATTACAGGTTGGAAGTAATGTTCACATGCCAGTGACTTGGCCTTCTTTTCTTATTCTCTCTAATCCTGTTTTGGTTCATGTTAGCAGTGTGTTAGAGTGAAGATGGAGCACTAGCCCAAAGTCTAGAAGAATATTGGACAACCATCATCTCCCACTCTCCTCCATATTACAGTGTTTTGGGGGCTTTCTTAGATTATTAAAAAAATTGTTTGGCTCTAGTAAAAATGTAATAAAAAAGTAATACAGCATTATGAATTAGGAGTTCAATGAATACAGTATATTGAAACAGGTGGTTAAAAGCATTTGTTGAATGAATGACTTGCCCTGTAATATATTTAAATGGTCTGATTAAAATTTAATCATAAAGAGATTATTTCAAGAAAACGAAAACTATTCTGGCTTGTTGTATGGTGGTTATCCTAAGATATCTCATATTGTATGAGCCCACTTTATAAAAACAATTGTTTGAATGTGAAAAGGTGGGTTAAGGACTAGAGAGATTGAAATTTGCAATAGTGAAGAAATTACACAGAAGTTAACCATTACGTACTGCCGTACTGCCTTTCCATATAAAAAGTTGTAAAAAAAAAAAATATTTAGTCTACCTCTTTTTAGGGACCAGGTGATTAAAAGCAGCCAAATCAGCTGGCTTAGCTTTTTATTATAGACTGTTACCTTTCACTTTTATTGATGATTATTTTGATGATGAGTGAGAATTGTTTCTAGTGCTTAATTCTACGGTGACATTTTATTCATTCAAAAGCAATAAATGTGTTCTTTTAAGTACTTGTTAACTTAGTTACTTTGGCACATTCATAGTTAATTATTTTTGTTTTTTTAGGTTATGCTTCCTCCTGGAGCCCAGCATTCTGATGAAAAGGGTGCTAAAGAAATTATTCTTGATGATGATGAGTGTCCTTTACAAATCTTCAGGGAATGGCCAAGTGACAAAGGTAGTAACCTTATTAAAGGATTACTTACACCAGATTCCTATGTGATATACCAGGTGTTCACCTTATCACATGATGTAGGAGATGTGTACGTTAATGTTTTTGGATGGCCTTGTTGTTGTTGTTGTTGAGACAGTCTCACTCTTGTTGCCCAGGCTGGAGTGCAGTGGCGCAATCTTGGCTCACTGCAAGCTCCACCTCCCGGTTTCAAGCGATTCTCCTGCCTCAGCCTCCCGAATAGCTGGGATTACAGGCTCCGCCCCCATGCCCGGCTAATTTTGTATTTTTAGTAGAGATGGGGTTTCTCCATGTGGATGGCTTTTTGCTGTAGAGCTTTCTGCCTCCTTCATTAACTTGCTTGATGATTCCTGAGTGTTGCCGTTGTCCCTAAGACCACACTCAGCTTATCTGAGTCTCATGTGTTAGACACTGAACAAATGGTGATACTGCAGGTAAATCACACATCTCATTAAGAAACCACAATATTAGCACTACAGCAAGAAGCGAAAGATCATTGGTATCTACCAGTAGTAGAAAACACATTTCATGCTGACTAGATTAACTGTGTGATGTTTGGACAAATTTGTTATGATAGAGAAAATGACTTCTGTAACCCTATAGATTGTCCAGTGATTTAGTCATTTCAAATAATGAATTCACACTTTGCACTACTGAAACAATTTTCCCTTATTATTTCAAAGCAGTCTTAAGTTTAAAGCTGTGTTTTTAAGAAAATACGGTTTTCTTTCAAATTCACATCATAAGTTAACTGTTAACTCCATAGAGGGCCTTGCATTAATAACGACATAAAAATGTATTGCCATTTAATCGTGTCAATATGGAATGTAGATTGGTAGTTTTAAAACACCAAAAAAATCTTTCTCAGCAAGCAAATTTCTATCCTCCTTAAAACACTTGTTTAGTATTTTTTAAAAACAGTGTAAAGTTAAAATTTTATTAAAGGCAAATTGCCTAAATTCTTTAAGTTGAATTTAATAAAAATCAGGTCAACTAAAAATATACACATATATTTTGTTAGTAATAGAATTGTTGTTTTATTTCAATAGGCTTTTGCGGGAACAGGCGGTATTTGGTTACATGAATAAATTTTTTCGTGGTGATTTCTGAGATTTTAGTGTACTTATCACCCTAAAAGTACATTTTTATATGTGTATTTGTGTGTGAATGTGGTTTTTATATGTATGAATGTATTTACTGATCATAGAGTTGTTTACTAATGTAAGCATTTATTCTTAACCTGGTGTTTTTTTTTCAAGCTTATGATGTCTTTCGGTAGCTGTTAATTTAGAGTAGTCTTTGGAAATTGCTTGCTAGAGCTTTTCAAACACACCAAGAGGCTAATATTTCCTCTGTTGAGTGAAAGTATGAATTGGGTAAGCTGTACACAGTGATTCCTTGGCAGATGTTCCTAAATTACATGCATCTTTTTGAGAAAGTTTTGCACAGTTGACTGCCAGTCAGCGGGCCATCCTGACCAACCTGAGTCTGCCTGATGATTTCCCATGCTGCTGTTCTAGGGATTTTAGTCTTTCAGTTGAAGAGGAGGCCACCAGACCACATCCCAAAGAAAACCAAGAAACACTTGGAAGGCAAGACACCCAAGGGAAAGGAGAGAGCTGACGGGTCTGGCTATGGCTCCACCCTTCCTCCGGAGAAGCTGCCCTATTTAGTAGAGTTAAGCCCAGGTGAGAAAACTGGTCACACCAGCACACATTATTAATGTGCATTTTTAGCTTCAAATCTTTGTACTTTCTAATGCATCTTCAAGTAGTCTTCTGTTGGCTGACTTAACATTTTTAGCCATTTATTTTTTTAAAAGTAACTCTCATAACATTTATTTCTCTTAAATTATTAAAACTTAAGGTTGTAAAATATGTATATGTTTACATAAAAATGGTTCACATGGACAAAGATGAGTATTCAGAAACCAAATTTAGTGTATGGACAATTTTAAATTATTTTAATCCCTAAAATTTTTTTTTCCAAGATAACTTTAGTAAAATAGTTACTCTACCAACAATGACAAATTGGTATTTACCTAGGGCAGATTTCATAAAGGGGTGGGTGTGTGTGTGTGTGTGTGTGTGTGTGTGTGTGTGTGTGTGTGGCTGTTGTTTCTGATGCATGGACAGTGTCTAAAAAGAATATCTTTAAATTTTATATCTAAGAAACCCATCTTAGTAAGAGGAAGGCTATTTGATTTTAAAGTAACAGACTACATTTATTTTCACATGAGTCCTCTAAGTGTTTTTTTTGTAGAACTCTTAATACACTAAAGCTGTCGTTTCAGGTTAGCCATTGAGTAGAGAAATACGTGGGCATTCTTAAGGAAATGTTTTACACACACATTCCTAGGTAGAGTGTATATTTGCACATATGTATGCTGTGCATGGCTGTACATGACATTTATCATTCAGTTAACATTACTTCATTTCTTATTTCATTATTAAATGCTATTATGTGACCTGCATTATACAATACTGTGAAGATCAGAGTGGTGCACCCCCATCCCAAGCTGCATCAAAAGAAAGCCCGAGTAGTAATCACAGAGCAAATTAGCAGAAAATTGAACCAGTTATGTGTATGATATATGGCTCCATGAATGTGAATTACATTTTTTCTTCTTTGATTTTTGAGAGTTTATTTTTATTTGCAAGGTTTGTTTAGTTTCTTACAGCTAGGTTATTGCAATTAACTAATGATTACATACGATATTTGTTGTCCAGCAGTCTCATGGTACCGTAGGTTATATAAATACAGGAAGTGATGGTATCATTTTGATGCCACAGTTAGTGGCAGTGTGGCTTTAGGTAGTAGCTTTTATACCTAATTATGCTTCAGGACTTTAAAAAAATCAATTGATTAGCTATTTGTGAGGAATATATTGGTGTTGCTAACCTCAGTTCTCTGGGTGGAAAGTTTACTTGAAGCTTTATTATCTCACTGTAGTTTGGAAACACATCCCAGTATTGTTGTGTGTCTATAATGTGTGTGAGAGCATTGATGTTTGGTTGTCTGAGGTAATGAATGGCAACTATGAAGCAGCCATTAGTTTTTGAACTTAAAATTTTTTAGGCTCTTTTTTGGGTATTGGGTCTGCCCTTTAAAATTTTATATTAAATTCTAGAAACTAATGATTGTTTTCTCCAAATCCAAATTTTTGAGGATCTAAGAGTGTTGAGTTCTGAGAGAAATTAATAAATAGCAGCTGACAGAATAATTTTCAGATGAGTAATGGACAGTTTATTTTGGTAGATAGCAGAGACAGGATGAGGATTCATTCATTCACGCATGCATTTGATAAATATTGATTGAATACTTGTGTGTCATACCGTGTTCTGGGCCTTGGAGGTAGAGCACCAAAACAGATTAAACCCCTTCACCTTGGGGATTTCTCTTCTAGTGAGAATTGTTATTTCGACTGCTTCTTTCATACTTATAGTCTCTCAGGTAATCAAATACATAGAATTTTTTTTTGTAGGTGTGGAGTAGATCACAGTTCTGTACTACTTTTCACCAAATATTGGCAACAGCATTTGTTACATGGTTATTAATACACTGCATCCCTCATGGCACTCTGCTGCCTTCAGTCAGCATTCACTGACCCTTCTACTTTAGGCAAAACAATGGATACAAAAGGATTAAGTTCCTTCCCGCCTTCAGGTAATTCACACAGTGGGAGGGAATCACAGTGCCATGTGACAAGTGACTCTGCCTCTAGTCCCGACTTCTCCTGAGCCCTGTGCCTGTGGGATAGCTTAACTTGTTCCACAAATGTCTGAAGTTCAGGTCTGGTGCCACTATTTTAAGGGTGACCTAAGGGTTGGTGGCAGGCCTGAATGCAAGGCCAGGGTCTTCCCTGCACCAAAGCCATGTTCTTTCACTAAGTCATGATGTCGTTTTAGGTTTTCATTATTATGCATTGCTCACAGTCAGCATGCTGAATGAAATTGATCTATTTTCCATTTATGAGAAAATAATATTCATACATAATGATTTGTTATGAATGGATAAGTACTGTATTTCCCCTGGGCACATTGTCAGCCAAGCATTATATACTCAATGCTGAGGTTCTGCTGGGTGTGGTTAGGAGTTTTTTTGAGATGTGGTCATGAGCTCAGCATTGTCTTTTGGAGAAATGGGGAGAAATACATTATTTCGTTCTTTGCTTTGGATTTGAATGTGTTCTTTAAACAGAAGAAATCAGCCCAGTGGGGTGGTAGCCCTCTGTATGATTAACTCACTGTTGCTGTCCTGCTGCTTGGTGACTCACCTGTTGTCCTGTGGTTTCCCTTAACAGTCTGCATTGGTTTCTAAAACACTGACTGGGGCACTAGTATAGTCTTGTCCTCACAAAAGCTGATGGGTGAAGTGTACCTTTTCTTCCTTTGAAACGTGTCTCACTGAAGTTCACCCTCTGCGTCTCTTCTCCTCCTTCCCTATTCCGCGTGTTCTGCATGGTCTCTCTCCTGCTGATGCTGCCTTCACCTGGGTCCTGGCATGTGTCTTAACCCCAGGGAGAAGGAATCACTTTGCCTACTACAACTATCACACTTACGAAGGTAATGCTATGCTTACTACTACTTTTATAACTAAAGCACTAATAGAACCTCATGGGCAGAATAGTGTTGAATGACCAAATATCTTATGTATCAGTTTTTTAGTTGATATAAATAACCTATTTTAAGAAATTTAATGTACTGTCATTTTATTTGTACCTAGTAAGTTTCCATATCTAGAACTCATTTCATTTACTGGAAGCTTGTTTTGTGTCTTTATTTTCCCAGGTTCACCCTGGGAAGGAACTGAAGGCAAAAGCAGCAGTGGCTGTGGAGGGATGCTGGGGAGTAAAGACAGAGTGCTGTTTCAAAGCACTCGTTGGGCGGTGCTCAGCCAGTCTGCCTCCCTTCATCTGTAGAATAGGAAAACTTTCTGGTAGCAGTGCCGTTACTGTCTGTTGTGGGGTTACTTAGATTTGTCTCTGCTCTTCAAGGTGCTCCAGATTTATTGTCATTATCTACGGGGAAGAAAGAGACTCAGGCACTTTGGGCAGAAATTGACTATTTGTAGAATACTTGTTGAGGAAGGGGAGAAAATTTGGGATTTTTGTTTTTGGCAACGGTTTTATATGTTACTCCCTGTGAGATAACTGTCCTTCTAATTTGGAGAGGGAATGGACTACTGCACTCTCCCTTTCCTCCCCAGCTCAAACCAAACATCCCTTTATCCACTGAATCCTGTGGCCACCATTTAGGTTCTTCAAAATCTGTAACAGCTTTAACTATGGTTTCCTATTATTACTGTGAAGTAATAAGAGAGCCTGGGAAGGATGTTTATCTCTCTATCTGTTGACAAATTTCTATTACCATGGTGAGGTGAGGAGAAGGGAGAGACTGAGAAAGCAGCTTCTGTCTCTCCCTTTCTCTGTTTTGAAATCTGTTGATGTAGAAAGGTGTGTGATAGCTCTTTATTGTCTCATAAGAGACCTTTCAGAAGCATTCAGAATTCGGAAGAATATGAATGTGAATTTTTCTTTCATCTCTAAACACATTTTTCATGTTCTGTTTTTAACTTTGCGTTGAAATGTTCTTGTTTCACACATGATTACTTATTTACTGCTTTTGCTTTCTTTATAATTTATTTGTGTCATTTCTCTGTGACTATATTGCATTCAGTTTTCTTTATTTTTATATAAGTATTCACTGCTGACACATCAAGTCTTTATTGATTGCTAACTATGGACCGTATGTGGAGTGATCAGTGCCAGGGTAAAAATTTTTTTTTTTTTGTAAACCTAGCCACCAGGGAGCTCAGAGATGAGGGAGATAAGTAGATGGAAATCATCATACGATACGGTTAGTGGTACAATTAATGTAACAGATGGGGTGCTCTGGGAGTAGATAAGGGGGACACATTTCTTAACTAGGGGGGTTCATTAGAACTGCCTTTGGTGGTTAAAACACACAAAATAGTAAACATTACTGGAGGATTTGGACTCAGCAGGTCTAGAAGGGAGCTACCTATGTCCAGGAAAAGCCCCAGATGATTTTGATGTCTTGTTCAGATCAGGACTTTAGAGCAGTTAGAGTTGAAAATAAATGTTTCAACACGATGTGAAGCAGCACAGATGATGAACAATTTCTTAATGGGTGTTAGGCATTAGTGTCTCTCAGGTACTTCAGTCTCATCTTACCTTTACTCGATGTCACAGATTTCTGAAGTATTTCAGAAATAGAAAATTTTGTCATTAGAATGTAACTTTGTGTACCCTAAAATTAACATCAGTTCTAACAGGACTTGCATTTTTATGGTGTCTTTTGTCTGTGAGAGTTTAGCGGTACCACTGCTGAGAGATTTTAGCAGTCTCAAACTCTGTGCACGCTCATACTCCAAACTGTTTAACGTGTGAAACTCTCAAAGCTTACGTTCCTAATTGCAGTGACTAGAGATTTTAACAGGTAATGGAATCAGCGGGTTTGAAAGTTATAAGGCACTCATAAAGCAGATCTTGGCGACTCTTACTGGTTTGGCCTTTTCCTAAGCTTTGGTGGGTGGTGTGCTTGCCACACTAGACTGACTGCCATGGCTATGGTGCAGGTGCTAAGCTCTGCAGTTACATCATCATTCATGGGTTCTGGAAGGCACATTTTCTCATATGTCAACTCTGAAATCAGAATACCTCATTTTTAGTTAAGGTAATGAAGTGACATTGTCCTCATCTGGGATACAGTAGGTGAAGAGTGAGAAAACATGTCTAGGTGTATTGGGACTAGAGGGCTTCGGCAGAGCAGCTTCCTCCTCCTCCTCACCCCTTCCCTGTCATGGAAACACATGCTCATATAAATTAAACATTCCAACAGTTCATAAAGGTATAAAATGACAAAAAAAAAAAAGCCAAAAAACCCAGTCTTCCTTTTACTCCAGTTCTACTCCAGGGAGCTAACCACTTTTAACAGTAATTCTTGATCAGTAATGGACAGCAGAATTACTTGGGGTGATTTTTCAGAGGACACATGCTTAGGCCTCATCCCCAAGGATTTTCATCCAGGTCTGGGGAGCGCTATGAGAACTGCACATTTAAAAACCTCCGTCAGTGATTTAGCTGTGCCCTCAACCTGTATTGTGTTGTGTGCCATAAGGGCAGCAAGAATACTGCAGGAAAGATCTGGTCCGAAGGGAAGGCCTGTGTGTCTTTGATGAGCTTCATATTGCTACTACAGTTGCTCCTCAGAATCATTAACAAACGTCCAGGGCAGTGCGGTAGAGAAGCCTTTTTCAATGTAATAAGAATGTGGTGGAATTAATGCTAGTGTTAGCACTTTGTGTTAATCAGAAACTGATACGTTTATTTCTTATTTTGAATTTTCTGTATCCAGTTTGTTAAATTGTGTTACATAAGTTTGGAGAATTTTTTGAAAAGAAATCCTGAGAAATGAGAACTGTAGTGCCTGAGATAACCTTTTGTTTGTTGGAAATAACATGACAGTAATATTAGACTTTGCAAATAGAGCTGTCTTCCTTCTCTTCTCACAGATGGTTCTGACTCTAGAGATAAGCCAAAGCTTTACCGCCTTCAGTTAAGTGTTACTGAAGTTGGGACAGAAAAGTTGGATGACAACTCTATCCAGGTACGTAGTCTGAGCTTCCTGCTGCAACTCTGACATTCCAGGAGGCATAACGTATTGTACAGAGCCTGCCACATGGTAATGAAAGAAGGAATTATAATTACCGACTTGTATTTAAATATAAATAATTTATCTACTCTGGGTCACTTTTCTCTGCTTTAGTGTGGAAACAGCAGAATGTGAGTTTATGTTCAAGTTCCACCTCTAGAAATTTGGGCTGGTGATGACATTGCTCTGAAACTGCTTCCTTTTCTCTAAAAGATGGTGATGATACTTTTATAGGTCTATTTCAGGATTACAGGATATAACCTATGCAGAAGTGCTTATCACTGGAGGTCTGACCACATAGCATTAGGCATTCGGTAAATTCTAATTAAATTTAGCTTAATATGGTTCTCAAGTACTTAAAACAGAGCTTAACACATTATTTGAATAAATGAAGTCAGAATTTGTCACTTCTTTGAAGTTGAATTCAGGCGAATCACCCTTGCTCTGTACTTAGTTCTCAATTTGTAAGATGATGGGTTCAGATTGTTAATATCATTTTCAATTCTACCATTTCTTCTTTCTTAGCACAACACTAAAAATAATAATAGGAATCTTTAATGCTAATGATCTGTTTAGATTTGTCCATTAACCATCTAACAAATATTGGTTAAGATGACTGTATGCCTTTTTTTTTTTTTTTTTTTTTTTTTGAGACAGTCTTACTCTGTCAGCAGGCTGGAGTGCTGTGGCACGATCTCGGCTCTCTGTAACCTCCAACTCCCTGGTTCAAGCAATTCTCCTGCCTCAGCCTCCTGAGTAGCTGGGGTTACAGGCACGCGCCACCACGCCTGCTAATTTTTGTATTTTTCGTAGAGACGGAGTTTCACCATGTTGGCCAGGATAGTCTCGATCTCCTGACCTCATGATCCGCCCATCTCGGCCTCCCAAAGTGCTGGGATTACAGGCGTGAGCCACCGCGCCTGGCCAACTGTATGCTTTTTAATGCAAAGTTACAGTATGCCTTAAGTCACTGGGTACTAAAAATAAAAGGTCTGATTGGTTTGACTTTTTTTTGACAGTTTAATTATTTTTATACGATTGAGGGAAATCCACTTTAAAAGGCACTAAAAATCCAGAGCTTATTAGGTTATATTTGTCATAAAAGGGGTACTCACGGTTTTAACATTCTGTGTTTAAATGCTGTGAACTTCATGATGGGAGTTTCTTTGGTTTCCTTCGGTTTCCAGTTGTTTGGCCCAGGAATTCAGCCCCATCACTGTGACCTTACCAACATGGATGGAGTGGTCACTGTGACGCCCAGAAGTATGGACGCA
Organism: Homo sapiens; assembly: GCF_000001405.40. NCBI lineage: Eukaryota > Metazoa > Chordata > Mammalia > Primates > Hominidae > Homo > Homo sapiens. The sequence continues at coordinate 167,898,292 of NC_000006.12, forward strand.
GAAACCTACGTGGAAGGCCAGCGCATCTCAGAAACCACCATGCTGCAGAGTGGCATGAAAGTGCAGTTTGGGGCGTCCCATGTATTTAAGTTTGTGGACCCCAGTCAGGATCATGCTCTTGCAAAAAGATCTGTGGATGGAGGCCTGATGGTTAAGGGCCCAAGACATAAACCTGGGTAAATAGATTAACCCTAAGATTTAAAATGTTTTGATTATACTTAAAGTAGTTCAGATTATTCATAGATATCTTGGCTTTTTATTTTTGTTTCAATTTTTAAAAAAATATCAAAGTGAAGTTTGTGATTTTGGTTCCTATTGTTAACTTGGGTTGGTTTTAGAGGAAAGAAGAAAGGTCTTGACTTTGTCTTAAAATTGGAATTTCTCACTGGTTTTAAATTGTTTATATTTAAACTTTGTTTTTTAGCCAGTATACTAAAACAGTACCTTTTCTTTTGTGAAAAAAACATGGTGTTCTTTGTAATTATTCAGTGTAACTAAGATTATAAAATTTTTTGAAGTATTCTTTTCTGTGACTGATAATGAAACACATTAAGATCTCTTAAGGAATTCAGAATATTTTAGCTCCACCTAGTGCTTTTCTGAAGACTTGCATTGTGGGCTTAGTAAGGGAAAACAGAAAGCCTTTCTTAATGACTATCTAGTAAAATTTTTTTGTAGGTAGGGAATATGACTTCTCCTTTGGTTTTACTTTTTAAAACATCCTGTTAAGCCACTTCATTGTCTATTTTTCATGCTGCTTAAAACAACTGAAAACTCCCCTAGATTGTAGGCTTTCTTCCTGAAGCACAGACATGAACCCGCGTGGTCTTCCCTGCTTGGCCTTTCCCATTGTTTTGTTCTACGGCATGCCTTTGATTAGCCACCCAGACCTTACACATTGGGCCACATATGACTATTTAGAATTAATGTCTTTCTCCAAGATGAATACTTGGTGGGTTATCACATATATTTATTTGTAAAGTTCACAGCTGTTTAAGATCCATCCCCAGCTGCTCACCTCACCTTGCACCCCAAGTGTCAGCAAATGACCATACCTGTGGCATCCAAGGAAACCAGCATGTGCTTTTCCTCCCTGCTTCCCAAGAAAATCCATTTCTTTCTAACACTTTCATCTTTAAACTAGTGTATTTAAACACCATCCTTCCATTCTTCACAGCTTTTAACTGTTTCTTTCTGAAGGTGATGTTTTTCATTGATCAGCCGTGTCCCTATTTCCTGTCCCTTGTCATTAGCTTTACATGGGCTCTTCCCTTCAGTAGCGAGTCATGATTTCATGCTTAGATGTTCATTTCAATCATCAGCTTTTCTTCAGCCCTGTTTCTTCCCTTCAGCATCAAAAATCTTGATCTGGTATATCCTGACTCCCTGTTTATTTTTTAGGCTCACTGAGGTTTGTCCAAAGAGATTATGTATTGTCTGAAACAGTTTCTTCCGCTGTGTGTTACATGTGGTCTCTCAATAGTACCTGTAGTTATTGCCCTTATATACAAATGCCCTTTATTCTTGAGTTGTAATATATTTCTTGTGACATGTGTTACTCCTAGTGTTACTGTCCATCTCTGTTCTCTGTATAAACACAATTCTAGTAGCAGCCTGTGTCCCACACCTAGTCTGCCCTTCGGTTTTGCTTGTAATGTTTTTATATGTGTGAGACAATCTCCTACTGTATTTTTGCCATGTGGATCCTGCTTTGGAAGCCTGCAGATGTCTCTTCCTACCATATTTCTGGCCAGCAGCAGAGATCATTGAAGAACATGGCTTAGGTTTCAATGAGGAGAATGTGCTGTGAAATTTTGTTACTATTGTTAGGTATTTTTCTGGCAAATCTGGTAAAAGCTGCTTGGCGGCTGAACATACCATCCATAAATTAGAAAGGACTCTTGTTTTTTTAGGAACATTAATTTTGCTCTAGTGTCAAACGATTGTGACAGATTCTGGCTAGATAACTCACATACCCTCCAATGCAGATTTCATAGTGTGTCTTCAAATCCTACTGATGGTTATAAACGAGTGGCAAAGTTTGATATTGATAGTTTGGGAATTTTAGGGCCTCCCGGTGATACACTGACTCATTAACTGATTTGTTAATCTAGTTTACAATTATCAAGTACCCAGGGCATGAGCTACTATTCTCTGAATGCTGGGAGGAGCGACCCATGATTGTTACAGTCAAAGGCCATAGTTTGATAATTTCAAAGTCATATTATAAAGTCACTTTGGTTGGTCTTGTCCACATATCCAGCCTGCAGTAAAAATGAGCCATGTTAAAACTTGAAAGAGGTAGCTTTGGTGGGAAAAGTTAAAGAATTTTGCATGGTGGAAATTTGTTGTTCTAGGATGATAATTGTAAGTGGAATCAAGAAGGCTTTGATTCTACTCACATACTACCCACAAGAGGAAGTTAGGGGTGGACACTGCTGTGTGCAGCTTTGGTAGGTGGCAGAGAAGCTGGCCTGCTGTCATTGTTACTCCTGTTGTCAGAGCCGATAGCTGGACTGAATCTCCCACTCAAACTGATGGGAGCCAGCAGGGCATTTCCATGTTTTTGTGAATATCTTGGTGATAGATTATGAGTATTTAATTTCAGAATATTGGTAATATATTGCAGAAAGTTGTGTGCAGAAAATTGACAATTATTTGGCCTTTAGTAAAAACTTTTACTCTTTCAAAAGTTACTATTTTAAAGCATGGTATTATTTTGCATTACAAAATGGTTTTATTTTCTTAGTGGTGAGATAGAGGAGAAATTTGTACCTGCTCTTCTAATCTGAAAAGTTGTTTTCAACTTTTACATTACTTCCTTGTTTCTTTCTATTGGTTGAGTGTAAATAAAAGTTTCCCATTACCATGCTGCTTTGAAATTAGACCATATATTAATATTTTTCAAGTATTATAACGGGACATTTCATTCTTTTTAAATTATGTTTTGCAGAAATCCAGGAAATTTAAATACTAATTCATCCTTGTTGGTTTCCAGGTGTTTTTAGGGCTTTTTTTTGTGGAGGTGGGGAGGGCACTCTCCAATGAGCTGGGACCAGTGAGTTGCATTCACCCTTCATTTGTGCTGAAGAATGTAGTCGGTCCCAGCTTGTTAGACTCTTCAATCTTCATAATGAGATTTTGCTTATGAGTTAGGTTTTCAAAGTGACATATTTAGAAATTTTGATATTTTGAGATATTTGAAGAATCAGTTTAAACTAGGATAATTTTTGATTTGCATGCTAACATTATCAAAAATGTCCCACTTTTTAATTTGTAGCCTAAGTAGTGATACTCATGTGCTTTACAAAAATAATCAGATTGACTTTCAAATAGGAGAGAAGCTCACCGCTGTTCCTCATGTGTCACTTTCCCTGTGTCCATAAATAGGGCCGCCGGCACTTCAACCTTGTACACCTCATTTATATGCCATTTGCTGCCTGGATAGACTTACATAATGAAATAACCTGGTTTTTTATGTTCCGTTTCTTGTATAGTTAAAAAAAAAAATATGATCGGGCCGGGCGTGGTGGCTCATGCCTGTAATCCCCAGCACTTTGGGAGGCTGAGGTGGGCGGATCACCTGAGGTCAGGAGTTCGAGACCAGCCTGGCCAACATGGTGAAACCCCATCTCTACAAAAAATACAATAATTAGCCGGGCATGGTGGCCCTTGTCTGTAATACCAGTTATTTGGGAGGCTGAGGCAGGAGTATCACTTGAACTGAGGAGGCAGAGGTTGCAGTGAGCCGAAATTGTGCTACTGTACTCCAGCCTGGGCAACAGAGTGAGACTTCATCTCAAAAAAAAAAAAAAAAAAAAGATACTGGGAATATTGAGTATATACCAGTAAAGAAAGTTCATAAGGTGGTTTTTTAATTCTGTAAGTTCGTGTGCTGAAAACAGAGCAATTTCTTAAAAATCTTTGACATTTGGTATTTTAGTTCTTCCTTGTGTATTAAGAAGAGACTATGCCTGTCATTGGAATGTTATTAAGTCAGTGTGTTTCTTGTTTTATCCCATCAGAATTGTTCAGGAGACAACTTTTGATTTGGGAGGAGATATTCATAGTGGGACAGCATTACCGACAAGCAAGGTAGGTAATTATGGATTACCTGATAGAAGTGTGCTTGCTATAGGACACCATGGATGAATACAGTAGTGGTGGGGGATGTGTTCCCCTTATTTGTGGGGGATGTGTTCCAAGACCACCAGTCAATGTCTGAAATCATAAATAGTACAGAGCCCTATGGATACTATGTTGTTTTCCTGTATATATGTACCTGTGATAAAGTTTAATTTATAAAATAAGCACACTAAGACATTAACAACAATAACTGAAGATAAAATGGAACAATATATATTATAACAATATACTCAAATAAGAGGTATGTTAATTTGGTCTCTGTCTCCTCTCTCAAAATATCTTATTGTATTGTACTCACCTGTTTTCGGACTGCAGCTTACCACAGGTAGCTGAACTGTAGAAAGAGAAACTGCAGATAAGGGGGACTCCAGTAAACTGGTAATAGGTGCACTTATAAAACATCTTTGTAAAAACAGACTTCCCAGTGGCCCCAAATGTGGGTTGTCCTAATCTGCTGTGTTGTTTGTTAGTGATACATAAAAGAAAGTTACCAGATCTTTCTTTTCTCTAAGGCCAGGTTGAAGCAGAGCCTTCATGTTTGCTAGGCTTTCTCCTGTGTAGTTAGCCTTGCTCAGTCAGAGTACCCTTAATACACTCCTTTTATTAACCCTTCAGTTTAGGTACTAAATCCCATTCATCAGTTAACTTCTCAGACACTTTGCTTCCATAATGATCCCTTATCTCTGGAATAATCAGTTCATTTCCTTTCTCATTTTCATTCTCTATTACTGGATAACAAACCACTCCAAAACTTTGTGGCTAAACAGCAACCATTTTATTTGTTTACCATTGTGCAATCTGGTTTGAGCTCACCTGGGCAGTTTGTTTGCTGGTCTTGCTGGTGGTGACTGGTGTGACCACCTTCACCTAGAAGATCAGTTGGTAGCCAGTGGCTGGAGTGCAGGGCCCACTGACCCTCTCTCTGTGCTGTCTCACATTCTCTCCATGGGACCTTTAGCCCCATTGGGGCAGCCAGAAGTCGTAGTGTTGTGGGACCTCACAAGAACCACGGAGCTTCCAGGCCTTCTTGAATGTTAGGCCCAGAACTGACACAACCCCGTTTCCTCCACCTTTCATTGGTTGAAGCAAATACAGGCCCAGTCCAGATTCAGGAGGAAGGCACTACTCAAGGTGTGATTTATTGAATGCCATGGTGCCACAAACTCCTATGATCCTGGAGTGTTCTCATCAGCATCAAAACACGTTACAGTGTCTTCTCTTTTAGAAAACTCTTTATACCCCTCCAGTTTTGACCCCATTTTTCTACTCCTGTTTGCTACACAGCTTCTTGGGGAAAAAAAAATCATCTATGCTTGCTCCCTCCACTTCCAAACTCTATGTTCTTTCCTCTGCTCCTGTTCATTCTTGCCCCTCCCTCCACAGGGACTGTCTGTCAGGGGGACTGATGACCTCCCAGGTCCCAAATCTGGCACGCATTTTGTCCTGTCTTACTTGTTGCAGGAGTTTTTAGCCAGGCCACAACCACGTACTTGATGCACTTTCTTCTGTTGGCTTCTAGGGTATATTACCCTCCTATAAACCACCTAGTAGTGGTTTCTCCTTGGTTTGATTTGTTGGTACCTCTTCCTCTTATGCTTCACTCCTAAAGTTTGGAGGGCCAGGGTTTCAGATGTAGGGCACCAATCTGTTTTCTTCCTGCATCTTTCCTAGGTGAGCTTACCCTGTTGCCTGAGTTTAAATACCATCTAATGTTAATTATCCACTAATGTGTACCTTTGGTTCTGACCTCTCCAGACGCATATCTCTCTCTCTTTTTTTTTTTTCTTCCTGAGACAGAGTCTGCTCTCTCTCCCAGTTTGGAGTGCAGTGGCATGATCTCGGCTCACTGCAACCACTGCCTCCCAGGTTCAAGTCATTCTCCTGCCTCTGCCTCCTGCGTAGCGGAGATTACAGGCACCTGCCACCATGCTTGGCTAATTTTTGTATTTTTTAGTAGAGATCGTGTTTCGCCATGTTGCCCAGGCTGGTCTTGAACTCCTGAGCTCAGGCAGTCTGCCTGCCTCGGCTTCCCAAAATGCTAGGATTACAGGTGTAAGCCACTGCACCCAGCCCCGATTCATATCTCTAAAGGTTTACTTGACATATCCACTTGCATATCCTGTACATATTTCAAATTAAATCTAGCTAAAAGAAGACTAGATTTTCTTTCTTAACAAACTTTCCCTGATCCTTCCCCACCTTAGAAGACAATACTACCATCTGCAGCGTTGCTCCAATAGAAACCTCTTCCCCGTTCCCAGTTGGTCCCTTCCTTCTCTCAGCCTCTGCATGCAGGGGTTCGTTCCTCTGCCTCTCTGGCTTAGGCTGCAGCCATCACATGGCAGGAGGACCACACGGCCCCAAGAGCAGCCTCTTCCATTCTACCCAGCTCATCATTCTCCTCACATTTAAAAAATGTAAATTAGATTCTAGTTACTGTTCTGCTTTCGAAGCCCCTGGTGGCTTCCCAACCCATATATCAGTCTTCACCCTGACTTGCTCAGCCCCTATGCCCTGAGCCTGCTTCCTCTCAGCGTGTCTCTGTTGCTCACTCAGGCCACACGAGGCTTCCATCCTGTGCCCGTGCCTGCCTCTTTCCTCCCATTGGAAGGCCTTTCTTGTGCTAGTGTTTGTGCTTTTGTCTTTGCTTTTCACACTCTGGCCCCTTCTTGTCTCAGACCTCAGCTTAAAGCCACATTCCTGAAGAGGTTGTCCCTGAGCATCCTGTCACTGTCACAGCACCTGATGTAAGTTATTTATGTGGTCTTTATTACCATCCAATACCTGCTGTGTTTGTTGACCAGCTGTAGAATGTGAACTCTGCAAGTGGGGCTCCTGTTTCATACGTCATTGCTGTATTTCTATTGCACTTTTCTTAAAAAATGCCTGCTGTGTAGAAGACTCTTGGGAACCATCTCATGAATAATTGAATGAGCCGAAGAAAACTGTCTTTATAAAAATTTTCGTTTCTTAAAAAAATGTGTAGTCCACAAAGAAGACTTGGTAAATAGAGGAAAAAAGTAAAAATGAAAATCCGTCATCCACAATTTATAGTTGACCTTTGATAGTAATGTTGTGAGGGGTCCTTTTCTGGACTCTGGTATGGGTCTATATGTTCATGTATGCATTTTAACACAATTGGATATATTTGTCTCCACACACACCTTTCTTGCTTTCTTCAGCTGTTACTCTGTGAGCATTTTTTAGTACTTTAAAGTCACTTAAAAACAAATGAAAACCATTCTGTAGTATGTAAGCATATAAACATACTCTAATTTCTTTATCCATTGCCCTATTACTAGTCATTTATAACAATTTTTTAATAGTGTGTAAATAGTATTGCCATCCATTGACCAGCAATTGTGTTTCTATAAATCTGTCTTATGGGCCGGATGTGGTGGCTCACGCCTATAATCCCAACACTTTGGGAGGCCGAGGTGGGTGGATCATGAAGTCAGGAGATCGAGACCATCCTGGCTAACATGGTGAAACCCTGTCTCTGCTAAAAATGCAAAAAATTAGCCGGGCGTGGTGGCGGGCGCCTGTAGCCCCCTACTCAGGAGGCTAAGGCAGGAGAATGGCGTGAACCTGGGAGGCGGAGCTTGCAGTGAGCTGAGATCGCGCCACTGCACTCCAGCCTGGGTGACAGAGCGAGACTCCGTCCCAAGAAAAAAAACCAAAAAACTCTTATGGAAGGATTCATTGGGTGTGTATATAAATATATTTACAAGCATAATTGTCTTGTCACTCTGTACTGATGAACATTTTAAATGATGTAATAAAGCATTGGTTTAATGAAGTATGATGAATAGACAACAAAATGTTATACAGCCATTACAAGTCTGTAATATAAAAATAAGTGATATTGTAAGATGTTTGTAACATCTGAAAAAGTGTTTTTTTATCAAGAAGATTGTAAATCCCATTTATGGAAAATATGAAAAGCTGGAAAGACGTACAGTACAGTAATAATCGCTAGGTGATAAGAGAAACATGATTTTTTATTTACTACTTGTGCCCAGTTTCTGTAGTAAGCAGATGTAATAAGAAATTTTACATGAAATTTTTTCTACAGTGAATTTCATTGTATAAAATTTTTTCTTTTCTGGTGATTTTCTTAATGTAGGTAACTCATCCTTTTGTCTGCCTACAAATTCCATACAAATGGTTAGAATTGTATACTTTTTAGAAGTATTTAAATATACCTGATTGGGTTACCATATAATATGTGTTTTCCCCGGTGTTGATTAAGGGCAAGAAAGAAGCCAGTTTCTGTACTGAATTCATTAGGTATTGAGCTATAAGGAGTAGGATTTCTAAATCTGTTCTGAGAAATAATAAACTTTAAAAAGACCCTGCCTCTTCATGTTGTACATATTTTCTTATGTCTTATCCTGATTTTAAAATAACTTGTTGGAATCGAATTACTATTAATGTACTTTCAGAAAAATCATCATGTGTGTGTTACCAGCTTTGCCTGCCTGTGTTTTAAAGGCAACTCCTAGCTCTTTGAGAATGAAAGTGGCTGTGCGTCTTCCTATGCTTTAATACCAGTGTGCTTTGGGCACTCCCCGTGGACATAGTGTCCCCAGCATTGCTTTGTTATTTCCTGGTCTGTGTTCTTGCCTGCCCTGCTTGGCAGCCCTGTATCAGATCTCTGCTTGCAACGCTGAGTGTCAAGCTTGGTTGGTCTGTGTGAGGTTCTAAACCCGTTGTGCTTTCTCTCCATGTAGAGCACCACTAGGCTGGACAGCGACAGAGTGTCGTCTGCCTCTAGCACAGCCGAGCGGGGAATGGTGAAGCCGATGATCAGAGTAGAACAGCAGCCAGATTATCGCAGGCAAGAAAGCAGGTAGGAAACACATCATTTTTCAATGGTGAAAGTACTGAAAGTATTCCTAAAAAAGGGTTGGGATAAAGATTGTTGAATTTATAAAGGTTCAGCTGACATGTTTACAATGTTAGCAATAATATTTTAAGGGCATTTCCTTTCTGTGTTATTGAATTGAAAGAAATGCTTTACCAATAATTATATCCCTCACTTATATGCCACAGTGTTATCAGATTGAAATAAGAGTACATTGAATTAAAATGTTGCCATTTAAAATTTGCTACTTTGTAAAAACATAGAGAAAGGGAGTTTTTATAGGATTTTAATATTTGATGATTTTTGTATTTAGAAAAATCTGGTCATTTCACCCATTTCTAGAAGAAATCTTCATCTGTTTAAAAATATGTAAGATCAAAAATGATTTTGAAACAGATTTTAAGAATTATAAATGCCATATTATGTCTTGTGCTCTAATGTGATGTGTCTCCCTGTGGAGATAGATGGAGGATGAATTTTTTTTTTTTTCTGACATTGTTCTTGCCGATTTCTCTGGGCAGAGAACTGTCTTGTTATTTCCTTGTCTTATGATTTTTAACGTGTCACCTTAATCAGAATCCTATTTCCTTGTGACCTCTAGAATTATTTAAATGTTGCAGAGTAATATCTTTGCATTAAACATGGTGGATAAATAACAGATACTGACTAGTGGAACCAGCAGCATGATTTGGTGCTGAACACCTCTACCCCAGAGCTCTGCGGGAACTCAGACAGAAATACAGAAAGACTGCATGACTTCTATGGCATTCTCATTATCAGCAGTGAAACTGGCAGCATTCCCCCTTTGGGGCTTTTCAGATAGATTTTTGAAGAGGCCATTGTGTTTCCTTCAAAGATCCAGTCAGTGAGGCAGTTAGATGAGGCAGGCGACTTGCCCAGGGTCACCTATCAGTTCAGTTGCAGGTGACGAAGACACAGTTCTTCAGTTTCCCAACTTCCAGCAGAGGGCACTGGATATTGCAGGATTTTAATATCATTCATCACCAGTTATACATGTGTAGACTCATAAGGGAATCCCAGGTTTTAACTTTATTTTTATTGTGGATTTTTGGTTCTAATGCAAGATTTTTATTGGCTATGTGAATCTTATTACATGTGATAATAAATAGTTTACTTTCCGTGTTTGTACTTGTTTTTGTTGGTGGATTATGGAGTAGGATGTTCAGAATGGTAAATTGGTATTGTAAGGAATACCTCTATGTATTTCTAAGGTGTGACTGAGAAGTATGAATCATAGTTCTTAGCTCATAAATATTTGAGTAAATGAATTCGCACGAGGGAGTGGATTGATTAGGATAATGCTTTTAATATATGCAAAATTAGTGATTAATATAGTGTCAAAATAGTAATATGGTTAATTGTATGTCAGGAATTATTTTTTACCATAAACACATAATTTAATTTTACAAGGTAAGATTAGTTTGCAGAGTTATTAAAGGCTTTATTTTAATTATAAACTATGTTGTTTTGTTGCTATTACTACAATGATGAGAACAGATGAGCCTTTCTGCTCCATTCTTTGTTTTTCACATGGGCAGTGTTATAATAAGCACTACTTAATTTAACTGATGCAGTCATGAAAAATTTAAACGTGTTTAAAATGCTAATATTAGTGAAGGAAAAAACCCTTTTGAATGGAGGGGACGACTTTTAATTGTCACTAAATTTTTTTTTCTTTTATCAATGACAATGTAAACACTTTTTTACCAGATTTGTTAAAATATAATTGGTAAAGTTTACTCAGGTTCACTTTATGAGATATATAACTGCCTAGCTACAATTTTAGTTGTCTGTAAATATGGGAATGTAAGGGAGATGTGTTAAAATAATTGATCATTTAAATTACATTGTTTATAGAGGCATTTTTCTTTTCCTTAATTGTTGAGTTAAATCATTAGATCATAAACTAAATAATCAACTCTGAAACATATAATTTGATAAAAAGAAGATTTGGGTTGTATTTATTATTAGTAAAATATTTGGTTATATTTTTATTATTTTGTATAAATATATTCATTTCTCTTTATTCATTTTTTGGTGCATGGAGAAGGTGAGGATGGAGGGAAGAGAATGGTTTGCTGTTGAAAAAAAAATTAGTTAGCCAGTCTGTAAACTATTATAAATCTGTAATCATCATAAGTTATTCCTTTTTATTTTTGAAGGAAAGTTTTTTATTATCTATATTAACTTATTTAATGAGTGGACCAGCAATTCCAAATACTTAATTCTGGCCGTACAGTACCAGTTGTCTAAGATTAACAGACACATTGCTGCTGAAATGACTGTTGTTGAAGTCACTAATGAGTATTTCTCATTCCAATATCAAGATAACTGTGTTGACTTTCCATTTCACCAAATAAGATTTATTTGAGTAAGTATTAGTCTCAGTTTAAGTCAATATTTAACTCAGTAGAGATGTTCATCACAGTTTAAGTCATTAATATCCCCACAATTTCATTTTTCATTAAGTTTGCGGAAGGCAAAACACATGTTCCCTGGCTCTTACTGTCAATTTAAATTTTCTTATTTTTTCAGAGACATTTTTGAGAATTCTTCCTGGTTATCTCTGTTAAAGTTGAACTAAAATGATAAAGACATTGAAATGTTAAGGAAGCTAATCACTTGACTATGTGTTTCGCTGGTTTTTGGTAAATATTGTATATAAAATACAGTGGGTAGCGAACTTAGAGTAATAAGTAAATGGCTTGAAGTTCTAATCACATGGCTAAGTGAAAGAATAAGCTGAGCATTATTCATTGAGAAAAGCATAAATCCACAAAGATAAGGAAATCTAAACTGGATTTGTAATTTATTATCTTACACATTTAAAGAGTCTGTGCCTAGCAATGGCTTTCAAAATGCTTTTGAACTGTGGTTATAACACAAGATTATATCTTACATTGTGCTCTGGTGAACACACATACAAATGTGTATTCAACTGAAAGAGTAGTTTCACAAAACAGCCTTCTGCCCTGCCAATGGGTGATGACACACTGTTTGAAGAATATTTTTATAGAGATAGAAATGAACCTAACTTTTGAATTAATTTGATCTGAATACCTGGAAATAGATAAACATCAGCACAATGCTAGTTTTTATAAATGTTCCAAATTATAGTTTCTTTGTATTTATAATTTTTGACAGTTCCTTATTTGTGTAGTGTCAGGCTAAATGGTGGAAGGGACCTGGAATTTATGTGACCGTAAGAAGAAATGTGAGTGAGTAGAACATCTCTTTATAAGGCATGCGTCACTGTAAGCATTGGAAAATGATGATAGTAATGGCTGAAGGAGACTTGCCGTGGTCAGCTTGTCTAACCCTGTGTCAGCAGAGAAAGACAAAGTCCAGGTCTTAGGAAGCTTTTCCCTTTCAGTATAAGAACTCCGTTTCAAGCTTGGCATGGTTAGTTTTTCTTTGTGTCACTTAGTACTTTGTTTTCAGTGTTACCTGAGCCATAGCTGTAGCAGATGCAAGACAGACCGATCCCTGTACTAGACATGAAGTGTTCATTAATAATCCAGAATCACGTCAGATCTGCTGTCATGGCGGCGGCATATACTTCAAGGAACTAACCTTCTTAGAGGAGTCGTGATAAGATCACTCCCAATGCATTATTTGATTAGGCTACATCTGAAAACAAGGGATATTTTATTATTTTACGTTGGAAAGATTAGTATATAGATTTAAAAAGTAGTTGCAGAAATCTACACAGGTTGTCAGTAATATTGTTAGCCATGTGACCTTATTTTAAGTGATGTCAGCTTTCTTCTTTTAGAACACAGGATGCTTCTGGGCCTGAGCTGATACTACCTGCAAGCATTGAATTCAGGGAAAGTTGTGAGTAATTTCAGATTTCATTGTCAATGAATTATTTCTTGATCCATTTTACTCCATCTGATTTTCACATTCGTTTTTATTCTTTTTTCCTTTTTTCTTTGTTTTTGAAATCTTTCCACAGCTGAAGATTCATTTTTGTCTGCCATTATAAATTATACTAATAGCTCTACAGTCCACTTTAAGTTGTCCCCTACATATGTATTATATATGGCATGCCGGTATGTATTGTCCAACCAGTACAGACCTGACATCAGCCCTACAGAGCGCACACATAAAGTCATTGCAGTCGTCAACAAGATGGTGAGCATGATGGAGGGTGTCATCCAGGTACGTTCCAGCCGGCCAGCCATGCTCCTCCAGTGATTGTGGTTGTAATTGCTAAGCCAGTGAATTCAGCTTCTTTAAGGCTTCTCATTTGGTTACAAGATTTTTTTCTAAAATAAAAGTTATGTAAATATTGTAGGAAAATGTATAACTTTAAAGAGTTGAAAGGAAATGCAAGCTTTTTTCTATTTTGTTTTCCCTGTAAAACTTCAGCATAAGTGAAGTTAACTTGTAGTAATAGTTGTGAGAAAGTGCTGAGACTGTTGTGGGCTTTTGTAGAATTTTTTCTGTAAATAATTTGTTGAGATGAAGTTCATATAATATTAACCATTTTGAAGTGAACAATTCAGTCGCATTTGGTGCATTCACAGTGTTGTGCAGCCACCACCCCTGTCGGTTCCAAAACGTCTCCATCACCTCAGAGCGATACCCCTCAAGTAGTTCCTGGGGTTTTTCTCTTCCCCCGTTCCCTGGTAACGCCTTCTTAGACTTTTTAAAAATGGTTCTCAAAAGTCACTTGCTCCTGTGTAATGAGCCTAGACGTTGGTAGTAATTGGGCTTTTTGATAGCACATGTGTAGGTGTAATGGACATTGTAACATACTTCTCACTTAAAATGAAATTCTGTCATAAACCTGTTTTCAAAATTTCAGAAGATAAAGGTATTTTGTTGGTAGAATGGTTTGACTCCTTTACGTACTTTCTGTCCCGATCTACAGTTGATAAAATTTTCATAGCAGTTTTTCATCTACAGATGATTTGAAGATTTAATCTTTAAAGTTCTTAAAAGTAAATGTACAGATTTTTTCAGTTTTTCTGAATCACTTGTCAATGTTGTTATTTAACTTAATAAAACTCTAGTTATATAATGTTAATAACATAGATAGATTGGTTGCTTTTCTCCTGGCAGGATCATTTGAGGGAAACTAAGATCTTTTAGTTCCTTCAGAATTGTTTTCAAAGGCCAGAATTTTTCAAGAAATGTTTCTTTTATATTTGAGTGATTAGCATGAGTTTGATAGGGTTATGCTTCTTTTACCCAAGTTAGGAAATAGGTAAAAAAGAAAGTCATTTTATTTGGATACCGTTTTGTTACTTTCATGTCATTATTTTATAAACAAACATGGATTTCCTTTTCAGTTGTCATTCAAAGCCATTGTCTGTCTTCTATCATGTTTGGACTTACTAAGCCTGTTTCGAGTTGTGAGACACCTATCATAAAACTACCCTTGATAGCCTTTTCCTTATTGATGTGAACTAGTCAGTGAAATCACCATTATCAAACAAGTCTTTTAAACTTCAGATTTAGGGTTAGTATCCAGTGGGGGGAATCTTAAAGTAGTGGAAAAGAACTGTGGTAGTGAATAATTTAAATTCTATTTTCAAAAAACAAAGAATTTGCTCCCTTTAGTATAGGTGTAAGTTATTTATACACTTTTAAATTCTCATCTTCTCAGCTTTTATTTTGATTGTTTCTTGGTCTTTCCTGTCTCTTCCATTCCTATTAATTAATCTAGAGGGATGGACTTTCACCTTATTAGGTACCTTTTAAGTAAGTAGTAAGCACACCATATCACTGAAAGATGTTCGTTCACAAGTCCTTCCATTGTAAATCTTTTAAAGAGATCAGTGTGTTCATGTGTGTTTATGGTAACATCATATTTATTGATAAACTCTAAAAATACAGTTAGTTATTGTGCCAGTGGTAAGAACATAAAACTAATCCTTTAGGTCGTATACTTCTAAAGGTGCTTCAGAACCATAAATGAAAATGTTATTTTGGGAATAACATAACTAAATGTCGTACCTTCATGTCGTACCTTCATATTAGTGTTTTGATTTTTTTAAACTATCATGATTGTTTACAAGTTTCTTTCTCTCGTTCTGCTTGATTTCCCCTCGTCTGTTTTTCTCCAGGAAGTAGACCAGGTTGACCAGGTAGGACATCTGCTGGGAGCTGATCCTAGCTGTGTTGCTTAGCCAAGTTTCTCATGCTGCTCCCATGTCAAATAAGTAATACAACAGCTGGACTGAACAGCTCATAACACTCATTCAGCAACTGAGACATGCAGTACTAAAACCCTTTTTGACTGTGCAACCTTTATCGGCATTTCATAATTTCTGCTTAATGCACTTCAGTGTGGATATGAAATGACAAAAGTTCTGTTTCTTCTCTTTATTATTTATCCTTGGTTCCTATTCTTTGGATCTCATCTGAGGTTGCCTGGCCTGCACATGTGGTCGGGAGAGGATGTGATAGATCAGTACTTGATACTGAGTTGCATGGTGTCCAAGCCAGTGACTACAAGTATCAGGGTGGCTGTGGGTAACCATGGATACATGTATGTATACTGCACAGACTACCAGATAATGCACGGTCTACAATTTGGTGTTATATTATTTGATATCTCCATTTCTCCGCTGATTCCATCTATAAATTGTAGCTAACTGAATCCATATGTCTATGTGCATGAATCCTAAGAAATAGTTGCAGTGGTTATTTACTTCCCATTGCTATGTATGCACCCAAATTATTTTGCAAATATCTGGTATCTGTGGTAAATACCTTGGTGAAATGGGAAGGTACTGGTCTATCTTCAGCAGCTTTTCAAGAGCATTCCTTTATATTTTTATTACTTTTGTTTATTCTCTGTTGCTTATGGAAGTGTGTTCTGTCTACAGAAACAGAAGAATATTGCAGGGGCACTTGCCTTCTGGATGGCAAATGCATCTGAACTTCTCAACTTCATTAAGCAAGACCGAGACCTTAGTCGGATCACACTGGATGCTCAAGATGTTTTAGCACATTTGGTTCAAATGGCATTTAAGTAAGGAACACATTTTTGAAGGCGGCACTACTCTAAATAATTAAGTCATTTGTTTTCTTATTCAGTTTTCCAAACTAATTTTAAGATTTATATTTACCTTGATTGAAGGTGAATATAAAGAAGCATACATTTTTGCAAAATGTATTAACTACCTATAGTTATATCCTTAATATAGTTATACTGAATTCAGTGAGCTATGTTTCAAGATTCCACATTTTTTTTTTAATGGAAAATATTTTTTAAGAGTCCAGATTGTTTCCCATGTGATAACATGTCTGACAATAGCTGTCTGTCATGCTAAGATTACTTAAATTGTCTATGTATTTTCAGATACTTGGTTCACTGTCTTCAATCAGAACTTAATAATTACATGCCAGCCTTTCTAGATGACCCTGAAGAGAACAGTCTGCAACGACCAAAAATAGGTTAGGATGTTTTCTGACTGTCTCCCTCTATCCCGCTTCCTTCACGTTTAGCATCATTTTAATGCTTAGCGTAGGTAAGTGGAGGTGTTTTTAAAATAAATGGGATGTCCTTTTGGGTTTGGCAATCTTTAATAAATTTTAACGATTATTTGTTTTGTTTACAGATAGTTCTCATTTTGGTGTGTCATGCTGGCCATACTCTTTAAAAAGTCTCTTAAGGCCAAACTAATGATGTTAAGTGTAATTAGTTAATAACTATATGTAGTTTAAGATCATGTCACTGTTTCCTCTTGGAATGAAGTTGATATTTTTAAAGTAATTAAACGGCACTTACTACCATAGGTACCATTATCTAAATCTGCTGCACATTCAAAGGCTTCTTCCTGGATGACATTTTGCTCCTCTTGTCCTCTCACCCTGTCTGGGCAGATGATGTGCTGCACACGCTCACAGGAGCCATGTCCTTGCTACGACGCTGCAGAGTCAATGCCGCCCTGACCATCCAGCTCTTCTCTCAGCTCTTCCACTTCATCAATATGTGGCTGTTCAATAGATTGGTGACCGACCCAGATTCGGGGCTGTGCTCCCATTACTGGGGTGCGATTATCCGTCAGCAGTTGGGCCATATTGAAGCCTGGGCTGAGAAGCAGGGGCTGGAACTGGCTGCGGACTGTCATCTGAGCAGGATCGTGCAGGTGATTGCTGGTGCCACTCCCCAGCTCATGTGCTTTATGATAAAGGCATCTGATCTTTATGATGAGCAAGAGCTTCAATGCAGCAAAACCTCAATACCCTCTTTTTGGGGTTTTTCGTATGTACAAATAATGAAGTAGTGCTATGTGAGTACTTGGGCTGCGGTTACAAAGTACAGATTATTTTTTCACTGTATTAATTGTATGCCATAATTGTTACTGTTAAGTACTTAAGCCTGAATAAATCTAATAAAATGATTGCTTATAGATAAATAAAAATTCAGAGTTAGAAATGGTGGTGACACCAAGCAACTGCAGATTGTTTACATGGTTTGTTTTCTGATAATTTAATGTACACAAACTTTGTTTCATGCACAAAGTTATTTCAAATATTGTATGAAATTACCTTCAGTCTGTGTGTATAAGGTGTATATGAAACAAATTTCATATTTAGACTTGGGTCCCATCCCCAGAGATATCTCATATATGTCAATCTTCCAAAATTGGAAAAACTCCAAAATCTGAAACACTTCTGGTCCCAAGCATTTCAGTTAAGGAATACTGAACCTGTGTCAAAAACTGAGTGGCTTAACAGTTGCTCCACAGCCCTGGAGGCCAGAAGTTGAAATCAAGATGTCAGCAGGGTTGATTCCTTCTGGGGGCTCTGAGGAAAGGATCTGTTTCAGGCCTTCCCCCTAGCTTCTGGTGGTTTGCACGCAGTTGGCATTCTTTGGCCTGTAGATGCATCATCCCAGTCCCTGCCTTTGTCTTCGTACGGCATTCTCCTTGTTTGCCTGTCTGTGTCCGAAAGACTGCTTTCTATAAGGACAGCCGACATTGGACCAGCTGATCTTGTTTTAACTTGATGATTCCCTGGAAAGATGCTGTCTCGAAAAAAGATAACACTCTTGAGGACTGAGGGTTAGCCCTGCAAATTTTTAGGGGACACAGTTTAACTCATAAGTGGTAACCAGTGGACTGTAAATATCCTTAAAGGGTTCTTTATATTGAGATCAGTAAGATGGATTTCAGAACACTTTACAGTGAAAGATGAGTACCAGTTTTAAAATGGATGATAATTAACCCTCAAGAATACAAAGCCAAATAATATCCCAGTGGCTTAACCAGCTCTGAGGAAATTTTTTAGATATGAAAAACTAGGAGGTGATGTTTTGCAATTAACGAAATGAGTCATCTACAGCTTAAAAACCTAGGACTTTTTTTTTTAGTATTACGTATAATTTTTTTCTCCATTTTTAAACCTTTTTTTAAAAGAGATTTAGTATAGAGGCTAGACAGCTGGTTATGAAAAGTCAGGACGATGAAACTATTCATACACCAGTAATTGGTCATCTGAATGGTCAAGTAAATGTTTAGCTTTGGAAGAGAGTTTTTAAAATGCTTTACGAACATAAATCTAATTATACATGCACGTCATAAAATTAAGAGGGCATCTAAAAAGATGCCCTTTACAAGATAATGCTTTTAGTTCTATTTAATGTATATAGTTACTGTAAATGGAAGTCTGTTTCCTGAAATCATTCTGCATTTCAAAGTTAAATTAGCAAGTTATATTTTTATAAATATTACATAAAGGATAATATTTTTGAAATAACTTTACAAGTGTGATATTTTATGTCCTTTATTCTTTTACATAGGCAACGACTTTGCTTACCATGGATAAGTATGCACCTGATGACATTCCAAATATAAACAGCACCTGCTTTAAGTTAAATTCATTACAACTTCAAGCCTTATTACAGAACTATCACTGTGCACCTGATGAGCCTTTTATCCCAACGGTGAGTGGATGTTGCCACATTACCACACAGTGCGGGACATGTTTGCATGGGGACATTTGGATGAAAAAACAAAAGGAAATCCTATTTAATACGTTAACTTATTTATTCTCATCTTACAAGATCATTTTCGTGTTGCTGTCCAAGAGTTCAATGAAAAAACAGAAACTATACTCCTAAGTAGAAAGGGATTTTATTCAGGAAATTAGGTTCTTGGGAAGTCATCAGAAGGACTAGAGGAGAGGAGGTTAGGAGGCTGCCCAGGACTGTTGGGTTCCAGTGTACGTAGCCACAACTGAGTGTAGAGGGTGGGTACCTCTGTCACAGATCACCCTCTTACAGCCTAGCTGAAATGAGAGGCTTGTCCCTTCTCATCCAGAATGGAGCCAGGAGTTTTGGTATGCCTGCCTCTCAGTAGGAGAAACAGAGGGTGAGAAATAGTAT
This sequence comes from Homo sapiens, assembly GCF_000001405.40. Lineage (NCBI taxonomy): Eukaryota > Metazoa > Chordata > Mammalia > Primates > Hominidae > Homo > Homo sapiens. The sequence goes on from NC_000006.12 coordinate 167,917,674, forward strand.
CTACCACTGTTAGCTATTTATAAAGAGAAATACTGTAGACTTAAATATGAGTCATGAGAATTATGTATGTGGATGGATGGATTGACCAGCATTGAGTTTATGCTAACAAGACATGCACAAAACAGCCAGAAACTGGAAATCACCAAATCAAAAGCACAGCATATACATAAATCGTGTCATAGTCATTTAAAGAAATATGTGAGAAAGAATGAATTACAGTTACAACAACTGGGATGAACATTATGACATAATGTGAAAAAAGGCAGCCCTGTGCAAAGTGCATAGAATATGCTTCTATCTGTGTACACTTTAGGAACAGTCAAAATCACACTCTGGTGATAGAAGCCTGAAAACCATGTCATTCTTTTTGAAGGAGAAGGAGGGGACAGTGATAGGGAATGGGGTGGCTACTCAGGTGGCGATGTTCTCTTTTCTTGAACAGAAGTGAACCTGGTGGTTGAGCTGGTGTGTTCATCTTTTTGATCTGTACAGTTAGGATTTATGAACTTTCCTATATGTGGGTAATACATCAATAAAACGTGTCTAAATAAAAATCACCCATAAACCAATAATTTAGAAATAACCTCTATATATTGATATATTTCCAAACTGGCAAAAATACTGGGTAGATATTTGATTCCGGTCTTTTATATTTTACATTGTGTGGGCTTTTCCCTATATCATTAAACATTCTATACAAATATAGTTATTAACAGCTGAAAATTAAAGAATTGTGTGAGGAAAAAAATGATTAGAAAAGAAACTTCTTGTGATTGAACAATTTCTTTTTATTTAAAGCTACACGTTACTTAAAATTAGTAATTAAAATCTTGGTTCATCTATAAAATGTGTGCGGCCCAGAGTTGCTGGCTTTAGAAAACTGATGATGGGGGTACTCCTGGGACCTGTGCTCCCTCCGTAACCCTGCGTCTGTCTGTGTGTGTGTGTGTGTCTGTGAGATAAGCTGTGCTGCAGTGAGCAGACAGCCTTTGAATAGTTGTTGGTCACATGCACCAGGCAGTGAGCATCTCTTTTTAATTTTGCGTTTGTTTTCCAAACAGGATCTTATAGAAAATGTAGTGACTGTGGCTGAAAACACTGCCGATGAGCTGGCCCGCAGTGATGGAAGGGAAGTGCAGTTGGAGGAGGATCCTGATCTGCAGCTGCCGTTTCTTTTGCCAGAAGATGGTTATTCTTGTGATGTTGTCAGAAACATTCCAAATGGTTTACAAGAATTTTTAGACCCTCTGTGCCAGAGAGGTAAATTAGTCTAAATGCCTGAGTCTGAGCTACGCCCCAGGTTGAAGCGAGCATTTTATTCATTGTCCATCTCATAGGGTAGTCCACTTGTGTGGGAGTGCACCCTCGTGCTGTCTGGAGAAGTCCGTGTTCCACTGACTTGGAGAAATATTTCATGGTGATGTAAGGTCAGAAGTGTCGAGACACAGAGCCCTTGGGCATGTTTTGTGACCCTGTAGTGAGCATCTGCTCTGCGCACTTGATGTCATGGTTACATTTTCTGCCTGGGCTGATAACAAGGAACCGTTTATTGTTCTCCCTTCTTGGTATTTTATGAGCGTAGTAGGTTGATTCATTCCTTTAGCACTAAATTGTAAACTTTGTTGATACCAGCATAGCAGTTAAGAGCAACACAAGCTTTGGAAGCAGACTGCCTGCATTCTAAACCCACCTCTGTCACCTACAGGCTGTGCTGCCATTGGCAGGTGACTTTGGCACCTCAGTTTCTTTTCAGTGAAATGGGCATGTTGATAGTACCCAGCTAAGAGATTCTTGGGAGGACTGAATGGTTTCCTGTGGAGCATGCAGAACTCTAGCACAGAGCGAGTGGGTGTGAGTGCTGCTGCTGCTGTGGCCAGCACTGCCAAGCTGGCTTGCGCCTGTGTGCTGGCAAGACCCAAACTCCAGCATGTTGTGTGCTTTTCTGTGTGAAGGGCTTATAGCCCTGAAAGGTTCGAATACAACTGATTTCCTGGATTTTATTATGTCACTTTTACTACATTTTCTTGTGATCTGTACTGATCAAAAACACCACAGTTATTTCTGATGTATGAGGTTTTGTATTAGACCAAATTTTAATCCCAGTCTGCCACTTTTTCATAAAGTAGAAAACAGCTCAGATGAGTAGAAAGTTAGACTCAAAGTGTAGGGGTTTGTTTAAACACATAAAAGTAATAACGATAGAGGTTTTATGCCCGTAGGTATATAAATCTGGTGAGTGTGATTTTTAATTTCAGTGAATGTTTCACTCCCCACAATAAATACGTTTTTATACCTTTCAAGATATCTTCAAAGTTTCTGATAGTTAAAAAAATCATTTTACAAAGGCTGCTTCTTTAATGAAATGTGTTTGCAAAACAGTTACCTCTGAGCCTTTCCAAAAGGTGCTCAAGGCTCAGTGCCATCCTCAGAGACGCAGAGAGAGGCCAAGGTGAGATGAGGCTGGGGTGAGGTCTTTTAGGAAAGTGTGTGTGAAGGAAGAGGGGTAGGAGCAGGAGTAGGCAGGGAGAGCCTTCAGTCTTGGTAGAGGTGCACCTGTGACGAGGTTGGGGAAGGAGGAGGGCTGGGTTTCAGTGCAGGTCTGAGAAATGGAGTGGGCCTGAACTAGCCCCAGAGCATTAGTTCCGTGCTCTGCCATTCCCTGGAAAAAGCCTCATGCCACACACTGGTGGACCCAGAGGCAGCAGCACAGCTTCCAAGCGGCAGGCACTCGGCCACCACGGGACTGCTGAGAAGTATCCTTCCCAGTGTGCTGCATCTCAGCAAGTCAGAAAGCACAGCCAGCTTTCCTTCCCACAGGCTTCTTCCCCACACACGGGTTACTTAGAGCGTTAGTCCTCGGACAGTCTCCTCACTCCACTTTTTCATTGTATTCTATTGTTCATATTGCCATGGTATCTTAAAACCATGGTTTGCGGATGGCGCTCTCCTGCCAGGAACTCTTCCTCTGTCATGTGTGGGATTAATTTAAACTGTTGAGCATGACATCATCTTCCAGCCTTACTTCTTCACCTTGAAATACGCACACTATAGATGTCATTCATATTGAACTGTATATTATTAATATCTGTGCTGTTACCGTTGTCGGTACTCTACTCCTGCTCCTGCTGTTGAACTTACACACTTACTTATTTTCTTAATTCTAATCAGGCGTCCTTTTATGTGGAAAACCTCAGTGTCTTCCTACTTAACATGTCTTCCCCACACTTAACATGTCTTCCCCAGGAGTGATTCTTAGTTACTTGCTTCTATTTTTGCACTGGTCACATTGTGTTTCAAACGCGTGCCGCTGTCTGTCCTCCACGCTTAGTGAGGGTGGTCCCTGAGATCCTGGGCTTGACCAGCTGCACTTTCTCTGATCCTCAGCACCTCACATGGGCCTGCTGTATGTTCAGTGCTCAGTAACTGTTGTTTTTATAATTAATACCTTGCAAATAAGCATGTAAGGTGACTACTAGCATTTTGCAAATGCGTATAGTTTATAGGTTAGAAGCAACTGCCAGTTTTGTCACATGTGCCATAGGGCGGATCCTCACCAAGTTGGAAATAGTGAGCTCTTGACTTGATGATGGAGTATTCTTTGTGACTTCCCCATAAGCTCTCTTAAATGATTAATGTTAGGACATACGTGATATTTCCGTGGCCGAGGCATCACCACATTACTTCATGTGTGTTAGATGATCATTGTACACGTAGCTTAGTACACAGATGCCTTTAGAAGACTTACAAAGAATCGAGTGTTTTCTTTCATGACATCAGTGTTTTTAATGCTTCACACTCAATTCTTTACAAGCTGATTAAAGAATTACTTTGTGCCGTCAATATATATTCCTTTGTTTCCTTCATACAATACAGTTCTGTGAGAAAAGACTGTACGACCAGCCTGGACTCATTCCTTGTCTGAGATGCATTCCGTAAGCTAATAAAGCCAAACCTCTATTTGTAATATGGTCCAGAGCTTGTTATGGAAATGCGGCCCTTGAAAAAAATAAAATAATTTATAATTGTTCAGATTTCAAAATCATGATAAATTAGTGATTCCCTGAAACATGAGAAAGAGAAGCAAGTTGTAGGTTATATTTTCATGAATCTGAATTGAAATAGTGATTTAAAAAATAAAAAAAAAAACTAAGTAAAATTACTTTGTATACTTATTTTAACTGAATATGTTTTTGACGTCTCCTTTTTTGCCTACCATAAATAACCTAATTGTCCACAAATAACGGTCAGAATTTTCTCCTTGTTGAACCACTGGAATGGGTGAGACTGTCAGCTACTGCCAGGGAAAACTCCTCACCAGTCCAAGCCATTAGACCACTTGAGACTGTGGTGAAAAGCTGCGCAGAGTCTGTCACACAGGACGCTCTTGATGAATGTTAGGTGCTGATAGTGGGAAGAAGATGGCAGTAGAGAAAATGTACCGAGGATTGTTCAGGGCCCGTGTGATAGATAGGAGTTGGTCAAAAACATTGCTGAGAAACAAAATAGGATTTGACTAAATGAGGAATGACCTAGTTTGAATTGAAAGGCTTACTTTTACAAAGCATGTCATTTGTCCCTGATGAAAATATCAGAGATATTCTTGAAAACATTATAAAATGATTCTGAACTTTATTTGTAAGAAATTTAAATTAGTATGACCTTAAAAGTAAATTTGGACAGAGTAATGAGGAGGACTCCTAGAATTGTTATACAAGTTACCCAGTAATTTGAATGTAAGTAGTTGAACCGAGAGTCTGACGTGCTGGCAGACACCCCATGCTCGTATTGTTTTCTGGCTCCTTCCCTCTTTTCTTTCCCTTTGCTAAGTAGGTATTCTGAATGTTATTAAGGATCTCTTAGTGTAGTGGAGTAAACGGTTCTGCAAGGAAGTAATGACAAGGCTATTTGGTAATTTCTTATAGGAGTAAGAAAAAAGTTCTTTTGGAACACAGAGGAGTGGGAGGCCAATTTTACTTTACTGCTTGGTGCTGAAATGCTCTTGGACCAAAACAAATGGATAATTTTAAATGTCTGGTAATTCAGTTTGCAGAGGGGATTAAAGGTGTAGAGTAAGAAGAATCAATACCGTGTGTTGGATATTAAGCAATTGGTAATTAATCTTGCTTCCTTTATCTTGACAAGATGTGCTTTTTCACTTACAATTTGCTTGTTTCCTCCTTAGGATTTTGCAGGTTAATTCCTCACACACGTTCACCAGGTACTTGGACAATATATTTTGAAGGTGCAGATTATGAAAGTCACCTTCTGCGTGAGAACACAGAGCTGGCAAGTATTTTGAGGGTACCATGAAGTGAAATGGATCCTTAGGACTTGAAGATGTGATGCAGATTTGTTTCTTTCTTACACTGAAGATTGGTGTGATGGCAGAGTTTTAAAATCGCTGTTAAATACTGATATTCAGAAATTTTCAAGCCATAATTCATATATATGTATTTTTTCCTCCCAAGCCATGTCTATTACAGTTTTGTCTGTAAGCAGTGGTGCTTTTTAAAATAAAGAACACTTATACCCATGGTTGTACCAGTCTTAATACATATTTTAAAACATATTAATATGATAACCTTAAAATATTTTCTTAAAATTCTTTGGCAGAAATATTTCATTCTTTTATAGTCAGTTCTGCCTTGTCTTAAATATATATCAAGCCATTTAGTAATATTTTATATCTTTTTGAAAGAGTGGTAAATCCCAAAATTTCCCAGTTTCATACATGTTAAGAACAATTCTACTTTGCCTCATATAGACAGTTTTAAACACAAACAGGAATTTTTGTATATTCAAAGTAATTAATTTGGCTTCCTGGCATACCTTAGGTTTGAGCATCATATCATGGCCATCTCCAGAAATTGAATTAATTGATGATCGTTCTTTTGTACCAAATAGATGATCACATTGAACTACTGACAAAGTGAACATACCCTAATACTTTTTTTTTTTTTTTTTTTTTTGAGACAGAGTCTCGCTCAGTCGCCCAGGCTGAAATGCAGTGGCGCGATTTGGCTTATTGCAACCTCTGCCTCCTGGGTTCAAGCGATTCTCCTGCCTCAGCCTCCCAGTAGCTGGGATTACAGGTGCCCGCCACCACACTTGGCTAATTTTTTTGAATTTTTAGTAGAGACGGGGATTCACCATGTTGGCCAGCCTGGTCTCGAACTCCTGACCTCAAATGATTCGCCCACCTCAGCCTCCCAAAGTGCTGGGATTACAGGCATGAGCCACCTCGCCCGGCCCCTAATACTTTTTATTGACTTTACTAACTGCTGTCTGTTAAGTCCCAAATAACAGCAGCAACTTCTGTTTACCCAATTTTGTGGAAAAACAAGTACCTTCTAGGTAGATTCACTCATTCCTCGTCTTTTTAGTTTATTCTAAGATTCCTCAGGAGATTTCAGGTTTTGATTTAAAAAAAAAAATAATAATTCTAATGTCAACTAATTTTATTTTCCTTAAAATAGTCTCTTACAAGCTTTAGTTATTATCCTTCTAAATTAAAAAGCCATATGTATAATTACCACCTCTTGGCAAGGTACCTTCCTGCTTATATATTTAATTACTTAAGTTCCTCCTTAGTGTGTATGCACTGTTAATTTTCTTCTTGAATTTTGTTTACTCTTTGGCGTATAGGAGTGACATGTATAGAATACGTAACTTCAATGAGTAATTTTGCTTTCTCATTCTTTGAGTCTGTCAGGAGCTGTCTTGCCTTACGGTCTGTCAGTTTTAGGCTCCTTACCCAGCCAGGCGGGCTTCACTCAATAGCAGCGTGCTCTGGGTGTTGCTGCATGAGTCCTGCAGCGGCCCTGGTGCTGTGATTTAAAATAAAATGACTGCTGGGTTTTCGCAAGAGACAAAGACGTTAGGTCATCTTTGTTATAACCATTTTTTGCAGTCCTCCCCGTGGATAGTGTAAAATAAGTTTACATTTCTTCTTTGAAAACACAAAAAGACTGGTAATTTATTTTGAAAGGTAATAAAGTGAAAATTGAATTTTTTCCTTACGATCAGGCTTTCTACCTGATAGTAATGGGAGTTTAATTTTGTTTCATAAACTAAGTTCTTCAAATCAATTTAAATAGCATTTGTGACTAAATTCATCTTTAAGACTTGAGTCAAGAATATCGATTTAGTTTACCAGATTAATACCTGAAGAGTATCTATATTAATTGAAATTTTTTTTACTGTTTATCTTCTCATCCTTTTTCTTTCCCCATTTGCTCCAGTGAACATGATTGACTAGATCATGAGTTGTCTAACCATACAGAAGCACTTCCATTTCAGTCATAAAATAAACCTTTGTTTTCATCCTTTAGGCTCAGCCTCTGAGGAAAGAACCTGAAATAATCACTGTGACCCTAAAAAAGCAGAATGGAATGGGCCTTAGCATTGTTGCAGCAAAGGTAGGCCAATTAGTCACGTGCGAGTTGTTCTCTCCAGTCTTTCGGCATTGAATCAGTGGTTGTCAGAGTGGATCGTGTGGGAGTACTTTACCACCTGTGTATAACGTGCCTGTTCAGTTCTGTTTCTGCGTAGGAGAGGAATGGTGTTACATGAATGAAGCCAGTGTGCTCACTGGGCCCAATTAGTTGAGGGATGATCTCCTACTCTGAGAATGTAGCTAGAGTGATACTTTGAGATTGAGCAGATGGTGCTCAGAAGGAAACAATTTAAAGGCATAGTCAAAACTTGATTCGCACAGTGAGGAGAGAAAGCATTGCTACAGTAGAAAACTGCATCGTGGGAGTGGGGCACAGGGCTGTCACCTCATCATAGTGGGCCACTGGACTCCTTTCTCAGACTCCAGTGCACATAAAAACCGCTAAGGACTTTGCTACACAAGGAGATTTCTGGTTCTCATTTCCAGGTGCCTTCCAGTAAGTCTGGTGTGGAGCTTAGGAAATGGCATTCTTAACCTAGGCCTTATATAGTTCTGATAGGTGTTGACTGCTGGACCACCCTCCTGGAATTCTTGGGGTTTGAATCCCTTCACCTGCTAGTTTTGGCAGGATATTTAAAGCTACACAGATCTTTTCTTTGAGTTAAAGAAATGAGTATTGTGACTTGGTGTTACTCACTCATGAGCCTCTTCCAATATGGAATCTCAATTATGTTTGCTTAGAATGAATTTTAGCTTTGAATCATATTTAGATATTTTCCATGAAACAAATATGTGTTTAGCTAATATTCAGTAACTAATGTTTCAGTCAACTTTGCTGATATTTTGCTTAAAAATAACACTTTGGCCACTACAATTTGTATTTTTGTTTCTATCTCTAGGGAATATATGAAAAGCTTGAAACTGTTACATAGCAATATGATAGAAGTGCCTTCTGAATTACACAGTTAATGTGCCTTGAGAAATATTTTAATTGCTAATAGTCAAAAATTTTAGTTTATTTTTCTTTATACCAGAATTATATTATCCTGAATATTGATTTGGAAATAAATGGACTGTCATTTGAAACCTTGCCATTCCCATTGCTAGAGACCTGTGATTTTTAAAAGCTTTCACCGAAGCTTTTTCTTCCTCAGCTGCTCTAATTTGTGAAGGGTCCGTTTGAAATGAGGGTATAGGGGCAGGCCATGAGGTCAGCTTTGCAGCGAACAAGTGCAGAAGTATGAGAAAAAATGTTGAGGTCCTGGCTTTGAACCGAAGGCTAGATGGTGAGCTACTAAGTGGTCTAACAAGTACACAGGCTTTGCCTGGCTGGGCATATTTGCATCTACTGTCCCATCATGCTGTGAGACCTTTATTTTTATGTTTTAAAAGAGGCTGGGTCTTGCTGTGTCACCCAGGCTGGAGTGCAGTGGCACAATCACAGCTTTGAACTCCTGGGCCAAGTGATCCTCCGGCCTCAGCCTCCCAAGTAGCTAGGACTACAGGAGCATACCACCATGCCTGGCTAATTTTAAAAACTTTTTTAGAGACAGGGTCTCGCTATGCTGCCCAGGCTGATCTCGATCAAACTCCTGGCCTCAACCAGTCCTCCCACTTCGGCCTCCCAAAGTGCTAACAAAGCTTTTGTGTCCTACTTTGCAAGGACTTGCTGGCAGCTCACTCTGCTCATCTCTGTCCCCTAAATCAGGGTACTTTTAGAACTGGAATTAAATCATGAGTTTGGTATCTTTTTTCCTGTCAGACTGATTCTGTAGCATCTTCTTTGTAGCTATCCCCACTCCCAGACACAGTCCCCAGCATATAGTAGGCAAAAAATACTTGTTGAAAAATAGCAAATAAGAACAATTTTTTTTTACCGAGTGGATATTTGATTTGCTGTTACACAGGTTTAATCCTGGAAGTTAGTTTATTTAAAATAACACATTACCAGCTATATTAGCACAACTCTCACTGAATTAGCTATGAGGAAAATTTGTTATCCATAATCTTAGTCATAACAACACAAATGCCTACGAAACAATATGTGATTAAGATCTAGTACAAGTACCATAAAACTTTACCTTTGTGTATTTTGGAGAAATTAAGAAGATGAATGGGCGTTGTAGCGGTTGTGGAGGGCATCTTGGGAGAGGTGGAGTTTCAGCTAATCCTTGGAACAGACATAATTGGGATAAAGGAATAAGGGAGATATATTGTGGGTGGGAGTGAGAGCACAAGCAGAGATAGAAGAAACGAGTCTTGTGTGGGCCACTTTTGGATAAGGTGAGACCTGTGCGATTACTAAGGAGAGCAGAATAAGGAAGGCAGTGCTTAATTAGTTTTAAAACTCTTGATTGACAGGTTAAGGAGTCTGTGCCTTATCTTGTAGGCACCACAAAGAAATGCAGGATTTAGAACAAAAGAGGAACATGATGAAACTGACATTTTAGGAGGCTTCATCTGGGTCTGGTGTGCAGGATGGATTAGAAGAACCTGGGACGAAAGGTGGGCATCTGTTCAGGAGTTCGTCAGAGGAACCTGAACCCTTTTAGCGTATGGGTTGAAGGTGATGCGTGGGGCATAGTAAGCTGCCTCTCAGAGACCAAGACGTGTGGGGTTCACCTGTGCAGGCAGAGGGTAGTCCAGGGCCCTTCAGTCCACCTCACCATCCAGAATTTCTGCTTACTCCTGGTAAGGGTCCTGCTCACAGGCCATGTTTCCAGGCTGTTGCAATTTAAGGGACCAGAACTCAAACATTTGGAGATGTAAAAGGGGAACTGTCAGCCATAGAGCTATGTTTTCTCTTTGCTTACCGACTGAGTCAATGCCCATTTTCAGGAAAAAATCAGAATCACAAATTACCCTACTGTACTCAAATCTGTGGGCAGAATGTAACCTCCATATTTTCTGTTATGTTCATCCTGTAACCTTATTTTAAATGCTCTTCTTACCTGGGGTTTTAAGAGTGTGGAGGTGGAAGTAGGGGGCTTCCAAGATCAGTGTCCACCTCTTCCAGTTAAAAGAAGTATCTTGCAGTACAAAACTATTTGTTTCCTATAGATTCAAGTCTAATTTACTTCTGCATTCAGTCTTTCAGAGTTTTTGGTATTCTCTTTCGCATGATTTCCGGATGTATAAAGGAACCAGCATTACCTTACAGCAGGGCAGAAGGAGCGGAGCTCTGGGTTCACTTGGCACTTTCTCACCCTCTGCTGGGTGGCCTCTGGCCTCTGGTTGTTTGTCTCTGAATTTTGACCTCTGTCCTTGCCAGGGTGACAGGGGGCAATTAGGACAACAAGCCAGCTTGAAAGTCACACCTGAGCCTCTGTTCAGTTTTACTGTGGCAATGCAGGCAAGAGGCTGAGGGACAAGGTGCCAGCCCCAGTGTCAGGTGACAGTCAGATGATGCCCAGATGAGGAGAATCCTCTCACTTCAAGGAGGAGCTCCAGAAGGAAGATTCTGCCAGTTATGAACCTGGGAGGGAAGAGGGGAAGGAGTGCAAAAGGTGTCAGGAAAAGTGCCTCAGCTCAGACGCTCAGGCACGGGTGCAGAGCCCTAGGAGTGCCCGACTGTGCCTGAGTCCAGGGAGCCCATGCTGCTTGAATGGGCTCCACCCGGCCTCTGCCCATTTGTGCATCCATGCTGCTGCCCACACCTGTCTTTGCTTCTTGTTTTTAGATCCTTGCACTTGGTCACCTCTTCCACACCCAGCCTCTGCTAATCCCTAATCCCCTCTTCTGTGGGGTGTGAAGTCCCCTGAGCTGCTGTATGTCCTCTTTGCATTTGCTCTTACACAAGGAAGCCTCAGAAGAAACACAGCCTTCTCTCTGTATCTTCAATGGAAAGTAATTTTGTCATAAAAATAACTGACTCTGGAATCTTTGCTATTACGAAAATATTTGTCATGTGTGGTGAAAAGGTACAGTAGGTATCAGTGTAGTACAATTACTGGCTTCCGTGAGTCTAATGTGATTTAGGAGTCTGCAGGGGTTAGCTTCAGGGTATATTGTAATTTCAAGACTAGGTTCTTTGTACTTTTACTAGTATTAGAATAAACTTAGTATGAAAGTGGTGTCTAATAGTTAAAATAATATTTCAGAAAGACTATTACTGCCTATCGTGTGAAAAGTAGAGTGTAAATTTTCACTTTTAAACTTTAAATCTCCAGCATTAAAAAAAAAAAAATTAACAAAAGATATTTACAAAGATTTGTAAAGAAGACCAGGAAATAACAATGTTAATAGTACTTCTAACTGGGTTGTAGGCTATATTAATAGAATTGGGGCTTAATGGGGCATAGTAACAGCGTAGAAGGTTAGGTACATACAGTCAAAAAGATGGACCTTTCACCAGCTGAAGCTAGATTGGGGATGTGTCTGATGTGCATGTCTACACTGCACCTGCAAATTTGTGACTCCTGAATTAAACATGCTTCCCTCCCCCTCCTCAGGTCACTCACACAGCAAGTCTTCCCTGGTAAGAGGAAGGTGAAGGTAGTTGTCCCCTTAGAGCAGGACACTCCAAAAGACAGCCTGAAGAGGTTTTGAGCACCCGCTCTATTTGGCATCCTTGTCTCACTCTCCCATGCATGGCTTTGCTGCCTCCGTGAGGAGTCAGACGGGAAGAGGTAGAGAGTGGCTGGAAAGGCCCTGCTCTTCCCTTTGCTGGGGACATAGACCTGTGTGTCCCTTTTCTAAAGTGGGGAGTGATCCTCCCTAACTTGTAGATGATGTTCACTTTGTTCTTGTTTTTGGTCTTTTCAAATACCTTCCACAGTGAATAATGTGTATAAATTGAAAACTGGAAGAAAGAAAAGGGAGTTCAGATTTAGTTCTAAAATGGTTAACTTGGCCAGGCGCCATGGCTCATGCCTATAATCCCAGCAGATGGGTTTAGGCCGAGGCAGGAGGATCACTTGAGCCCAGGAGTTCGAGACCAGTCCAGGCAACAAGGTGAGACCCCATTTCTACAAAAAAATCAAAAAGTATACTGAGTGTGATGATGTGCGCCTGTGGTCCCAGTTACACTGGCGGCTGAGGCAGGAGGATGGTTTGAGCTCAGGAGGCTGAGGCTGTGGTGAACTGTTTTTTCATCATTGCACCCCAGCCCAGGTAACAGGGCAAGACCCTGTCTCATAATAACAATAATAAAATGGTTAATCATCAGCTTATAAAATAGATTTAGGGAGACTAAGCGTGGATTTGACGCTCATGAAAGTTTTTTTTACCTAGTGATAAAAGTTTTCTTCTCCTGGTGAGATGTCTATGATCTTAGTCACTTCATCAGCACATGCCCCTTGACCACTTGAAAGATGAGACAGAATAATATGAGTGATGAATTATATGGTTGATGGTCATTATCCATGGCTGTTTGCAGAATGTCTAAACTGCGCTCCAGAGTGGAAGTCAGTGCTGAACTTGAAGGATGAGTCAGTGTTAGCCAGGTCAAGGATGGCAGCGGGCCCTGTGCACAGGCTCAGCCCAGTTTGGGCTGTCAGGGGAAGCCATGTGGGGTGTGTGGAGAGGCAGATAGGACCGGATCATAGAGTACAGTGTCAGCAAGCTTTTTCTGTAAGGGCCCAGACTGTGGAGATTTTCTGCTTTGCAGGCCATGTGGAATCTGTTGCCCTGAGTAGTTCTGCTATCATGGCAGCCACAGGGCAGTTTGTGGCATAGCGTGGCTGTGTTCCAATAAAACTTCATAAAGAAAGGCCTTGTGATGGTGGGTCTGGACAGAGCTGAGGATTTTATTATAGGTGAAATAAGGACCCTTGAGGTTTAAATGAGGCATGATATGATTAGAGTGCAGTTTTTAAAGTTTATTTTTACAACTCTGGAACATGGATTAGAGACGCTCAGAAGTACAACCAGAGACTAGTAAGTAAGTTGTACTAGTTTTCCAGATGAGAGGTCGTGGAGGCTTACAATAGGGTCGTGGCAGTGGAGATGACGAGATGGTTTGCTCTGTGTGCAGAGGACAAAGGCGTTCTGGAACAGACACCCCGTGAAGGCGGGCATCTTCTCTTGTCCACTATTGAAAGGTTGACAGTTTCTGGTTATGGTAGGTACTGATACATATTTGTTGAATGGCAGTTTTTGGATTGGCTTATGAGTTGCAGTAGTGGATGAAAGAGGGAAGTATGATGAATCTCAAGAAGATGAATCTTGATTCTGTCTTGAGCAGCTGGACATATGGAGGTGTGATTTACAAAGGCAGGGAAACTGAAGGGGGCAGGCATGGTGGCATCAGGAGTTCAGCTTTGAACATGTCACACTGGAGATGTGGGATGCCTGTTCAGGTGAGTGAATAGATTATCTAGTAGATAGTTGGATAGTGAAGCTCAGAAGGTTAGAGCTAGAGATAAAATTTGGATGTCAGCATATAGATGCTCTGAAGGAAATAAAGAAAATGGCCTGTTAATTGGACAGTGTAACATTTTCAGAAATGAAGCATCTGTTAATGCCTTTTCTTGAAATGAGAGAAATGAATCTAGCAGTTCCCTGGCATACTGGATTACTAAATACAGTCCATTTTTTTTCCAGTTTACTTGTAATTTCTGGTACTTGGAAAGTCATCTAATACATACACACTGCCGAGATAACACTGTATAGTTGATAGGTATGTGGGTCTGCTTACATCATTATAATAGAGTGGAGGTATTTTTGAGATTTCAGGGGTGTATTCTGAGTGCAGGGTAGGGCAGTATACAGGGGGATTTCACCGTTAGCCCTGCCCTGCGTCTTACTGAGCGTGTTGGTGTGGCAGCATCACATAGGATTCTGTTTATGCCTGGGCTTTTCAGTCACGCTGCTGCTGTGCATATTCTGCTCCTGCCACTGGCAGCCTTGGAGCACGGAGCCCATGGCACCCCCTCTCAAAGCCTCAGTTTCCTTGCCTTTAATATAGTAGTAATAGTTATAGTTACCTCAGCTCTTCAGAGAGAGAAGCTGTGTCAGGCATGTTGAGCCTGGTATTGGATAATCACCTGCTGTTTGTATTCTTGTTAGTCTCATGAGTGTGTGGTATATGTTTTTTCTGCAGAGGAACCTATAGACTTGTGTCGTTAAATTTTACCCCTAGTCATTTGTGTGCTTTTCTTGTTTTCTATAAGCTGCGTGGTTTTTGTCTTTGGCCCGTTCTTTTTTCCTTTTCTAAATTGGTGTATGGGGTAGCTGCTGTAACCCTGAACCATGTTTTGATGTTAAGTTCCCTGACTCGCCTTCCACACGGTGGTTAAGTTTTATGAAATCCAGATGATTTGGAAGCAGTGTGGGTATGCAGTTTACTTTTTAAAACATTGCTTTTGGGGACGGTCAGCAGGCTACTTCTTGGTCATCTGTGGGACAACATGATGCTTCCTGTTTAATTTGGATTTTAAAATTACAAACAATTCCCTCCTTTTTATTTTTCTAAGTCTTTTTAAAGTTTAAAAGTACAAAGCGAATAGCAGTCAGCGTGGACTGGTTACGTAAGAGCCTGAATATTGCATTGGTTCTAGGTCGTGTTGATAAATGCCATACAGGGTCATAGCATCCAGCGCAGAATGTGGTGATCCCGGTCTTGAAAAACCAGCTGTCTTGGTTGCTGTTGAAAACTGAGAGAAGTAGACGGTTGATTTTCAGTTCATGAAGTTGTTGTGGTCCCGGAAATGAAAATGTGGTTCTCTGTTGTTGGAAGAACACAGTCAGTGGTGAGTTTCTTCAGGGGGCAGTTGCCGGTGTTCTCGTGCTCACTGTGGTCTTGAAGGAATGCTTTTTCTTTCAGTGTAACTTGTTTAAACCTGTCAATAATTAACTTGCTCATGAAGCAACAACCGTTTAATGTAGCTTGTAATTACACACTCTTTTTTTGTTTTTGCTACTTTTGTGCTGCAAATTCTTAAGCTTCATAAAAACATAAGCCTTCTGTATGCTTCTTATTTAAGAAAACAGCCATGATATTTCATCCTGCTGGGTATAATATGGTGAAGGTTGCTTTAAATATGATAACTGCCGCTATGTAACTTGCTGAAGACATGGACAAGAATATCTATGATGTAACCTGTATTTGGCCCCATTAGGTGGTTTTAACTACAGCCTTTCTCTAAGACCTGTTTTTTCTAAAAGTGAACATAAAAATGACACTTTTAAAAGTACTTAGGATATTTTACTATTTTATTTAAAAATAAATGGTTAATTAATGCCTTAAGTATGTTCAAGTTTATGCTTTTAGACAATGTACTGATTTAAAGTTTTAAAATCTTAAAATCTTAGCTTAAAACATAAGATTCCTATGCCCTAAAAATGAGATGGTAAAGACTGTTTATTAACATGCCTTCTCACTGTTTAGAGAGTCAGTTTCTCGCATAAACTGTAATTTAGTCCTTTGAAGACTTTGAGACCTTCTCTTGTGTTCTTTAATGGTCTAATTATGACCATGTGGGAAACACCTAGTCAAACAAATGAAGTCAGGAAATTCCGGGTTCCTTTTTAGTCAGTTCCAAAGACCTATTGTGCTTACATTTCTTCCACGGAGATGCCAGAAACATCTTTCCACTAAGTTGTATGAAGTGACACTGCCCCTCATGGCTTCTTATGAATTTGGAAACAATATATTTGTGTATCAAAAGCAAAATAGTAAATTATATAAAAGAATACTATTTTTACCTGGTTTATAATTTTGGCCTAAGTGCTGATTTCTTGGATTGGCTGAAATACTGAATTCAAGTACAACATTAAAATAACATAATAGGAACATAAAATGTTGATCCTCTAAAGAGCCATCATAGAAAATGATAATTTGTAGAGTTTACCTGGATGTAGAATATTGGCTGTGGGGTAGCCCAGAGGTTCACACTGCCCCAGGCTTGCCCCATCTCTCTCAGTGGAATCTTAAGTGATCCAGACCCATCCCCTGCACAGGCCAGGACTCTGGGGAGCTTTGTCAGGAGTGTCAGGCTCACCTCCAGTGGTCTCTTGTGCCTGAAAATCTGCTGAGTCGCACACCGCTTTGCGAGGCTAAGGAGAGTTGTGCACTCTACCCTGGTGAAATTCACACACCTGCAAATGTCGCGTGCGGTCTTTGGGGGTTTATGGGCTTCCTGCATCCCATCTGTGGGACCACCTTCGTTCCCTTCATTTTATGGAGAGGGAAGAGATAGATGTGGTCTGTTGGGTTTGTATTTTATACAAAGCATAAACGAAACCCAGAGCTGGAACTACAGCCTTGCTCATAGATATCAAGCTCAGTTACCTTGCTCACAGCACCAAACCTGCTGGGGGTAACTTACCATGGACTTCCAAGGTTGCTGAATGTAGAATTCATATACAAAGTGAATTTTAGAACTGATTATTTCACAATTAAGGTAATTCCTACCCAAGAAGAGAGATCTTTAGAATGTTTTTAAAACCCAAGCCTGGATTTACTTATCTGACTAGAAGTAAAGCAGTTGAAAAACCCAGAGGAGAGCAGCGAGCGGGCAGAGTGTCAACAGAAGTATGCCTGATGACTGAAATACTTCTGGGCTCTGAGGTCATTTCAGCCACTTATTGTTCTAAAATCACCAGCCAGAGAACCCAGGCTAGGTTTTCTTACCTGAGAACAATAGGGTTGGATTCATGATGATTTGGCCAGCATATCTTTCTTCCTCCTGCTCTTTTTTTTTTGGATTGTGTTTTAATGATGTCTTTATGCTGTTTATCACGTTGTACTCCCACACGCACTCAGGGTTTGCTACTGGAATGTTTGAAGCCTAGGCTCCGCCTGACCGAGCCTCCCTGTGCGTGTGGGGAGACTACCTACACTTCTATAAGCCCTCTTCTGAAAAGGTGCAGTAAAAGAATTAGAGAAGACATTTGGGGAGCAGTCTTTTCCTTGTTGCCATTTCTCATCGGATGTACAAAGCAACTTATAGGTGCGTGCTTCTTTCTCAGTTCTAGGGAAAGTTGAATGTATGGCAGCTGAGTTATTTCTGTTTTTTATTATAATTTTTGATAACTTTTTGTTCATTTATTGCCATTCTCTCTTGTAGCTCGTTCTACAGGTGAATTTCAGATACAGCTTTGGTTCATCCTTTTTTGTCCTCCTTTCTTCTCTCTCCTCTCCCTCGTTAGTCCCATCCCCACTCTGAAACCCCCTTCTTCCTTTTTAATGGAAAGAAAGGCAGTTTCAAGAGGCATTTTAAGATTAAAATGTTAAGATCAAACAGGCAGTGATCTTTGTGTTTCCTTTTTGCGTGTTTTTTAAAGGATACAAGATCTAAATCTTCTGCCAGTGTGTGCTACACGTTGGGTACCCTCTGATACGCTGAAATTGCATTGAAGGGCACAAAGGCTGGACATAGCAGTGTGGGCGCTGTACTGCAGATGTTCTCAGGGGCCTCCAGACGGGGAAAAGTGCATTTAAAAATTTACCTCTGGTATTTAAGTGTGGTTAATTAAATTCCAAAATTGTACTTAATGAAATTTGTAATTCCTGATGTCTTTGGAATCTGTAACTGCTTTTCAGAAGACCTCTGCCTCAACTTTTCTTTAAAGAAACTGGTTTGTTAAATGAGGAATGAGTAATCCTGAATAATTAGTTTTGCAGAGAATAAATGGACTAAAATGCAATAATATCTTTTCAAATACCATATTTAGGTACCTTTAAGCAAGTAATCCTTAAAACTATTTAGCCTTTCTGGAGTTATCTATAATATTGTGTTCTCAATTTTAATGGCTCTTTTGCTTTTCTTTTTTTTTTCTTTTGGTTGGAAATCAGGATGTGTAATGTTAGCATGTAAATTATAGTATGGTAAAATCTTGTTTTTGCCATATTATCTGCATAATTGTAAATGTGTTGCTAGTACCTATCATTACTCATAACAAACATACTATGAAAATCTACATTATTGGTGCAGCACTATCCGATAGAAATATAATATGAGCTACATGGGGAATTTTCAGTTTTCTGCTAGCTGTGTTTTTTTAAAAAGTGAAGTTAATTTTAATACCATATTTTATATTATCTAATACATCAGAAATGTTATTTCAACATGCAGTCAATATAAAAATCATCAATGAGATAGTTCACATTCTTTTTTCCATACTAAGTCTCTGCATTTCCATATTTCAGTTTGGATGAGCCACACTTTCAGTGCTCTGTCACCACCTGTGGCCTGCCTACTGCCATACTGAACAGCACAGTGTTTAATGCCGTTTCACTAGTATTCTTGGAACTGTTTCTACATTTCTGTGATTGTTTTTGGTTGGTAGCTAACACTTGAATGTTCTACATGCTGACACACAGCAGCAAAGAACATAGAGCTTCTAGGCCTGGCTGTTCTTTCTTAGTTGGAAAAGAAATAGAATTACCATAAAATGAATTTTAATTGTGTGCGCATGTAAATATAAAGACACTAATTATTTTAATAAATTTTGAGTTCAGCCTTAATAGACTACATAGATTGTCCATTATTGTTTAGAAATAAGACCTAAATTAAGTGGTTTAATATTTCTGAAATTAATAAATTGTTTCATACAGTTTTTTTTTTAACCGTAGGCAGTACAATTCTCATTTATTCAAATGAAGGGGGGTAGGTAGTGAGAGCTCCATAATGTTAAGGAATTGTTATGGCTCGACAGACGACAGTTTGCTGAGGCATCTGACCAGCAGCAGAGGCAGGGATGCAGCAGAGTTTCTTTACTCTGCTCTTCCCCCAGTCAGGGTGCACATTCCAGTCCTGCACTGCCATAGCCAGACTGAGAAACCTTGGACAAGTGGACACCTTGTAGTTGGACAGAGACTGTGGTGGTTCGGGTTGAAGGTAATTGCCCATATTGATGTGATACAAATAGACATTTCCTAGAGTTCTTTCATCTCTGGGTAATCATCTCTAATTTTGTTTTGCTAAGATAATTACCAGTAGAACTGTAATTTCTCCATTCAGCAGTTGTAGTTAGAATTTTTATGATCAGTTTATGACTGTGAGCTGCACCTGAAGTATAAGTAGGATCCAAATAACCAGAGGTGATAGGAGGGAAGGGCATGTGAACAGGGCCAGTGGGTCTGCAGGAAAGGAGTGTGTACAGAAGGTGCAGGGTCAGTGGACAGGGAATGTGTCCACGGAAATGTCCATGAAGCAGAGCAGTCCGTGAAGTGGAGGCCCGAATGCCGACCAAAATGTGGATACCTGTTACATTATCTAGATCCGTATTCTTTACTTGCACATTGTTTTGTCTTCTGTGTCTAAGAGTATTTTCAAAATATATTTCGTGATGCATTGTCTTGACTTTTGATCAAATTCCATTTTTATGATCAACCTTGAATAGACCTTTTAGATTTTAATGGGTGTTTTGAATTGAGGTCTCTAATAATCATGAATGCTTTTTAAAATTTTTTTGTAGAGACAGGATCTCGCCATGTTGCCTAGGCTGGTTGTGAACTCTTGGCCTCAAGCAGTCCTCCCGCCACAGCCTCCCAAAGTGTTGGGATGACTCCCACCATGCCTGGCCCTATCATGAATGCTTATTTCCTTAAATGAAAACCTCCTTTTGTGACAAACAGATTTTATAAATTCAGTTTACTTGGAATTAAAAGAAGTGGTTATTACTTAGAATTCAGATAAATTCTGAATATATAAGAAAATAGAATGTGTCTTATTTGTGCCTTTCCTGACAATCATGGATTTGAGTTCCCTTCCTAAAAGGGCACATTGGGTGCCAGAGCCTGAAGTGCTTTTGTATCTATCTTTCTAAACTAGTAATTTTACAGTTTTATTGCTAACCCATATATAATGGGCATATCGGTTGCTTCTTAACTTACTATTTATTCAGTAAAATTACAGACCTCCTCATCGTAGGTTTTTAAAATAGGAAATTGGCCAAATTCCTTATCGATCAATGTTGGTAAACTATAAGTCAACCTAATTGAGAAGCTCTTCTGGAAGGGATAGAGCTCCTTATATTCAAGAAGCTTCTAATGGAGTTGGAGGAAGGAGCCATTTGCAGAGGTAGCTGTAATGCAGGACACAGTGACTCACTGCTCAAAGAGAACAAAGAGAATCCAATGTGATGAGAACATAAGTGAATGATGATACCTTCCCTGACACTGGGAAGGTGAGTGGGCTGGCAGGTGAGCCTCGGAGGTGAATGGAGAGGATTTGGGCATATATCTTGCATCAGAAAGACACTTGGTGTAGAGAGAACATCAACCAAGTCATGAACATGAGTCAGATAGAATGGGAAGAGGTGAGGGGCGATTTGGGTGGAGAATGACGAGAGAGGTTCATGGAGCTGTGAATAACTTATGCAGGAAGCTGCTGTGAATTTTTACAGCAGCTGGCAGTTACAAGAGTCTGGTCAGCATAGTGTGAGCTGAGCTGTGCTTCAGGAAATGTGATTGGATTTAGAGAGACCAGAAGATCAGTCATGAGGAGAGCTTCCTCATTTTGCCAGAATTTGTCTGAAATTTATAATGTAAACTTCAACCTATTTAAAGATAGGGAGTGCAGTCAAAATATCAGTAGTACATGATCAGTTTTGCTTCAGGATTTAAATTTAGGCATTAAATTTTCTATTGCATATAGTATGATAAATTACCTACCTTAAAATGGTAGAGGATTTCGGGTTCTTTAAATGCCATGTGCTGTTCATGTGGAGTCCACATGTTCAGCTTGCACGTTGGCTGTCTGCTTGTATAGGGTGGCTAGGAAGGAAAAGAGCCTAGTGGTTGCCCTCAGGTATGTGATTACTGCTCTGAATGAAGGAGTTGAAACATGGAGTAACAGGTGCCACAAAACTGAAGTTTATTGTGAAACTGGAACAAAGACATCTTCCAAAAATGAAAATTGGGAGTGGCAGAAGAGCTGACTGGCAGGCAGCACCAACTGTGTGTGCAGGGGCTTGGGTTTTAGGGAGAAATGAAACAGTCCTGTTTTCATTTCTGATATCATTCTATTTTATGATTTTAAAAAGGGAGTTTTGTTATTACAGTTTGTCTAAGTAACTGTCATTTTTTTGGTCTGTATTAATTGTGATCATGTAAAACATACCAGAAATGGAGGAAGGAGGCTTGATTTATTGTTCTAAAATATATATTTGGTATTTCCTTGTTTATAATAGTGTCACTAAAAATGCTGTATTACTAATATTATTGCTAAACATTTTTCTTGTCAGAGATGATAATAATTGGTTATCTTAGTAAAGGGATGATTTTTATTCTTTACAAGGTCAGTATTACATTAACCGGAAGATAATGCCATGTGAAAATGTCGTGAGGTGCCCATTCTCACTGACAGTTGGCATTCTGATGTTCAGTAATCATTGCTTTTCTGTAGTCAGGTGGAAAGCAGAGGAAAAAATAAGTAGTGCTTGTAGAACTTTTTAAAAACTGACCTAGGGTACCAGCTGGAAGGGAATAGGCATGCAGCATTTTCAGGAAAAGAAGAAGAAGGACTATCAGCGCTCCAACTAAAATTATTAGTGGATGACCACAGATAAACTCTGCTGAAGAATAGAAGAAGCTCCCAAACGGCAAAGGTGTTTGTCTGGTTTGTTCATTGATGTGTACGTGGAGCTTAGGACAATACAGGCGCTCGATGGATATTTGTTCCGTGAATGAAATTGTCGTTTAAACAGCCAAGTTGTAGAATTAAAGTTATTCATGAATCACATAAAATTATTAAATGTGTGAAAAAATTCAGTTAATTAGATTATGTATGAGGGATTACCTGATTTAACAAATAGGGGCGGTGAGGAGGGTGCTGTGTCTTAGAAGTATTTTTCCGTAGTGTGTCTTAGGTCCCTAGATTCAAGGAAACCCAACATTGTCACAGATAGAGTGAGGCAAAAAGCATATGTATTATTCTTTTCTAAGTGATATGCTAAAATTCAGAAAGTTGCTGTTTATTGAGTGCCTGCTGTATATTTTATCTTTTATTTTTGAAATTTTAAATTTATAAAAAGCTCAGTCTTTGCCAACTATCCCAGTCATGCTTTTTATGGCAAAAGGATCTGTTCAAGGACCACAGGTTGTATTTGGCTGTTGTGGTGTGTGGACTATGGTGAATGATTTCTAGAGGGAGGTAGCAAGTGGGCCATGAGGCATCTGGGACTGGGCTGGAGACTTGCATTGAGGTGAGAGTGGAAACCATCCACAGGAAAGATGGGTGGACAGACACAGAGAGATGTAGGGGTGAGGGTGGAAACCATCCACAGGAGAGATGTGTGGACAGACACAGAGGGATGTAGGGGTGAGGGTGGAAGCCATCCACAGGAGACATGTGGACAGACACAGAGGGATGTAGGTGTGAGGGTGGAAACCATCCACAGGAGAGATGTGTGGACAGACACAGAGGGATGTAGGGGTGAGGGTGGAAGCCATCCACAGGAGACGTGTGGACAGACACAGAGGGATGTAGGGGTGAGGGTGGAAACCATCCACAGGAGAGATGTGTGGACAGACACAGAGGGATGTAGGGGTGAGGGTGGAAGCCATCCACAGGAGAGATGTGTGGACAGACACAGAGGGATGTAGGGGTGAGGGTGGAAACCATCCACAGGAGAGATGTGTGGACAGACACAGAGGGATGTAGGGGTGAGGGTGGAAGCCATCCACAGGAGACATGTGGACAGACACAGAGGGATGTAGGTGTGAGGGTGGAAACCATCCACAGGAGAGATGTGTGGACAGACACAGAGGGATGTAGGGGTGAGGGTGGAAGCCATCCACAGGAGACGTGTGGACAGACACAGAGGGATGTAGGGGTGAGGGTGGAAACCATCCACAGGAGAGATG
Organism: Homo sapiens; assembly: GCF_000001405.40. Taxonomy (NCBI): domain Eukaryota; kingdom Metazoa; phylum Chordata; class Mammalia; order Primates; family Hominidae; genus Homo; species Homo sapiens. Next base: position 167,940,824 of record NC_000006.12, read on the forward strand.
TGTGGACAGACACAGAGGGATGTAGGGGTGAGGGTGGAAGCCATCCACAGGAGACATATGGACAGACACAGAGAGATGTAGGGGTGAGGGTGGAAACCATCCACAGGAGAGATGTGTGGACAGACACAGAGGGATGTAGGGGTGAGGGTGGAAACCATCCACAGGAGAGATGTGTGGACAGACACAGAGGGATGTAGGGATGAGGGTGGAAACCATCCACAGGAGAGGTGTGTGGACAGACACAGAGGGATGTAGGGATGAGGGTGGAAACCATCCACAGGAGAGATGTGGACAGACACAGAGGGATGTAGGGGTGAGGGTGGAAACCATCCACAGGAGAGATGTGTGGACAGACACAGAGGGATGTAGGGATGAGGGTGGAAACCATCCACAGGAGAGGTGTGTGGACAGACACAGAGGGATGTAGGGATGAGGGTGGAAACCATCCACAGGAGAGATGTGGACAGACACAGAGGGATGTAGGGGTGAGGGTGGAAACCATCCACAGGAGAGATGTGTGGACAGACACAGAGGGATGTAGGGGTGAGGGTGGAAACCATCCACAGGAGAGGTGTGTGGACAGACACAGAGGGATGTAGGGATGAGGGTGGAAACCATCCACAGGAGAGGTGTGTGGACAGACACAGAGGGATGTAGGGATGAGGGTGGAAACCATCCACAGGAGAGGTGTGTGGACAGACACAGAGGGATGTAGGGGTGAGGGTGGAAACCATCCACAGGAGAGGTGTGTGGACAGACACAGAGGGATGTAGGGGTGAGGGTGGAAACCATCCACAGGAGAGGTGTGTGGACAGACACAGAGGGATGTAGGGGTGAGGGTGGAAACCATCCACAGGAGAGATGTGTGGACAGACACAGAGGGATGTAGGGGTGAGGGTGGAAACCATCCACAGGAGAGATGTGTGGATAGACACAGAGGGATGTAGGGGTGAGGGTGGAAACCATCCACAGGAGAGATGTGTGGACAGACACAGAGGGATGACGAGGTGAACAGATGGAAAATTCAGATCAAAAGCTGCAAAGGAGAATACTTGATTTTGCTTTCTGTAGAACTTTTATAAACTTAGTTGCCAGATAATGTAACCCATGAAATTTGAAGTATATACTGCTCTCCAAAATGGAGTTGCTTTGTTAAATTAAGAAATACTATACTGTTTTTAAAATGAGATATGTAATGGATGGTTTTATGCTTACAAAATTTGACCTGCTACAGGCGTTTTGTTTTGGTTTGGTTTGGTTTGGTTTGGTTTGTTTTTTCCCTGAGGGGATAAAGGGAGTCAGGATCAACAGTGCTGGCCAGTCAGGCTGTCTTCTGTAAACTTAACTTGTTAACTAAAGGGGACAAATGCGAGTGGTTTCCAAGTGAAAATTACATAGCTCCAGGGTGTTACAGAAAATCTGTTTTAACTAAGTCATGTGTTGAATCGTATCTTCGTACCTTTCTGTGCTGTATTTTTACTCTTACCGTACAGTGCCTCGCAGTGATTGAAATGGATTTGTATTTGTCTTCAATCGTTGTGACCTAAGGAATTATGCTCAGTTGTATAACCTTGTCCATAATATCTAAGTAAGATTTCATGCGTAGGACTGCTTTCTTTGATAGTTGCAATAAATTACCCAAAATTTTGATTGTTATAGAGTTAGGTTTAGTATAGTCGTGGTATCCAAGTAGAATATTGGTGATTCTGAAAACAATTATATATAGAACTTAAGTCTATGTAACAGAATTTTATTCTTTCATAATATATCAATTCTATGTGAATTGGGTCTTGTTGCTTTGATATTTATTTACAGTTACAGTACATGAGTTATAATACTGATTATTTTCTGTATGATTTTCTCTTACTAAGTTCCTCTGTTTGCCACAAGAAGTTTTTTTATCATTTAAAATCTTAAACTATACGTATGAAAAGAACAAGGGTATAAGGGAGGATATAGGTAAATGGTGAAATGTAAAAATACTGTACTAGGTTGCTTTTTGTATTAAAATGATTGATAGTATATATCATGCAGGTAGTTTTTAGTTTGCTTACACTTGTGGCTGTTCAGAACTATTCTTAAATTAACTTCAGGATTCCAAGTCTCTATTTTACTCTCATCATTAACTGATGCATGAATAACTGATTTTTCATACTTGTAATTTTCATGTAAAAATGAGAACCAGGACTTTGTTGCAGTTATCTGTGTACATGTTGGGTGGTTTTATTTTTGTTTTACTTTCCTGCATAGTGCATTTCTTACAATATATCTTCAATGCAGTGTTTTCGCCTTGTTTTTGCAATAGGGTGCTGGTCAAGATAAACTAGGAATCTATGTGAAGTCGGTTGTGAAAGGAGGTGCTGCAGATGTGGTCAGTATCATTTTGAAAGAAGTACATTTTCAGTGTGTCATATATTCAGCAAATGATGTGAGAGATTCTGCTGATACTTCTAGTTATGTAGCACTATAGTGCTTGTTGGAAGAACAAATAGAGTATCTACTCATCATTACCTTTTCTTCCTCCCGCTCTCTTTGCTCTCTACCCCTAATCCATGCACACACCTGTGGATTTGCCTAGGATGGACGTCTAGCTGCAGGTGATCAGCTCCTCAGTGTGGATGGACGAAGTCTGGTTGGACTCTCTCAGGAAAGGTATCATTGATTTATTTGCTTGAAGCATAGTATTAGCATTTTTAGGTGATTTTTGCATTAAATGTTGAAATTGGAAGATAAAAACTATGCTAAAACGTGCTCATATTACTCTTTACCTTTTATAGTGTACGTGACATTTCACTTGTTATCAAATTATAAATATATATTTTAATCTAGTACAGTTTCTTTGAAACTTGAAAGAAACATACTCAACACTTCTTTAAATTTCTGAATATTATCTTACTATTCTTAAAATGATAACAGGAGATGTGTTTGCCTATTTTCATAGTCAGTTTTCAAAGGAGAAAATGGGTAGTGAGTAAGCTGTCTGGAAGTCAGAACCATTACTCAAAATAATAGATGAAGCTGTGTAACATGATTTTCCATTGCTATAATCACAGCGATTCATGACAGAGCAGGCACTGCGTTTTAGTCTTTCTTACATGTGTAATCTTCTTCTCCTAGGGCGGCAGAACTCATGACAAGAACAAGCTCTGTGGTGACACTGGAAGTAGCAAAGCAGGGTGCCATCTACCACGGTCTGGCCACCCTTCTCAATCAGCCATCCCCCATGATGCAGAGAAGTAAGGACCAGTAGGGAAACAACAGTGTTTTACAGTCATGGCCTCTTTGAATGGTCACAAAACCCCCATGGAGGAGGTACTGGTGTTACTATCGCCCCAGTTTTAAAGAGAAAGAAATTGAGGATGAGAGCGCTTCAGCATAGTGCCTGGGATTCCCATGTGAACCTTCTGACCTTGGAGCCCACACTGTGAGTCACCAGGACCCCTCCCTGTCACCAGGAGCCATTTAACTTCACCCCCACAGGGCTGGTTGACTGCTGGTGAGCTTCCATAGGCCCGGCACATAGTAGGTGCTCAGTAGAGAATGAATGTGACGTGTTAAGGATGAACTGGGAAAAAAACTAAAGAATGAATGAATGGATTTTCAGTTTTGATAGGCAGACTCAGGATTTAAAGTGTTTAAAGAATAAATTCAGTTCTTCACTGAAGAAATAGGCATCTATTTGTATATGAGTAGTTACCTTAGTCCTGCATTTGCTGAGATAAGGCATGATGATCTCATTCTGTATACAGTCATGCTCACCTGGCAAGGGGGATCCATTCTGAAAAATTCGTCCTTAGTTTATCTCATCATTGTATATACGTCACAGTGTACTACACAAACCTAGATGGTGTAGCCTATTGCTCCTAGGCTGTAGACCTGCACAGCGTGTCACTGTACTGAATACTGCAGGCAACTGTAATTCAGTGGGAACATATCTTCACATAGAAAAACTACAGTTAAAAAAAAAAAAAGTGGAAGAGTAACAATGCTAGACCCATAGAAGGCCACTTAACCCTGAGTGGAGCTTGTAGGATGGAAGTTGCTCTGGGTGCGTCCACGAGTGAGTAGTGAGTGAATGTGAAGGCCCAGGACATGGCCATGACTACTGTGGACTTTATCAACACTCTACACTTAAGCTACACTAAATTTACAAATATATATATATATTTCTTTAATAGTAAATTAACCTTAGCTTGCTGTAACTTTACTACATAAAATTTTAAATTAAAAAAAACCTTTTGACTCTTTTGTAGTAACACTTGGCTTAAAACACAAACATGTTGTACAACTGTACAAAATATTTTCGTTCTTTCTATGCTTATTCCATAAGTGATTTTCTATTTTTTTTTTAATTTATCTTTTCATCTTTTTGGTTAAAATCTCGTACATAAGCACACACATTAGCTTCGGCCTGCACAGGGTCAGGATTATCAGTGTCACTGTCTTCCACCTCCACATCTGGTCCCACGGGAAGGTCTTCAGGGGCAGTGACATGCCATGGAGCCATCACCTCCTGTGGTGACAATGCCTTTTTCTGGAAGGCTTCCTGACAGACCTGCCTGGGGCTACTTGACCATTAACTCTTTTTATAAGTAAAGGGAGTACACTCTAAAATAACAATAAAAAATATAGTATAGTAAAATATATAAACAAGCAACCCAGTCGCATATTACATTATCAAGTATTATATACCGTGTATAATTGTATGAACTATACTTGTATACAGCTAGCAGTGCAGTCTGGCACGACCACAAACACGAGGAATCATTGTACTACAGCTTTACACTGGCTAAGATCATTTAGAAGATAGGGATTTTTCAGCTCCGTTTTAATCTTAGGAGACCACTGTCACGGATGTGGTTCATCATTGACCAAAATGGGCTTATTTGGTTCATGACTGTAATTCACTTAAACATCTTAATTATTTAAATAATTTATTTTCTGGAACTGTGGTTTTACAGCTACATCAAAAAGAATCTCAGGATAAAATCAATACAAATTTAGGGCTTTTAAAATAATTAGTTCAGACACAATAGGAGAAAACCATTGTGATTCATAGCACAACTTGTTAAATGTATACATAGACTTCTAAATATGGCCTTTATGGCTTTCTCCTCCGTAAGGCAGGATTCTAGAAACCTCACAACCCAGAACCTCAAGTTGGTACCTAATAGTAACAAATCACAGCCACAGCCAAGGCATCAGAGAACGTGACTTGCTGCTTCTTGAAGCAAACACACACCACCCAAGGGGCAGCTCAACAAAACCTCGTGTGGTATTGTCTGCCTTGCTCAGCATGTTGTTTACTTTTTATGTCACGTAGAACTTAACATCTTGGTTGTCTAATTTCTTAGTTAGTGGTCATTTAAAAGAAGCAAACTAGAATGTGAGTTAGAAATCACAGAGGGAAGCTGTGAATAGTAGATGATAAACCAGGGTGAGCAAGCAAAAAGGAGGAGAACTGACAGAAGCGGCCGCCAGGAGCGGAAGGCTCACGTCACATGACGGCTGCTCAGAACGATGACGCTGGGCGATTAAAAGTTCAGATATTTTTCTACAAAGTCAGGGAAACATATATATCTTTATTGATTTTTTTTTTAAAGATACTTTAAAAATGGTTAGATTTGTTGCTTAAAATAGTGAAGTTTCAGTTAATGAGAAAATAAGCTTTGAAAGTGTTTATCTTCCCATCATTACTAATTAAGTAAAAATATTTTCTTTATTCTCAGTATATTTACTTAAAAGCTGTTTTATGATTCTGTAGGAAGAATTGACCTTTATCACCTTATTTCTTATGCTAAGAACAATTCTTATGGAATTTTAATGATAATCAGGGTGTTGAAAATAAAATCTTAAGAGATACTGAATATGCTTTGATTCCAGTTTCAGATCGTCGTGGCTCAGGTAAACCCCGACCAAAGAGTGAAGGCTTTGAGCTCTATAATAATTCAACTCAAAATGGGTCTCCTGAGAGTCCTCAGCTGCCTTGGGCAGAATATAGTGAACCAAAGAAATTGCCTGGTGATGACAGACTGATGAAAAATAGAGCTGATCACCGTTCCAGCCCCAACGTAGCAAGTAAGAGTGACACTTTTTTGCTTCCTAAGTACACTTGTGATCACAGTCTGAAGTGAGAGGAGGCACTTTGTGGTTTGTTAATTATTAAAATTATTCTCTGCAAACATTGGCTAACTAGGATATGGTTTTCATAAGGGATATCATAAGTAACATTTCTCTAACAAAAACTAAGATGGAAAAACTTTAGATTCAGTTGATCCCATAAGCAAATACATTAATAACATCTCTATTTGGGGTTGGTAAATTACCAAGAGAAACTAAAATATGTTTTACATTTTTTTTTTTTTTTTTGAGACGGAGTCTCACTCTCTCGCCCAGGCTGGAGTGCAGTGCAGTGGCGCGATCTCGGCTAACTGCAAGCTCCACCTCCTGGGTTCATGCCATTCTCCTGCCTTAGCTTCCCGAGTGGCTGGGACTATGGGCGCCCACCACCACGCCCGGCTAATTTTTTGTATTTTTAGTAGAGACGGGGTTTCACCATGTTAGCCAGGATGGTCTCGATCTCCTGACCTCGTGATCTGCCCGCCTTGGCCTCCCAAAGTGCTGGGATTACAGGCTTGAGCCACCATGCCCAGCCAATATTTTTTACATTTTTAAAGGGTTGTTAACAAAGAGAAGAAGAAATAATAGAAGGATATGCAGCAGGAGACAAAGGCTCACAAAGCCTAAAGTATTTACTTTCTGGCCTATTACCAAAAATGTTTACCAGTCCCTGGCCTGATACACAGAGCTACAAAGGTTTTTTTGTAGCTCTGGGCTCTGATTATTTAAAAGATGGATGTGGATATGACAAGACCTGATTTCTTACCTGCCTTGATTTTTTTTTTTCATCTCTGTGCTGGATACTCACTAGCAGTATGAAGATGAATGAGGTCTTTAAGGAAATTTCATGTTATATATAGGTTGTTTATTTAATATTACACTTTTTTTTTTCCCCCCTGACTTGAGCAGATCAGCCTCCTAGTCCTGGAGGGAAAAGTGCATATGCCTCTGGAACAACAGCGAAGATAACATCTGTCTCTACTGGAAACCTCTGCACTGAGGTCTGATTGATTGATAAGCAAAAGGCTTCTACTGCATTTCCATCCTTAGGGTTCCCTTTGGACATCTCAGTTATCTAGTACAATTTTTACTCTGAATTAGCATTGATTATAATTTCTAAATTTGCAGTGTTTTATCTTTTGATTTTTAATATACTAGTCAGGTAAATCAGTTTTAAATTAATAAGTCTGGGCAAAATGAAATGTTATTTATTCTCAGTATGGATCAAACACTTTTTAATGCAGTATTTAACATATACTATTTTTTAAATTTTAAAACAGATCATTGAAAATCAAGTTAGTCTGTATGGTTGTAAAAAGCTCACTTTTTTTGTTCTTCACATTTTACAGGAGCAGACGCCTCCGCCTAGACCTGAAGCCTACCCCATCCCCACTCAGACGTACACCAGAGAGTATTTTACCTTCCCAGCTTCCAAATCCCAGGATCGGATGGCTCCTCCTCAGAACCAGTGGCCAAATTATGAGGAAAAGCCACATATGCACACAGATAGTAATCATTCCAGTATTGCAATTCAGGTTAGAAATCAAAGATTCCACACACTTTTCTCACCTCTCAAGGAGGACACACTGAGTTCTGAGACACAATTAATATTTTCTATAGAACAGCATTGTTGGCCTTTTGTTTTTCCTTTAATGGTTTTGTGGTTAAGTTTGAGGAAAAAAGGAGACAGGATAGAATACTTAATAAGAAAAAGGATTATCTGTTCTCTGATGTTTGATTAACAAAATGTTAGGAATATAAGGCCTTACAATTTTTAAGACAAAGTTCACTGATTCTAGAAGTGAGAAATTAGAACTCAAGTGGTGTATTTTGCACTGTATCAGGAGCTATCCCTGCCTGTGGGAGCTCATGGTGTGGCAGGGAAATGAGACAGACACAACAGACACAGCATGGTCAGTGCTGTGGGAGAAGAGGCCCCAGCAGGGGATGGAGCTTCTCAGTCTTGGACGAGAACCTGGGCACAGCTGTATGCACGGAAGGGCCTTCCAGGAGGAGGGAAAGGCACAGAGATGTGTAGTAGTTCAGCAGGAACCCTGGGTAGAGGGGAAAGGGGTGGCAAGATCTAAGGCAGTGAAGATAGGCGGGGCCAGACAGAAGGGCTTGACATGACAGCTAAGGAATTTGATTTTTGTCCACATTAGTAGACGGGTGATGCCAATCTGAGTAGTTAAGCTGGGGAACGTTATCCAATGTGGTTTTCTTTTTAGAGAGATAACTGTTTGTATGGTGAAGGATTGGGAGAAGAAATTAAAGGTATGCTTAAAAATAGTTACAGTCTAGGATCTGTGACAAATACATGCCCTGGATCGCAGACGCTCTAGGAATTCTGAAGATTAGCATTCTTAGAGTGGTTGGAAAAGACAGAATTCAGAGTTGAGATGGAATTTGAGCTGAGCCTTGAAGAATGAGAACAGTAGGCAGCGGAGAGAGGATTGCACTGAGGAGATGGACGCTGTGATACAGATGAGGAGGAGCCTGTTTTCTGACGGCAGAAAATGCTCCTCAGGCCACAGATGTTGGCTATCAGGAGATTTCATCTTGGCCTTTTGTCTGGTGTGCTGGTCCATCCTGCTGTTTTCCTAGGTGGGCCTGATCACCTGCAACGGCCCAGTCTTGGGAGTTTTGGATGCACTCTGTCACCAAAAGCTGGAGTTATCTGGGAGAAGGTGTCTTTCTCCAAATTTCTCTTTAAAAATTGAGTAATTTTGTGCCCTAGTCCTTCTAGTATCTTTTGTTAGAACGTAGGAGAATCTGCTTCCCATATGTCAAGACAACCCAATTTGTAGTGCATACATTGAATCCCATTTTTATGCACAGTATTTCCTGTTGTGTGGGGCTGGCATTACGTCTTCACATTTATAGTATACAGCTGCTACTTGTTTCTACCTCACATGGATAAACAATACCTAGAGGAGAGAGTTGAGGAACTGAGAGGCAGGCCAGAGTGTGGAATGAAAAGTTATGATGGGGTTTAAGCGAGGAGGTGGAGAGTGCGAGCCAGCAGCCGGGGCCAGTGCAAAGTCTTAAGGGAGCAGAGAAGTGACTCAGGTCAGCCCTTCCGGCAGCAGGGAGCGGCGGTAGGCACAGTCTCTGTTTTTATGTGGTCCATAGATTTTATACCCCAGTAATGAGACTCTGTGTACTAAGTAAAGCTCTAGCAAAATGTTGGGAGTAAATGTTCCATTTTTCTGTGAGACTACTGCTTTTTGAAGTGATACTTCATCTTTGTTGTTGGTTTGCTTTTTAAGGAAAAGGAAATAATTTGTTTTCCTGGTTTACATCTTTAATTTGTATTCAGTAACAGGGCAGGAAAAAGATGCTTGATTCAGACCTCATAGTGATCATGTTTATCTGAGTAGACTCCTTTCATATGTGCCATTTCTCAGATTTTAGACTAGCCCTTTGGAAAAAGTATACTCATTTTTCTCTGTGTCTGTGTGTGTGTGTGTGTGTGTGTGTCATTTCTCTCTGTCTCTCACAGACACACACACACATACCCCTACCTTTGTGTTCAACACATTTGTAGCAATACATTTTGGACCTTTCTGGTATTGGAGCGGACGTATCGCAGATGTGTGGGACTTGTCCTTGCATTACTGTGCACAGCTCTGTCAGCCCAGAAAGCCAGTCCTTAGCTTGTAAAATGCAGAAAGTCACGGATGGTTACATGGTTAAGATTTAATAATCACTCGTCATAGTAATTAGAGAAGTACCTGTTGTTGATTTTTACATATTATGAATAAACACACTCATTGCTTTGAAGTCCAAGTCACATGTCTGGCTCTGCAGTGGAGATGGTGCTGGGCACACAGGAGGGTGAGGAGGATGAGGATGGGCACTGGCACTGAAGGGCCTCGAGGCAGAGAGAAAGTACAGCTTTGCTTTTTTGCTTTTTTTTTTTTTTTTTTTAAATTTTAGTCGAGACAGAGACTATGTTACCCAGGCTGGTCTCGAACTCCTGGGCTCAAGCAGTCCACCCACCTCAGCCTCCCAAAGTGCTGGGATTATAGGCGTGAGCCACCACGCTTGGCCGCTTTTCCTTCTTTACACAGATAAATGCACTGTTACTCCACATTAGCCAATGAGCCTTGTAGGGCAGTCTCAGTCTCTTTCTGTACACTGATTTAACAGTTTTTCTTCTGTCTGAAGATAAAATGTTTGTGGATATTTGGTAATTTCTAGTAAATGGCTGAAATATAATAATTCTTTTTCTTTTTGCAGCGTGTTACACGTTCCCAAGAAGAACTTCGAGAAGATAAAGCTTACCAACTTGAGCGGCATCGAATAGAGGCAGCTATGGACCGAAAGTCTGATAGTGATATGTGGATAAATCAGAGCTCCTCACTGGACTCCAGTACCTCTAGCCAGGAGCATCTGAACCATTCCTCTAAGTCGGTCACCCCTGCTTCCACACTGACCAAAAGTGGCCCTGGCCGTTGGAAAACACCAGCAGCCATACCGGCCACCCCTGTGGCCGTCTCCCAGCCAATCCGAACAGACCTGCCTCCGCCACCCCCGCCACCTCCAGTCCACTATGCCGGTGATTTCGATGGAATGTCCATGGATTTGCCTCTCCCACCACCCCCTTCCGCCAACCAGATAGGGCTGCCGTCTGCGCAGGTGGCTGCTGCTGAACGGAGAAAGAGAGAAGAACATCAGCGTTGGTATGAGAAGGAGAAGGCCCGCCTGGAGGAGGAGCGGGAGAGGAAGCGGAGAGAGCAGGAGAGGAAGTTGGGCCAGATGCGCACTCAGTCCTTAAACCCTGCTCCGTTTTCTCCCCTGACTGCACAGCAGATGAAGCCCGAAAAGCCTTCCACACTCCAGCGGCCACAGGAAACAGTCATTCGGGAGCTGCAGCCTCAGCAGCAGCCCCGCACGATCGAGCGCAGAGACTTGCAGTACATTACAGTCAGCAAAGAGGAGCTTTCCTCGGGGGACAGTCTGTCCCCCGACCCGTGGAAGCGGGACGCCAAGGAGAAGCTGGAGAAGCAGCAGCAGATGCACATCGTGGACATGCTGAGCAAGGAGATCCAGGAGCTCCAGAGCAAACCGGACCGCAGCGCCGAGGAGAGCGACCGGCTGCGCAAGCTCATGCTGGAGTGGCAGTTCCAGAAGAGACTCCAGGAGTCGAAGCAGAAGGACGAAGATGACGAGGAGGAGGAGGACGATGATGTGGACACCATGCTGATCATGCAGCGCCTGGAGGCTGAACGAAGAGCGAGGGTAAAGGGGGGAGTGCTTTGGCTGTGCCCATCTGTGGTCCCTATTTTAGCTTCTGCGTGTTTCCCATGGGGATAGCTAGGCCCCTGATCGTGATAAGGATTAAAAGGGCCCCTAGGCTTATACTGTTTTATTGTATGTGTTACTCTTGGCTGATGTCGTAGAGAAATGAGTCAGGCCTATAAGGCTAAATTTTTTAAGACATGCTTTGACAAGTATTAAATACAATTCAAATGGAACTTGATTGTTTTCATTAGCAAACTCATAATTATCCTTTTCCTTAACACTTCCAGTTGAGAAAACAAGTATTTGTTAATGACCAGTAATAATCTTGATCCAGGGTAGGCAAAATTTTTCTTCCAGGGCCAGATTGATACTTTAGGCTTTGCAGGCCACGGGGTCTCTGGCAACCCCCAGCTCTGCTGTTGTAGCACAAAAGCAGCCACAGGCACAAGTAAACACATGGGTGTGTCTCTGTACCAATAAAACTTTATTTACAGAAACACAGGGCAGATGACTGTCTGGCCCCTGGTCTTGTCAGCATTTTGTGGTGGTGAACAAAAGAAACTGTTCAGATCATTACATTTACAGTCATTACCAAAAATAGAATCTTCACAGTAGTTGTACTGTTGATGAAGCAAGCATTTGTTAAGGTAATAAACAATTATATTCCAATTGTAGCATAAAGATATTGAGAACTGATTTTATTCTTATTTCTCCACAGTATGAAAATGATTTTTGTTTTAAATAAACTAACAAAAGTATAAATTCGTTTAACACAATAAATTGTGATGCAGAAATTTTAGATAAAAGCAAGACTTTGTTACTCTATAAAGAGAACTGTTAAGAGGCATTTACTGCTATTAATTTGGGCATTTATTAATATTAATTTATAGAGAATGCTATTGACCATATTGTGTTCATGAGTTTTAGTGATTTTTTTTTCTTTTTTAGACACAGTGCAATATTTTGAGAAAAGATGGCCAGAGCCATGTTCTTTTTATCTTTTGGATTCTGTTTCTAATTTCAACTGTTTTTTTATGCTGTTAATGGTAAAGCTCTACCAGGAGCTATTAGGTCAGACATTTTAATCTTTCTACCTCACAATGAAATTTAACCTTAGATAATAATTTGTGAGTCCTTAGATCCTTGGAGCCCAGTAGTGTGATTCTTTTTCGATTTGCTCTGTGAATTTTTCCTGAAAAGTCTCTCTCACACATACTTCTTAATATATACATATCTCAGCCAAAATGTGTGTATATATAAAACTTTGCCCAAAATTCAGCTTGAATCCCCTTAGACACTTAAGTTTCTTAAATGAGGCCAAAGTGTGAATTATTACATTGTTTTACTACTATTTTTATTAGTATTCCTCAAGTCATTAGTAGTAAACTTCCTGATGAGTAGCTGTGTTTACTGTAAGCACTGTTTTATTTGAAAAACCAACCACTACATTAATAGCTATTTTACTTTAAAAGTAGCTTAAAAATTACAGTACTTTAAAAGTACTCTGCATTCCCCTCCCCATCAGAGCTCTCTGAAAGGTGCTGGGCCTGCTGGCGCCAGGTGCATGCTCCTCTGCTCTGGCCAGTGTCGCTCCTGGGTGCACTAAGATGGATTCGTTAGGATCCTAAGGACGTTCATGGCCTTGTGTCACCCACACCCCAAAAGATGAAAAGATGTCTTTTCCTTCGCTGCATTTTCAACTCTGAATATACAACTGTTGTGTATGGCAAATGAGTCAACAGTATCAGCATTTCTTATTGTTATAACTGTATCCTGACAATAATGAAAAATTAGCCTTGTAGTATTTCTGTAAGTATCTTTTTCTGTGAGGACTAAACTTTTATTTAAAGGTCTCTCAGAGTTTTTCCAAATGGGTTAAAACACTGAATATTTCAAAGCCTTTTAGTATGAATTGCGATATTTGGAAAGTTTCTTATGAAAATTTAGTAAAAAATATTTGCTTTTTGCTTAGTAGTTCTGTTACAATTAGTATCTTAGTCTCCAAATAAGAAAGCTAAGGGAAATTTTGCTGTTTTTTATTTTCTATGTATCCTAATGATGAAACTCATTTAATACCATGTGGGCATTTTTCTGTTTCTGAATACTAGAAGTTAGTCTGTAGTTCTTTACCTTTCTCATCAAGTTGTCGAAACACAGATGACGCATGATAGTGAGAAAATATGCCGATGGCAGATTACAGGTCTAAACCTAACTTTTTTTTCCACACTTCATCTTTCTTTTTTTTTTTCTTTCTCTGTTACCTGCAGCAGACTGCTATGCCAGCAATCTCTGTTCTAGATTTGGTATGTTCTTGTTTCTTTCCCTTTGGTACTTTTTTCCTGTCTTGATTTTCTTTTCTTTCAGTGGTGGCTGTTTGATGTTTTCAGTAGATCCAGTTCTCCTTAGGGGTGTCCTCCATCAGGAGATGGAGTCCCTGACACTTTAGAAGCATGCCTTTGAATGTTCCTAGATTTAGTTACTCTTTGCTTTTCTCCGTTAATTTTAAGTGTTACTGTTTGTTTATGGTTTTGACCTTTTCTCGGTTTCAGTCATAAATTGATTCCGTGTATTCTTACGTAGTCATAAATACATGAGCAAATGAAATAAATTTTGTAATGAGTAATCTATTTCATTTTTTTCACATTAGACATAGATTTTAAATATTCAGTTGTTATAAACTCAGCTGAAAGGGTATTGACATTATTTGCCAGTTAAGATATAACTGTCTGTTGGTAGAGTAAGAGATTTCCAGTGAACATGTATTCTATGTTTTCTTTAATAATATAACATGGATTTTAATTCAGTTTATCAGCCATGCCAATTTATCAGTCTGCTGAAAAATACTTGAGGTTCATGGTCTGTTGTAAATTCAAAGTGTTCATTGTCATATTGGGGAAGTTTGGCTCATCGTTTAGGGCCCATTATGCTTGCGTATGGTATCTTTATCACCTGCTAGACAATTATACTCTGATATATTTATATAAACTTGAAGACAAATTCTAGTCAACTTATAAAGACAAAAGCCAATATCAGACGGTACATTTAAAACCTGTGAATCAAGGTTTGACTTTAGTGGCCTTTTCACCAAATAATAGTCCCCTTTTCCTTCCCCCCTCAGTTTAGCACAGCGGTAATAACACCTTAGAGAGGAACCTTTCTTACAAACACCTTCCCTCCTTGGTGATTGGAAGGCATATTTTCTGAGCTTTGCATTTTTTTTTTTACATGAAACAAAGATTTAAAAGTTATACATTTTTCTCCCTACTTCTTTGTGTGTTTTGATGTACATAAGTGTAGCTGGAAGATATTGATCAGAGTCACCTTAGTGTGAGATATTCATTCAGCAAATACTTGCTCAGCATCCATGACACGGTGGGCACTGACCTGAGGCATTGAAGATACCAGCCAGCTCTCAGGCCCAAAGAGAGTTTCTTATACTATGAAGAATTCTGTGACACATGAACAGTAAAATAATGCTTGCAATAAGGTTTTTGTTCCATAGAAATAATTCAGAGAGTTTCTTTCTTTAGAAGATAATTATTTTGAGTATTAATATTGATCTTAACCACATGTTTCTGAGCATTTCTTAGCCCAGTTCCCCAGTACATATTATTAACAGCACCTCATTATTTATAAAATTCTTGGGTGGGCACAGTGGTTCATGCCTGTAATCCCAGCACTTTGGGAGGCCGAGCAGGTGAATCACCTGAGGCCAGGAGTTCAAGACCAGCCTGACCAACATGGTGAAACCTCGTCTCTACTAAAAATACAAAAATTAGCTGGGCACAGTGGCGGGCACCTGTAATGCCAGCTACTCAGGAGGCTGAGGCATGACACTTGCTCGAACCCAGGAGGTGGAGGTTGCAGTGACCAGAGATTGCACCACTGCACTCCAGCCTGGGGAACAGAGCGAGACTTTGGCTCAAAAAAAAAAAAAAAAAAAAAAAAAACTATAGAATTCTTTTTATGTAAGAATTGGCAGGTTACCCTAGGAGACCCTCATCTGTGAAGATATTAGCCCTCTCCTTAATAAGGATAAGGGCAAATATGTGACTATATAGGGAGTGACACTACCCAGTATGGTTCTTAAGATATTTTCTTAGACACATCACAGGATTTTCAGGTAGGTAATTAGAGAAATGAGGCAGGTCTTTTCCTGTTTGGAAGCAGCTGAGTTTCATAAAGTTGGGAGGCTGCCTGCACTCGTTTCTGCTCTTCCCTCTGGTCTCTTTGTGACCCATCACCCCTGTCAGTCCAGGGCCTACCTTCTCCATCCTCTGTGCTCACTTCCGACCTGAGACGGTAGCACCACTTTGATGCCAGCAATATCCTCATTTGATTTCTAGTCCAAACTTCTCACATACTAAAGACTCAGATATCCACCTGCCCATGTAACATCTCCACATGGAGTCAAGTAAGACTTTTGGAATGCAGCATGCTCAAAGTGAAATCTTTGTCTGCTTCACTCACCTTGCACTGCTCATCATTCTGCCTTCAGCCTTCCCCATTTCAGCTGATGCTTCGAGTTGCTCAGGCAAGAAACCTCACAGTCATGCATGACCCCCTTTTTTCTCTGTTCAGAAACTCTACTGGCTTGACCTCCTCACAACCTGACCAATCTCTGTGCCCCCGTGACCAGAGCCTCTCTCCTTTTCCTGCCGGGGTCACTGCGAGAGACTGGCAGGATCCCTCGGTACTGTCCCCCAGTCCCTTCACAGGACAGCCTTGACATAGCATACAGCAGTCTCACGAGAATGTCCTCACAGCCCTCCTAAGTCTCTCCTTTCACTTAGACAGGCGGTCTAAGTTTGCTCGGGTCTCATCTCCTCTTCACACCCTTGCCCACTGGCCCTCCAGCCTGCCTGCCTGCCTTCTAGTGACCCTCCACATGTTGGGCCGTCGGGAGGGTCCCTGCCTGTCTCCATGGCTGACCCTCTTGGCACATGCAGGTGTCTCTCAGATGCCACCTTTCTGGGGGGGCCCACCTGCCCCCACTGCTTCATATGGGGGGGGCCCACCTGCCCATGCTGCTTTGTATCAGGGGCCCACTGGCCTCACTGTGTCCTGTGTGTTTTTCTGTGGACATGCTATACACATTACTCATCATTAGGCATGTTTGTCTCTTCTGGGTAGCGCCACCTCCATGGGAACAGTGACCTTTGTCCAAGTTTCTAGAAGAGTTCTGGAGTGTGGTAGGCAGTCGAGTGAGTGGGATCGGATTCCAGGCCAAGGTCCCAAGCTCTCGAAGGTGTGTGACCTTCCTGACTGTTAGCATCTCAAGAGTAAAGCTGTTACTAGGTTGTTTCCTATTTTAATGACTGAGATGGTGTGTAAGTCATGTTCAAACCAAAGTCTGACTTGCTGGAGGGATCTCCTTCAGCACTAGATTATGATGAAGCCCATTGTGTCGTTAGGGCTTTTCCTTTATATCGCATGGGCAAATCCAGGACACCTGGAATTCGTCAGGATGTCTGCTTTCTCCTGGCAGAGTACTCTGTCCTAGCCTTGGAACCTGTCTCTAACTTGAGTAGCCGGTTAGTTAGGACCATGGAGGTGGCCGTGACTGTGGCTGCAGCTTTGCCTGGCTGCAGCCTCGAGAAGTAGCTAGTCCTTCCACCTGATGACAAGGTGTGTGATTCGTGCCTTCATTGCTCCAGGTTGCCACATAACTGCATATATTCCTCTCATTTCCTCATGACAAAGCTATTCTATGGCAGAGCACAAGGGCCTAAGCCAGCATGGAAGAGATTGACCCAGTATCACACAGAGCACGTGAGAGCCAGGGTCCCCAAACCCACCATGGGAGAGACTTTGCCAGTACATGTTGAACATTCCTAATCTGAAAATTCAGAATCCAAAATCCAAAACTCTTTGAGCACCGACATTATGCCACAAGTAGAAAATTCCACACCTGACCTCAGTGAGAGGTTGTAGTCAAAGCTTCGTTTTATGTCCAAAATTATTTCAAATATGTTATAAAATTACCTTTAGGCTATATATATAGTGTATATGAAACAGAAATCAATTCATATTTAGACTTGGGTCCTGTTTCCAGGAAATCTCATTACATATATGCAAATAGTCCAAAAATAAAAAATCCAAAATTTGAAACACTTCTGGTTCCAAGCATTTTGGATAAGGGATACTCTGCTTTGTATCACATGGATCAGGTGAGAGTGAAGGTTTTAACGAGAGTTTTCTGAATTCATATTACGTGCCCTTTCTAGGACACAAAAATGCCTCTTTTTGTAACACTGTAGTGGCAGGAACCATTTTCTCGAAATTTACTTGGTTTGACAAATCTCTCAGTGGCTAAGCTCAGGTTTGTCTTGTTAACACGTTTTAATGGATCATCTGCTGACTCAGAAAACATGAGAACTCACAGGAGAAATTCCTCCCCCTTGGGGTAATAATACCAGTGAAAAGATGTTTTCAAAGAGTTCCGTGGTTCTGCTGCTTTCCTTACATGAAAGCCCAAGCTAGGTCTTCCCTCCTCTTCCGCTTTCTTGTTTTTGTTTGCTTGTTTTTGCGTGGAACTGTAGAAATTGGACATGCCCCTCTTGAGCATCCCAGGTATAGAAGGGGTTGAATTAAAAGCCTTATAAAAATTTCAAGCAGGAATTAGTAGGAAGCCTAATTTCAGAATTGTTTCTTCAGAGAAATCTATCTGGGGGAAGTCAGACTGTATTTTGTCTATTCAAATTGGAGTGCCTCTAGAATGAAAATGGGCCCTGCCCAGAATATCAGAGCCACAGTGTAGTCACAGTGCATCTTCAGGAAGTCTCAGTTTTACTCAAGGAATTAGGAGAAGAAATATGTATTAAAACCAACACGTATATATTGCAGAATGGAATACAAAGTTTGTATGATTGCGTAAAACAGTTGCCCTAAAAGAACTTCAAGTTTCTGTTGTAGGCCTCTTTGAGCCACACTGTCTTCCTTGTGGATTACGGTGTTAAGTCTCTGCCACAAGGGCGTTTCACCAGCTAAGCTCTAGATCTTACAACTTCTAATAAAATGGTCATTTTACTTAAATCTGAAAAAAGTGTGTGGGCTGTGCTACAGGAAGGGAGCTAGCACTTACTGAGGACCAGGTGCTACAGTGGATGGTTTTTCCTGTGTCATTTAATACATTCTACCACTGTGAGAGAGGACTTCAGTTTCCTAATGAGGAAATCGGTCCCTAAGACATAGAGTAGACTTTTGCTTGGTCTAAAAACCAGGTGTTATGTCACTTACCAGAGGTACTCCGATTCAATCATTAATTTGTAATAAATGATCAGGTGTTTTCTTCATGTTTTTGTCCCTAAAATTTTTTTAGGGTGGACATTTTTAAAGGGAGGGAGCATAGGCAGAAAAAGTCTGTAGAGTAAAAGGCTTTTTAAGGGCTTTAACAGAGTCGTGTTTTCAGTAATTTGTCAAAAAGTAAAGGGTATTATGACCCCATTTTATGTTCAGATACCAGTTTCATTTTCATGATACAAAATTATAAACACACAGATCTCAACATATACACACACATATATATGTATATAAAACCTGAAAATACCTGTTTTGGGGAATGTGGACTACCCATATAGCAGAACCTTGGTTCAAGCTTGCTACATACTGGCTTTCAAATCCCAGTGTAGTTCTCGATTTAGAATAACTTTCAGTCTGCATGGTCTTGATTCATCGGGTAATAGTTATTTTTTAATCTATTCTGCACTCTCCTCAAAGATCACTTCCTGCAAGGCTATTTTGGTAGCATGTAACTTTTCATTCTTTTAATCAAAGTGCTAATCTAATAGGCAGTTTGCCACTGGATTGCTGGGTGATTAAATTTGTAATTTAAGTTAAAATATCCTTTAAGTGTTACTGAATGTGAGTAACCCATACAATTCAGTGTACTGTTTTAAGCTATTATTTTGAGTAAATTAAGAGATTCTCGTTTTTCTCATTAATGCTTTGTGAATGGTGGGAGTAAAGCAACATAGCTTTGAAGAACAAAACAATTTATGTTTTGGAGATGGAAATACGTGAGTTAGCCAAAGAGTGGAAAGAAACTGCCTTGATGACATTGGTGCTGGTTGATTTGCCTTCCTTTACGAATAGTAACTGATGAGCTGAACACAAGTGGAGGCTCCTTGCTGACCGCATTCCAGATTTAGAAGAATAGAGGTTTTTAAGAAGAAAATGCCTGTTTTTACAGATTTATAAAAAATTATGAAAATAATTGTTCTGATTTCTTAAAATATACTTCTGTTTAAAAGAACTAATTGGTCTATCATTGTGTAACACTTTCTTGCTCAGCGCTTATTTTTAATTGAGGCTAGAAAATATTAACATAAATTAGTTTGTGCTTTGTGGGATAAGGAAAAGGCCCATATTGCATTAATGCAATTTTACATTCTACCCTAATTACTTTTCTGTAGAATATTTAATATTCTCACTTGCTTTATTTTGCTATTTTTGTTTGGCGCTGTTTCTCCTAGTTCTCCTAGTTTTTCTTGACCCCTGAAATCCTTGCTGAACGTTTCCATCCTTTGCTCTGGCCCCTGGTGCAGGAAGCCTGTGGGGAGCTGTGGCTGGTTCTGTCAACTCAAGGGCAAGGCGTCACCGACGGCTTCCTTGTGGGTTCTTAGTGGCATCTACTCCTGCTATAAGCCCCCTAAAAGCCAGTCATCCTAACATCCCTCTTGGGGTATGGATAGGTTGTCCTAAAGAGACAGTTCAATTATTTGTCTCTTTGAGAAGACAATTTTAATTTTTTTCTAAGATGTTTTATTATTGTTTATTGACATGAAAAAGCCTAGTAACACAGGTTAATTTATTCTTTCTCACCAGATACAGTGTTTTCTTCACAGAAATCAAGGGAGAGTGAAGTTGATTTTTATTTAAAAAAAAAAATACATACAAAATCAATTCAAATTCCAGCACTTAACATTGTTATATTTCTACTACAAACAATTTATAGACAAACTGGTAATTCTGTAGAAATTGAAGCACGTAGGAATTTTATGTAAGGGATTCCTGCAGTGGTTAGAGATTGAACTAGATGGCTTTAAGTTTCATTTTAATCCTATAAATATTGATTACTTCTTCATGACACATGATAATACAGCTGTGGGTGTTCCTGTAGCACAGGTCTATACCAGATAAGAAGTAAATGGAGAACACAGTTTTCAAAGTTACCATTATCTTAGACTAGAATAACAGAAAAGCTGCGTGTATCCAAGACCAAAAGGGAGAGTCTTTCTGTTCTGCACTGGTTGTTAATCCAGGGTTCCTCTTTAGAAAAGGTATTTTCAACCTATAGTGCATAGAGATGTGAGCAGAAGGATAAAGGAGCTAAAAATTGAAAAGAAGGGACTTAGGTATTTGAAGGACATCCTTAAGTATTTGAATGATATGAAGGAAAGGTATCTTTCTGTGTTGTTTCAAAAAGGCAGAACTGGAATGACCAAAAAGAGAAACAATGAGGTAATGAATTGTTAACATAAGAACTTCTTGACTAGTGTTACCTGAAAACAGAATGGATTGTATTGACTGAGAGGTCAACATTAGGTCCAGACAGAAGAGAGCCGAGATAGGGCTCCTTCCCATCTCAGGTTCAGAGTCCATGGTGCAGAGTGTAGGGTAGTCCTGAGTCGGGAGGGAATTCTTGAAGTCCAGGGTGGGATCTGGAGGGAGCTGATGGTAAAGGGCAGAGGAGAGAGAGTGGCAGGCCTTGGTCCCCGGGAAAGATGGACGACTGCCCGGCCCACTGGAGTCACATATGCTGCTTCTGTCCCACCTATGCAGAGGCGAGTGGGGGCCTCCCTCTTCTACAAGATATTCGTAGTGGAAATTAAAAAGGGAGAGGAGAAAGGAGGTGTTTCAGTGTGTTCTGCAGGTCCATCAAGTGGGGCCTGTTTGAGCCTGTTAATTTACATGAACGGGTTAACTAAATTTGTTCCAGTAAAAGAATTGTGCTTGTTGAATGTGTGAATGTAGATGATAAATTCCATCTTATAGCCATGATTAATGGAGGAATAACTGGGATTTGTGGCAACCGTTTTTAGGTAATTTATTTTAAAATTGTAGAGCTAAAAAATTGTAAAAAGTTTTATTTTCCAACAGTGATTTTAACCTGGTATTTTATATTTAACTTTCTGTGTGTGTGTGTTTGTGTATATGTGTGTCTACTTGTCTTAATGTGTGCATTTTATGTCTTGTGCTGGTGGAGTTTGTGGAGGGAGATTAATGTCAGCCTGTTGTTAGTTGCAGGACGAGGAGCGGAGGCGGCAGCAGCAGTTAGAAGAGATGCGCAAGCGGGAAGCGGAAGACCGAGCGAGGCAAGAGGAAGAGCGCCGGCGGCAGGAGGAGGAGCGAACAAAACGAGACGCTGAAGAAAAGGTTATGGTCCTTTAAGGGCAGCTAGAATTTTACCAAGTTAGCCTGAACGTAATCGATTGGCTGGGGCAGAGCGGGCTGGAAGTTCTGTGTTTCTTAAGAAGCACGAGGCAGAGCAGGGCCTGGCTCCCCCAGCTTTGTGATTGGACCTGCAACTTTACCCCATCTGGCCCACCTACCTCTCTTCTGGACTGTCTCCAGATCCCCTTATCTGCCAAGTTTTGTCTCCTTCAAACTTCTGAACTCTTGGGCGTGTGTAGCAGTGAGCCTCTTTGCAAAGGGTTCGTTTCCTCGGGCACTCATCTTTACTGAACATGGCCCAGCTTGTCATTGTGAAGGTGACATTGGTTCAGTGATTGCTTAAATGGCATGTGGACCGTGGGAAGCAGTAGGAGCGTAGTAAGACAGTTGGCTGCCATTCAACATTTCAAATAGATGGTTTACTCAAATCACTCACTTCTGGTTGATGGTAAAGAGAGCAGATGGCTTAGAAAACATGATACAGGAAAATTTAGTATGTAATCCAGTAAATATCCTAAGTTATTTATTTTCATGTGTGTGTGTGTGTTTAAATCAAGTAACCCTTTTAATTGAATTTTAAAATGACAGCGAATTTTGACATTCTGAGAAATGGGGATTTTGAGATGTTTCTCTCCATATCTCCCTTTGTCCTGTGTGTGTGGCCGACGCCCTCTGGATGAAGAGGCTGTAGCCGTTGAGCTCCCTGTGGGGGCCTGTTTCATCCCGAGGGGACTGCGTGTTGCTCTGTGTGGTTTGAGAGAAGCTGCTCTTCTCTGTTACTTCCCTTCTATGAAGGTAGAAGCTTTCAGTGTTACAACTTCTGATGGCGGAAAATTTAGTTTTTATTAATAATTCCTTCTTGGATAGTCTAGTGAACTATATTAATAGAACAGTGTACTGTTCACAGAAAAGAACTTGTAGGGAGTTTTTTGTAGTGATATGCTCTATTAGGATACAGAACAATCTAAGAGTAAGCTTGATAGACATGATGTGACTTCACTTAAATGGAGTAGAGTGAATAATGTAAGGACACTCACCTCTGTTGAAATTGGTGATTTCTGCATTTTGTAGACCTTTGCCCTCTAAGTTTATCATCATATTATCTGTTGAATCTGAACAGCATTTGAAGTCCTCTCAAAGAGTTTGAGCTTTCAGGATTAGGTTCCCCTGTGAGTCTTTCACTTGTGTAATGGTAAGTCAACATTGATGATCTTTCTAAGGAAATCAGATTTACAAAATGCTGAGCCGCTTGATGTCTAAGTGTTGGTGGTTTTTGCTGTTGCTTTGCTGTTCCATGAAAGCGCTCCCTGGCTGCTTGGAGGGCTGTGCTTTTCCAGGTCAGTGCCAGCTTGGCTGTCCCAGGCCGTGCACAGTGCCCATTGCTATAGCTGGGCCCAGTCCTGGCCACGCCGGAGCCTCGGCGGGGGCAGCTGGGTTGTCACGGCAGCACAGTGCACATGCAGAGAGGACCAGGCCATGTTTTTCCTGTGCTGAGAAACTCTTGGGTTATTTAATTTTTCCAATGTGTTTTCATAACTCATGATTATTTGAAATACACTTGTGTTAGTAACTGCTTCTATAATTAAGTGGTCACTGTAAAAAGGCGAATAACCTATTTTTATATCAGAATGTCCAAAACTCATGGGTTTGCTTTGTTATAGAAAAATGTGCCATTCATTTGTTGGGTAGAATAAAGTTGTCTTGTAATTGTATCTGCTCTTGGTATAACTAAAAGAGGATATTTTGATTTCTTCCTAAAATGTTACCAAGCAACTGTTCTTCATGTTAATACTAAGATTCTTGATAGTTCCATTTAAAAGCCACAAGAAGTCATTCTGGTTTATTCCTCACTCCAAGGGAACACTTACTTTGTGTAGACAAGAAGATGAGAGTCTTTCCTTCAGGATTTCTAAACACAGAGCAAGAAGATTCAATGAAAAATTGGGCTCAGGGCAGTAATTGGGGCTGGCATTTATTCTTAAGAGTTTTCTCCCTCAAAAGGTGAAGGAGTGACATTGCGTATTCACTCTGTGTGTGTGTGTGTGTGTGTGTGTGTGTGTGTGTGTGTGTGTGTGTAGCTCTAGAGGGAGTAGGGAGAAAATACAGGATGAAATTGAAAACAGGGACTAACAACTTTTCACTGAATGCCAGCAAGCTCTCTAAAATTAGTTTTCTTTGGTTGAACAAATTTACAATTCATTGTACTTCATTTCACAGCATTAAACATTTACTCGAGGCAGTTTATTCTGTTTGCTCTTTCATCCCCCTTCTTATTTACTTTTTTCTTGTGCTCTAAAACTTTTGTCAATCTTTAACAAAACTGTGCTGTTACCTTTTTTAATGTTAAAAGAATTTTAACACTGTCAACTGTAGTTTGTGCAGATGTATGTCAGAAAAAAATGTACAGTATGTGTCAAAATATATTTGAATATCTTGTTGCTGTTGCTGTTAGTTCCTGGCTCTCTAATTTTCTGTCTGTTAGGGAGTTTCTTAAGATTTGAAATACAAGTTAAGAACTATGGAAAGCATATTTGTTAGATTGTTACTTTGGGAGAATGAGTGTTTTTTTTTTTTTCTTCATTTCTGGTTTCCTGTTAATCTCCTTCCTGATAACTGAAGTAAACAGGGTGGTTCACTCATGTCCTCCTTGTCCAGGAAGGACTGCTCTTCTGCATTCATGGGGGCTCAGTGAAAAAGAGTGCAAGTTTGCCTTTTGGAAAGTGCTGGCCATAGAAAGCCAGTGACAGCCTATTTTTAGTTTTGCATTATCTTTAAACACAGCAGTAACAGGTAAGTTAATATCCTGCCAAAATCAGAAGAGGAGAGAGAGAAGGAAGTAACAGGAGCGTGGAGGAAGGAAAGAAGGAAAGCAGAGGAGAATTCAGTCCACTGGGATAATGGAAAGGCATAAGTGACTGGGAAGCAGGAGGCTGAGAATCCATTCCATGCTTCTGAGCAGTTTTCTGTCAAATAATCCAGGATAGTATTAATGTACTTGTAAGTCTAGGGAGAAGACTCTGGATTGACCTGCTGCTTCTGTTACATAGTAATTGTAACTATTAAACTTTGACGTCAGTGTGATGATGAGGATTGTTCCCTTTGAAGGCCCAGTGGGTCGGCTGTTCCCTTCTCACCTCTGACCTTTGCACTCTTGTCTATTCCCGCCCGCAGAGGCGACAGGAAGAAGGGTATTACAGCCGCCTGGAAGCCGAGAGGCGCAGACAGCACGACGAGGCGGCGCGCAGGTTGCTGGAGCCCGAGGCGCCCGGTCTGTGCCGCCCTCCGCTTCCCCGGGACTACGAGCCCCCGTCCCCGTCCCCCGCGCCCGGCGCCCCTCCTCCCCCGCCTCAGCGAAACGCCTCCTACCTCAAAACACAGGTCCTCTCCCCCGACTCGCTGTTCACTGCCAAGTTTGTTGCATACAATGAGGAGGAGGAGGAGGAGGACTGCAGCCTAGCAGGTCAGGATAAGTACTCCAGCACAAGAAAGTCTCATGGGGACCTTCTTCCTGCCCCTCTTAAACCACGGCCACCCCCCTGCCAGCCACGCCCGGCCTCCGATGGCGTCTTTCTCTCCAACTCATTCCAGCCACCCTCAGCCAAAGCCAACAGTACTGCTCACAAAAAAGGCCAGCCCCTGCCCCCTCCAAAAAAATCCAGCTCCTACCATCCCAGCCACTGCAAAGGTAGAGGTAAAAGAGTGACAAATCAGCTCTCTTTGTCTTAATGATTGGAACCTCAGCATCTCTCTGCACACTTGCCCTGTAGTATGGTCCATGGCGATCATACTTGCCTTGGAATTTGGATGTCATGTGATCACTGGTCTCGGCATGGTGATCCTCCTCTGCCTCTGATTGTGATGTTCTGTGCTAATACTCTTTGGTAGATATCTTAGTACTCCGATTTCTTTTACACTTTAAAAAGTTCCATTTCTTTGATCAGCTGACAATCAGTCCTTCTCTGTTGTTCCCAAATCACTTGAAGTACTGTTGGTCTTGGCTTTCATTTTCTCTCTCTACCAATGATCTTCTATTTGTTTGAACAAGTGCTTTTCACACGCTGTAGTGTCTCTAGAGACAAAGGTTATAATTCTATTATAAGTTTCCTTTATTTAATGTTGGCAGAACTTTCTGTTCTGGATTAAGTAGCCTGTGGAATAGATCACGCGCTCTCATGGTGGTTTGGTTGGTGTGGCCGGAGCATCCGCTAAGCTGGTTCACTGTTGGCTTCATGACCTCCGTGCAGGCTGCCTCACGCCAGGGTCCAGAGACCCCCGTTACAGGGAAATTCCTCTCATCCCCTTTTCCTCTAACTGGCTTCACTCCTTCCTGTTACTTGCACTCTTAGCACCTAGTAACACCAGCAGCCAGACCTTAGCAGGCGTGCAGCTGCCGTTAGGGAAACCCCTATGCTGACTGTAGAGCAGGACAGTTGTGCAGGGGACAGGGCCTAGAGGCTGTCACAGGCGTGGGTTCAGTAGTCATTGTTTTCAAGACAGCATGTTTAAAATATAGCTGAATTCATAAGGATTCAGATTTCACACTAATCTTACCTTAAATGAAACTGGAATTCTGGTACTAAATATCTTCAAATACAAGAGTATTACTTTTAGTGAGTGTATGAGAGTCTTCTAAATCCTGCATCATTCTGCATAAGCAATGCATGGGACTCGACAATTCTGAAATTGTCAAATATTCTAAGAGTCAGTGTAACTGTCACCCTTACAAATAACAGATTAATTTTGCCAGAATTCTGTCTTTCCCCGCCCCCCTGGATCAGAGCTTTGATCTACTTTGAAGGTTTAATATATAATAATATTTAGGTTGAGTCACTTTGGAAGCCAGGATTAAATCATTTTATGAAATATCTGTTGTAAGTATCTACAATTTGGTACCTTTTAGAGAAATTTACGGAATAATAGTAAATTTTGAAGCAGGATGCCATCAGTCTCCTTGTATTGAATTTTATAAGCTGAACCTAAGATATTTTTTTATGTGTCATGACAGAAATGTGAGGTTTGGTAGCCAAGTATTATAATGAGGTGTCACTACTCACCATCTTGGCTCTCAGTCCTACCACTAACCCTTATTTTACCGCACACATGAAGTACCTCACAGGACCAGGTCATAGCCGACATCTGATTGCTCCACCTCTTTGAAGACTTCTTCGTAATGTACAGAGCCGTCTGCACCGTGTGCAGAGCGCATTCCGACCTTGTGTCCTCCTCATTTCACTAGCATGGTCTCATTCCTTGCTCAGCTCTGTTTGTGTCGCGAGCACTCTGGTAAAGCATGCTTCTGCAGATGGACTGGGCTTCTTCCACTGGACAGTGAGAGGAGCAGCATTAGGATGTGAATGAGTAATGCCAGATTTGAACATAGCACTGTATGAAAGATTCATTACTAAAGCTTTTTGAAAATGATCTGTGATTTGGAGTATTCATAGAGAGTCAGCTGAAGGTATTTGATACTCTTAAGTCTAAAAGTTCCGAAAATTCAGAAGAATTAGTTTTACCAGTGGAAGAAGCCAGTATCATTCTTAAAGCTCAAAAGATATAATACAATGTTTTTAAAACTAAGCAAGATAAAAAATTTGGAACTAAAATTGAAAAAAATGTCTCCATGCGGTAATTTATCTAAAGGCCCGCTATAAATTGTCGTAAGGTGGAGATGTGTTTCTGTTGAATCTTTTGAGTCTTTGCTGAGGATGGCGCCCTCTGCAGGGTGGTGGGAAACCTGAGT
The DNA here is from genome assembly GCF_000001405.40 of Homo sapiens. NCBI lineage: Eukaryota > Metazoa > Chordata > Mammalia > Primates > Hominidae > Homo > Homo sapiens. The sequence goes on from NC_000006.12 coordinate 167,968,326, forward strand.
GAAGGTGCAGTGCAGAGAGGCGCCTTCAAAAGGCAGCTGTGTCCCGTCTGCAGCACATCAGATGAGTTCTGCACAGCAGGTCCTTTTGTAGAAGAGGAGAAACAAAAATGTATTTTTGTGCAAGTTGTTTGAAAAAGAATTTTAATGTGAAAATATTGTACTACTTTTGTGGCCTGTTTAATCCAATATTCATTGCTGTCAGTATTTGCTAAATAGTTTGAGCATTTATTACTGCAGCCTGTATTACACTGTCAGATTTTTCCAGTGTGAATTTTTCTAATGCTACAATTAATAGAAATACATTAACACTGATTTACTGCATTATGATTTTAACAATATAACATTGATTGTTACTTGGATACACTTAGTGACATTATTACTTGGATACATTGAAAACTTTGTATCTGCATCACATCTTTTGATCCTCAACAATCCACCGAAGCCAGTAGGAACAGGGCAAATGTTGCCGATGGGTTGATGTTACACTCACCCAGAGTTGCTGTGCCAGTCAGAGGCAGAGCTGGGCCAGTGGGCAGTATTCCTCCCTCATAGTGAAGGGCGTCAGGTCAACATTTTAGCACCTTTTGAGAGTAGTAATTGGATTACTCAGGCCACCAACAGGGATGAATTTCAAACTGATGAAACTTTGATACAATATGAGGGGTCTTTTACCTTCCTACTTACTCAGTAAAGGTATTTTTGTATTCTCTGAGCACTGCATCTTTATCATGAGTAAAGCTTAGAAATAATCAGGTACTTTAACTTGTACTGTTTCTTTCATGGAAAAGGACCAAACTCTTACCCAGGATCTACTGGAGCAGCTGTTGGAGCCCATGACGCCTGTCGGGATGCAAAAGAGAAGCGCTCTAAAAGGTATGGACGGTTGCACTAGACGAGGAACTTCATCTGTACCTGATGAGCCCTTTCACTCTTCACGACACCTTGAGATTATGTAAACAGACTTCATGGCTTCACTCTGTGACCTCACCTGGATTGTAATTAGGAATGCTATTGCCCCAAGTGTTCTTAAAACATGGAATTTGAACTCACCAGAAAAATCATCAGTACTATTCTATAACTTATTATTAAATTTGGCATATTTATAGATGCCTCTCAGGTACATGTAAGATGCCTTAAAATGCTGTATTTTAAAACTGTACCCCTCAGGTTACACTTAACTGGTAAGAGTCACCTGCTTGCTAAAATCTAACTTACAAGTTTTTTGAGAGTTGACTATGACTGGGAAAAGTTAATGTTGTAGCCAAGAGAACATGTTGCCCTTTTTTTCTAGATGGGTTTAAATACAGCCCCTGTGATTTCGATTATAAGAAAGGTTATAGCACAATTTAACAAAGAATGAGTGAAAATTTTAATCGCCCATTTTGCAAACGTGTGTAATTGTTGACAGGTTGTTTCTAGTTTGTCCAGTAATCTTTGATATTGCCCTCTTCTGCAGCCAAGATGCAGATTCACCTGGAAGTTCTGGGGCCCCTGAAAACTTGACATTCAAGGAACGCCAGCGTCTTTTTTCACAAGGTCAAGATGTATCCAATAAAGTGAAAGCTTCTCGTAAATTAACAGAACTGGAGAATGAACTGAACACAAAGTGAAAGAAAATGAGGAGAACACTTTGTATTTACCCCAAAATCTTTTCAGTTGTGGGTTTGTAGGTGCGAGTTTGAAGAGGAAAAGAGGAAGGGGGTTATATTTCTAAGTGATTTACAATTTCTGTTTCTAAAATTGTTGGGATTTAGAAATGTTTCAATTCCAAGAAATTTTATTTTACTTTACCATGAGATTGCCATTTATGTAATTTAAACACTGTCTAGTTTCTTAATTATCTAACTCACACGAGGGTAAGTTTTTTGTTGGTTTCTTTTTTGGAGTCCTGAGTTCAAAGGGGACAGAACTAAGGGCAGGAGAAGAGAATGGATGTGTCTTCTCTCCCATCTTCCCCTCATCATCGACCGAGGAGCACAAAGAAGTTCTGTTTCTGTTTTTTTCAGAAACTTTATTTTAGCTGTCAAGCAGAGAATAGCTTGAACTATTCAGACTATTGTTGGCACTGTTTAGTAGTGACCACACGCTCTTCTACCCGGGAAGGAACATATGACGACATGCTCCTCCCATGTCCCCTGATGGTGTCTGTTCCCACAATATCCTTCTAGTCTGCATCGTGAAGTGGCTTAGGCCAAAGCTTCCTGTGTGATGACGCACGTCCGAGACTGTTCCATCTCATTCCTCGCAAATTTGAGCTCTTCTGATCAATTCTAAATATTTGATTAATTTTAATTCTGAAAGAAAATTTTGAGGATTTAAGCTTAGGGGATTTTATTTTTATAAATACCAGATTATTGTTAGACTTAATAAATCACTGTTAAATTTAAAGATGACAGTTACCTTGGAAAGTTCACTAATACTTCGCTCCAAGGCGTCTGTAAAAGAAGATATCTTTATTGGAGCAATGTTCATGTGACTGGGAATGACAGAAGAATGGGAGATGAGTAGGGACCCCTCAAGCACAGCTGTCACTCAGAAATTTTAAATTTGAAAAAGAAATCGATTTTCATCTGTATGCCGTCAAGGAAGGAATTCAGTTACAGGGCATCTGTAACTTAAATATTGTAAGAATAACTCATATGGAAGTTCAAGCTATTTTTATACTATAATAGAGTTATTTAATTTTAATTTGTTGAATTATTAGTTACCACTGTCATTTCTTCAGCTATGGATATGTGGCTGATGTTGGGGAGACGGACCTCAGTGTGTTTTATATTGTCTGGTGTTAAGATGATAAATTACTTTGTGATTACAAGCAAATTTTCTATTTGACAAAGCCCTTGGTGGAGTCCAAATGATTTTTCTGTACCATATTGTTCTCTTACACATACGTATGTTAGGAAAATAGGCACACTTTCAAAGAGAATGTTCTCTTACACATACGTATGTTAGGAAAATAGACACATTTTCAAAGAGAATGTTCTCTTACATATGTTAGGAAAATAGGCACACTTTCAAAGAGAGGTATAGGGGCTTTTTACTGCCTTCGAAATCACTTTTAATAAAAGTTGTATGATAAATCATTAAAAATGCGAGTGTAAATATTTTTTTTTACCTCTATCAGGGTTTTTATTTGAAAGTGTGCTCTTACCATTTCCTTGTTTGAGTAAGAGAGTGAATGGTTCTGAGTGTTTAGGAAGGATTTGCTTGCTTGCAGCAGAAGTTCTAGGAAAAGCAGGCACCTCCCAAATATCTTGAGGACACTGGCAGCCTTATGGTGACTAAATCCACACTTTCTTTAAAGAGATGCAGATGAATTACTTTTCTGTTAATATATAGAAAAATACACAGGAGAACATGCAGATACATGTAAATATCTACATACAGGGATATTTGTATGTGTGGTTGTGAAACCCATACACAAGTGGATTTGGCCATCTTTGGGCAGTGAGGTCAAATGTGAATATGTGTAAAAGTGCTTTTCAGAACTGCATTACTATGAGAAAACATCAAAACTGCTGTAGTTTTCCATTTCTACTGTATTTCAGTTGCAACCTATTTTTAATAAACTTTGTATGTATTTAAGTGTATTTGCTATTGTTTTGAAAGTGCTGACAAAGTTTATATTTGTAACATCAGCCTTCCTCGCCCATCTCTTTCCATCTGTCTCTTCTTCATTAAACACTTACTGAGTATGATTTCTGTGTCAGGCAGTGGTTTTCATTTGTGGGGACGTGTCGTGTGCCTCGTCACACAGCTCACGGGTGGTGTCTGAGTCTCATAAGCCGTTCTGCTGCCCAGGCCTTCCTGATGCTTCCTTGATCCCAGCAAGCTTAGGTGGGCATTCGAGCCATTTCTCAGTGACACTGTCTCTTGGTGGCCCCTTTGAAATAAAATATCCGTAGTAATAAGTAAATGGTGTACATAAGGCATCCTGGTGAGAAGCGTCCTAGTGCAAGAACCCACTCGGGACGGCCTCGTGTAAAAGGGTGTGTTTGATTGTAAAACTACACAAGTCACATTGTGAGGACCTGGGAGCTGCGGGAGGCCTGGGCATGTGCGGGCGGGACCTTCTGTGTGGACAGGGCTCAGCGCTGCCTCTGCGCCATCTCCTGCCTCTGCCTATTTCCAGTGGACCTTTTAATGGCCTGTGAGCAGGGGGATGGGACAGGGCAGGGATGGAGAATTTTTAGAGCTTTCATGGGGGGAGAAAAGGATGGGAAGTTGTTGGTTGAAGGATGCAAAGTTTCAGATAGACAAAAGGAATAGGTTTTCAGATCCATGTGCTGCACAGCAGGGTGACTGTAGTCCATGTATTGTAAAAATAAGGACGTTCATGAAGGAAGGAGTGTGTCTTAGGGTTGTAGAAACTTGTGGAGACCTTTTTGATAGAACGAGATGTTTGTGTATTAGAACTATAGTATTCACTTTTACTATATTTTAATGCTTGAAAGGGGACTTTAATGTTTGGGAATACAAAAACTTAGGAAGTCTGAGTATTATTACAGATTCCTTTTTCTCCTCAAGCCTTGTGTTTCTGTTGCTGTCAGTGGAAATAATGGTACTGCCCTACAGTGGTCTGTCATACGGACCAGCAAGCACTTGATCATTTTCTGGTGTGCGCCGTTGGACACAATTTCCTCTATCCTTTATTGAGTGGAAAACTGATTTCAAAGATTTAGTTATATTTAGTAAACATTAAGCAAAATTTAATTCGAGTGACTTGGAGGAGGGAAAGGATGTACAAAAAGTGATAGTTTTGTTATTTCCAGTATTTCATCCAGTTTATTCCAAAAATCACATAACCTCAAAAGAGACATACTAGACTTGAGATTGGGAATTGAAGCTAGTTTCTTGTTTAATTCAGCAGATGTTTATGGGAGCCTGCGGGTGCCTCCTGCCTCAGTGATGGTGACGGGTCTCACAGCGCTTACCTGCTGTCCTGAAACAGCGTGGCTCTGCCCCCAGGGAGCATCACTCCAGGAGGCAGCAGCACATGTTCCATTTACATATGCAGATACATAGTAACTGTTAACAGTAAAGAAGTGCAGGGGACACCTGGAGGTCTAATAAAGTTCCTGGGAGATGGTAGGCTGTTTTGAGAAAGTGATGATCTTGAGAAGCCTTGCAGATGGAAGGAGAAGCCTGAGGCAGATAAGCTGGAACCTCAGGAAGATCAGGGGAGCCCAGAGCCAGAGCCCCAGAACAGGAGGGTGCAGGCAGGGGCTGGAGAGAGCCAGGGGCCACCTGGCACTACCCGGTGGTAAAAGAGTGTATTTTCTAAGACCATGGCAGGAAATGTGACTTGTTTTCTTCACGCAGTGCAAAGCCTCTGCAGGGTTTCTAGGAGGGGCTGGGGCCACCCAGGTGATGTCAGTGGCTGTCGCTCTGGTTGCCGGGATGGGAGGGGAAGGAATGGAAGCCCGGAGCAGGCTCCTGCAGGAGTTGGAGGCTTTGAGGAACCAGATGGTGGTGTGGCCACCCAGATAGGAGAGCATGGAGGCATGGGCTGGGGTGGGCACAGGTAAGCTCTAGAGTTGTTTGCATAGCTACAGAGATGCCAAAGAACAGATTAGAAAAGAGGACAAAACTCAGCTTGGCTTTCAAACAAATTGGTAACCATGGCTTTCTGTTTGAAAACTACTTTCACATGTCTTCAGTGGGTTAGATCTTATTTTTCTCTGCTCTTCTAAATCTTACGTTTTATTCTTTTATAGGGACTACAGGCTTAAATGAATGTTAAATTGGAGACAGTGGTTCCAACTTCAACTTGGAACTTTTAAAAATGATTATAAGATATTAAGTAATCTAAGCCCAAAGAGAGACCTGGGAAACCATAGAGTCAATTGTATGGCTTTAAAAATGTTCCACCTTCCTCCCGTCAATCTTTTTTGTATGAGAATAGATCCCAAAATATAAAAACAGCCTAGTTCAGTTGAGCAAAATACGTACCATGTTCTGAACAGGCGAAGCATAGCTAGGGAGTCTCGGGACTTTGGGTTTGTCTGATTTCTGTAACTGCCATTACCTAAATATTGGAAAATTGCTGACATCGATGCAGAGACTGTCCAGAGCCCTCTAAGTCTTTGTGGACAAAGAGTGACTTATTTAATGAAGCAGCCTCTCCTTCCTGTGATGTGAGATGTTTATTTCTCTTTCCAGTTTTTTAATTATACGTCACCCATCGCAGACTAGGCACCCATAAATATTTGTTGGGTAAATTCTTCTCAATCTGAAGTCTAGTATGTATCTTTGGGGTTGTGTGACTTTTTGGAATAAACTGGATGAAATCGTGGAATTAAAAATTCACTTTTTGCATATACTTTCCCTCCTGCAAGTCATCCAGTTACATCTTGCTTAGTGTTACTAAATATAACTTTCTGAAATTAGCTTTCCATGCAAGAAAACATAGAGGAATGCTATCTTCAGTACAGTAGACGGATTGCTCACAGACAGCTGGAGGCTGCAGTCTATAAATGATTTGATCAGATCTCTCTCAAGAATTCTTGTAGCAAGACAAGAAAAGGGATTGGTGGAATACAAACAAAAATAGGAAATGAAGGAAGAGGAGAGTGCAAAGGTGAGGACCACACAGGCCGACTGCATTGCGAGGCCGTGCTGCGCGGGGAGGCTGGGTACCACATACCAGTTGCATGTATTCAGAAGAGGAGCAAGACGCAAGCACCTTCCGGAGGGAATTTGTCTCAGCCTCATATTCTAAGAGGAGTTTCTCAGGCAGCACTGGACATGGGCCGCCCTGAATATTCTTTGCTCCTGAGGACACCATTTGCGGGGCTGACTTGTGTACATACACGGGGCCTCTGGCTGTCTCAGGTGGAGACACAGATTTGTCACACCTCTTGGCAGGGTTTCTAATGACATGGGCAGAGCCAGAGTCATTAAAGTGGTAAAGCAGGTTGGATTCCAGAACTTTGTAATAGGGGGAAGAAAACACCGCAGTTTGGAGCTGGACTCAACTCTGCATACAGCAAGGCTGGAGGGCACTCAGGCTAAACTGACCCATGGGGAGTCTTCCTAAAGTCAGGCCTGGGGAACCCAGCATCACCTGGGGGTTGGCGGGGGACGCAGAACTGATCAGATGTCGGACGCAGGCGTGGGGGATTCTCACGGCGATGCAGACTTGAGGCTGAGTTGAAAAAGGGCGTGGAGAAGCCCAGGGTCTGGTCAGGGAGGGCGTCCTTGGCACTGGGGCCATGAGAAGCTGGTGTCCATGTTCCTAACCAACGATGCCACATGGTCGCCGCGATCACGTCGCACACCGTGTCCTGTCACCTCTGCCAGGCGTGAGCTGGCCTTTTCGCCACTGTTCTCCTGGCCTATGTGCATGCCTAGCCAACAGCTGCTACGTAAATAAGCTTGGAAACAAAGTGATACGGACCTGATGTATTACAAACACGCTGCAGCAGGAGACGAGGCCTCCGTCCAGCACTGCCACCGACTCTCCTGGAACCTTTGGCCACATTCTGTGACACGGGACAGGCTCAGAGCAGCTCAGTCCCCTCGAGACCTGACACCAGCCCCTTCAGAGACCATCCATTTTCTAGGAGTCACATGAAAAAAGTAGAAAGAGGTGTAATAAATTGTGATATATTTTATTTTGCCTAATATATCCCAACAGCATCATTTCAACATGCAATCTATACATAAAATGCATTCAGATTCTCTACATTCTTTTTCATGCAGCGCCTTCAAAATCCAGGCCGTCTCATACCCACAGCATTTCCCCGACTGCTGCGTGCTAGTGCTGGACCGTGAGTGACCAGAGAAACCACTGCATTAAAATATGGGGGTCACTCCCCCTGCAGTGTGTGTGTGGGGAGCAGGAGGCAGTGGGGGTCATTCCCCCTGCAGTGTTGGGGGAGGAGAAGGCAGTGGGGGTCATTCCCCCTGCAGTGTGTGGGGAAGGAGGAGGCAGTGGGGGTCATTACCCCTGCAGTGTGTTGGGAGGAGGAGGCAGTGGGGGTCATTCCCCCTGCAGTGTGTGGGGAGGAGAAGACAGTGGGGGTCATTCCCCCTGCAGTGTGGGGGGAGGAGAAGACAGTGGGGGTCATTCCCCCTGCAGTGTGGGGGGAGGAGAAGACAGTGGGGGTCATTCCCCCTGCAGTGTGTTGGGAGGAGGAGGCAGTGGGGGTCATTCCCCCTGCAGTGTGTTGGGAGGAGAAGACAGTGGGGGTCATTCCCCCTGCAGTGTGTTGGGAGGAGAAGACAGTGGGGGTCATTCCCCCTGCAGTGTGTTGGGAGGAGGAGGCAGTGGGGGTCATTCCCCCTGCAGTGTTGGGGGAGGAGAAGAAGGCAGTGGGGGTCATTCCCCCAGCACTGTGCGGGGAGGAGGAGGCAGGACTGTGCTCGCCCCTCCCCTTCCTGGTTCAGGTCCTGCTCCTGGGACTCAGCGCTGCGCCTCTGGGAAGGGCCGGTCCAGGAGCTCCGCAAGTTGCGGGAGAACCTGGCGGGTCCGTGGTCCAGCGAGGCCTGGGATTCAGAAGGGATGAAACGTTCCTCGACGCTTGAACACCGGCCTCCTGCCCCTGGGTCTTCCTGCTATTTCTTCCTGCCCCTCGCTCCCGCCTCGAGCCACCCCCTCGTGCTCCCCAACGCCCGCTCCTGTGCTGGTCACTGGGGGCAGTGAGAGGAGGCCAGAAGCAGAGGCGATGCCGGCGGGGAGCGGGCGGTGGGGGGGCTTCTGGGAGCGACGGACCCGGCAGCTGCAGAGCCCAGTGCGGCTGAGTGGGGGGAGGGAGGAGGGACCCCCCTCAGAGGCTCCACGCGGAGGCCTGGGAGAATCGGGTGGGCTGGAGGCTTTCACTGGATGGTAGCCAGCTTTGGACGCAAACGTCCCACGTGACCTGTCCCCTCTCGTCTAGGCTTCCAGGACCTAGGGGTGGTGGACCTGCTCTGTCCTCCCACCCCTGGACTTCCCTGGTGATCTCCTCTCCCCTCCCACCAGGGACCTCCTACCCCCTTCCCCCTCCCCCCTCCCACACCGGAGCCTTCTCTCCCCTCCCACCCGGGACCTCTTCTCCCCTCCCACCCGGGGCCTCCTCTCCCCTCCCACCCGGGACCTCTTCTCCCCCCCATCCGGGGCCTGCTGTCCCCTCCCACCCGGGACCTCTTCTCCCCTCCCATCCGGGGCCTCCTCTCCCCTCCCACCCGGGACCTCTTCTCCCCTCCCATCCGGGGCCTCCTCTCCCCTCCCACCCGGGACCTCTTCTCCCCTCCCATCCGGGGCCTCCTCTCCCCTCCCACCCGGGACCTCTTCTCCCCTCCCATCCGGGGCCTCCTCTCCCCTCCCACCCGGGACCTCTTCTCCCCTCCCATCCGGGGCCTCCTCTCCCCTCCCACCCGGGACCTCTTCTCCCCTCCCATCCGGGGCCTGCTGTCCCCTCCCACCCGGGACCTCTTCTCCCCTCCCATCCGGGGCCTCCTCTCCCCTCCCATCCGGAACCTCTTCTCCCCTCCCATCCGGGGCCTCCTCTCCCCTCCCACCCGGGACCTCTTCTCCCCTCCCATCCGGGGCCTCCTCTCCCCTCCCACCCGGGGCCTCCGCGGCTTTTAAAACTGTCTGCTGTGTGCTGTGCACGTGCTGGGAGCACAGTAGCGAAGCCGGGACAGATAAAGTTCTTCTAGTCACTGCCCTCTTGGAGTATACCGTTGAATCCGGGAAGTAGATCAATGAAATAAACACAGAATGGTTGTAAAATACAGAACGCTGGGAAGTGGAGGTGCGTGGTCTTACCCGTGTTTATAATTCAGCCGTCGCCTAACCTGAGAAATCAAGGATTTCTGCGTCGTGCGCGTGCCCGCTGAGCTGAGCTCTGCTGGGATGGGGAGTCCTTCTCCGGCTGGAGGCTGAGGGCAGGAGCTCTCGGTGAGAGGCTGCGGCCAGCGGTGCTGTGAGCCGGGCGGGGGTCAGCGCGGGCGGCCGGGGCGAGGCTGACAGCACAGCAGGGGCCGAGCTCCCCCGGGTCAGGCGGGACCAGGAAGGGATCATCCTTCTTTTGAGGGCACGGAGCCACCGTCGGAGGGCCTGTGAGAAGGGTGGGAAGCTGAGATTACATTCCTATTCTGAAAATGTCACACTGTGGAGGGCGGTGGTTCAAGCGCAGTAATGGCCATGGAGGGAGAACACCGCCCGGGGACACCCGGGGTGGCAGGGACCGGAGCCCCGGAAACCTGAGCAAAACGCGCAAAATGGGGAAAACCACCCAGGTTTTAATGGAAATTGTGCGAACAGCTGTCAACGAAGAGTCAAACTCTGTAAAATATTTGAAGAGATTTATTCGGAGCCAAATATGAGTGACCACAGCCTGTAACACGGCCCTCAGAAGGTCCTGAGAACGTGTGCCAAGGTGGCCGGGGCACAACTTGGTTTTATACAATTTAGAGAGGCAGGAGACATCAATCAAATACGTTTAAGAAATACATTGGTTCTGCCCAGAAAAGCGGGACAACTCAAAGGGCAGGGGGAGGGCTTCCAGGCTCTAGGTAAATGTAAACACTTTCTGGTTGACAATTGGTTGAGTTTCTCCGAAGACCTGGGATCAGTAGAAAGGAAATGTTCAGGTTAAGATAAAAGACTGTGGAGACCAAGGTTCTTTTGAAGCCTCATAGTGGCTGCCCTTGGAGACAATAGGTGACAAATGTTTCCTATTTAGATCTTTAAAAGGTGCTAGACTCTAGTTCATTTCTTCAGGATTGGGAGGGCCTGGAAGAAAGATCTAGCCATGTTAACAGAGATTCTTTACAGATGTACACGTCTCCCAACAACGGACAGCTCTGCAGGACCGTTTCAAAATATGGCAAAGAAACATGCTTTTGGGGTAAAATATTTTGACTTTCTTCCTTGTCTCGTAATGTTATGCACGAGTCAGGTTTGGAAAGCAAGTCACAATATATAGGGTTAAATAAAACCCATCTGATAAGAATTTATGATTTGTAGGGCATGACTCCCCAGACCCCTTAGATAGGAATTTGAGTAAGAGTTAAAAAAAAATCAGAGCATAGTCCTCACAGCAAAAATCAGATGACAAATATTTATTCAAGAAAGTCTGCTGAAACTCCCTAAGAATAATGATCATCTGTGGCTCCCTCCTTCCCCCACCCCAGCTCATCTTGACAGAAGCCCCACTCTTGGTGGTTGTGGCCAAGGAGACAGGGCTCGCTCTCCCCTCAGCTCCCACCCGAGGGTCCCCTTATCTCACCAGGAGGGACAGATGCCAGCATTTCTCACCCCAGCACCCAGTTGAAGAGGCTAAATTCCTGGTGAGCATGACGGACAGCCCCCTTCCTCCAGCCAGTCCCTACTCATCGGATGGGGCTCTAGCCCAAGAACAGCGGGCTAAGAAGGCTGGGATCCAGTTGCTGTGCCCAGCTCCACTGTAGGACGCAGTTCCGTAAAAAGAGGCAAACTGAAAAGACCAGAGAGCAGGGCAGTCCACAGGGAAGAAAAGGTTGCTCTGAAGCTCTTCCCAAAGGAACTGGCTTTATTGGAAACAGCGTGGAAACATTCAAGCCTGAAGGCATGCTCTGAAATGATTGTTCCTCTTAATTAGGAGCAATGAATTGGTCTGTGAGGGCTGCCAGAACAAAGCACCACAGACTGGGGGCTTAAACAACAGAAATTTCTCCCTCACAGTTCTGAGGCGGAAGCGTCTGAGCTCAAGGCGTTGGCAGGTTTGGTTGCCTCAGAGGCCTCTCTCCTTGGCCTGTGAATGGCCCCCTTCTCACTGTGTCCTCACGTGGTCTTTTTTCATTCCTTGTGTCTCTGTGTCCAGATTTCCTCCTCTTGTAAGGACACCAGTCACATTGGAATACGGCCCACCCCCATGGACTCATTTTAACTTAATCACCTCTTTAAAGGGCCTATCTTCAAATAGAATCATGTTCTAATACGCTGGGGGTTAGGACTTCAACATACGAATTCGAGGGTAGAGACACAATTCAGCACATCATCAACAAACTAATTCATAGCCCTGCTAGGTTGCTAGAGAGAACCAAGGTGACACTAAGAAGAGCCCTCGGCTGGGCGCGGTGGCTCACGTCTGTAATCCCAGCACTTTGGGAGGCCGAGGTGGGTGGATCATGAGGTCAAGAGATCGAGACCATCCTGGCCAATATGGTGAAACCCCGTCTCTACTAAAAATATAAAAATTAGTTGGGCGTGGTGGCACACACCTGTAGTCCCAGCTACTCGGGAGGCCGAGGCAGGAGAACCATTCGAACCCGGGAGGCAGAGGTTGCAGTGAGCTGAGATCGCGCCATTGCACTCCAGCCTGGTGACAGAGCAAGACTCAGTCTCAAAAAAAAAAAAAAAAAAAAAAGCCCTCCTGGAGCTAAAACAAACCTCAGAGACTGGCCTTAAAAAATGTTCACTGCTGCAGTTTAATTGGACCAGACATTGAAGAAATGTATGCCCAGGTCATTACTGAAAATCATAGAGCAATCAGTTAGTAATTAATGGAGCTTAACAGGTAGATATGATACCGCATGAGGTAGATAGCTTAACAGAGGGATCAAGGAAAGAGATAGCCAGTGTCCCCACCAAAACCACCACAACCCAGGCTGGCTGCGTGCATGCCCAAGGCTGAGTCCTCCAAGGAACTACCCCAGAGGCTTCACACTGCAGGGGAAATAAGCTTCACTGAAATAGTCTAGCCAAGTGACTCAACAAATAAGCAAAACAACAAAACCAAGCTACAGAGAGGGAAGAGAGGAATCAGCATGTAGTTTGTATACTGTTACCTAAAACATCCGATTTTCAACAAAAATGTAGACATGCAAAGACATTCAAAGAAACAGGAAAATGAGACATGAGGAAAACACAGGAAACAAAAGCTGCCTTGTGAGGGCCTAGATTTTTTTTTTAATTTGACTCTGACTAGCAGGAGGGCCTAGATGTTGAGTAGACAGAGACTTCAAAGCAGACATTACAGCCATGTTCAAAAAACTAAACAACACTGTGCTCATAGAAGTGAGGGAAACCATGACAATGTCTCATCAAATAAAAAAAAATACAGAGATTGAAATTATTTTTTAATGATAATCCTGGAGCTGAAAATAACTGAAATGCCAAAAAACATCTGGCAGGGCTCATGAGTAGATTTGAACTGAAAAGTCAGCAAACTTTAAGATAGGTTGGTAGAAATTATGTTATCTTAAAAACGGAGATAAAAATAGATTGAAAAAAAGGAATAGAACCTCAGAGAAATATGTGAACCCTTTAAGCCCCCCAGCATATGCATAATGAAAGCAAAAGGAGAGAAGAGAGATAAAGGGGCAGAAAAACATTCAGAGAAATAATTGCTGAAAACTTCCCAAATTTGCTTAAAAATGTGAATCTCTCAAAGAAGTTCAATGAATCCCAAAAGTAGGATAAATACAAAGAGATTCACACTCACACATGTCATAGTACAAATGTTTGAAGCCAACATGAAAATCTTGAAAGCAGAAAGTGGGAACGAGTTGCCGTGTACAAGAGAACCCAAAAGGACTGATGGCTGTCTTCTCCTCAGCAATGATGGAAGTCAGAGGGCAGTTGATACGGTTTGGCTGTTTCCCCACCCAAATCTCATCTTGGATTCCCACTGTTGCGGGAGGGACCTGGTGGGCGGTAATTGAATCATGGGAGCAGATATCTTTCCCATGCTGTTCTCGTGATAGTGAATGAGTCTCACGAGATCTGACGGTTTTAAAAGGAGGAGTTTCCCTGCACAAGCTCCTTCTGTCTCTCTCTGTCACCATGTGAGGTGTGACTTTCCCCTTCTGCCATGGTTGGAAGGCCTCCCCAGCCACGTGGAACTGTAAGTCCAGTAAACCTCTTTCTTTGGTAATTTGCCCAGTCTTGGGTTTGTCTATATTAGCAGCATGAAAATGGACTCATACGGCAGTGGAGTGAGATGTTCAAAGTGCTGAAAGAAAAAAAAGCTGTCAATCAAGAGTCTTATATCTGGCAAAACTGTCTTTCAAAAATTAAAGCAAAATAAAAGCATTCTTCAAAAAAAAATCAGAGAGAATTTCTTGTGAAAAGGAAATCCCTCAGGCTGAAAGCAAGTGAAACCACAAGGAAACTCAAATCCACAAAGAGCATCAGTAAAGGTAATTATATAATTATAAAAGACAGTAGACATGTATATTTCTTCATTTTCCTTCTCTTAACTGATTTAAAGAACAGTTGTATAAGACAGAGTGTGTATAATTGTACTGTTGGCCCTGTAACATGTAGAAATGTAATGTATTTGACAAAAATAACACAAAGGATGTGATGAAGGCAAAGTTTTACTGGAGTCAGGAAAGGACGCCAGTGACTCGAATCCACAGGACCAAATGAAGAGAAACAAACATGGTGAATAAAAAGAGAAATAGAACTTGCATATAAATAAATATGTATCCTCCTTCCTTTTCTCACCTCCTTTAATGAACATGAAATTATGTAAAGTCATAATTATAACAATGTATTATATTTATAACATATATACATATAATGTGTATAACTATAATAATATAAAAGGAGGGAAGAATACACCTAACAACAGGGCTCCTGAACTAGTGAGACAAAAACCAACAGAATGGAAGAGAAATAGGCAATTCAAAAACAAGGATGGCAGACTTCAATACTCTACCTGCAATTATGGGTAGACCAACTAGATAGAAAATCAGCAAGTAAGCAGAAGACTCAAAGAATGCGATAAACTGAACAGACCTAACAGACACCTGTAGAACACGCTACCTAACAACAGAATTGAAAATTCTTCTCAAGTGCGCATTGAACACGCTCCAGGATAAACATGCTAAGTCATAGAACAAGCCTGAATCATATATGATTTATATCCTTTAAATGTATTCAGGCTTGTTCTGTGACCTAGCATGTTTATCCTGGAGCGTATTCAGAATAGAGTTAAACTCACTAAACAAATTCGGCAAGGTTGAAGAATATAAGATCAATATACAAAAAGCAAATGTATTTCTATACTGTAGAAATGAACAACTGAAAATGAAATTAAGAAAACAATTCCAGCCAGGCATGGTGGCTCATGCCTGTAATCCTAGCATTCTGGGAGGCTGAGACAGGAGGGTTGCTTGAGGCCAAGAGTTCAAGACCACTCTGGCCAGCATATCAAGACCCTGTTTCTATTAAAAAAAAAAAAAAAAAAAAGGCTGGGCACCGTGGCTCATGCCTGTAATCCCAGCACTTTGGGAGGCCAAGGCGGGTGGATCACCTGAGGTCAGGAGTTCGAGACCAGCCTGGCCAACATGGCAAAACCCCATCTCTAATAAAAATACAAAAAATTAGCTGGGCGTGGTGGCGGGTGCCTGTAATCCCAGCTACTTGGGAGGCTGAGGCAGGAGAATCACTTGAACCTGGGAGGTGGAGGTTGCAGTGAGCCAAGATTAGGCCATTGCACTCCAACCCAGGCAACAGAGTGAGACTCTGTCCAAAAAAAAAAAAAAAAGAAAAAGAAAGAAAGAGAAAACAATTTCACTTACAATAGCATCAAAAATATCAAAACATTTCAGGATACCTTTAACCAAAGAAGTACAAGGTATAAGACTTAACAAGACTTTTACACTGAAAATGATGTTCACCATTATTAGCCACCAGGGAAAGACAAATAAAACTGCAGTGTGACACCACTGCTTGTCACAAAGAGGACTATAATAAAAAAGAGAGAAAATAACAGGTGTTTGAGAGTAGGTGGAGCAATCAGGATCCTCATGCAATTGTGTGGGAAAGTAAAACTAATGCTGCTGTTACCGGATGGGACATCTTGACTGTGAGTTGTCCAGGTTCTTGGTGCGTTGAACAAAGAACTGAACAAAATTGAACAAAGAATTGAACAAAATGTACAAACAAAGCAACAAAAGAAAGAAGCAACAAAAGAAAAAAGCAACAAAAGAAAACAGCAACAAAAGCACAGATGTATAGAAAGTGCAGATTTACTGAAGCGAAAGTGCACCCCACAGAGTGGGAGCGGGCTCAAGCAAGCGGCTCAAGATCCCCAGTTGCAATGTTCTTTAGGGCTTTTCTTAAGCGAAAAGAATTTGGTAACACCCCTGGGTGCCCTTTAGAGGCCTGTGACCAATCAGAGGCTGAAGCAGAGATGTGGCCCGTGGTCAGTCCGAGGCTGACGTGCAACTTGTCTGTCTTGTTATCACTGGAGGGAGGCTGTGGCCTGTGTGCTGCCCAGTCCTGCCTGGAAGTAGCTGCACCTGCTGTTCTTCTGCTTATGCCTTCACCCTTGGTTACCCGAATTCCCTATCCTCCTGCCTCACAGCTGCTTTGGAAGACAGTCTAGCAGTTCCTCAAAATGCTAGGTATATGCACCCGAGAGAACTGAAAACACTTCTCCACAAAGCTTGTACGTGAACGTCCTGGCAGCATGACTCTTAATAACCAAAGAGAAAACCTCAACGTCCGCCAGCTGATGAATGAATAAACAAAATGTTGTACATCCATACAATGAAATACTATTTGGCAATAAAAAGGAATGAAATTCTGATATTGCTACACATGGCTGAGCCCTGAAAACATGCAGAGTGGAAGCCAGACACGAAGGACCACGTGTTGTGTGATTCTATTTACATTAAATGTCCAGAATCGGCAAATAGAGACAGAAAATAGATCAGTGGTTTCCTGGCACTGGGGTAGGAAGTAGTTAGGAGTAATGTCTAAGGGTTTCTTCTGAGGAAGATGAACATATTCTGAACCTTTCTGGTGAGTCGCACTTGAAGGACACTAAAGCTTGCTGAACTGTGCACTTGAGATGAGTAAATTGTCTGGCGTGTGATTTGTACCTCAGTCAGGATATGGAAATGTTTTCAATTAATTCCAGAAAGAAGAAGCTGGCAGAGAGTGGTGGTGTCCGCTCCTGCAGTTGTCCATGAAGAGAGGGTGCCCTTTTGGAATTAAGTGGATTGGAGAGGAAATATTCCAGAGATTTCTTTTTAAGAGCTTAAATGGACTGCATATAGCAATGGGTAGCGTAGATCAGGGGTCCCCAGCCTCCATGCCATGGACTGGTACTGGTCCATGTCCTGTTAGGAACAGGGTGCACAGCAGGAGGTGAGCAGGGGCCAGTGAGCTTTCCCTCCTGAGCTCCGCCTCCTACCAGATCAGCAGCGACATTAGAGTCTCAGAGGAGCGTGGACCCTCTTGTGAACCGCACATGCGGCCATCTAGGTTGCGTGCTCCCTATGAGAATCTAATGCCTGATGACCTGAGGTGGAAGAGTTTCATCCCAAAACCACCCTACCCCCAGCCTGTGGACAAACTGTCTTCCACGAAACCAGCCCCTGATGGGAAAAAGGTTGGGGACCTCTGGTGTAGATGACTCCCAAGGCCTCAGGTCACGTCACCAGTCCCAAAGAGTTTGGAGTTACAAGTAAGATTGTCCTAAACTCATCACAGCTGGTTGTGGGCGTGTCAGCAGGCATGGGGGAGGAGGAGTCCCCGGCAGAGGACTGAACCCCCAGTAGGAGGGGCTGCACCTGAACCCCCTTCCTAAGAAACTGGTGGTTGTCTTTGCAGGAAATTCTCTGGTCGCTGGCTCTCTCCGTGTTCACTGTTGATAGGGTGATATGTCACTGCCCTACGTCAGACCCTCCAGTGCCCTCCCGTCTACGTGGGATCAAACCCGGGCTTGCACCTGGCTTGCACACACCCTGGCTGTTTCCCGGCCTCCTTCCCACCCCAGCCTCCCTCACCCACTCGCCGACCTCGCAGGCCTCTGCCCCGTCCTCAACACGCCACGCTCGTTCCCACCTCGGGGACTTCACACCGGCTGCTTCTGTGCCCCAGTGTTTCTGTGGTAGCCCTTAGCCCTCCCAGCCGGCCTCTCTGAGTCCCCTTCTGACAAGGAGTGGGAGGGTCCAAGCCCCCAGGTTCGGCTGCCACTGCTGGTCAGGGGCCACACTGGAGGCTGGAGAGGTGGTGGATGTGAGCGTGGACGGTGGGAGGGAAGCAGGGCCTGTCGGGGGTGGAGATGGCCTTTCCTCCCTGTCCTGCGGCGGCGGCGTCATCCGAGCCCAGCATCGGTCAGTTCCCATACAGTCAGGCATCGCTTAATGGCGGGGTTGTGTTCTGAGAAATGTGTCCTTGGACGACTTTGTCATTGTGGGAACATCGCGGGGTGCGTTTCCACGAACTGGGAAGGTCCCGCCTGCTGCTATCGGGTGCGGCCATTGCAGCCAGGCCACAGACCTGGGCAGCGCGGGACTGTGCCGCACACTGCGGGTGGCTGTAACACAACAGTGAGGAATTGTGCATCACGACACAGAAAAGCCACAGTAAAAATAAGGCACTACCATCTCAAGGGGCCCCTGTGAGGTACGAGGCCTGTCATTGACTAAAGCACAGCCGTGCAGCCCAGGACGGCAGTTCCTTGCCGAGGGCCCGTGTGTTTGTGTCTGGTGTGCGCTGTGTTCCGAGGATGAAAGTGATGGCCGATGAACAGAACTCTCGTGTTGTCGGTGCGACCAGGTGCGTGCTCTGTTGTTCGCTGTCCTTTTTGCATCCTTGGTTGTAGGCCAAAGAAGACAAGATAGCAGAACTGGAAACGGAAAACGCTGTCCTTCTTCTGAAATTGGCACAGGTAATATTTTCACATGTCCTGCAGGCTGAGTGGAATCGTATCCAGTGGGGAGTGATTTCGTGCTGAAGTCAGCTTTTAGCCCTTGTGGAAGAAATACATTGGGGGTGACTCCCTGGGACCTTTTCTTTTTGCCATCGAGTGAGGTGACAGGGAATCCTCGGTTGCTGTGTGAAGTGTCTTCTGACACTGGATCAAGGTTGAGCTCCAAATTCCTGTGTGTCTCTGTGCTCACAGGTATTTAATGAGTAACAATTCATCAGGAACTCACGCTTTTTCAAAACAGCTCTCTTGAGGTTTAGTGTACCAGGTGGGTGTACCATAAATTTACCCATGTTAAGTGTACAAGTCAACGTTTAGGAAATGTGTAGTTGTGCAACTGACTTAGTCATTTGTGCTGCTGTAACAAAATACCTGCAACGGAGACATTTATTAAGAACAGGAATTTATCACTCACAGTTCCGGAGGCTGGAAAATCCAAGACCAGGTGCCGCGGGGCCATTGGCGAGGGCCCTTCTTCCTCACCGATGGTGCCATCTCTGGCACTGTCCTCTCCTGGCAGGACAGCGGGGAGCACAGAAGGCCTGCGCCGGTTCCCTCCAGTCTGTCCACGAGGCACAGGTCCGTCCCCAAAGGCCCCGCTTCTCAACGCCACCACATCGAGGGTTAAGCTTCCGCGTGAATTTTGGAGGTGGCTCATTCAAACCACAGCAGCCACCATCACCACAAGCCAGGTGCCCGGTGTCTCCATCACCTCGAAGGCCCCACAAGCCAGGTGCCCGGCATCTCCATCACCCCGAAGGGCCCCCGCCGGCGTGTTTCCACCCCTTCCCACACCCCGTTGTTCCAGGAAGCCGCTCTTCTGGTAACTCGAGTGATCTGTCATTCTGGGATCAGCCCCAGAACACTTGAACGATGCTACGCATATGATCTGTCTGCCTCACCAAAGAAAAATGTCTCTGGAAGATGACTGCGCTCAGTTTTTCTTGCAGGTTTGTTCTCAGAATTTAAAAGGAAGGGAGCACAAAGGGAGAACGCCCTTGGCACACACGGACTCGGGTGGTTCTTTTCTACCGTTTGCTGTTGCTACTTGGGTTAGGCTGAGAAGCGGTCGCGGAAAGAAAGCAGGCCTGAGTCCCTGGACACTTCTCATCAGGACATGAACTGGTTTGCAGATGTGGCTAAATTAAGACTCGGGATGGGAGAGTGTCCTGGGTTATCCTGGTGGGCTCTAAATGCCACCGTGAGTGAGTGTCCTTACAGGAGGGAGGCAGAGGAGTTTCCACACAGAGAGAAGGCCACGTGGGGATGGAGGAAGGGGGCATTCCAGATGTGACTGTGTGTACTGAGCAATACAACCTCAGGCCAAGGATTGTAAGCAGAGCCAGAGGCAGGAGGAGGCAGGAGGGGCCCTCCCCTGGAGCCTTCAGAGGGAGGCCCGGCCACACCTTGGGTTTGGACTTCTGGCCTCCAGAACCATGAGACGAGAAGTTTCTGTTGGAAACCCCCAGTTTCCCGTAATTTGTAACAGTGGAAATAGGAAACCATTGTGTTCTCATCTTTAAATTATTACCCCTTTAGAATTCTTGGAATCTTCGCAGAATCAGGGCCAAGTGGGCTTCCACTCTTCTTGACTGTCCTTGAATAACCCTGTCGAGTTTCATTGAAAAAAAAAATGCAGTTGCACAAAATTTGCATATTAATTAAGGGATATTCCTACTACTTCTGAAATGAAGTGAATATTTTCTGCGTTCATTTTTAAGCTCGTTCTTTCCTGGGGCGTTGAGGCCCGGGTATGAGTGCATTATCATGCCCTTCCTAGGCACTGAAGACACAGGCGGCAACACCGAGGCCCAGAGAGGTGAAAAACATTCCCACATTCACAATGACAAAAAGCTGTGGGACTGAGCATCAAATCTCGTCACCCAATTCCAAGCCACATTGTTCCCTGGGAGTTCACAGTGTCATTCTACAGTAATGAAAACAGTTGGAAATAGTAACCCCGTCCAGCCTGAGGGCCTCACAGCATTTCGTGGCTTTATTAGAAGGGTCAAGACTCTTGGTCAACAAGGTCTCAAGGAACCTGAGGTGTCGCTGCTCTACAATCACACTCCAGTCTCCATCTTTGGCCAGGGACACAGGTCCTTCTGTGGAGGAGGGACCTCAGACCCCTGCCCGTGAGTGCCTGAGCTTGCAGAGGTAACCCCTCGCCATCACATTCCACCAAAGCCTTCTCCAGCAGAACGTGGACGGCCCCCGCTCAGGGTCCCTCAGGATGAGTGGCTCTCCAGGACGTCACAGCCTCTGTGGCACCAGCAGCCAGTCAAGCAGTGGCTGTCGGGGTGGCCGCTGACGCCAAAGTGCAGGCCCAGGCTTCCCATTTGGGTCCGGTCCAGAGCCTGGTGCTGTCCACCACGCACTGTTGGTGAGGGTGCTGCCCCAGCCCGCCGACTTTTCCAGCATCATGTAGATGAGCTTTTTAAAGGATCTTTTTTAACATGTAAGATCACTGGGCACACAGTGTGAAAGGAAGCCGTGGAGCCCTGGCGTCTGCACTGTGAGCTCCTCGTGGTGGTTCCGGTCACTGGAAGGCCGATCTCCACGTGGTGGCCCTGCCTGCTGCCTCCCGGAGGCCAGCATGTTCCACTGCCACGCAGACCGCGGCCTTGGTGTGTGATGTGCTTGGCGTCAAGGGCCCTGCAATGAAACGGCTTTTCCACTGGGACTCCTGGGCCGGGACGCAGGCGGAGCACCATCCACCACATGCACCTTGCAGATCTGGCGGCTGCACAGGCCTCCAGGTCCTCCTGGCCCTCCCGGCCTCTCGCCCTCCCCAGAGTGGAGCTTCCTGCCCGTGACTCATGCTCCTGCTTCCCACGTCGCCCCCACCTAAGATAAGTCCCATGTCCTTTGCCCAACAGGTGGTGACTTTATTTCCATCCAACTCCATCCCTCAGCACCCCCAGCGCAATCCGGCCTCCCTGTACCCACGCAGGCCCGCTCCCCCGTCTTTCTGTTGCCCACGGCCAAATCCCCCAAAGCCCAGGGCAGCCCCACGTTGAGCGCAGACCATCCTGGCGCCATGGATTTTCTTAGAACTGCCGTTCCACGCCGGGTGAGTCCCCGGGGCTCTGGAACCGTGGATTTTCTGGGATTTGCCGTTCCACGCCGGGTGAGTCCCCGGGGCTCTGGAACCGTGGATTTTCTGGGATTTGCCGTTCCACGCCCGGTGAGTCCCCGGGGCTCTGGAACCGTGGATTTTCTCGGAATTGCCGTTCCACGCCCGGTGAGTCCCGGAGGCTCCGGAACACGGTTTCTAACGCGCAGGCTGATGATTTCTAACACTCACGTGCGTGGTATTTCTTTCTTCCCCAGAGACGATCTGAGCCTTTGGGGGCCGGGGACTGAATTTGGCTGCAGCCTCTTCTTCAGTCCCATGAGGGTGGGAGAGGCTTCCCGGGCCCCCGCTCAGGCCCCACGGATCCGCCGGTGCCCTTGGCGGCCTCTTCACCCCCCGGGGCTCTGGGGAGCCTCGCTCCTCTGCAGTTCTCTGTTAACACCTTTCCGCTTCTGAGGAGCTTCACACGGAGAATACGGCGATTTTCTGACCTAATCGCACCCCCTCCGCGGCCGTCTTTGCTCCACAGTTAGTTTCGGTGACTTTGCAGCCTCCCTGCCCCGCTGCGCCCGGCTCGCCCCCGTCCCTCTGCTCCTGAGGCCCTGAGCTTGGCCGTCTCTGTGCCAGGACTCGGGCCTGGGCTTAGCTCCCCGGAGGCACCGCAGGCAGCGCGCGACCCCGAGCTCACACGCGGGCATCGCCGAGTCACACGTGGGCATCCCGGGCCTCACACGCAGCCCCTCTTCCAGGACGTTCTGCCTCCCCGCACCTGGCCGGGACCCTCAGGCTCAGCCCTGGGGATGCCTCCCCGACGGCTCCTGTGGCTCCGTGCCCCGCGCGCCCCTGGATCACCTGGAGTTGTCCCCACCGTGTTCCCTGCTGCAGTGAGTCCCATGCAGGGGTGGTGTCTTCTCTTACGTGGGCAGGTGCATCTGGGACAATCAGCAACCATTCTCTTCTCAGAGGAAAGAGGAGAGGTTCAGCTCTCCTCTGCTTCAGCTTCGAGGTTTTAAGACTTTAAATTGTCTTTGATTATTTTCTATGCAATAGTACAAGGGAAAGATTGAAAAGAGTCGCAGTGAGGCCACGCGGATTTCCACCCTGTACAACAAACAGCAGTGTCTGCAGAGAAACACACGCTCAGCCTTGAGCCAGCTGGGTCATGTCATTCAGGTAAAAACAGCTTCACCAGAAGCCAGAGTTTTAATTCATGCAGTGAATGTTTATGTTTGTTTCTGGTGAAATGGTTTAAATTATGCTTGTCAAAAGACATGTAATCTTATGGAAGTAAAAGAAGCCTTCATTGAAACCAGGAAAGCCCCTCGTGTGTTAGATACAAGTTTCCATCACAGGCCCAATCTGGTCTTCTTTAAAAGAGTATACCATCGTTACTATTTTCTTTTTTTAGAAAAAAAAAAAAAAAACACCAGAGTCTCGCTCTGTCGCCCAGGCTGGAGTGCATGGCGCAGTCTTGGCTCACTGCAAGCTCCACCTCCTGGGTTCACACCATTCTCCTACCTCAGCCTCCGGAGTAGCTGGGACTACAGGCGCCCGCCACCACGCCCAGTTAATTTTTTCTATTTTTTGGTAGAGACGGGGTTTCACCGTGTTAGCCAGGATGGTCTCGATCTCCTGACCTCGTGATCCGCCCGCCTCGGCCTCCCAAAGTGCTGGGATTACAGGTGTGAGCCACCGCACCCAGCTTATTTTCTCTTTCTTTTTTTCTTTTCTTTCTTTCTATTTATTTATTTATTTATTTTGAGATGGAGTCTCACTCTGTCACCCAGACTGGAGTGCAACGGCAGGATCTTGGCTCACTGCAACCTCGGCCTCCCCGGTTCAAGTGATTCTCTTGCCTCAGCCTCCTGAGTAGCTGAGACTACAGGTGCCTGCCACCATGTCTGGCTAAGTTTTATATTTTTAGTAGAGGCAGGGTTTCACTGTGTTAGCCAGGATGGTCTCCATCTCCTGAATTTGTGATCCGCCTGCCTCTGCCTCCCAAAGTGCTGGGATTCCAGGCGTGAGCCACCTCGCCTGGCCAAAATTGTTACTATTTTCATAATCAATTGCAGATGTTGTTCACTCTGGGAGTTCTGCTTTCTAATACACACTAAACAGAAGACTAAACCTAAAACCAAAACAAAACATAGGATTGGGATTCTGAGCAAATATCAGAAGGAAAAATACATTTTGTCCATGAAATGAATTATTTCAAATAGCTGTGGTAGCAGTTCAATTTTCTGAGTCAAAATTCTCATTTTAGTTAATCAAATTAAATCATTAAACTAAAATCTTACTTTAGTTAATCAAAGTTCTCAATTTAATTTTAATGTTAAGTGGTAGAAAACATGTTTATACATGTTAGACTAAATAGATCTGGTACAGCATGTCATCAGATGTGAACAGCTCCTGTTAAACTACTAATAATTTCTAGAAAGTTAGAAAAATTGTTATTCCCTATAGTATATTTGGCAATTCTCCAGGGTGAGCTTGTAGGAGGATATTTTTATACCTTTGGTTGAGAACATTGTTTTACCTTTTGTTTTAAACAATGTGACCATATAATTACTACAACAATAAAACATCTGTAAACAGGATTAATCTGTTCTCTATGTTAGTCAGAATTAGAGATATCCCACCCCCTCGTAAGCTGCATTAGTGTATTTAGAATAGATTTATATAAAATTAATTTTCATTCTCTTCCAACTGAATAAAATTAATTGAATAAGTTGTATGTATAACTTTATCTGTACTCCATATAAGAAAAACACTTTAGTTTTGATATTAAAATGTTTATTAATTCGTTATTAAAATGTTTCCCAAACATATGAAAGCCGTCTCCATTTTATAGAAAAGGAGATTTGACTAAAGAAACGAAGAATACTTTAGTTATGCTCCTGTGATTTAAGAGTATCTGATATTAAATATTAAGCAGTAGTGTCCTGGTTCTGTCACATCTTCCCATGGAAGATCCTTGAGATAATTTCATGGGGAGAAGAGGACTTTCCACGCAGGACATCAGTTGCTTTGCTCCCAAAGTTCTCTAAAAGCGTTCATATGTATTGTGCCTGGAATTTTATTATGTACATTTACATGTTAAGTTGTTTTCACCGGCCCACGTTTTCCACCATGTGCTCGTGATAATTGAGCTTCCAGAAGGCAGGTCTGGATAGTAGATTAGGAGGGTGGTCCCCATTTCACAGGCGGTGATGAGAGGCTCTGAGCCTGAGCCAGCATCGTGAGGAAGTCAACAATAGACGGAAACACGGCTCGCGCCCAGCATCGCCCCACCGTGCAGTGAGCGGCCCTTCCTACGGAAATTGGTGAAACACTTGACTTTCTGTTTCTTAAATACTTTAAGGGCATAAAATCACATGTACTGCTTTGAAAGTAGAAATCCCAGATGTATTGAGTCAGAACTTCTGTAAGTGAGCCGAGGCACAGGCAGCATGAAAACAGTCCTGGCGGGCATCGACAGGCCCGGGCCGAAGAACTTCTGCTTTACACCCTTCCAGTTAACAACATATCCCTTATATTAATTGTGTGGGTATGTTATTATTCTATAGAAACATATATAACAAATTCTTATGTAATTATACTGTGATCATTAATCATATAATTTTATGAATCGTGTATGTTCTTATTTTATAGAAACTTAACCAGGATATACAGGCGTTTCATTCTTCTTCTCGGGCGCTCTTAAGAGATTATCAGGATGAGTATCAGGACCGTGTTTCTGAAATAGTGACCGCGGTGCAAAGAACACAGCAGAGTGCCGAGACCCTGCTAGGTAGGAGGGCACCTTTCACCGAAGCCGGGCCAGTCCACACTCGAGAGAAATGTTTGCAGTTTTAAGAAAATGACCGGCTAGAATTTAAGTTTCCATTTCTTCTTCCTTTTAGCTGACACCAAATTCCACAGGTGAGGGCAGGCACTGTGTGACTCGGCCACGCTGGCAGGTGCACTGCTCCCTCCCAGCTCCCACTGCAGCCCTGCTTGCTGGAGGAGCTCCTTGTTCTCCTGGTCACCACAGGGCACTTCCCCGGTCTTGACGGTCACTGCTGAACTGGCACCTGTGTCCACGTTGGGCGTTCTGTGTCAGAGTTTCCTATAATATGACGTGAGATTTTTTTTTTTTTGTCTTATCAGTTCAGTTCTTTCTTCATTTCTAAGAATGCCACAGCATTTTGGCTACTCTTTTGTTATAATGGATTTATTATCTTCAGCTACTGTGCTTGAAGCCTGTGGAAGAGGTTACTTTGGTTCTGCAGTTTTAAACTCATCGTCCAAATTGCACTAGCCGGCCAGGCCCGATGGCTCATGCCTGTAATCCCAGCACCTTGGGAGGCCGAGGCGGGCAGATCACATGAGGCCAGGAGTTTGAGAGCAGCCTGGGCAACAGGGTGAAACCCGTCTGTACTAAAAATACAAAAATTAGCCGGGTGTGGTGGCGCATGCCTTCGATCTCAGCTACTTGGGAGGCTAAGGCAGGAGAATTGCTTGAACCCGGGAGGCAGAGTTTGCAGTGAGCCGAGATCGCACCATTGCACTCCAGCCTGGGCGACAGAGCAAGACTCTGTCTCAAAAAAACAAAAGAACCAAATAGCACCATCCCCACGTTCGTCTCATGCTCACAGCTTCTGCCCAGTGTTCAGTGTGTCCACAGGCCAAAGAGATGATGGTCAAGTTAGGAACTTGGTCAAGGGTTGTGCTGCTGATATTCCAAAATAGGTGTGTGGAAACTTTGGAACCTGTACTGATCTTCTGCGAGGCTACATGATGTTTTATTGAAATCACTGCTGTAGCCTAGTTTTCTTCAGTGCACTCTGCTCAGTAACTCCCCTAAGGCCGTGTTTGTAGGAGTGACGTGTGCATGCCTGTGTTCTTTTTTTGGGGGGCGGGGGGCGGCGGGGGACAGAATCTCACTCTGTCGCCCAGGCTGGAGTGCAGTGGCGCCATCTCAGCTCACTGCAACATCTGCCTCCTGGATTCAAGCTATTCTCCCACCTCAGCCTCCCGAGTAGCTGGGATTATAGGCGCCTGCCACCACGCCTGGCTAATTTTGTATTTTTAGTAGAGATGGGGTTTTACCATGTTGGCCAGGCTGGTCTCGAACTCCTGACCTCGGGTGATCTGCCCGCCTCAGCCTCCCAAAGTGCTGGGATTACAGGCACGAGCCACCACAGCCGGCAACGCCTGTGTTCTTATAAGCCATGTGCTCCAGGGAAAGGGACAATCATGTTATTTTGTGAAAAGCAGTGTACTTAAGCTTTGAAAAGGTGAAACTCAAAGGGAGAAGCAGGGAGCCGCCAAGGCTCTCCCGCAGAGGGAATGCTGACGTGTGAGGAGGCAGGGCCTGCTGAGGCCCTGCCTGTGGGAGCCACGGTGCAGTCCTGCCACACAGAGGGGTCCCCAGGCGGCTTATTTGTGCCCAGGCGTTAGGCTCAGGGGCTCGGGGCCTCCTTACCTGGCTTCCCTGGGGGCGCGACTTCTCCCCTCGAGTTCCATGCTCCTCAAAGATGAGCCTCAGCCACCTCAGGTGCCCAGGCAGCTCCTTTCAGCCGTGCTGACAAGAGGGATAGTGGGGACAGGCTGGTGGCTGGGGCCGGACACACTCAAGGCTCAGATGACCAAGTGACTGGGAGGGTCTCTCTCTTGCTGTGGGGGACCCTTCCCGCTTTCTTACGCCCACATTCAGTCTGGACCCGGTAACGGGTGTTTCTTTCAGAAAGGGAGCGTGCGCAGTTCTGCAAGTCCAGCTTGGTTTCAGGCCTCATGAGAGCTGCATCTGCGCTGAGGGGTCCTTGTCCCTGCAGGTCCTCGGGCCTGGGGTAGAAAGCCCCAGGCTGGGCTGCATCCTTTGGCTAAGTGACATGTGGAGGGGTCCCTGGCTATCATGACGCGTACAGCCGCGAGGCGTCCTCTGCAGCACGACACCGAGCTCCATGTCACACTCACGCTGCCTCCACGGCAATGGCCAGTCTGGGGATTGGGGTGTCCACGCTCGTCCAAGGCCCCCACGCGATGCCCACTCATCGCCACATCACCTGGCACCATCCTGGTAGGACAGAGGCGGGAGTAGAGGCCCAGGCCACTGTAACAATCCACAGCAGCAGAGCTGGGCCCCAGCATCTCCTTCCCTGCCCCACTCCCCCCTCACCAAGGGCTCCCAGGTGCTTTAGGAGCAGAGACCTCCTTGGCTGCCATGCAGACGATGGAGCAGCATTCACGGGCTGATGGCATTTGAGGCTGATGACGGACGGGGTGACTGTGGGGCCAGGTCCCCCAGGCGAGCTCTGTGAGTCCTTGGTCGTGGTGGAGACAGCGCAGCCTGGGTCCAAAGCAGTGAGGAGCACAGGCCACAGCACGCAGCCGGCCCTGGAGGACTCCATTATTTTTAAAAATGTCTCCCATACTTAGAGAAAGGAATTTGACCTGCTGGGCCCCATGGATGTCCTCTCCGGTAAAATGCCTCCGTCCCTTTGTCCTTTCAGCATGCCAGTCAAAGGTGGCGCACCTGGAGCGGGCCTTGCAGGACGTCAGTGCGCGTCACCAGCTGGAGAGGCAGAGAAGGAAGGTCCCGCACAACAGCCTGGTGGTGGGTGTGGGCGTCAGGGGAGACCTGGGGCGGCCCCGGGGAGAGGCCCACGCAGAACGTGCAGAAGCCTCCTCGCCGGAGGGACAGCGGGAGGGACAGCGGGGGGACAACAGGGGGGACAGCGGGGGGGGGACAGCGGGGGTGTGACAGCGGGGGGGACAGCGGGGGGGGACAGCAGGGGTGGACAGAGAGGTGGACAGCAAGGGGGACAGCGGGGCGGCCTGGCCGGAGGGCAGAGGGGCAGAGCTGCGGGGGCTGCGACCTGCGTCCTCTTCACCCAGGAGGCGATGGCAGCTGGAGGACGGGTGAGGGCGCCGCAGGCTGATTTAGGCTTTCGGGGTCACTCTGGCTGCTCGGTCGGGAGGCCACGACGGGGAGCAAAGGGGATGGCTGCAGTGTCACGGGGGCTGGTGGCCTGGGCCACATTGGTGGCGATGCAGGAAGTGGGACCGGCTGCTGTGAGGCACAAGGAAAGAGCTGTAGCGGGCAGTTGGGGGCGGGGGAATCTGCAGAGATGGGGGCGGGGGAATCTGCAGAGATGGGGGCGGGGGAATCTGCAGAGATGGGGGGCGGGGGAATCTGCAGAGATGGGGGGTCGGGGGAATCTGCAGAGATGGGGGGCGGGGGAATCTGCAGAGATGGGGGGTCGGGGGAATCTGCAGAGGTGGGGGCGGGGGAATCTGCAGAGATGGGGGCGGGGGAATCTGCAGAGATGGGGGCGGGGGAATCTGCAGAGATGGGGGGCGGGGGAATCTGCAGAGATGGGGGGCGGGGGAATCTGCAGAGATGGGGGGCGGGGGAATCTGCAGAGATGGGGGGTCGGGGGAATCTGCAGAGATGGGGGGCGGGGGAATCTGCAGAGATGGGGGGCGGGGGAATCTGCAGAGATGGGGACTTGCGCGGGAAAAGCAAGGATTTTGCTGTAACTGGAGATGCCGGTGGAGACTGCCCCTGCCCCTGCCCCTGCCCCTTCCTCACCAGCACCTTCCACCCACGTCTCTCACTGCCCATTAACAAGACCCAGAGGCTCTCGTGCTTTCTTGGTCGAAGGTATGAGACCTGAGATCCCATGAAATTTAATGTAAAGTCTCAGGGTTTGATTTTGCAACACGAGGATGCCAAGGTGGATGATTGAGTGGGTGACCCTCGCTTCTGTGAGGTTTGATTTTGATGGTTGCACTTTGGCCAGTTTCTCCGAATTCCACCTGCCCGAGGCCCACGAAGCCAGTGTTCCTGCGAAGCTTCTCTTCCCTGGCCATGCCGAGAGGTTCTCCAGCTGTTAGATGTGTCAAAGAATAATTCTCATTTTAAGCATCTACTTATGTAGTTCAGTGCTCCAAACATTGATATAAGAGAACATTTATTGAGTGCTTCCTGTGTACCAAGTACTTTTGAAACCATTTGGTGTATTTTCTTATTTAATCTTCACAATAGCACCACCTCTCTGGGTTGCTATAAAGACAAAGGGAGATATCAGTGAAGCACCTGGCACTTCAGAAAGTCTCACTACGCTGCAGCTTTTTTTTTTTTTAATCTGGAGCATGAAAAAGATAATATGAACCTTCCTAAGATGGAGTCAAGTCCCACAAGGAAGAATTGGTTGTGGAAGTTTCTGAGTGTTCCACCTCAAGCCTGGTCTCCTGGTCTAGCTGAGGAGCGTGCAGTGCGCGGCCCATGGAGAATATGCAGGCAGAGGCTGATCCCAGCTTCTGTGGGTTCATAGAGACCAGACGGAGGCTGTAAATCATTGGCCTATGACACCCACTTGGTTTTCAAAATGTAGAAGGAGCTGCTCAGCATGACAGGGTGGATAAACTTGCTGTGGATCCAAGACAAGATTTCAGAATGGATTTGGCAAGTTCTGAGCACATACGGAGAAGATGTGTTGCTCACTGGAAACCAGTGGAGTTTATGAGAATAAAAAGCTTCTAATTTCCTTCCAGTCATTAAATCAAGGAAATATGACAGATACTGAATTTCCAAAATCCCCTCTAAAATGCCTAAAATGTCGAGCCCAGGATGCCATTCAAAGGGATTTTCCTTGGTACTTATTACCAAGGGATACCCCTTTGCCAAGTGAACACATTTGTGAAGTATGAATCCAGAAGTTTAAAATAACTGTTCATGGCCGGGCACGGTGGCTCATGCCTATAATCCCAGAACTTTGGGAGGCCGAGGCGGGCGCATTACCTGAGGTCAGGAGTTCGAGACCAGCTTGGCCAACATGGTAAAAACCCTTCTGTACTAAAAATACAAAAATTAGCTGGGCGTGGTGGTGGGCACCTGTCATCCCAGCTACTCTGGGGGCTGAGGCAGGAGAATCACTTGAACCTGGGAGGCGGAGGTCGCAGTGAGCTGAGATTGCATCACTGCACTCCAGCCTGGGCGACAGAGCAAGACTCTGGCTCAAAAAATAAATAAATAAAATAACTGTTCACTACCCTGCAGGGGTCTTTCGAAGTGGAGACAGGTGCTGCAGATCTCACGGCCGCGTCTCAGGAGCTGGTGCCCGGTGCACGTTCAGTGGGGGATGCTCCGCAGTGCAGGCTCGCGCCCGGGTTGACACGCAGACCTCTTGATCATTGCAGGAGCTGAAACGAAATATCAGAGTTCACTGTCGGATTCGTCCTTTGTTGCCTTTTGATAGTGAATCCGACGATCCAGTTTTGCAGAGCAGGTAACCTGTGTTTGCACGGTGTGTGTATGTCTGTGTGCTCAGGGAAAAGACAGAGGAGTGGCACAATTTTAAATGCCGTCTACTGTCCTGTCCCCGGTCCCAAAGCAGGACATTCTCGAGTTGTGGGTGGGGGCTCTGTTTAAGGATGGCGCTGTCTTGCTGACAGTGGACACTCTGCAGCCCTCTGTAATACGGCCTGCAAAAGGCCAAACTGCCTGAGCAGGCCTCTCGTGCGTGGTAGTGGTTCTGCACCTGAGAGGGCGTCCGTCTTTTCGTGGTTTGCCTCTGCGGGGTCCGACCGAACAGGGACAGGCTTTGAATGGACTTTTCCCTTTATGTCACTATATCAAAAAGGGAGCACCCTGCCTTTATGAACCCCAAAGACCACCCACTCCGCCATGCAGGCAGTCAGTGAGTATTGACTCAACTGATACTTTTGACTTAGAGAAAGTTTTGATGGTATTCATGGATACAGCAAAATTATCTGAAGTTCATTTACTCAAATGCTTACTTGAAAACCATACTCAATATGACTTACTTCCTTCCCCATGAAACAAACCCCCTGGAAATCCCCACTCCCATCCTGACCACACCTGACCCTCCCCACTCCCATCCTGACCACACCTGACCCTCCCCACTCCCATCCTGACCACACCTGACCCTCCCCACTCCCATCCTGACCACACCTGACCCTCCCCACTTCCATCCTGTCTACACCTGACCCTCCCCACTCCCATCCTGACCACACCTGACCCTCCCACTCCCATCCTGACCACACCTGACCCTCCCCACTCCCATCCTGTCTACACCTGACCCTCCCCACTCCCATCCTGTCTACACCTGACCCTCCCCACTCCCATCCTGACCACACCTGACACTCCCCACTCCCATCCTGACCACACCTGCCCCTCCCCACTCCCATCCCGACCACGCCTGACCTTCTCGCCCTCCCTCCATAAACCTGCCCCTCCCCACTCCCATCCTGACCACACCTGCCCCTCCCCACTCCCATCCTGACCACACCTGGCCCTCCCCACTCCCATCCCGACCACGCCTGACCTTCTCACCCTCCCTCCATAAAGCTGCCCTTCCCCACTCCCATCCTGTCTACACCTGACCCTCCCCACTCCCATCCTGTCTACACCTGACCCTCCCCACTCCCATCCTGACCACACTTGACCCTCCCCACTCCCATCCTGTCTATACCTGCCCCTCCCCACTCCCATCCTGACCACACCTGACCCTCCCCACTCCCATTGCCGACCACATCTGACCTTCTCACCCTCCCTCCATAAACCTGCCCCTCCCCACTCCCATCCTGACCACACCTGGCCCTCCCCACTCCCATCCTGACCACACCTGGCCCTCCCCACTCCCATTGCTGACCCTCCCGCCACTCCAAGGTGCTGCGCTTCCCGGCTGTCCCAACGCCATATGGGGTTGGCCGTATGCACCAGTTTGCTAGGGGCACTGGGTCCCACTCCTGACTTTGCTTTGCTCAGGCTGTTTTTCTGGTCTTGGTTTCCTCCACTTAATCTGTCCAAATGAGCTTTCCCTGGAGGGCCTGGCTTGAGCCTCACAGTGTTTGCATCCTGCAGTTTAGCACCTGACTTGAGAAGGTCTTTAGAAAGCACTTGGCCGGTTCTACAGTGTGAAACAAGAAATTCGGATCTTTTGATAGTCATTGAAACTTTTTCTTTTCAAAGTGTTTAGACATGATTGTGCTGGCTCTAGTACTTTCTGCACTTTTTTGACTGGTGGCCACTTGTCACTTGTCAAAGGACTGGAAATTGGGCCTGTCGGATACGTCAGTGTGGCGCGGGACAGGCCAAGTGGCCCTCATTCAAAATGTGTGGGACCAGAAGAAGTGTTTCCGATGTTGAATTGTTTCATATTTTCGAATGTTCGTGTTTTGTATGGACCGGTTCAGCAAGATAATCCAGTGGGCATTTTCTTTCAGCGTCATCTCAGTGCTCAAAACGTTTTGGATTTTGGAGCATTTTGGATTTCAGGTTTTTGGATGAGGGATGCTCAGCCTGTAGTTAATGGCCCCCAGCGGTGATCAGCTTTCCTGAACTTGCCTTTTACATGGCACTTCCAGACGGCTTTTGTTACACACCAGCCTCCCTGCGAGCCTCCCACCATAAGAGGCACATACATGCAAATGAATGCAAATGAAATCCCATCAGAAATGGGGCTCCTCAGCTGCAGTAGCCTCATCTGAGGCGTGGCCTCGGGCAGGTGAGAAGACACCTGAGGCGTGGCCTCGGGCAGGTGAGAAGACACCTGAGGCCGTGGCCTCGGGCAGGTGAGAAGACACCTTCAGGCGTGGCCTCGGGCAGGTGAGAAGACACCTGAGGCGTGGCCTCGGGCAGGTGAGAAGACACCTGAGGCGTGGCCGCGGGCAGGTGAGAAGACACCTTCAGGCGTAGCCTCGGGCAGGTGAGAAAGACACCTGAGGCGTGGCCTTGGGCAGGTGAGAAGACACCTGAGGCATGGCCTCGGGCAGGTGAGAAGACACCTTCAGGCGTAGCCTCGGGCAGGTGAGAAAGACACCTGAGGCGTGGCCTCGGGCAGGTGAGAAGACACCTGAGGCGTGGCCTCGGGCAGGTGAGAAGACACCTGAGGCGTGGCCGCGGGCAGGTGAGAAGACACCTTCAGGCGTAGCCTCAGGCAGGTGAGAAAGACACCTGAGGCGTGGCCTCGGGCAGGTGAGAAGACACCTGAGGCATGGCCTCGGGCAGGTGAGAAGACACCTTCAGGCGTAGCCTCGGGCAGGTGAGAAAGACACCTGAGGCGTGGCCTCGGGCAGGTGAGAAGACACCTGAGGCGTGGCCTCGGGCAGGTGAGAAGACACCTGAGGCGTGGCCTCGGGCAGGGGAGAAGACACCTTCAGGCATAGCCTCGGGCAGGTGAGAAAGACACCTGAGGCATGGCCTCGGGCAGGTGAGAAGACACCTTCAGGCGTAGCCTCGGGCAGGTGAGAAAGACACCTGAGGCGTGGCCTCGGGCAGGTGAGAAGACACCTGAGGCGTGGCCTTGGGCAGGTGAGAAAGACAGGCAAGTTTCCATAGTCCCAGAGGCTTCTTTCTCCTGGATGGTGCGGCTCTGGGCTGTTTGGCTTCTCAGAGCTTCCTAAGAAGCTCCATAAACGTGTGTGTGGACTGGCACATTGTTTGTGTTCATCGGCTTTTGGTTTTGAAACATGTTGCATTTTTTCAGATTCATGATGGCTTGCAGATGCTTGATTTCCTGAAGGGGAGAACCTGATGAGCTTGTCTTCTAGATCAGTGGTCCCCAACCTTTTTGGCATCAGGGACCAGCTTCCTGGAAGACCAGGTTTCCACGAACTGGCGGGCCGGGGCAGGGATGGTTTCAGGATGACTCAACTGCATTTCATTTATTGTGCACTTTATTTCTATTATTATTACACTGTAATATACAACAAAATAATAATACAACTCACCACAATGTAAAATCAGTAGGAGCCTTGAGCTTATTTTCCTGTAACTAGAGGGTCCTATCTAGCAGTGATGGAGACAGTGACAGGTCATCAGGCATCAGAGTCTCATAAGGAGTGTGCAACCTGCATCCCTCACATGCACAGCTCACAGTAGGGTTTGTGCTCCCAAGAGAATCTAATGCTGCTGCTGGTCTGACAGGAGGTGGAGCTCAGGCAGTGATGCCAGTGATAGGGAGCGGCTGTAATTCAGAGAAGCTTTGCTCACTTGCGCACCGCTCACCTCCTGCTGTGCAGCCTGGTTTCTAACAGGCCTCCATGGCCAGGGATTTGGGACCCTTGTTCTGTATCACCACCGCTCTAAACTGCGCATGAAGGAGATATTTAAGCGTTCTTACTGGAGTATGGATGACTCTCCCATGCAATGCAGACAGGGAAGATGAAAACAAGAAATAAAGAACAGGGGTATTGGAGTAAAAAAATCAAGAGAAGACAAAAGGGGGTGGGGAAGAGAAGAAAATAATACATAAAAAGTAAAGAGTAAAAAAAATAAAAAGCATAAGGTCCAAAAGGACGAGTGGAGTTTTAGAAAAGGATGGAAGGGTGGATCCATGCACACAGGAAGAGGAGGAAGAGGAGCCAAGCCAGTGTCCTGGGAGACCAGGACAGAGACAGAGATGATGGCAGAGAAGCAGAGGGGTGTTTTAGAGTGACCAGGACAGAGACAGAGATGATGGCGAAGAAACACAAGGGTGTTTTAGAGGCTGAATGTTAGGAATTCAGAAAGCAATTTCTTCATGATGTGTATTTTCAATGTTGTTTCATTCCCTCAGCTCCATCTCTAGAGAAGCGGCCCATGCTGTTGATGACCTGAGTCTACAAGTTTCCTCACAAATTGTATTCAGAGAGCAGCTTCCTGCTTGGTGGGTGTCCGTAGTCCCCACAGATCCCTACAATGGAGAGCAACTCAGAGACTGAATAAATAGAAAATAATTTATTTTAGGCTTTCTTAGTTAAGAAGAGTTGTTTTTGTTCCTTGATTTCTATTGGAACATGAAATTAAGCATTTGACATGCTTTCCTTGTGGGAAACCAGCTCCTGACCCGTAGTTCTATGTGAGGAAGTTACTTCACTTCCATTTATTTTCCAGCCCAAATGATCAATCAGTGCAAATATGAGCAAGTTCTAAAATTTAGAGCACCAGGAAAAGAGATATAAATATAAAATCAGTGATATCATGGGTGAACTTTGTGATTCTAAACTGGAATCAAGCATGATTTTGTTTCTCCTGAAAGCCTCCTTGCTTTTTAGTTTTATCCACGAAAAGGCCGAGAAGTCAGAAGGAGCAGCCCAACACCCCAGGGGTGTCTGAGTACCAAGCCCACTGCAGGAGAAAAGCTCATTTGACACCTCGCATCTGGGCCAGGAAAGGAAGTGGGTGGGAGGAGCCTGGGGCACTTGGGGAGCTGAACAGCAAGGGAGGCCTCAGAACAGAACGGGGGCTGTCCCAGCACATGGAGCCCACGGCAGGCACTCCCTCAACGCGGGATAGAAGCCTGGGGATTAAGGAGGGACTAAAGCAGATTGAAATATATAATTATATGTACAATCTTGAGTTCATAATAATGAGTTTTTAAAAAGACCTCACATTAATTTTTTGGGTGCTAGAACATCAACTCATTATTCCAAAAAGTGATAGAAAGAGAAAAGGGTTGTGATGTCCTTCCTGTAGGAAACATACTCAGGGCAGATGCATGGTTTTTGAGGGAACAGAAGATTCTAGGTAATAAACTCAACAAATGATAAAACTGGAAAACCATCATTTGAAACCCCCAATGAAATGGTGACTCTAGGCCCTCAGAGGATGCTGGTCAGGGGTTGATGGGATCGTCACGATGAGGGTTCAGGGTTGCCTCAAACCCTCTAAGCACTTTCTCCTGAGTGGACGCTGCTCAGGGGTTGATAGGATCTTCACGACGAGGGTTCAGGGTTGCCTCAAACCCTCTAAGCACTCGCAGCTTCCCTGAAGTTGGGATGCAGAGACATGATGTCCCGAGGTGGTGCAGCAGGTGGGACACAGTGGGACTGATGAAGCACTTTTGCTTCAAAATCAAACCAGCATCTAATCAAGTCTTGGGGACAGTCATTTTAAAGGAGAGAAAACCATCTGCCAAGCCAGAATGCGGACATTTCACAGAACAGACTGCCTGGCTTCTCTAGTAATAACTTTTGTTTTTAAAGGCAGGAGGACACAGTAGAATGAGACGTGTCAGCCTCAGTGTGTCCTGGTTTGGAGCCTGGTGTGCACGAGCCACCTGTCACAGGCGAGCTTGGCGTGCACGAGCCGACTGTCACAGGCAAGCCTGGCATGCACGAGCTGACTGTCACAGGCATTGTTGGGACAGTGGGGGAAGTCCGAATGTGTCCTGGGTATATAGGGGGGCAAACCTTCTCCTCTATCCTCCTAGGGTCCCTGGTGGAGCCTGAGAATGGAATTGGCCTAAGGCAGGTTGACGGGGAAGAGCATCGGATTTGTTGAATGTGGGGTCTACCTGACACAGAGCCCCCCGGAAAATGAAGAGTTGAGGAGTGGCACAGCCTGCACGCTGCCCTGCGGGGTTGGGCAGAGGCCACTGTGGACAAGCAACCAAATGAGATGGGAGACAGAGGGAAGGCGAGGGCTGTGCTAACAGGTCTGTCTGTGCAGAGCTGCTCAGCTTCGACCCTGTATTAGCCAGGGATCTCTAGAGGGACAGAACGAATGGAATAGATACATATGTAGAGGAGAGTTTATTAGGTATTAACTCACACGATCACAAGGTCCCACAACAGCCATCTGCACGCTGAGGAGCAAGGAGAGCCAGTCCGAGATCCAAAGCTGAAGAACTTGGAGTCCGATGTTCGAGGGTAGGAAGCATCCAGCACGGGAGAAGGATGTAGGCTGGGAGGCTAGGCCAGTCTCTCTCTTCACATTTTTCTGCCTGCTTTATATTTGCTGGCGGCTGATTAGACGGTGCCCACCCAGATTAAGGGCGGGTCTGCCTTTCTCACCCCACTGACTCCAATGTTAATTTCCTTTGGCAACAGCCTCACAGCCACACCCAAGATCAATACTTTGTATCCTTTAATCCGCTGATCAAGTTGACGCTCGGTATTAACCATCACAGACCCCATCTACTGACGAGAACATGCTTTGTTCCTGGCCCAGCAAGGGCGGCTCTCATGGGAGGGTCAGGTCCTGCCTTCAGTGCAGGAGGAAGAGGGGAAGCTGGAGTGCTCTGCATGAGCCTCCTGCTTCTCAGGAACCTTTAAGTAAAGATAATCCTGATGCCAAAGTGGCATATTTTGGGGTGACATGTTCTGCCACTCTCCATGTGACATTAATTTTGTAAAGTGTGATGAATGGCATGGTGATTGTATTCTATTTCTTTTTTTTTTTTTTAGCGATGGGGGGGTCTCACTATGTTGCCCAGGCTAGTCTTGAACTCCTGGCTTATGTGATCCTCCTGCTTTGGCCTCCCAAAGTGCTAGGATTGTAGGCGTGAGCCACCACACCGGGCAAATTGTGCTTTAAAAGTGTTCTTATCATTTAAAAATGCAGCCTGTAATACTCAGCAATACAACGATCTGTTGTCTGGTTTTGAATGTACAGTATGCTGAGGAAAGGGAGGTGGGTTTTGCAGGAGTGTCTGTGAAACAAGACTGGCCGGATATTCCACACTTGTGGCACCGGGCGATTGCACCTGAGGACGTCTTGTGCTGTTTCCCCCATTTCTGTGTACGTTACAAAGTCCCCAGTGAGAACAGTTAAAAAAATGCTGGGCCTCTCCTTCATTCAGCTTATTATGGTGATCACAAGATGAATTTAGAAAGCACATGAAATGCTAAACACTTCACTAACATTGATAATTTTGAATTCAGGAAAATCTCAGGTCATGTAGGACACAATGGCCATTTTGAAGATGATTTTGTGTCACGTTGATTACCATATGCGGTTCTACAAGGCCCGTCACCTGAATCAGTCTGATGATGGTTACGTATTGTAAACTTTAGAAACTCTTTTTCAAAAGGTAGTTTTAGTTAACGGACTGATAGCCTTATACTTTTTAAAAAGGCCAAGAAAATTGTTATAGCCATACTTTAAAATTGCTCTTACTATGTCCCCAGAAAGAAAAACTTTTACAATTCTTTATTTTAAAGTATTATTGATTGATTGATTGATTCAGCTTTATTTAGGTAAAATCGACAAAAATTGTATACATTCGACATCTACAACATGATAATTTAATATACAGATGTATATGATTACCATCCATCTTTGGATGACACATGTGGTAATCAGTTTTACAACTGAGCATGGTGGCTCACACTTGTAATCCTAGCACTTTGGGAGGCCAAGGCAGATGGATCACCTGAGGCCAGGAGTTCGACACCAGCCTGGCCAACATGGTGAAACCCTGTCTCTACTAAAAATACAAAAAATTAGCTGGGCGTGGTGGTGGGCGCCTGTAGTCCCAGCTACTTGGGAGGCTGAGGTAGGAGATCGCTTGAATCCGGGAGGCAGAGGCTGCAGTGAGCTGAGATTGAATCATTGCACTCCAGCCTGGGCAACAAGAATGAGACTCCATCTCAAAACAAAAACAAAAACAAACACAAAACCATACAATCAGTAAAATGATTACCACAGTCAATGGTAATGACTACCAGGATGGCTAAAGAGTAGAAAGGGGGATTTTATCAGTGATATCAGTTTGCAAACTGAGAAGAGACAGTCTCCAGCTCTCTCTGTTAAAAGGTGAACTCCAGGACACACAGTTTGTGCACAGTCTGTATAAGCTGGCCGAAAATAGCTGGAGGTCTGCAGCTGCTTCTCAGGAAAGAATTGTGCAAGGCTGATCCTCTGCCTAATCAGGGTTGCGGTGGTCTGGGTTGTGAATCAGAGTTAGGGATTTTCCTGATGGCTCCCGTTGTTAGGGAGTTTAGCAAGAGTGTGGTTTTTCTTGTAGCCACAGGAATTTAGGAAGCTGTCAGGCAGCCAAGCCCTGAACCTCTGACTCATAGGTACCTTTTATTTCCTTAATCTTAGGATCCATCTTAGTTGATAAAGAAGCATCTATTGGTCTCTCAGATCACATTTCCCTGTTGTGGTCAGTCATAGCTTGGATTTCTGTGGGCCCACAGGCCCTACTGCATCACTCTTATCTTAAATGGCCTGAGAGAGAACTTCATGGATTTGTTGTTCTTTCCTTTAATAGAACATTCTCTTTAGTTTACTTTATGGATTTGGCCTACCTTATGAAGGAATACTGTATGGATTTGGCCTACCTTATGAAAGAATTTCTTCCTTGAAGCCAAAAGAGATTCCCATAAAACCTTTTCCTGAAGCATTTCCTCTGTGTTTTCTTCCAGTAGTTTAATCACTTTGTGTCTCACATTTAGGCCTTTGATCCATTTTGAGTTGATTTCTGTATAGTGTAAGAGGTGGGGGTCTAGTTTCATTCTTCTGTATATGGATTTCCAGTTTTCCTAGTACCATTTATTGAAGAGACCATCCTTTCCTCAATGAGTGTTCTTGACATCTTTGTTAAAAAATCAGTTGACTATAGATATGTTGGTTAATTTCTGGGTTCTCTATTCTGTTCCACTGGTCTATGTGTTTGTTTCTATGCCAGTACCATGCTATTTTGGTTACTATAGCTTTGTAATATATTTTGAGAGCAGGTAGTGTGATTCCTCCAGCTTTGTTCTTTTTTCTCAGCATTTCTTTGGCCTTTTGGAATCTTTTGTGGTTCCATACAAATTTTACAATTTTTTCAATTTCTGTGAAAAATGTCATTGGTATTTTGATAAGGATTGCATTGAATCTCTAGATTGCTTTGGGTTGTATTGTCATTTTAACAATTTTAATTCTTCCAATTCTTGAGCATGAGATGTCTTTCCATTTGTTTGCATCCTCTTCAATTTCTTTCATTAGTGTTTTCTAATTACCCTTTTAGAGGTTTCTCACCTCCTTGGTTAAATTTATTCCTAGGTATTTTAAATTTTTTGCAGCTATTGTATATAAATGGGAGTGCCTTTTAAATTTATTTTTCATTTAGTTCATTGCTCATATATAGAAACAATACTGATTTTTTCATATTAATTTTGTATCCTGCAACTTTACCGAAGTTGTCGATCAGTTCTAAGAGATTTTTGGTAGAGTCTTTAGGATTTTCTATATATCAGATCATGTTATCTTCAAGCAGGAACAATTTGACTTCCTTCTGTATGATTTGGATGCTCTTTATTTCTTTCTTTTGCCTAATTGCTATGACTAGGACTTCCAATACCATATTGATAAGAGTGGTGAGACTTGGCATCCTTGTCTTATTCCAGTCCTTAAAGAAAAAGCTGAAAGATGTTAGGATGTTAGCTGTGGGTTTGTTATATATTGTCTTTATTATATTGAGGTTGTTTTTTTCTATACCTAATTTATTAAGAGTTGTTTTTTTTTATCATGAAAGGATGTTGAATATTTTGAAAAGCTTTTTCTGCATCTTTGGAGATGATCACATGATTTTTGTCCTTCATTCTGTAGATGTGACCCAATTTGTTTAGTGATTTGCATATTTTGAACTGTCCTCACATTTTGGGATAAATCCCACTTCATCATGGTGTATTATCTTTTTGATGTGCTGTTCAATGCAGTTTGCTAGTACTTTGCTGAGAATTTTTGTAACTATGTTCATCAGGAATGTTGGCCTATAGTTTTTTGTTATTGTTTTGTCATTGTCTGGTTTTGGTATCCCGGTTATGCTGGCCTTGTAGAATGAGTTAGCAAGAATTCCCCCTGCTTCAGTTTTTTTTGCAATAGTTTCAGAAGAATTCGTATTAATTATTCTTTAAAGGTTTGGTCGAATTTAGTAGTGAAGCCTTCTGGTCCTAGACTTTTCTTCATTAGAAGACTTTATTACTGACTTGGTCTCATTACTTGTTATTGGTCTGTTCAGATTTTTAATTTCTTTTTTGTTCAATCTTGGTAGATTATATGTATCCAGGAATTTATCTGTTTCTTCTAGGTTTTTGAATTTATTGGCATATGGTTGTTTATAGTAGTTCTGGATGATCCTTTGTATTTTTGTGGTAGCCGTTGTGATATCTCTTTTTCTGTTTCTGATTTTATTTGGGTCTTCCTTCTTTTTTCTGTTAGTCTGGCTAATGGTTTGTTGATTTTCTTTGTCTATTTTAAAAATTAACTTTGTTTCATTGATCTTCTGTATTTCTTGTGTCAATTTCTTTTATTGTGGTTCTAATCTTTATTTATTTTCTTCTATTAATTATGGGTTTGATTTGTTCTTGCTTTTATAGTTCCTTGAGGTGCATCATAATGTCATTTATATGAATCTTTCCAGTTTTTTAATATAGGCATTTATTGCTACAGACTTGGCTCTTAATACTGCTTTTGCTGTGTCCCATAGGTTTTGGAATGATATATTTCTATTTTAATTTGTTTCAGAGAATTTTAACTTTTTTGCTGTGTCCCATAGGTTTTGGTATGATATATTTCTATTTTAATTTGTTTCAGAGAATTTTAAATTTTCATTCTTAATTTCCGCCTTCATCCATTGGTCATTCAGGAGCATGTTGCTCGATTTCCATGTATTTGTGTATTTTCAAATGTTCCTCTTGTTATTGATGTGGACTTTTATTCTGTTATGGTCGAATAAGACACTAGATGTGGTTTTGATTGAAAAAAATTGTTGAGGCTTGTTTTGTGTCCTAACATGTGGTCAATCCTGAAGAATGTTCCATTTGCTGATGAAAAAATGTATTCTGTAGCTGTTGAGTGAAATGTTCTGTAAGTGTCTTCTGGTCCATTTGGTTTATGGTGCAGTTTAAATCCAATGTTTCTTTGTTGATTTTATGTGTAGATGATCTATCCAATGCTGAGAGTGGGGTGTTGAAGTCCTCAGTGAATATTGTATTGGGGCCTATCTTACCCTTTAGATCTAATAATGTTTGCTTTATATATATATGGGTGAAAATATATTTACAATTGTCATATTCTCTTGCTGAATTGATCCCTTTATTGTGTAATGTCCCTCCTGTCCTCTTTTTTATGGCTTTTAACTTGAAGTCTGCTTTATCTTACATAAGTAAGGCTACTCCTGATTGCTTTTGGTTTCTCTTTGCTTGGAATATTTTTTTCCATCCCTTCACTTGCAGACTATACGTCTCTTTACAGTTGAGGTGAGGTGAGTTTCTTGTAGACAGCATATAGTTGGGTCTTGTTCTTTAATCTGTCAGGCAGTTTACATCTTTAAAGTGGGAAATTTAATTTGTTTACATTCAAGATTATTATTAATAGGTGAGGACTTACTCTTGTCATTTTATTGACTGCTTTTTGATTGTTTTGTCTATCCTTTGCTTCTTACTTCCTCTCTTATTGTTTATTTTTTGCATTTAGGTGGTTTTCTGTAGTGAGTCTGATTCCTTTTGGTATCTTCTTTTTGCATTGGCTATACAAGTGACTTTTATAGTTTTGTATTTTTTATGATGGTGGTTATTGTCTTTTCACTTCCACATGTAAGACACCCTTGAGTATTTCTTGTAAGTCCCGTCTTGTGGTAATGAATTCTTTTAGTTTTTACTTGTCTGTGAAAGATTTTATTTTTCTTTCATTTCTGAAGGATAGCTTTGCTGGGTATAATATTATTGGCTGAATTATTTTTTTCTTTCAATCAGCAGTTTGACTATATTATCCCATTCTCTCCTGGACTGCAAAGTCTTTGCTGAGAAATCCACTGTTGGTTTAATGGACTTATATGTGACTTAATGCTTTTCTCTTGCTGCTTTTAAAATTATTTGTCTTTGACTTTTGACAATTTTCCTACAATGTGCCTTGGAGAGGACCTGCCTGGGGGTTCTTTGAGCTTCCTGGACCTAGATGTCCATTTCTCTCACAAGACTTGGGAAGTTTTCTGCTGTATTTTTATTAAATATGTTTTCCTCAGCTTTTCTCTTCTCTTTCTGGAATGCCCATAATACAAATATTGATTCACTTAATGCTGTCCCATAAATCCTGTGAGCTTTCTTCATTATTTTTTATTATCTCTCTTTCCCTCTGTCTGCCTGTGTTATTTCAAAAGACCTGTCTTCAAGTTTAGAATTTTTTCCTTCCTATTTGGTCTAGTCTGTTGTTGAAGCTCTCTATTGTATTTTTTATTTCTCTATTATATCATATATTTCATTGAATTCTTCAGC
Source organism: Homo sapiens (assembly GCF_000001405.40). Classification (NCBI taxonomy): domain Eukaryota; kingdom Metazoa; phylum Chordata; class Mammalia; order Primates; family Hominidae; genus Homo; species Homo sapiens. The sequence continues at coordinate 168,012,024 of NC_000006.12, forward strand.
TCTAAGATTTGATTCTTTTTTATAATTCTGTCTCTTTATTGTATTTTTCATTCAAATTATGAATTGTTTTTCTATGTTCATTGAATTGTCTGTATTTTCTTGTATCTCACTGAGTTTCCTTAAGATTGTTATTTTGAATTCTTTTTCTGGTATTTCATATATTTCCTTATAATTAGGTTCTGTTACTAGAGGATTATTACTTCCCTTTGGAGGTTACATATTTCCCTGCTTTTTCATGGTTGCTGTGTCCCTAACATTGACTCCTATACATCTGGTGAAAAAATTGTCTCTTCCAATTTTATGGAGTAGGTTTCAGGAGGAAAGACTTAGGGTGCATGGTTCTAGATGGACACAGCAATGTAGTCTCCATATTGTTCCTTTAGCTGTCATACACACTAGTGGTGTTTGTGAGTTTCTCAGTGGCCTACAGTGAGGGAGTCTGTGGTAACAGTGATGCGGCTTTTCCAAGGGTAGGCTCTCAGGCTATATCTCGGGTTCGGGATACACACATGCACACGGTAGGTCACCCAACATGGGGTCTGGCTCATTGGAGTTGGAGCCACATGGCTGTTCCTCCGGCCAGAAGCATGGGCACACAGTTGCTTAGCTGACCTGGGAGTGTGCCTGCCAGGAGTGACTTGTAGGGTTGTTTCTCTGATCCAGGACACCGACACAAGGCTGCTCAGCTCGTCTGGGGTGTGTCTGCTGGGGCCAATTCAAGGGGCTGTTTCCCATGTCTGGGTCACAGCTGCGTGACTGCTTGGCTGGCCTGAGGGTGTGTTTGCCAGGGGCTGCCCACAGGGCTGCTTCTCAGGCCTGGGACGAGGGCACATGGCTGCTCAGCTGGCCTGAGGTATATCTGCCAGGGGTGACCTGTGTGGCTGTTTCGTGGGTTTGGAGTACAGGTTTCAGGCTGTGTGGCTGGCCTGGGATGTGTCCACCAGGGGTGAACTATGCGGCTGTTTCTTGGGCCTGGGGTACAGGTGCAAGGCTGCATGCCTGGCTCGGGGATATGCTTACTGATGGTGGCTGAGAAACGGGGCTGTTTCTCAGGTGCTTATTGGGCAGGTGAGGAGCATGTCTGTAGGGTGTTGGGGTACTGTGGGGCTGTTTCTCATGTCCTGAGCACAGGTGCCCAGCCCCTCCTCTGGCCTGGAGGTGTATTAGCCACTAGGAGGCTCAGGTGCCTCTCCTGCTTGGGGAAAGGTGAACAGCAGCTTGGCTAACTCAAGGGCAGGGTTGCTGTGGGTGGGACTGCCAGGTTCCTCCAGCTGGTAGGGCAGTGATGGGGGTTGGTTTCCCTGCTGTGCAAGGCCGGAGTCACAGCTGATCCTGGGCCCGGGATCCATGCAGCTGGGGTTGTGACGTTCAGCCACCCGTGTAGGCTTGGAGTCATGAAGATGGAGCTCCAAGGCTGGAGAATGGCTGTGGTTTCCATTCCCCAGAGCAGGGTATGCTCCAGAGGTGGCTCTGGTCTCAAGATGGGGCTGTGCTGCAGCAGCTTGGCTCACAGGGATGGCTGGGGGGTGAGCAGTGCACACCTTGTGCTCCTAATCTGGGGCCATGGAGCTGTGTCGTGAATTCTCTGCAGCTCCCAAATGGCTGAGGGCCTGTGAGGACTGCAGGATTCCCCTGCTGTAAGGACTGTAGGTGTTTTCTGTGGGGGCTGGTGGGGATCTGCTGCTTCCCTTTCCCTGCAAGGGGAAGTCCCTTCTGCCTGGGCAGATCTGACCCAGGCAGGGGAGATGGGGCTGCAGAAGCCAGGTGCCTCCCCTCTGCCTTCCTGGACTTCCGGTCAACACAGGTGCCTCTCCACTCCCATGCTGCACTGCACACTCTGCCAGATCTTAGCTCTCTTCCTTCCACATAGTCCGAGCTCAGCTGTGTAGTCATTGCCTTGGTCCTTTCTTGGGCAGAGGGAGCTGAGCACCAGCTCTCTCTCATCAGCGTCTTGCTGACTTTGCTCCCACCATGCAAATATATATATATATATATTTATCTCACTTGATGCCTTAAGCACCAGTATTCTTGAGTCAAACAAAAGGAGACAGATTAAATCCTCATGATCAGGACTTCGTGTTAACAGGAGCCCTTGGGACCTTATCAATCCCCTCCTGTTATAAGTGAACACACAGAGTATTTGTGGTTAGTAATTGCCTTTCTACGCTTCCCTGTTTGCATCCTGGTTAACCTGAAGGAGTTTTTCAGTGAGGAAATGCATCCTGAGGCTGAGGCCTGGCCCCAGCCCCTGGGGAAAGCTTATTATGATTATTAACATCACTGTTTGTTGTTACTGTTCCTTGTTACTTTATTCATTCTCTTGGCAGTCCTCTCCCGTTCCTGCCAAAGTTCCACCGAATCTTCAGATTTGGATATTTGAGGTTTTCCATCTTACTCGTCAAAATAGAATAAAATTTTATTGGGACATTTTGGATTCTGTTTTTAAATCAGAATCCAAGATGTTGCTTTTTAATTTGATAGGCCTGTTCATTGAAGGGCTTCATGCCATCAAATCTGCTGAGAAAGCAAATGATCCGTTTTGTGACCTTGTATCTCCTGGCTCCCACGTTATGTTTTTATTTCCAAAAGTCTAAAGAGAGTTTGAGTTTGTATTGGACGTGTAACACGGCACTTCATTTCCATTTGCAATCTAACTCAGCATTTCATCGTTTGGATTCAATCTATTAATAAAGTCGATCTCAGATGGAGAATCTGGCTGCTGCCCTAGTTCCTGGTAGCTGTCTTAAAGGCTATTTATTTTCATTTTTCATTTAATTTATATCCACTCTGTTGATAATCAGACATGGGAGAACAGATTTCTGGCTTTGTATCAAGTTCTTGTTGGACTGTCTTTGTTCGTCCCTGATTCTCCCTTATTGTTAAGTTTGACAGTTACTGACCTGAATGTCTGAATATAGTCAACAGAGCCTATGTATCAAATGACACTTATTTAGTTACATGCAGCCAATGTAAAGCATATTTTTCTGGTGGTGCTTGGCAGAACTGATAGATTTGATACACCTGAGACAAAATTTTTAATGGTCAGAGACTGTATGGTCCTTAATACATTACTTGTTCTTTTTTAACGTGGGTTCGCTGGGCCTTGAACCACCATCCACAGGACTGATGATATCCACAGCAGGCAGCCTTGGCTTGCACGGAGCTTGTAGATGTGCAGTCCCTCCCTCCTGGCTGTTTTGTGTCTGCCTCTGGGAGAGTCCCTGACTCTGTCTGCATGTTGCTCACGGGTCTCCTCTTCCTCTCAGGTTTCCTTACTTAAAATGGAGAGGGTGAATTCAATGTACTTTTAGCTCTAAAATTTGATGGCAAAGAATTTTATGCCCCAAGTGCTTTTAAAGTTATCCTAGGAAATTGGATATAAATAAAAAACTAGATGCTACAGCATGTAAATGTAAGGAAAACAGTTTTTACTGATCATTGCCTCTGAGCCAGGTGCTTTTCACAGGCTGTTTCATGGGAACCTTGTGATTCCAGAGGCAGGGGCCATGCGTCCCCCATGCAGTTGTGTTCAGGCCTCTTCAGGGAAGTGGCTCCAGATGGGCAGTCCCATCTTGAAAAGAAGGATGCTGTCAAGAGCTTGAAAATTTTGATAAAAGAAAGTTGTTTAAAAAGCCAAGAGAAATGAATCCTTCTTGTGAGATTAAGGGTATTTAGTATCATGAGTGGGGAGGGTTTTTGGACAGGCAGGAACGCATTGAAGCTGTTTGGAAAAACTAAACTTTGCTGTGGAATAATTTCAGATGTTTAAAATCGAACGATCTCACTGTGGAATGAAGTTCTAAATAGCATGGGGACCCTTTGGACTCAGGCTTGTTTTTATGGCTTTGCACGTTTCTTGTATGGTGTCCCTTGAGCTTTCGGGTTAGACACTGTAGACCTTTGTGGTTTTCGTTTGCTTTTCTTTATGGTTAAAGCTTGGACATTTGAAGACAGCAGTAAAACACTCTGGGGTGTGTGTTCCTGTACGGTTCATACTGGAGCACTAGGATTACATTCTGGCATAGCATCAAAGGAACGGTCCCCGAAGTGGACAGCAGAAAAATGAAAATATGCCGCGAGAAAGGAGCAAAGGGCCTAGGCTGGCGGTTGGATTAGGGACTGGGAGGTCTGTTCTTATGGCGAGGCCAGGGGCTTGGTCCTGGCGGGTGTCGGAGTTTTGCTTCGGTGTTTTGAGCGTGAAGGGAACTGAAGAGCTGCTTCTGGCTTAGGGGATGTGACATTATCATGTAAGAACATGCAGGTTCCGAAACAGTTTCTGGTACACAGTGACTGCCCAGTAAATACTCAGCAGAGACATAAGCTTCTTCTGTGAAAGCCGTGCCGGAGCACGAGCACGCGCAACCTCCACATCCTGGTGGTCGTTTCTGTGCTGCGATGGAGACCACGGACCGCCCCAGCCACCGGCTGCTCCTCCCGGCATTGCCAGAGTCACTGTGGTGGGGCCTGCATCCCCACCCACTCTCCCAAAAGTCATCCCAGGAAATTGGATACAAATCACGGTAGCAAGTGACCTCCCAGTCTACCAAATCCAATAAAGAGTTTTAAACAAGGACCCAAGCGACCTCTCCCCAACAGGTGGCATTCTGCGTCACCCACTCCCTCCCTCTTAACTTTCTTTCTTTGGCTTCGGTGACTTCATCTGCTTTCTTCTTTTCTAATTTGCATTTGAGAAAGATTTCTACAGCAACAACATAAAGGACAGGTGGGAGGGGTGCTGGACTGGAGGCAGAGGCCAGTTAGGGGATAGCCAGGGCGCTGTTTCATTACACTGGACAATAGCAGTGGGCATGGGGCAGGGAGCAACCCAAGGCTGCCTACGAGGCACAGCCGAGGCTCTGTCCCCAGGCAGCGCGGGGCTGAGGCTGGCGTTCCGTCATTGCTTCCTGAGCTGCCCCACTGAGAGACACGCCGGGGATTCCCACGGCCTCTCACCTCTGGCAAGACAGGACAGGTTCACTATTTGATTATCTCAGCATTTCACATCGGAGACCTCACAGAATCCAGAGGCAGCAATAGTCCGGCAGCTGCCCACGACTGCCCGTCCAGCAGTAAGCGAGTAACAAACAGCAACAACAACCACAAACAGCTGTTGAATCTCACAGCTTTTGTCTTTATAAAATAGGCCACTTCTTTGACATGTTATTGCAGACACACACACACAGACACACACACTACTAAGAAGAAGGTGTGGAGGTATCATCCTAGCATCCGCTAAACACTGTTATGGAAAAAATCCAGTGCCTCTGGGTTATTCGCCACTGCAGTTGTGGTTTTCATTCTCCCTATCACCCCTGCTATTTCATGAATACACATTTTGTTTTAGAACTGGAACCAATCCAGGTTCATCTTTTCTTTGCTTAAGTGAAACTAAACTAATTTCAGATTTCTTGCTGAAAAATGCCTTTGCTTCCCTTACACAGGATATAATTTAAGAATACAGTCCAGCAAGATCGAAATTTGTTTTTGAAACAGACATGTTAGTTCCACTGGTTACGATGGAATATAATGATGTCTGAGATGTGATTTTTTTGCCATTTGAAAACCTCTCCTGCGAACTGTCAAGGGCCCTTAGAGTCAGTAATTTGGGTGTTGAACCCTCAGCCTGTGGCAGATTGAGGAGCTCTGTTGTGTGTTCCCCAGTAGATGCGACTTTCTTCTTCTCTTTATGGGGGTCGGCAAACCTTTTTGGGAAAGGGCCAGGGAGTTAATATTTTCGTCGTTGAAGGCCACGTGGTCTCCAACTCAATCATCCAGCTTTGCCCTTGAGGAAGAAGCAGCCATACACAGTCTGTAAACAAAGGACGGGGCTGTGTTCCAGGCAAACTTTGTTGTTTACAAAAACAGGCGGCAGGCTGGGGTTGGTGGGGCTTGTGTTTAATTAACGCAGCACACAAAGTCTTATGACGTCGTTTTACTCTTTTCTCTCAGGAAACAATTCTGGTGAAATGTGATCGTCCTGGCCACCCTCTGATTGATAAGACATATCATTTTGAAAGGTAAGTGCTTTTCAAGATGTCCTATAAAGCAAACTTCCATATTAAAAATACAAATTTTGCATTGGGGTTTGAGTAATGAAATATGTAATTTATCCTATCATTTGACTAATTGTGATTATAAATACAGACGGTCCCTGAGGTAGATTTTTCAACTTTAGGAAGGTGTGAAAGAGATACACATTCAGTAGACACTATGTCTCGAGTGCCCATTACAACCCTTCTGGTTTTTGCTTTCAGTACAGTACTCAGTAAACTACGTGAAACAGTCAACACTTTAGTGTACAAGCTTTCCATTTGGTGATTTTGCCCACCTGTAGGCTAATGTGTGTGTTCTGGGCACACTTAAGGCAAGCTAGGCTGAGCTACAATGCTTGGTAAATTAGGTGTATCAAATGCATTTTCAACTTGCAATATTTTCAACCTACAATGGGTTTCTCAGGTCACAACCCCATCATAAGACGAGGGACATCTGTAATCCATATGTTCATTGTTTTAAGTAAATAGACATTTTTTATATATCCAGTTTGTTGATAGTAATTTCGTTGTGATGATAGCAACTAACAATAGGGCTTTCTGTCAGATGCCTTCCTCGGCACTGGGTCGTGGTGTATTCCCAGGGTGGTAGGAGAGCCCCGGAAGGCTCAGAATCAATGCGCGTGGCCTTTGGAAAGCCCTGCTCATCCTCCTTCAGCTACCAAGGGCTGGCTGAGTGGTCCTGCTCCCAGGCTCTGTCCTCCTGCTCCTCGGAAGGACGTCAGTGCCTGAGGCCTCTTCCTCTCCCCGGCAGCAGCCTGTGTCGCTCGATAGGGTCACATCTGGAGAAGGGCAGAGGGTTCCCCTCAAGCCTCCGCTGAGCACTGACCAGCACAGGAGCGGTAAGAAGGAGGAGGCCAGGAAAGAACCACCGGGGAGGAGCCCGGGAGAAAGTCTGCAGAGCTCACACAGGCCTGGGAATTGTGAGTGCTCCCGCCGGGGCAGAAATACCTCGTGATACACAAGGCCTTGGGTAGAGTGAGAAGTTAGCCCTGGAGTAAAGGCTGCTGGTGCCATGCGGCAGAACTTAAATGCAAGCCTCGAGGGGTCAAGTTGTTTCCAAGTAACTGCTGGCATCCCATAATAAAGCCGAAGAAAAATTACTGGGATTGGAGGGTCAAAACATGGCGCACCCAGTTAGGAGTAATTAGCAAAGTCTGACATCAAAAATTACCAGACATGATTCAAGGAAGTAGGAAAATATGACCTCTGATGAGAAAACTCAGGCAACGGAAATAGAGCGAGAAATAACACAAATGATAGAATTAGTAAAGAAGGTGAAAACAGTTGTTATAAATCTGTGTGTTCAAGGAAGTAGAGGAAAATGTAAACACGTTGAGTGGAGATATGAAAAATTATAAAAAGACCCAAATAAAACATCTGGAGATGAAAAAAATGCCATAGAGGAGACGCGAACGTACTGGTTGGGATGCAGGAGAAAGACGGGTGAGCTTGAGGCCGCAGCAACAGAAATGACCAACGTGAAACCAGGGAGACTCCATAGCGAGTGGACAGAGTGGGCTCCGGGGACGGCTGGGCTGACGCAAGCCCCACAGTGCGAATGAGCTTGAGGCCCCTGGACGGCACACTTGAAATGGTGAAAATGTCAATTTTGTTATATGTATTTTTTTACCACAATTAAAAAGGAAGTGAACAGAGCATCATGGCGCCATGGGACCATGATGTATTGGCTTCCAAGAAGCCAAATACAGCGGGAGTTGCAGTCCCAAAAGGTGACGGGAGTGGGCGCTCAGAGAACATTTGAAGAAGTCGGCCGGAGGTGGGGCGCGGTGGCTCACGCCTGTAATCCCAGCACTTTGGGAGGCCAAGGCGGGTGGCTCACGAGGTCAAGAGATCGAGACCATCCTGGCCAAATGGTGAAACCCTGTCTCTACCAAAAATACAAAAATTAGCTGGGTATGGTGGTGCACACCTGTAATCCCGCTGCTTGGGAGGCTGAGGCAGGAGAATCGCTTGAACTCAAGATGTGGAGGTTGCAGTGAGCTGAGATTGTGCCACTGCACTCCAGCCTGGTGACAGAGTGAGACTCCATCTCAAACAAACAAACAAACAAACAAACAAACAGAGAAACACCAGAGATAAAATGACCAGAGTGAAAAGACACGTTGAAGACTCAGGGTCAGACATGAAAATGACCTTAGGCTTCTCCACAGAGCAATGCAAATCAAAAGATACAGGACCAGCACCTCTAAAGTACGGAAAGAGAAACAGTCCATCCAGAGTTCTGTGCCAGTGAAAATGTCTTTCAAATACAAAGACATTTCCAGACATGGGAAAGCTGAGAGAATTAATCGCCAGAGACACACCACAAGGAGTGTACAACGGATTCTGTCCTGAAGGACATGTGGGCATATGCAAAAGACGCTTTTTCTTATTAAAAAAAAAAAACTCTTCCAAATCTAGTTAACTGATTAAAGAAAAATAACAATGGATTGTGGAGCTCATGACACATGCAGACATAAAATGCACGTGAGCAACAGTGTGAAGGCTGGGAGTGGGCGTGCAAGTGTACTTTCGTATGGTCCTTATTTGGTATGTTAGGCGATAGAATCCGATTGCAGGCAGCCTCTAAGTTACATATGGTAAACCCTAAAACAACCACCAAAGACAATAACAAGCTAGAGATATATACAATAAGCTAACAAAAAAAGATACATGGAATTATAAAAAATCCTCAATCAAAAATAAATGTCAGGAAAAAGGGAAAGAGGATTTAAAAGATGGAAAAAGGAAAGGGATGGAAAAGATATATTTACCTGAATGCTAACATTAATCAGAGGAAAGCTGTTCTATATCTCAATAAAGCTATTTTAAAAACAAATAAAGGCGGTCAATACAATGGCAACCCAAATCATAGCAGGATGTTTTGTAGAAACGAAAAAGCTGATGATAAAATTTATATGGAAAGGTGAAGGAACTATAATAGCCGAAACAACTTGGGAAAAGGACAGAGTTGGAGGACTCACACTACCCGATTTAAAGACTTAAAATCATTAAGACAGCGTGATAGAGGCAAACCAACAGACACATCATCAATGGAACGGAGAAGAGTTCAGAAATAAACCCACACAGATGCAGGCAGCTGACTTTAATAGTTTTACTCTTTTAATGGTGGGGGCTGTCCTCTTAATTTATAGTATTCTGAGATATCTACCTTCCATGTTGTTAAGAGAATTTTTCTGGAAGAGCAGGAGAAACCCATTTTCTATAAAATATCTGTCCCAACATCAAAGTCATCAAAAGAAGCAGCAAGAACCGACCCTGCCTCCCCAGCTTCCGCTGCTTCAGAGGAGAAGCTCCCTCGAAGACAGATCATGGTGAAGTTTTCCCCTTTCTCTCTGCTTCAAATGACGCACGAGTTTACATACTGTGCTAACCTATTTCTGTTTATACAATTCATGTGCTTTTATATATAAAATTTATAATTGTAGAAAAATATACCTGACATAAAAGTTTACCATTTTAGCCATTTTTAAGTATACAGTTCAATGGGACAAAGTATGATCTGGTGCAACCATCACCACTATCCATCTTCACAGTGTTTTTTGTCATCCAATCCTGAAACTCCAAACCCATTAAACACTGAATTGCCTGTCTCCCCTCCCTCAGCTGCTGGTAGCCACTGTTCCATTTTCTGTCTGAGAAGTCTTATCTAAGGCATCTGTGCATTTTATCGAAGTCTGGTAGGGAAGGGATGTTCTTTGCAATAAGCCATTCTGGAAATTACAGATAGTGCTGGGATTTCTTAGCCTTTGCGGTCGTTCAGGATCTCAGAGCATGGGTAAAGTTCAACGTTATCAATTTTTTCTCTAGATGCTTTTAAGAGTTTTCTCTCTGACTTCAGTGTTCCAAATCAAAGTGAAGCTGCACTGTTTCACTCGGCAGTTGCTGAGTTTTTTGTTTGTTTTATTTTATTTTATAATACTGCTTGGGACTTTTAATCTTTGAATTAATGTCATTCTTTAAGTTGAACAATTATCAGGCAAAATCTTTTTAAAAGTACTTTCTCTCCTTCTATCTATATCCTTTTAATGAAATTCCTATTAGATATAGATTAGACCTTTTCATTCTACCATCTGTGTCTCTACCATTACCCGCTTTTGAGATGATCGCCTTCCTTGTATCTCTCTGCTGCATTCTGGGTAATTTTCCTGTGACAATCTTTTAATTAATTCACTTATTCTCTCTTCATCCATGGGTAAACTTCCATTTAACCCATCTGTTTTTCGTGCTTGTAAATTATTTGGCTCATTTTTAAATCTTCTTACCCTTTTAAAAATAGTCTTCCATTTTCCTTATGTTTTGTGTTCCTTATTTTGTATCTTTACTGATTTATTTTTTATTTTTTAGTGACAGACTCTCACTCTATCACCCAGGCTGGAGTGCAGTGCTGCAATCATAGCTCTCTGCAGCCTTGAACTCTTGGCCTCAAGTGATTGTCCCACCTCAGCCTCCCGAGTAGCTAGGATTACAGGCATGACTTTATTCATGTTTAACATTGTTTTCTTAAGTCTCTTTCAGAATGTTCTATTGTGTCTGGTTCTTGTGGCGGCTGCTGTATTACTTGTATCTTTGTTGCCACTGACTGTAGTGATTTATTTATTTTGTGTTTTATAAGTTTTTACTGCGAACTTATCTTTGGTGAGGAGTTTTTTTGATTGTTTGTTGTTGTTGTTTTTTTTTTTTTTTTTGGTAGGAGACTTGTGTACTCTTGGCTGTGGGTTTGCAACTATGATTTTTCCTGCAAGGGCCTGGGGTTTCACAAAAGTTCTGAATCAGTTTTCAGGTAACGTTTGTGGTTTGTGATTTCTCTGCCCTGTGGGCTCCTTGCATTTGGATTCTGTGCTCACTTGCGGTGCAGGTGTGAGGCTTTGATTGCTCACAGGAGACCTGACTCCTCATCTAGACTCTCAGGCACGTGGAATACTTTCTTACCACTTATCTGGACCCCCTTTTCAGGGACTAGGCCTATCTTTGAGTGCCCTGGACTTGCACAGCCATGGCACCTCCATGTCCTGCCTGCTGTCTCCAGAGGGCAGAAAACCCTGCCTTGTAAGCCCTGTTGCTTCTGTCTGGATTGGTTCCTCAGCCTGGGTGCTTGCAGTACCAACTCAAGCCTTCTACCCAGCCTTTTTCCACTCTTCATTTCTTGCACCTAGGAAGTTTCCTTCTTCCTTTTTTTTTTTTTTTTTTTGAGGAGTCTTGTTCTGTTGCCGAGGCTGGAGTACAGTGGCACAATCTCAGCTCACTGCAAGCTCCACCTTCTGGGTTCGAGCGATTCTCCTGCCTCAGCCTCCCAAGTAGCTGAGACTTCAGGCATGCACCATCACATCCGGCTAATTTTTGTATTTTTAGTAGAGACAGGGTTTCACCATGTTGGCCCAGCAGGTCTTGAACTCCTGACCTCAAGTGATCGGCCCACCTTGGTCTCCCAAAGTGCTGAGATTACAGGCGTGAGCCACCATGCTGGCTAATATTTGTATTTCTAATAGAGACCGGGTTTCACCATGTTGGCCAGGCTGGTCTTGAACTCCTGAACTCAAGTAATCCATCCGCCTCAGCCTCCCAAGGGCTAGGATTAAAGGCGTGAGCCACCGTGCCCAGCCAGTTTCCTTTCTTTCTTCCCTTCAACGTCAGCAGCATATTTTAAAACATATTTTGTTTCTATTTTATCTGCATTACTTACATGTTGGTTAGGGGAGAGAAAGGGAGTTGTATCTTAGCCACCATGTGTCGCGATCTGGTGCTTCAGAGACAGTGCACTTTGCAGAATGTGTTTTACTACTCAAGGATTGCAATAATATTAGAATCTGTATAGTCTCATGCATTTTTATTATTTACTGAAAAACATTTTATTTGTATATCTAAAACCAAATAACTTGATTTTTTTCCCCTAAAATAATCATATTTAAAAATCTCACTATGAATACTCAAGAAAATTTTCATCAGTTTCACATGTAATAAAGTAGCTTCCTGAAGAAACTTCCATACACGGTGCTGGTGGTTCAATGGATTTAATTTGTAAGAGCAAAGCCAGTCTTCACGTGCAAAAGCTTTTTCTCATGTCTGTGCACTAAAAACAGTATAGAGAAAAATGATACTTTTTATCAGTGTAGAAAAGAAGCAAATTTATGAGCACTTTGGAGTAATAGCCCCATGGCTTAGCTTCATCATGTTTGTTTATGCAAACACTTGTGGAACTTTGCTTCCTCGTGACACACAGTTTTTTTTACAATCCTTCACTGGGCTGACCTTTCTTCCACTATTGATTTTGTCCTCTTTTGATGACTCAATTATGCAGGGGAATAATCTTAGTAAAAACCTCTCTCTTTTTTTTTTTTTTTTTTTTTTTTTTTTTTACTGTGCTTCAGAGTAATCTGGTGTTGGGCTAGGTAAGGAGGGAAATGGGGTTGGCCTGACTCCTTCCAGGAGTTTATACCCTAGTTGAGAACTAGGCTTGGGATGGGAGGCTTGGGAGATCTTTACAATGATAAGTAATATCAACGTTGGCAGAATAAGGTGAAGCAATCAAAATAGGTGACATAATTGGCCAAGGATGGAGAAGAAAGGAATGTTCGGGGCCGGGCACGGTGGCTCACACCTGTAATCTCAGCACCTTGGGAGGCCAAGGCGGGTGGATCATCTGAGGTCAGGAGTTCAAGACCAGCCTGGCTGGCTGGGCACGGTGGCTCACGCCTGTAATCCCAGCACTTTGGGAGGTCTAGGTGGGTGGATCACCTGAGGTCAGGAGTTCGAGACCAGCCTGGTCAACATGGTGAAACCTCATCTCTACTAAAAATACAAAAATTAGCTGGGCGTGGTGGCACACGCCTATAGTCCCAGCTACTCGGGAGGCTGAGGCAGGAGAATCGCATGAACCCGGGAGGCAGAGGTTGCAGTGAGCCGAGAATGTGCCACTGCACTCCAGTCTGGACGACAGAGTGAGATTCTGTCTTCAAAAAAACGAAAAAGAAAGAAAGGAATGTTTGGAATGGAACAGGGTTAATGAGGGAAGCACCTCTGGGGAAGAGGCCTTGAGCCTGGACTCAGCTCTGGAGGTTTAGGTGGGACAGGCATCCCAACAAAGGACAGAGACTCATCAGAGACGCGGGGACGCTCACTGATGAAGGACCTGGGGGTGTGGCTGGGGAATGTCTCCTTCGTGATGAATTCTTCTCAGTTTCCCTGTGTCCCTCGGTTGGAGGCCGCTGCTCCAACTTCTCATTTCCCGCTCCTGCTTCATCTCTTGGAATAGTGTTTGGCACATTATAGTATCTGCTTCTACTATCGTCTTCCCAACTGGAACACGAGCCCCGCGGGGCTGGGGACAAGGTCTTACCTTGCATCCCAATAAATGAGCATTTCATTTAAATTGTGTTTAAAATCGTGGCTTGCTGGATGATGGCTGAACCGTGTCAGCTGGTGTCGGTGGTAGATACATTGTGGTAAAAGCTTTTTCCTTCCTCCCGACCCCACCTCCAATCCTTGCAGTTTACTGTTACACACCCTAGACTTGACTTGGGAAGTAAACAGCGCCAGCTTAAGGAAGCACGTGGCCTATTGATAAAGGATTGGGCTGAATGTTTAGAGCCAAATGCACCCTTCGGTTAAAGTGCTGAAGGATTCAATGCGCACCTTCGGGTGCTTAGCACAGAGCTGCTGAGAAGGAATAAAGTAGGGTCGGATTAGGAATAAAAAGTTTAAAGTATGATCCTTTCCCCACGCGGCTTACACACAGGCTGTGGGTATCGGTCATCACCGCAAAGCAGCCAGAGTCCCACAGAGTGTGCGGCCGAGTACTGAGTGACAGAGAAATTCCTGTGGGCAAGAGAGTCACAGAGTGGCTAGAGCTTGAGCTGGGTGGAGTTTAGTTACATACGTCACCTACACGTAGCCCTTGGCAGTCTCCAAGTACTTTCAGGCCGTTGGTCGTCCCAGGAGGACCTGAAGAGGAAGCTGCGGGGGGCACCACCGCCCAGTCTAGTTAAACGATGGCTTTTAGTAAGCGTTGGATTTGGGCAGAAGGTCTCAGTCTTTGGGTTACACCAGGCTGCTGCTCAGGTCAGTGGAGAAGCACAGGCAAGGGCACTGTGGTGGGGAAACCACCCTCGGGGATCGTGTGACCTTGTTTTGGGGAAGAAGGAAGTGGAGCAGCACAGTTCATGCCGACACGTGTCTTCTCAGAGGGCCCTGTCTCAATATGAATACGCTGAGGGTCGAAGGGAAACATCAAAATTGTGCTGTTAGAAGTGAACAGAAAAATGGAAGAATTTGTGCAACTTGCTGTCTATCTATAGAGTTAGGGGAGACTTTAAATATAAATCTCTGCAAGAATTCATTCTGGGGTAATATTGTTTAGCATTCAGGATCACCGTGTTTTTATAAACAGTGGAGCATATGGTTCTTATGAAATCAGAACATTGTTGGTTTTTATAACAGCTTTTTATGGAACTAACGAATGTCAAAATATTTTATTTCCATTCTAAAAAAAATTCCAACACTTTCAGCCCTTAACTTATTTTAAAAATAAATTTGTATGAGGGGGAAAGTTCAATTTTACTATTCAGAAAAAATATTAATAGGTCCAGGGTAAGAAGAAGGTTATTTTCTAAGTGAAATAAAAATATTATTTAAAAAAGGCAAACCAAAAGTAATGCCACTGATCCAAAATGCAAGGAGAAAAAGAATAAGTCATGTTCATTGTTTTGAGAAGAATTCATTTATCAGGAAGCTGAAGGACTGCTGGCTGTATTCTTGTAGAACAGGAATTTACAATGTGATATTCCTAACTGACACATTTGTGTGAAATTTCTATAGTCGTTCAAGTTCAAGCATTTTTCTGAGCACCTATTATGTGCCAGGCACCCTGTTAGACACAAGGGATGTAGGTGAGAGGAAGGCAGCATTTTTGCCACCAAGACCTAGAGCTGTAGGGACCGTTCCCAGGAGGCTGCGCTGAGCTCAGAAGCCACCAACACAGCAGTGGGGCAGGAGGCAGAGATGGGGGAGGCCCTCGACCTGGGGCTTGACAGCTCAGCTAACCAGGAGTTAACCAGGCATAGAAAAAGGGAAAGGTGGCCGGGGGTGGTGGCTCACGCCTGTAATCCTAGCACTTTGGGAGGCAGAGGCGGGCAGATTGCCTGAACTCAGGAGTTCGAGACCACCCTGGGCAACATGGTGAAATCCCGTCTCCACTAAAATACAAAAAATTAGCTGGACGTGGTGGCACACACCTGTAGTCCCAGCTACTTGAGAGGCTGAGGCAGGGAGAATCGATTGAACCAAGGAGACAGAGGTTGCAGTGAGCTGAGATTGGGCCATTGCACTCCAGCCTGGGCGACAGAGCAAGACTCTGTCTCCAAAAAAAAAAAAAAAAAAAAAGAGAGAGAGAGAAAGAAAAAGGGAAAGGAGATTCCAGGTTGGGGGGAAAATGGTCAAAGTTATGAAGAAAAAGAATGAGAATGACAGGGTCCAAGCACAGGAGCCTTGGGTGTGGCTGGACATGACTGTGGGAGGTGGGTGCTGGGGGTGCCAGGTCCCAGGGCCAGCTTCCCACTGGCACCGGGACCGCCCCTCCTCCCCGGACAGCCGCGTGGGCAAGGCCGGCTTCCCTCCACATCCCCACGGAGCACGAGGTCAGATGCATGGGTTGTTCCGGTCCGTGGGTGAGAAACGGGTTCTCTGTGTCGCGTCTCTTCAGAGCGAAGTTGAGTCTTTTCGTGTGCTTCTGACATTCGCATCTTTTTTTCTGTGCATTCTTCACTTCTCTACAAGGACTGACCTTTCCCTTCTCTATCTCTAGGAGCACTTGATAGAACAGAAATATTTAAGCCGCCGCTACTTTCTCAGTCTGTCGTTTGCTTCTGGTGTCTTTGAGCCACACGAACATGTTTACATGATCGTAGGTAAAAAGGCTGCCAGGTTCCAGAAGAACCCCCCTGTGGACTCTGCTGGGACACGCATGGCCGGGTGGTTTTCATTAAACTCGTGGTCTGTTGGGAATGTGTCCTAGTCCATTTTATAAAGAATTGACCCCATTTTATCTTTTTATATCTATTCATTTACTGCAACGCCACTTATTTTTTAAAATATTAATTAAAAATAATATTTTAAAATTTATTTATTTAAAAAAAGGATATAGAGATGGAGTTTTGCCCGTTGCCCAGGCTGGTCTCAAACTCTTGGGCTCAAATGATCTGTCCACCTTGGCCTCCCAAAGTGCTAGGATTACAGGCGTGAGCCATCGTGCCCGGCCTGTAACACCACTTATTAAAACACCTCTCTCCCCACTGACCTGAGATGCCCCTTTATCTGACAGCCCGTTGCCACATGGAGTTGTATCTGTCTTCCTTCGGCCTACTTACTAATTCACGCAGCAAGACCAAGCTGTCATAGATAGAGTCTCAGAGAAGGTTCCAGTGTCTGAGCCCGTCCCATCCCAGTTCCTCTATTTTCCAGGGCTTCTTTCTATTCTCGTTCTTTTATTTTGCCAAAAAAAATTGTAACAAAACTTTGGAGCTCCAGGAAAAACCTGACAGCATATATAGTATTTTGGGGGGGATTGAGGTAAGTTTATAAACCAACTTTGGAAAAACTGGCATCTTCATGAGTTGACTCTTCTATTCAGGAACATGCCGTGACTTTTCACTTGTTTGAGTTTAATCATGTATTTTCAGGAGCCTTTTTATCATTTTCTTCATGAAGGATTAGAACATTTCTTATTAAGTTTATTTCCAGGCATATTTTTGTTGCTATCACTGATAGAGTCTCATCTCCCAGCATGTCTTCTAACTCTGTTTGTATATATAGAGGCTATGGATGTTTTTACATTAATTTTATGACCTGCTGTTTTGTTAAATTATTTTACTGATTTAGTAATTTTCTTTGTCTTTTCATTTTGGATTTCTCAGATGTATGGCCATATTAGCTCCAAGTAGAGATTGTTTTGCCTTTTCTGATTCTTATGTCACTAATTGATTTCTTTTGTTCAACTGCATAAGCCAATCATAGCTCGTTGCAATATTAAATAGTATTGCAGGTAAAGAGTATTGCAGGTAGTTGGCATCTTGGACTTTTCCCTCCTATTATGGGAAAAACTCCAGTATTCTTTAAAGGTAAGATGTACACAAAACCTAAAATATTTACGATCTAGTTTTTTCAGAAATAGTTTGCCAACCCTTGCCATAGATTAGGAAACTTAGAAGGCAGCAACCCTGTGCAATGTAGATGCCATGATGAATTATTATTTCTAAAACACCAGCTGGAAAAAGTAACTTAACTAGACAATTAAGGAAATGCGAACACTGACTTTTGGATGGTGTTAAAGAATAACTAACATTCATGTTAAGGCATGGTCGTGGTAATACTGTTACGTTTTCAAGTCATGATCCTTTACAGATATACTGGCCTTCCCAGCTGACATGGACCTCAGGTCAGCTTCAGCGTGAGAAGCAGGCCAGGCCTGGGTCTGGAGCCGTCCTGGCCTTCCCAGATGACATGGACCTCAGGTCAGCTTCAGCGTGAGAAGCAGGCCAGGCCTGGGTCTGGAGCCGTCCTGGCCTTCCCAGATGACAAGGACCTCAGGTCAGCTTCAGCGTGAGAAGCAGGCCAGGCCTGGGTCTGGAGCCGGGTGATGTGCACATGGGGCTCACTTTTCTATTCTTTCTACTTTTGTATCTTGGTGTATTTTCTGAGTGAAAAGTTAAAAAAGATCTCAGCCCTGAGCATCTTCCCACACAGTGCTCACCACACCCTCTACATCATGCATGTGGAACACCTCATAAGGGTCCCCTCCCCCATGTCAAATTAATGCCGCTGCTGGAGGCGAAGTGGATCAACTGAGCGTCAGGACACACTTGAAAATGAAGGAAGGAAAAAACTTGGTTC
Organism: Homo sapiens; assembly: GCF_000001405.40. NCBI lineage: Eukaryota > Metazoa > Chordata > Mammalia > Primates > Hominidae > Homo > Homo sapiens. Next base: position 168,029,981 of record NC_000006.12, read on the forward strand.
CAGCTAAGTCAAAACCTGTCGTTCAGGAAACTGAGGTTCACATTAAAGCATACCTGACCAAGTGCAACCAACCACCAGTGCTGGGCAGCTGCCAGGGAGCCTGTTCTCTCACCGTGCTCCAGGCTTCTTTCAAATTGTGCAGGAAACGGCATTTTTTGGACGTTGCTTCCTATTTTATTTGTACCTGTTTATAGACCCAGAACCACATGAGGTTTCCTTTTCAGAGTGGACATCCAGTCCCATGATATCAATTCAAGTTCTGCTGAACTGACCTGGGGCCTAGGAAAACAAGATTTTTAAGAGCTTGAACATAAAAATCAAATGTTATATATCAAATATTGCTCAGAGTGGGATTTTTACATTGTGATTATTGGGCCCTCTAAAGTAGAGCTAATTTAGTTATGGGATAATTATATCCTCCCTCTGTCCCTCTCTCTCTCCCTCCCTCCCCCTCCTCCTCCCTCCCCTCCCCTCTCATCTTCCCTCCCCTCTCCTTTCCCCTCCCGCTCTTCCCTCCCTTCCCCTTCCCTTCCTTCCTTCCTTCCTTTCTTGCAAGCATCTGTCACTTCATTTATGCTTATTACATTTTCATAGCAGAAAGTACTATCTTTACTCTTTATTAACCTCTGTTATCTTGAAAAATAACACAGATTAATCTTTTGTTGAAGAATCCTGATGGCGTTGGGGGGATGGGAAGTACACGGGGCGTTGTGTTCCCAGGTTTCTGAGTCTGCATGCTAGAGCCGCTTTCTGCTGCTTCTATTAATACAGCATTTTCACTTTGTCTCTCAGGGTTTATGGTCCAGCAGAGTCTCAGAGCGCGGTCTTTGGAGATGTGTGCCCCCTACTCACTTCTCTCTTGGATGGGTGAGTTAAAATATTTTTAAGGCCAGTCATCATAGTTACATTTGAATATAAAGAAGCTTCACTGTGCTGTGGAGTGAGAATGTAGCATTAGAGTCTGAGCATTCTACAGCACTGCAGAGCATGCCCATGGGTCACCCAGCATGGACTCCACTTGCATCCGTGGAGACTATTTCCGCACCCTGGGAAAAGGAGTGAGAATGATTTGGAGAATGCTTGTTAAATGAGCATATCCACCTGGGATTCCAAACTCCACTTTAGTTACAGTGCATGTGGGCTTAAGCCTGTGAGTGCAGCTGCCATTCTCTCTGGGATTCTAACATTTCAGAATTTAAAAAAAATCTGTAAGGAATGTTAATGTCAGATTTAGGGACTTTTCCCTTTGGGAATCAGCCTTCTATTCTTGCAGTATACAACTACTGATGTCAAAGGCAGTGGGCTGTAATTTAGGAATGAAGAATTTTTTTTTACTTAATGGAGACACCTTAAGCCAATACTTTCCACTCTGGGGCATTTTGAAGAATCTCAGTTTTGTGGCAGAAGTCCACATAAAGTTCCTGACGAAGACTTACTTGCATTGTCCAGCAAAGGCTTCTGCACAGCCAACCTCAAGGAACCTCAAGGACCTAGAAACTGTAATTACACAGTGTGCTGCGCGTCCCAAAGGCACATGATCCAACGAGTAGGGTCAAGTCAGGAAGCTCCTGCATCTGACCACGCACGCACGCGGGGCCGCTCCGCCAATCATGATGCAGTTGCTGCTTCAACTCTTCCTCCAGAGGGCTGGGATTTTTATACCCATCTGAAGAAATGGTTTTGAAAATGATAGGGGAGTCTCTTTTTAAGTAGGCATCTTTTAAGTAAGCAGATTCCAGAAATAAAAAAGACATCGTGGTCACAGTGATCACTGCCAGAACTGCCTTTCCAGGATAATGCGAAACAGATGGAGTTAGTTTGAGTTCTGAGTCTTGTCAGCAAAAAGAGTCAAACCCTGTAAAATATTGGGAGAGATTTATCCTGAGCCAAATATGAGTGACCGTGGCCCATGACACAGCCCAGGAGGTCCTGAGAGCACATGCCCAGGGTGGTCGGGCGCAGCTTGGTTTTGTACATTTCAGGGAGACATGAGACTTCAATCCAATTCATTTTAAAAATACATTGGCTCTGGAATGTCTGGGTTAAGGTAAAGGATTATGGAGACTAAAGTTCTCATTTGCAGAGGAAGCCTTTAGGTAGCAGCTTCAGAGAGAACAGAGTGTAGATGTTTCTTATCAGATGTAAGATCTGTGTCGATATTAAGGCTGCAGGGTATCGTGAGGCCTGTCCGGCCCCCACTTCCCGTCATGGCCTGAACCAGACTCTGAGGTTAAATTTTAGAGTGCCCTGGCCAAGGAGGAAGTCCATTCAGATGGCTGGGGGGCCTTAGAATTGTGTTTTTGGTTTACAGCTTCCTTCTCCGGGAAGTTTCCTTTTAATGTTCATTCTTAAATGGTTGAAAGACTCCTGTAAGAACCCGTTTATCTGTTGTAGTCAAAGATATTCTCCACACAAAGAAATGCATGTAAATGAATTCAGGGAAGCTGGAAGAGACATAGCCTATAGTGGGGTTTTGTTATGAATGCCTTGAGACTTTTTAATCCTGGAAGGAAAACTCACAGGATGGTAACGCAGAGGCCTGATCAGCTTGGCGGGAGCTTGTGGTTTCCAGGCTCTTGTGGCTGGAATGTAACAGTCAACCCTAGTGACTCAAACCGTCAGCCCCAGGACTGGGCTCTGCTGCTTTTCCTGTCCTTTTCTAGGGGAGACTTAGATGTCAATCAGAACACTGTCTTGCAATCATTTTGTCAAAACAACAAGCTTTATTTGTTGGACTTGTGGTGGGTACACCACGTTAAACCGGTATTGATACACCGGAGTCACAGTTGACCAGTTAAGTCAGAATTTCTGAGTGCAGGACTTGCTGAATCTCCCCAGATGACTCGGACGGGGGGTCAGGGCCGGAGATCCTGCTCTGAGGCATGAACCCACTTAGCATCAGGTCAGGTGGACCCATACCTTTACAACCATGAACATCTTAAACATCATGACTAAGAGGATGATTTTCTATCATACTTATTTTAAATATTCTTCCAAATATTTCTGATCCTCCCATTAATATTTTGGGCTAAATAGCACAATTGGAAGGAAATGTAGGGATGTTGGTAGTTAACTTCTCTGAAATAAGCTGCAGTTAGCTAATTGAGAGTCTTGGGGCCGAGAGGCAGCAGGTGCTACGTCACAGAGAGGACCTCAGCACATGTGGATTGACTGTGGACATGAACACCTCAAAGTCGCTTCCAATTACAAAATACAAAATTTTTCTTTTGTATGAAACATACGCAAAAATGGCTCATGCTTGTAATCCCAGCACTTTAGGAGGTTAAAGCAGGAGGATCCCTTGAGTCCAGGAGTTTGAGACCAGCCTGGCCAATATGGCGAAACTCCATCTCTACTAAAAATACAAAAATTAGCTGGGCGTGCTGATGCATGCCTGTGATCCTAGCTACTTGGGAGGCTTAGGCAGGAGAATTGCTTGAACCCAGGAGGCAGAGGTTGCAATGAGCCAAAATTGTGCCATTGCACTCCAGCCTATGTGACAGAGCAAGAATCCGTCTCAAAAAAAAAAAAAAAAATAGATAGTTACAGTGAAGGTGTGGGGATTTAGGAAGGCCTTGCTAAGGTCAGAATCCCTATGTGAATGCTGAGCTGGTGGATGGGGAGATGAAAACACCCAGGAGAAACCGGGATGGATGAACCCACGCTGTGTGTGTGTCAGTGCAAATACCGTTTAATCCAATGTCGTACAACAAGATAGCAACAAGGATAGATTATGCAAAAAATAGTTGTAGTTAAATGAAAACCTAATTTATAAGAAATGGAGTAACAGGAGAATAGGAAATGAAATGTATTGAAGTTTCTCATACAAGTGAAAATTTTTCCTGGAATCTTCTTGGCACCCACGTGTGTTTTGCTGGACTGAATCTGCTCTGAATTTTAGGTACAATGTTTGTGTTATGGCGTATGGACAGACGGGCAGCGGAAAGAGCTATACCATGCTGGGACGCCATTCGGACGACGGCCCTGTTCTGCCGCTTGACCCACAGAGTGACTTAGGAATTATCCCTAGAGTGGCTGAGGAGCTCTTCAGGTACTGCCGATGGTGATGAGTGGGGCAGAGAAATATGGCAGGGAAGCCAGGCGGTCAGCACCTTGGTTATCACGTGGGAAAAATTATTACCATTTGAAGAAGGTGATCAAACCCCATAATCTCATCAGATACATTCAACACTATGAAGTGCTTTCATACTTCTGGGCATTATTGCTACCAATCCTGTGATGAAATTATGTTGCAATTCCATCATTAAGACTAAACTTTATTTTTAAATTTTTTTAGAGACAAGGTCTTGCTTTGTCGCCCAGGCTGGAGTGCAATAGTGTGATCTCAGCTCACTACAACCTCCACCTCCTGGGTTCAAGCGATTCTCCCTCCTCAGCCTCCCGAGTATCTGGTATCACAGGAGTGTGCCACCACACCCAGCTAATTTTTGTATTTTTAGTAGAGACGGAGTTTCGCTGTGTTGGCCAGGCTGGTCTCAAACTCCTGACCTTAGGTGATCCACTCGCCTCGGCCTCCCAAAGTGCTGGGATTATAGGCATGAGTCTCCCTGCCTGGCTAAGACAAAACTTCTTGAAAGAGATCCCGAGTTACAGGGTTCCTTAGGCAGGGGTGGAGGTGGGGGATGGTGAGGGATGGAGGTTTTCTGTCCTGGAATGGGAAGCACAGAGGGAAAACTCCCGTCCTTCCGTCGCCCTTCCTCCTGCCGCCATCAGGAGTGTATGCATTCGCTTCTCTTCAGGGGTCCAGCCAACATGGCCTGCGAAGATGCTCCCGACCCGTTAGCACATTCTCGAAAGAGACCCACTGCCCGTGTCATGATTTCACCAACATAGTTAGTTCTAGGGAAAAATAAAATAGTAAAAAGTCGTCTCAGTGGCCGGGCGCGGTGGTTCAAACACCTGTAATCCTAGCACTTTGGGAGGTCGAGGCGGGCGGATCACAAGGTCAGGAGTTCGAGCTTGCATGGATGGTGCATGTCATTAAATATTCAACCAGTCATTTTTCCTTCTGCTAAGCAAACTCTTTAAGTTCCAGAAACAAAGGCTCAGGCAAGAGCCCTGGGGAACTGAGGTAGAAAAAACAAAGGCTCAGGCAAGAGCCCTGGGGAACTGAGGTAGAAAGCGGGAGAGAATGGTGGGAGTTTCAAGACCCCCCGCCGCGTCTCTTCTCGTCTGTGAGAGCGGGGACACCACGGTGGAAGGGGGCGATGTGGTGTGGCAGCACGTCCCGGACGTCGGCTTCGCAGTGTTCCCAGTGTGAGCTGCGTGCGTGCTTCCGAGGCCGTTTCCCCCTCAGCTGGGCTTAGAGATGCACGATGCACAGCCAGTGAGAGCAGGCGTCGTACATTCCACGGCTGCGTTTCCGTTTGGCTCTGGAATTTGCCGACGGAAGCATATCCAGGGCGGCAAAGGGATGCCGGGGCTGGAACGGCGCGGCGGAGGAGGCGGGAACGGCGCTGCGGGGGGGGCGGGAACGGTGCTGAGGTGGTGGCGGGAACTGCCCTGCGGAGGAGGCGGGAACTGAGCTGAGGCAGCACTGGGAAGAGCTGTTAGCTGCCTAAAAGTGTTAGGGAAGATCCATCAGGAAGATGGCCAGGCGGCTGCGCCTCTCCAGAAACCGGATAATCAGCGTTACCAATGGGCCCATCGCATTACTGGCAAGCGTTTCAGTCGCCTCGTTTCTAAAATGGTTTTTCCGTTTTGCTGTTCTGAGTCTCGGGTGCTGTGCGTCTCCCTCCAGGGCACAGTGATTTGCGGCACTGGAATCCCTCAGTCAGAGTCTCAGAATCTCTGCTCTTCCAAGTGAGTGGCCCCGGGCAAGGCCGTACTCTCCCTACACCTCACCTTCGTCGTTTGCAGAAACGAGAATCGGAGCAGACACGGACCGTGTCCTCCCTCATCACATCCACACACGACCTGGAGAGGGGTGCACTGGGCCAGGGCTGGGGGTGAGCTTGGGTGTTCGTGACTCAAGTTGCAAACGGCCCTCTGCCCAAAATGATACAAAACCACAATGACATCAGTGCTGATATCAGAGATAGTTTACAGGAACCCTTTACCCTGAAAAGGACTACTCTTAGATTGCTGAAGTCACCAGATAAGCCATTTCCTGTCGTTTTAAAGTAAATAAAATGCTACTGCCTGGATTCCTTGGCTCTGCACGCCTCTCTCCTTTCTTCTAAACCTGGTTGTTGACACCGCCTCCTTCCCGACTGCTCTCCGCTGTCATCCTTATCAACAGGAGTGTGTGATGTTTCTCCACCTGCTACACACTGTCAGAGGCACAAGGGATCCAAAAGTGCATGTGATCAGTTTTCTGCTTTTAAAAAGTCTAGAGTGGAAACGGGTAATTATGACCCAGTAGAAAATGGGCAGGAACAGATGGCAGAGACAAAGCCTGGCCCCGCCCCTCCCCGCCCCAGAGAGTCAGGGGAGCTGCGTGCATTGGAATCACACTGTTCATTGCAGGACCTGGAGTCCTTTGCGTGTGTGCCTCGCCTTCTCAACACTTTGCTTCTTAAAGGCTAAGACTGCAGCCTGTGGTTTTCACCATTGTCCCTAGAATCTAGTCAACAGCCCAATGATTACTTGTGGGAAATCTCTCAAATTAACTCCTCGGTATTATGTAATTGAGAAATCTCTAACTTAGGTTTTGTGACACTCAAAGAGACAAACTGACACATAAATGATGGGCCCAAGTGTGGAGGTTAAGTTTCTGGATATGTGGTGCATTTTGCCTAAGGTGTGGAGAGGAGGAGAATGTAAAAACTCTAGTTTAGGCTGGGCATGGTGGCTCACACCTATAATCCCATAACTTTGGGAGGCTTAGGCGGGTGGATCACCTGAGGCCAGGAGTTTGAGACCAGCCTGGCCAACATGGCAAAACCCCATCTCTACTAAAAATACAAAAATTAGCCTGGTGTGGTGGTGCATGCCTGTAATGTCAGCTACTCAGGAGGCTGAGGCAGGAGAATCACTTGAACCTGGGTGGCAGAGGTTGCAGTGAGCCGAGAATGTGCCACTGCACTTCAGCCTGGGTGACAGAGCGAGACTTTGTCTCAGATAAATAAATAAATAAATATAAAGTAAAATAAAATCTGTAGCTTAGCTAACTTCATGTTTCACTGTTGCACACACTCAGAGTGTTCTCAGCAAACCCCAGTGCTGAACCTGTCGAATCCAAATCTTGATGCTTTGCCAATAATGATTTTTACCTGAGAGTTTTACTTACTTTCTCTTTCATTTTAGTCTTCATCATTTTCTTGACTGTTTGTCATTAGAAGACAAAACTCCTCTAGATCTGGATGAAAAACTCAGCCTGGCAGCGCCTGGGTGGGAAACATTCCTGCTGGATTTTCCCTTGAGTACAGATAGCATCCTGTCACTGAGGACTTCCCGCCCGGTTCTCAGAATAGCCTTAGGAACAAGAAAAGCACAATGCTCACCATCGGATTGACATCACCATGCAGGTGGTAGAGAGGCGGTCACCTCCAGCAGAAAGAAAGAGGCCTTTGTTATTTGGTGACGAGGTTGGAAGGGGAGTTTTGTCAGAGACAAACCAGAAAGCCAGAGGGAGGAGAGAGAAAGGGAGGGAATCCAGGGTTAGCACTCACCCATTTCTTGTTGTGGGATTAAGGTTTTATTTCTCTCTCTCTCTCTCTCTCTCTCTGTAGTATCTTTATTTAAAAACATTCCTACAAGCCAGTGCATAGTTCTTTAAAACATGGAGCAAAATAAGATGTGCAGCTGCTTTTTGTTTTGAGATGGAGTCTTGCTCTGTCTCAGCTCACTGAAACCTGCACCTCCCAGGTTCAAGCGATTCTCCTGCCTCAGCCTCCCGAGTAGTTGGGACTACAGGCATGCACCACCACGCCCAGCTAAGTTTTGTATTTTTGGTAGAGATGGGGTTTCACCAGGTTGGCCATGATGGTCTTCATCTCTTGACCTCATGATCCACCCACTTCAGCCTCCTGAAGTGCTGGAATTACAGGTGTGAGCCACCGTGCCTGGCTGTGCAGCTGCTTTTTAATGAGCCCGAGCTGGTTTTACGGGTCTTGCAGGAAAGTTGCAGTTGGAAGGCGTAAGTGGAATTGGAATAAACTCTGGACTGAAGCTTCCCTGAAGTGGAAAAGTTTTAAAATAAACAAACCCCATCACTGGAGAAGTGCTAGAGTCCTGAACATCCTTGCAGCTTGCCTTGGGTGTCTGCAGTGATTGGTCAATGGGGCATGGTAATTTCTAGACCACAGCCATGGGATAGTCAGGCTTCTTCGCCCTGTGTGTTTAGAATCCTCAGTGTACTGGTTGCAAAAGTGTTGGTTTAAATATAACTCTGATAAAATAACTGCTCCCAAGACACGTATTCACCCTACAACCTAAATGGCACACCCTATTTCCCTGAGTGATCTTCGGGTATGTAACATGCAGCCCTCTGCTCGGACCCCAGCAGTCTTACTGAGCATCCTGTAGGGCGTCTGGGGCTATGATTGGCTTACACTGAAAATCACTCTGTGAGACTTTCTGTAAGTTTCTCTTGTGTGTTTTCCCGCAGGCTCATTTTGGAAAATACCTCAAGAAGCCCAAAGGTTGAAGTCTCCATAGTGGAAGTTTACAATAATGACATTTTTGACCTTCTGGCCAAAGACAGCATTGCAGCAGTGTCGGGGGTCAAGCGTGAGGTGGTGACAGCCAAGGATGGACGGACAGAGGTTGCGCTGCTGGCCTCTGAGTGAGTACTGCACCTGCCCCGTGCTGCTGGCCTCTGAGTGAGAATGGCACCTGCCCCTCCCACCTGGTCAGGAGGCTGCACGTCTCTAAACGAGCTCCCCACGCCCAAGGATCCCAAGGAGAATCGGCCGTGGTGGCCCGATCAGTGCTCCTTGTCACTGAGTGGTTCCTTGTGTGTTTTCATGCTTCGTATGTGTTGCACAACTCTCAATTTGCTGTAAGAATGATCTTTCTTTAAAGGTGGCTATGTCAGGATGATATATTTGTTAATTAGCTGGAATGGGTGATCATTTCACAATGTATTCGCATATCAAAATATCAAGGTGTATACCTTAAACATACACAATTTTCATGTCATTAATATCTTAAAGCTGTTAGAGATAAAAGTAAAAAAAACCACAAAAAATATTTTTTACAATCAAAATTAAAATAAATAAATGTATCTTTAAAAAAACCTTCATAAGAGCCCCTCAGATGGGCGTCATCCCATCTGACAGATGAGGAAGCAGACTTGTGGAGGTGAAAGAACTTGCCCACCCCACTCAGGCTAGGAGAGATGAACTCATCCACATTTGTAAATATCAGTATTTCACAGAATATGATAATGAATCCTCTTGTAAAAGTGAGGATCCCCCATATTAAGTATTTTCCTCAAAGTTCCCTATTGTCAAATCCACATGGATGTGCTGGGTTTGCCCCAGTGGGGGTGCAGCTGGGAGGTGACAGAAGGAACCCTCCCCATGAGTGAGGGCCCAGTCAGGCTGCCCATCCTGGGCCCCGGAGGCAGCAAGGGAAGGGCCCACCAGCCATGCTGAATGTTTCACAGAGCTGAAGGAAATCATCCATGCAACCCTGATACGGTCACACAAAGTCGCCCAAAATTTGAGCCTTTGACTGACAGACTGTGATGGAAATGTTATCTCCTGCTGATTAAGAGCTCTGATTAGCAGTCATATCTCATCCACTAACACGGAGAAATGGGTTAAACCTTTATTTTACAAATCAGATTTGATACACAAAATATTTTTAAAACATGGTTCCTGGAGGCTCTAATAAATAAAGGAATAGGTGATGTTGAAAAGGTTAGCAACCTCTGATTTTGTTCTGAAACAGTCCATTATTTCAGGGTCAGCAATTAGAGATGCTATAGGTTGGTTAGGTCTCAAAAGGAAAAAGTTTGCTTTACCATGATTTATTGTGCCTGAGACTGGCTTCAGTACCCCACTGGCACGCGTGGCTCATGTGAGAGGCTTCCCTGAGCCGAGGAGTCTTGGAAGTCGCCTTAGGTAAGGGGGGCCGCCCTCACTGTGTTCCCCACTGCTTGCCTTGTCTGTAGGGCTGTCGGCAGCGCCTCGAAACTGATGGAGCTCGTTCATGGAGGTCTGCAGCTCAGGGCGAAGCACCCCACCCTGGTGCACGCGGATTCCTCCAGGTCTCACCTGATAATTACGGTGACTCTAACCACAGCCTCCTGCTCTGACAGCACTGGTAAGTCACCATTTGTGCTTGGTCAGTGGCAAGTAATAGAAAAACCCACTTAAGAAGAAAAAAATCAGGCCAGGCACAGTGGCTCACGCCTGTAATCCCAGCACTTTGGGAGACTGAGGCGGGTGGATCACCTGAGGTCAAGAGTTTGAGACCAGCCTGGCCAACATGGTGAAACCCTGTCTCTACTAAAAATACAAAAATTAGCTGAGTATGGTGGTGCAAGCCTGTAATCCCAGCTACTCGGGAGGCTGAGGCAGGAGAATTGCTTGAACCCAGGAGGCAGAGGTTGCGATGAGCCGAGATTGTGCCATTGCATTCCAACCTGTGCGACAGAGCAAAAACTCTGTTAAAAAAAAAAAGAAGAAGAAGAAGAAGAAAAATCAGCATGCCTGCAGCATCCAAGGCCTCTCATGGGACCCAGCATGGGAACAGCAGCCACACCTTTTCAGTATCTGCATCCCAAACCCAAAAGTCCACTGGGATCCCAGGCTGAGAAGAAAAAGTGAGAGTGGGAGGGAGGAAAACACTCTGCTAAATAAAATATAATGCAGAAAGAAAAGCAGGGCATAATACACCTTGGAGTACATGCATTTGTCATGGAAGAAACAATGAGTGTAATTTCAGTTTAAAACCAAAATTTCAAACTATGTAGTATATAAAATGATTCCAGTTATGTAACAGAAAGAACACAGGCCTGTGAAGCCTGGGCTGCAACTCTCAAACTTGAGCTGCGTCCAATTCCCTGCAGCAGGTGGTGGGAACTAATAGCAGACACCACCCATGCTCAGGTTCAGCAGGGCTGGGACTGGACCCAGAGTGTGCGTTTCTGCAAGGATGCGGCTCCGGGGACCACACCTGGAGAGCCACGGGTCTGGGGCCGGAACATGAGACTGTAGTCCCATCAAAACCTGGTCTCAGTGGGTTGACACTGGAAAGGCCATTTCTCACTCATATTGAAGGCCAGTGTGGCTGAACATTCCCCATCCTTCTTGCCACCGTGGCACTTGAAACATTTGGCCTCCAAGGTTGCTCAGGCAAGGGAAGGAGAGGTGACGGGGAGGTGCTGACAATAGCCCCTGGCCAGCCCAGAGTGGGCCACAGCTGGGCACACGGCCTTGTACCGCAGGGGCTGGAAAGGCACAGGCGTGTGATGTTTAGGGAACACCAACAATCTCTACCAAAAACGCTCCCGATACAGGGGCGGTGTGGCTGCCAGTGGTGGTGGGAATAAGACCGGATTTCATGTCCTTTAAAAAAAATTGTGTATACTTTCTATGTTTTGCACAGTGAATAAATGTTATTTTGCTTTTTTAAAAAACCTAAGAAGTTTGTTTAGGAATAACACACTACAAAGACATTTGCATTAAAATTAAGAGCCCTTTTGTTAGGATTTGTGTGGAAGATTATCGAACAGATTGTAGAATTTATTTCTAAAAGGGCTCATAGATTTTCTGAGTGGGATTTTAATTAACATGATTACCAAGTCTTCCTAAGAAGCATTATTTGATTTCCTCTGGGCCAATTAGGCATTAGTTCAACCTTCCACAGTGAAGAAAGCTGCTTTCTAACTTGTGTTTTCCCCCAGAGAAGCCACTATCCCCTGGACCTCTGCGGAAATCCCACTTCTTACTGGGTGGGAGGTGTGGGCAGGAGGGTGCAGTTCAGAAGCTTCTCGGCTCTGACTGAGGCAAAGCACAGCCTCATGGCTTCATGCAACTGTTTTCCTCCTCGTCGCTCCTTGGTCCCTTGCAGCAGACCAAGCCTGCAGTGCCACCCTCCCCAGGGAGCAAACAGAGGCAGGAAGGGCAGGAAGGAGCCGCAGAGCTTCTCAAGGGGCCTTGGCTCCACAGCTGGTTCCTGGGAACCCCGCAGGGCATGCGGAGCAGGTGCAGGCTCGACTACAGCTCGTGGACTCGGCCGGCAGCGAGTGCGTTGGTGAGCAGGGGCAGGCATTTCCCTGGGGGGTGGGTGCTGCAGAAGCCTATGATCTGATGGAGCTGGATGTGCAACCAGGCAGCCCGGGAAGCTCTGGGCGAGCCAGGCATTTCCCCCTCCACAGGTGAGTTCCAAATCCCGTTACATTCTCAGGGATTGGTTCTCTTACCCCGGCAACCCGAGAGTCGTGTTCCTCACACGGGCCCTCTGGGAACAGAAAACCTGAGTTCCCAGCAGGAGCTCGCTTTGAGCTGTGAGCAGAGCCATGAAAGACACTCACTCTCATGCCTGTCCCGTCCATGGCCTCCCCTCTACCTGCCTGAGAGCCGCTCCTCCCAAGGAGCCGGTTTTGCTTTTCCTGCCTCCTTTCTTGGTGCAAACGGTGATGGTGCGTGGCGGTCCTGTCCAGGTGTGTCTGGAGTGACCGGGTTGGCCCTGAGGGAGATGGCGTGCATCAGCCGCAGCCTTGCGGCCCTGGCAGGCGTCCTGGGGGCTTTGTTGGAGCACCGTGGCCATGCCCCGTACCGGAACAGCAGGCTCACCCACCTCCTTCAGGACTGCCTCGGTAACCGTTTTCCCCAAAATGCCCCAGGATGGGGGACCACGTACCCCAGGACATGTGCACACACTTCTGGCCTGCACGTCCTCGAGGGCCACCCATGCACCCCCTGCACCTCCTGTGTCCTCGCTGTGGCTAGCTGGCACTCCCACGGCACGGTGGTCATTCTCCTGCGCCGTCTCACCTTGGCCTGATTGTGTGCTTGTTCGGTCTGTGTGTGACTTGCCTCCTGGTTGGGGCTCAGTTTCTCAAGGGTGGCAGCCCTGGCCTTTCTCTTCACCAGGGGTCCGCCAGAGCAGCTGAGGGCTCTCTAGGCTGCTGCTGCATGTGTGGCCTGGGTCCCTCCGGCTGTGTAGACCTGCTTAGGCCCCAAGTTCCTTGGGTCTTTTGGGGGCAGGTGCCAGAAGCCTGGACGCAACAGATTAAGCACCAGTGCCAGGTGGGGCACAGGCGGCCCCTGTGTGGAGTCATCCAGCTGTGGCTGGATCTGGGCTTTGCGGTTTTTGGGGAGCTCAGTTAGTGCCCCCTCCCCCGACTCAGACTCCAGACTGGTTGAAAGGGAGGACCCGAGGAAGCATTGCGGCTCTTCCTGACTCAGGGTGCAGGCAGAGTCCCCCAGAGGTGGCCCTGGGCCCTGTAGGCCGTGTCCTGAGAAACGGCCACTGCAGGACGGCAGGGGCACATGGCCACCACAGTCGGGGGGCTCCTCCTTCCTGGGAGGGCCACCCTGGGAGGTGGTGGAGGGGCCGCTGGTGCTCGGGACTCGGGGAGGCTGGAATGTTCCAGACACTCTCCCTGTCTCTCATTGTGGGGTATTTCCCCCTCTCATGGCAAATTGGCTTCCTCCACACGGTGAATAACAGGGCTGTTCACAGGAGCATATTTTTGGATTCTGCCTTTAAGAGAGAGACCACCTGGTACTCTTGGATTCCAAAGTTCGCAGCCCCAACAGAGAGACAGGGCGACCTGGGTCAGGGGCACAGCCCACCCGTGATCTCAGGGGCGGCACCGTGGGGCACACAGTACCTGAGAGCCAGCAGGTCCCTCATGGAGCCCTGGCCTTGGCCTCTGGGGTCTGCACTTTTCCTCCCCCTTAGCTCTCCCTTCCTTCTCCACTGTTTTTGGTTTTCATCTGTAATTCTTAACCCTCGTTACGGGTCCTGAAAAACAGGAAGAGACAGCATTCCTCAGGAGGAGAAGTCCTGGGCACACGGCCCCTGCCCCAGGGGGGCCTGAGGGAGCCACAGGGCCATGGGCCGTGAGCAGCAGGTGTGGGCATGAGGGAGATCTAGAAAGAACAGCCCCAGGGGGCTGAGCGTCCCTCAGGGTCATGTGCAGACTCAACCTAGGGCTGACTTCATACCTCCCAATTCCCGGGACACAGGAGTGTGAGTAGAAGGCCTGCAGCTTCCCCAGGTGAGGGGCGCTAGTGACCGGCTGCTGACCCTCCCGGACCCAGGTGAGGGGTGCTAGTGACCGGCTGCTGACCCTTCCAGAGGGTGAGGGGTGCTAGTGACCGGCTGCTGACCCTCCCGGAGGGTGAGGGGTGCTAGTGACCGGCTGCTGACCCTCCCGGACCCAGGTGAGGGATGCTAGTGACCGGCTGCTGACCCTCCCGGAGGGTGAGGGGTGCTAGTGACCGGCTGCTGACCCTCCCGGACCCAGGTGAGGGACGCTAGTGACCGGCTGCTGACCCTCCCGGACCCGGGTGAGGGGTGCTAGTGACCGGCTGCTGACCCTCCGGGACCTGGGTGAGGGGTGCTAGTGACCGGCTGCTGACCCTCCCGGACCCAGGTGAGGGACGCTAGTGACTGGCTGCTGACCCTCCCTGACCGGGGTGAGGGGTGCTAGTGACCGGCTGCTGACCCTCCCGGAGGGTGAGGGGTGCTAGTGACCGGCTGCTGACCCTCCCGGACCCGGGTGAGGGGCGCTAGTGACCGGCTGCTGACCCTCCTGGACCCCCGTCCCAGGAACCTGCCAGACGTGGCCACTTTCCCGCTGGGGCGCCGGGCGGCCCTCTCTGCAGCCGCCCATCTCGGGCCCTGGTTGCTGGCATGTTGGCACTTTCAGATGCTGCTCTTCTTTCCAGCTTGCATGTTGTTTTTCTATTTTAAAGGAGGCGATGCGAAGTTACTGGTGATTCTCTGCATTTCTCCCAGCCAGAGGCACCTGGCACAGACGTTGCAGGGCCTGGGTTTCGGGATCCGAGCTCGGCAAGTCCAGCGAGGCCCTGCCCGAAAGAAGCCGCCCAGCTCCCAAACGGAGGGGAAGAGGAGGCCGGATTGAATGCATTAACAAGTTTTTCTCCTAAAACTGTGTTTCTTGTCCTTGCTTTATAATGCATATGTGCTTAGAAATAAACAGGTTTCACGTGGACTCAATAAACCTGGCTTTATTCCAAAGCACCCTCATGAATGTGGATGGGACCTCCAACTCCTGCCAGACCATCAGGCAGGGCAGGCTTCACAGAGGAGCTCCTTGCAGTGCGGCGGCCACCAGGTGTCACAGCAGGCACTCGCTGTCCTCATCAGACTCTCCCCAGAGGCCACCCTGGGCCCTGAAGGCCCTGCCCCGGGAAACTCGGGAGCCGGCAGAAGTAGCTGTGGGCAGGAGGGCAGGGGGCGTGAGTGCCCCACAGTGGGAGCTGGTCAGCCTGGGCCCAGTGCAGATCCCACCCGTGAGCTGGGGAGGTGCTGCTGGGCACGTACGGCCCCAGAGCCACCAGGCCTCACACAGAGCTGCCACCTCCGCCTCCTCGAGTTCGTGCTTTTCCTTTCCCCCCAGGCTCCCTCTTTCTTCACCACTGTTTTTGGTTGTCCACCACACTCCGCATGAGGAGCTGTGCCAGGCAGGGAGGGGGCGTCTGGGGCCAGCCTCACGAACCTGTCGTCTCATTTGACACAAACGCGGCCCCCAGGATTCCTCACCACAGGCTCCAGGACCAGATGGACTCTGGTTTCCATGGTGGCTCTGCCACCTCCCAGCTCTGCATCCCTGGACGGTTTGCTTGGCCTCTAAAGCCTGGCTTCCTCCTCGGCAAAGCCAGGTGAAACCAGAGGGTTGGGAGCCTTAAAGGAGACAAGGAGCAGCTCTGGAGACTGGCCTGTGACTTCCCCTGCCGTGGGGCTGAACTGGCACGTTTAAGCCCCACCCCACCACAGGGCTCCTCTCCGCCTCACAAGGGGATGCATGGTGACAGCTGCCCACCGCGTCCTCTGCTGGAAGGGTGCCCCCTGGGGCTGCCCCCATTTCCACCGGGCCCGCAGTGACAGATGTACCCTCTCGGACCCAGCAGATCCAAGAGCAGGGTCCCAGGAGGAACGCATGTGCGGAGGAATGGGGGGTCACAAGCACAGACCAAGAATACCCCATTTCTTACCAGCAACCATTTTGGCTCTGAGAATTGGCTGGGAAGCAGGTTTTGGAGAGGAGTCACAGCTGGTAGCTTTCAGATGATTTCAATGCCAGGAAAATGTTTTTTTTTTTTTACTCTATCCTGTTTATGCAAGAGGGAGGTAAAATGTCTTTTCTAGTAGTTAGCACAAACCAAGTAAACCTGTGCCCACATGCGGCTCAGGTGAGGAGCGTGAGCTGTGGTGGTCCTGACTCATGGCGGGCAGAAGGGTAGGAACCCCCTCCCTTCCTGGGAGCCCAGAGCAAGGGGTGGAGACAGGCAGGGGGTGTTCAGAGCCCAGTGTGCTAACGGCCTTTTCCTGTACTCCTTTTCCCAGGGCGGAGCATTCTGCCTCACTGCGAGTGGGGACCTGGCCCAGGCTGCTGGGGTCCAGCTTTTAGTCAGGGTGGCCAGGAGGGCAGGTGCACGGGGCATCATGCGCTGAAGACAGAGATGCTGGGCTTCTCCCTGCCAGGAAAGGACTCAGCCAGTGGGGCTGAAAGCAGAGACATCTGCTTCAACTCATGGTTTTTAATATAATTGGGTAGAGATGATAGACAGTAGATAGGTGAGATGATGGTGAGATGGTAGATGATCAGTCAGTGAACAGATGGCAGATCTGTAGATCCATGGATGATAAACTCATCAGCAGATAGATCAGATTTAATCTCATATATAAAAAATATGATCGTTTCAATGTGTAATCAATATGAAATCAATATAGAGATATTAATGAGATATTCAAGATTCTTTGTCCACACTAAGTCTTCAGAATTGGTGTGTTTCCCACTGACTGACAGCGCCCCTCAGCACAGGCTGGCTGCGAGCTTAGGGGGCCACAGGTGGGCAGCCCACCTAGCCCTGTGCTGAACCCCACAGACAAATGCCTCCATTTTGTAACACCACCTATTTTTAAGGATCCCTTGATTATCCTAAAGTGAAATTATACATAGATTATATAATCCTAACAGAGCATGCCTTTTTTAAAAAAAAAAAAAGAATCAATATAATGATGTAACTATAATATAATGGAGAAATAGGCCAGATGCGGTGGCTCACACCTGTAATTTCAGCACTGTGGGAGGCCGAGGCGGGCGGATCACTTGAGGTCAGGAGTTTGAGACCAGCCTGGCCCACATGGTGAAACCCCGTCTCTTCTAAAAACACAAAAATTAGCTGAGCATGGTGGCAGCTGTAATCCCAGCTACTCAGGTGGCTGAGGCACGAGAATCACTTGAACCTGGGAGACTGAGGTTGCAGTGAGCCGAGATCGCATCACTGCACTCCAGCCTGGGCGACAGAGCGAGACTCAGTCTCAAATAAATAAATAATAAAAATAAAAATATAATGGAGAAATAAAAAGTTTTTTTCTGTGTATATACACATAAGTATATTTCAATTCGTAAAACTTTCAAAACAACTACATCTGAACACACAGCGAAGTAAATGAGTTTCGGTATAAGAAGGAAGACAATATTCAATTTATGTATATTCGACAATTTAAAAATAAGGGCCAAGTGACTGTATCTGTGTGTGTGTGTGCACGTACATGCATGTAAAATCTCCAGGAATGTGGCCGCTACAAAAAGCAGACAGACACACAGACATGGAATTGTCACAAGTGTCCCATTTGTGACTCACATGTCACCAGCAGTATAGCAATGTGATATAATTTTGTACATGGTGAAAACCTCTTGGTAATGTTACAAAGTTTCAGCTTCTCTTGGTTTACACAACTGTTGCATTCCTGACACATAATGTACATTAAAACTGCAGAAATAATCCTTCCTGATTTTATGGAGAGCAGTGTGAGGTTTCAGGCCTGGATCACCAAATGCAGGATTTCCACCTGTGAATGTCTGACGGGGGCTAAAGCCACGTGGCCCCCGGGACAGTATTTGCTGGGTGGGAGTGTCCTGTGCCTTATGGGGACCTGGCGTCCTTGGTGCCTGTCTGCTCAATGTCACTTGTGTCCCCTCATCATTGTGATGACTTGAATGACCCCACAGGTTCTGAGATGCTCCCTCAGTGCCCAAAATAAAATCAAACTTCTCTTTAGGGTTGGCCCTTAGGCAGGCAGATGCCCCTGGCTCAGGAAGCCCCTCACCGGCTTGCTGAGGTGCGAAGTTCCTTTAGTAGGACAGAGACACCAACGCACAAATGATGGACTCAGGAGGTGGCAGCTCTGGTGAGATGGAAGCTTCTCTGTGGAGCCCGCACTGAACAGCAGTGCCAAGCAACAACTGCCGCCAGGCCCTGCCGTCCTCCTTCTGACCTTGAAGGGCCCGAGCTGCTGCCATAGCGTGACCGAAGGGACAGCCTGGCTGAGCCGCGTGACACTCGACAAGCCTTCTTTGTGTGTTTGATGAAGTTCCTCTCTGAGCAAGGCCGGCGTTGTGATAACCAAGCTGCCTTTGTAGAGGATGCGTGGACGCCTCGCCCCACAGCTGCGTGGGGCCCACAGTGGTGCCCCGAGACGGGCACCGTGTGAAAATGGCAGAGCTTCCCTCTGGGGAAGTGTTGGACCGGCTCTGGCCAGCCTCTACGCGGGATGGCAGAGGCGCGAGTGACTCAGGAACCTGCCAGTCACAGCCTAGAGCAAGGGCGTCTACAGAGACTGGGAGTTGGGGCAGTGGGCGTGGGGGGCGCTTGGGCCCCAGGCACCGGACCCCACTGCCTGCCACCCTCGACGCCCCCACGCTGCAGACTGGAACCCTCTGCCCCATCACAGGGCGTGCAGCTGAGTCCTCGCTTCCCAGGTTTTCGTCTGCCTCTCACTCCCAACTCCTCATTTCCTAGAAGGAAGCCTGGGCCCAGTCTTCACCCTGGTCCACTTGGCCACACCCAGAGTGCCAGGGTTTCAGAGCAAACCAGCCCAGTCTCCAGGGTGTGGGGCTGCAGGCACTCACCCCACCGCTGGCCACCACCAGTGATTTCAGTGGCCCATCACCGTGGTGCTGACACGCTGCCCCTAAGAAGGGAGAGGGAGGGACGGACCCAGGAAACATACAGAAAAAAAACCCAAAACTAGTCAGTGACTAAAACTCAAAGACGTCCCATCAATTAACAGCTCTGCTCTGGGGTTACTATCTTCATGTTCATTAGCTTCTTCCTCTTGGCTCAGGGCCTCTGAAGGTGTTTAGGATCAACCCATTTGAAAAGCAAGGACGCTGAGGCTGTGGAAGTCCACGTACTTACTGACTCGCAGCGCCTGTGAGTGGGCGGGAAGGAGCGTCTGCCCCTCAGTCGTGGTCCGGCTCCTTCTCTCACAGACGTGGACCTTTGGAGGGCAGTCCCAGCGCCACGGAGAAATGCATCTCCAGAAACACTCGTGGCTTCCTCAAACTGAGCACAACCAGACCTCCCCAGCGCTGACCTACGGCACAATTGTTCATGCACGAGAGCCGCCTTATGGGGTGAGTGCGTGACTCTGGTGCGAGGTTTATGTTCCCAGGGCTGACATGTCTGGGAGCTTCACAGCTGGACGAGGCATATTTGGAGGGGCGCCTTGAACCTGGACAGCACCCCCTCCTTGCCTCCCTCAGGCCGTTTGGCCACAGAACCTGTGACATGGGCAGGCTCAGGAGAGGAGAGGAGGAAGGGAAGGAGCCCAGGCCCCGAGGAGGGAAGATTGCCGGGGGCCAGGGTGGGGGTGGGGTGGGGTGGGGGCCCAGGGCCCAGGGCTGGGGCAGCTCTGGGTGCCAAATGCGGTTTCGTCCAGAGGACACTGCAAGGCTGGAATGAAACACCCTGTCCTCTTCAGCTTGTAGCGGGTCAGAGGCCGCTGGTTTTGAAGAGATTTGCCAGTGATCTGTGGGAGGAAACACTCAGCAGAGGTTTAGGTGGCACGTGGAGACTGTGCGGGGAATACAGCCCAAATGGGGAGGACAGAAGACACCACAGCCACCCAGGGTGTGAGAGCTGCGACAGGCGCCTGTTAGAGCGGAACCACAGGGGCCCGGCCCCATCTCGGGGTCCGGGGTGGCTTCCCTGCGGGGGCGGCCTCTGTGCAGAGGCCTGAAGGGTCCACAGTGGCAAAGGGGGAATGACAAAGTGTCTGCCTGTGCCGGACCGAGTGATCTGTACTATAATTACCCTGTGAGGGGCGCACGCTGCCGTCCTAGAGCGTCACAGACACCAGCCCCCGGGCCTGTTGGTACTCGCCGGAGGTCCCTGCGTGCCCAGAGTCCCGCCCTGGCCATCGTTTAGTGTGAGGCAGGAGGGGGCCAGATATGGGGGGGACGCCTGGCTCCCCCAGATCTCTCTTGCCTGCTCTTTCCTCCGCAGGCTGCCTGTGCCCCTCCCCCGTAGCCAGGAACAGGCCCTGGGGAGTGGTGGGAGGCCGTGCAGTGAGGCTTGCGGCCCTGGATGCTCCCTCAGGACTGTCTGGGACCAGGCTCGTCTCACAATCCGAATTAACTGCAGACCTCACTTCGAGAACAGCCTGGCCCAGCCCTGATACTCGGGGAAAGAGCAGCGGTCGGAGGAGGCAGGAGGAGCGCACGGAGGGCAAGCCGGGGGCCCATGTGTGGCTGGGGCAGCCGTGGCCTCCTCAGCACAGTGTGAGCCCAGCAGCCTTGCCGTGGCCAAGGCCCTGGGCCTGGGAACTTGTAATCCAGTCGCTGACTTTGCTTAGTTAGCAGAAATGGAAGACACCTCATTTGTGGAGACCGAGGTGGTGGAATGTTGACCCTGGGGGTGTTGCTGTGGGAGGCCAGTGAGCTGTTAGCCCAGTGGGCAGGACCTGGGTGACCGACGCCCTGGGGGTCTCATAACTCCCTGGACCTTCTCCTTTCTTGGTGGAGCTTGGCCAAAACCCACGGATATTTTACATCTGTTTCCCTGAAGTGCTAGGGACGTTCTGTAGTTTCAGCCATGCTCCTCGGGCAAGCCCCGGGATGGGGTGGGGGGGGCCAGAACAATGTGGGGTGGGCGTGGCCGGACGCCAGCTGCCCCTCAGCAGGGGCTTCAGCTCCATCACAGCCATGTGGACTGTGGCTCAGCCTGGGTGGACAAGGAGGTGTATACAGTTAGCACAGCCAGAGCAAGCCAGCCCTGCCCACTGAGGTGCACAGAGCACCAATCCGCTGGCCCTCCCTCCCTCTTTCACCTGTTCTGTGCCCATTTATTGGCTGCCTCCTGTACCGGGGTCTTGCTTTGGCACCGAGGAAACTGCAGTCAAGGCCGGAGGCTCCTGCCTTGAAGATCCCAAGACCGGGATGGAGACTGATGAGCCGGATGTGTCCCAGCGTGTAATGCAGGGTGGGCTGAGTGCGCCCCCCGACGTCTGTGTGGGAATCCTCACCAGCAAGGCCATGGTGTTAGGAGGGGGTGCCTGTGGGAGCCGGTGAGGTTGTGAGGATGGAGGCTCACGGGTGGGATTAGTGCCTTTGTAAGGGGGGCCCTGGGAGCTCGCAAGCCCCTTCCGCCCTGAGAAGACGTAGCGGCCAGGGAGGGGGCCTGGACCAGGAATGGAACTGGCCGGCACCTCGATCCTGGACTTCCAGCCTCCAGAATCATGAGGAGTGGGCAGAGTGAGGCCACACGGCCTATGAAGATCTGTTGTAGTGACCAGAGGGAAGACACAGTGCAGTGGACACGCCGGGGCTGGTGTGTGTCCTGCAGCCTCTCTGGGAGCCCAGGGCACCTGCTCCCAGGAATCACATGTGAGAAGCAAAACACAAGGACAGGCTGCGGGGAGGCGGCCCCGGACCCCCACTGGATGCCTCACTTCACACACCTGCCACCGAGGGGGACAGTGCCGGCCTCCCAGACCTGCACCCCAGCCCACAGGTGGGCACTCCACCCATGCACTGTCAGGGCTGCCAAAGCCTCATGCCCTCCCACCACCTTCTGCTGGGCAGCCCCTTCCTCAGAGAACAAAGAGCATTTTGGTTTTTTTTTTGAGACAGGGTCTTGCTGCATCGCCCAGGCTGCAGTGCAGTGGCATGATCTCAGCTCACTGCAGCCTTGACCTCCTGGGCTCAAGTGATTCTCCCACCTCAGCCTCCCGAGTAGCTGGGACCACAGGCGCCACCATGCCCGGCTAATTTTATTTCTATATTTTTTGTAGAGATGGGGTTTTGCCAGGTTGCCCAGGCTGGTCTCAAACTCCTGGTCTCAAGTGATCCGCTCACCTTGGCCTCCCAAAGTGTTGAGATTACAGGTGTGAAGCACCGTGCCTGGCCATAAAGAGCATCCCGGAGGCTCCTGAGGCGCGTCCTCCTCCCAGCCCACCTCCTGCAGAGGCCCCCATTGGAGGCCGGCCTGTTCCCACTGTTACGTGTTCCCATGTCCGCTCAGGAGGGAGCCTGGCCCGCACCCCACAGGGCACACTCCTGCATCTGGCTCTGAGGACATGCTTCTTCCTCTTCTCCCACTGCGCCAGGCCCTGCCGCCGCCCCAACAGCGTGGATGTCCAGGGCTGTGGGCGGACAATGGCCCTGATGTCCAAGGACAGACAACAGAGGGTGCGGCGAACAGGTCCCCACTTGGTGACGGTGACGTCCAGTTCCTGCTGCGTGCACTGGTTTGTGACAGCAGCAGTGGCTGAATGGAGAGAACCACACCCCTGCCAGCGGGAGGCCTGGCTGGTCACCTGAGCACAGATGCCAGGGCAGAGCCAGGAGGGGACTCAGGATGAACACTGCCACCCTGGGGCGGCTGGAGAACCAGGCATGGGCCGGCGGCGAGCCGGGAGGGAGCCCCAGCCTGTGCCCAGTGGCCCGGGGGCCTCATCCGTAGCCAGGGGATGTGAGCAGGGAATGGCAGCCGCTGTGTGACCCAAGGTTCTGAGATCAGAGGAGTCCTCACCCTGGGCCCCGTTTTGAGGCCTGAAACTTCCATGGTTAGATGGTGATGGGGAGCCCTCCTTCAGGGCAAAAGATAAGATTACAAATTCTAAAGTATGAAAATAAATCTAAATACAGAAACATTAAAAAACCACCACATCACAAAGTTTAAAAAGCTGAAAAACACAGTAACACAATATTTGGTGACGGTTTTATTGGTGAGCTGCCTGTGATTAATAAACAATTAACCCGCGCCATTTTCCCCACTGCGTGTTCACCTCTTCACGCGCCTTTGTAGAATACCAGCTTTCTCCCGGCAGGGCTGCCCCGGATTTGTTTTCTAACCTTGGCACCTGGAAGGCAGCCTCCCCATCACAGCTCGCCGCCGTGAGAACGGTCATGGGCCCGGCTGCAGGACCGGCATTGCCTACCACGTCCAGCCTCCCACTGCCAGCTCTGTTTCTCTTCCAGTCCCCACACCTCCCAGGTTGGGAGTACATGTCCGCCTCACCAGGTGACCTCTGGCCCTGGCCATCCTGTCCTGAGACTCCCTGCTGCTCCTACAGGTAGAGACGACATGACTGGGAACCCCGAAACGTCTCCCAGCAGACCGAGCCAAGTGTGTGTCCAGTTCAGCCTCCCCTACGCGGGCCCCACACACCCACAGGGCCCTCAGTGCCCCTCAAGGCGAAAGGAGCGTGACGGATGAACCCTGAGTGGAAGGGGCCGCCTGTCCCAAACACGGACGGCTTTTTCTGCAAGTTTTACAAACTGATAAACCTTTGTGAATGCACTCGCAGGGCCGCAGAGCTCAGCTTTCCCCGTGGCTCTGGCACATTTCCCCCGCCTGGGGAACCCAGAGTCCATGGGCCACGACGGGCTGATGCTCGGCTTGGGAACCACCTCTCCTGTGAGATCCCAGACACACAGGCAGTTGCTGGCTGCCCCGGGCCTCCCAGATGGGCACCTGAGGACCCCGGCCTCCTCCTCCTGCTTGGGGTTCAGCCCAAGAGCAGAGCTTCTCAGGCCGTCAATTACTGCAGATGGAGCAGGCTTTCCTGGAGGAAGGATGAGCTTTGTCTGGAATTCTCCATCTTCCGTGAGGGAGGCTGGGCTGATGGCTGAGGGCCCAGAGGAGTCCATGCTTCAACACAGGCAAGAGGGAACCGGCCACACCCTGCCCAGGGCCACCCTGTCACCACTCCAGACCAACTGCCCCCAGGAGCAGGGTCTGCCGCCTCCCACACCCCACCCAGCAGGGAGAGCTGCGCCCTCAGACCCAGACCCCCGCAGCAGCAATGCAGGTTCCGGGGCCCAGCGAGACCCACAGAAGCAGACGCAGTGGGGGGCTGAGAAACCCAGCCTGAACAAGCTCTCTGGGTCGTTCTTGCGAGTCTGGACCTGCCAGCTTGACCGCTGACCTGGCCCGGGCCACAGGACTGACCACCCCAGCCGGGCTCATGCGAGGCTGTGATGCTGGAGGTCCTTGGCCTGCTCCTTGGGGGTCCACAGGGACTGGGACAGGTGGTTTTCTTTTCCTCTCCACTGACAGGGTAAGACAGGGATTGGGGACTTTACCCTGTGCCCCTCCCCCACCGGCCTGCCTCATGCCACCTGAAGGCCACAAGCCCCCCTGTACACAGCGGCTTCTGCTGTTTGCAGGCCACCCCCAGCCCTGCCCCCCACCCTCCTTCTTAGGAAACATCCCTGTCCCTACCAGTCGGTGTCCATTTTTCTGGAAAATAGCCGTATTGCCTAAAAGACCTCTGATCTCAATCTGTGCAAAAAGAAAGGTTGGCTTCCCCGACTTCCCGCAGCCCCGCTCTCTGCTGCTTTCTGTCTGGGAAGGAGCCCCCTCCCAGGATGGCCTTCTGCTTCCAGCTCCGCTCCTGCCCCTCCAGGTGTGGGTGACGTGGAAGGGGGCTGTGGGGAGGGGCGGTGAGCAAAGCTGAGGCTCAAGCCTTAGGGGAGTCTGCCCCGGCCCCGGCTGGGTGTGTCTGAGCTGGTAGCCCACATGGGCTTCATGTGGCCTGCCTGGCCGTCCCCTCTTGGGCAAGTCTCAGGGCAGCGGGCCTCTAATTGTCCTCTCCACATACCCTGAACACCAGAGATTAGAGTCTTTGGAGCAGCCCTACCCGGTAGTTAACAGGCATCTGGCATAATTCTCCATGTCTGTCCACAAGGCCCAGAGGAAGGACAGAAATAGGAATCCCCAGTGGGGCCAGAGAAGCTTCTCGGGTCAGCCAGGGGCCATGGCTGCCTCGCCTCTGCCAGGACACAAGGCGCCGGGCCAGCTTCACTGATGCTTCCACAAGTTAGGGGTGGGCTGGCCCGGCCTTTGCTGCCCCTGGGGTCTATGGCGTGTGGCGAAGGTGACTGGCAGGGGAAGCCTGGACATGGGGAGTGTGCATGTATGGATGTGTGCATGTGTGTGTGTGCATGCGTGTGCATCTGTGTGCAGATGTGTGCGTGTGTGCATGTATGTGTGTGCATGCATGTGGATGTGTGCATGTGTGCATGTAGGTCTTGGCTCAGACCCTGCTTCATGGTGGACACCACCTGCTGTGTCTCCCCAACACTGGTGTGTACCTTCCCTCATGGTCCATGGGACTGGGCTCTTGCTTCCAAGTTTCTTCAAAGGAAGAAGATAGTCATTGCCCCGGAGCGGGGCAAATCAATCATCTTGTACTAATGGGAATGGCTTTGGGAAGTGCCCACATGCTCACATCTGAGCCAGCACTAGGCGCACCTCCCCTGCCGCACAGGAATTGTGGGCAGTCTTGCCCTCGGCAGCACTGGGGCTTGTGGCCATCTACAGAACGCAGCCTTCTGTGGCCGATGCCCCTGAGTGAGTTACAGCCGGCATCTCACCAGCCCCCCAGGCAGGCTGGTCCTGGTTCAAGCAGGAGGCATCTGCTCGGGTTCTTTATTACACGTGCCTGGGGCACACACACGATTCCCTTTCACAGAAAGGAGAGGGTCCCCCTGGATGGACCCGTCAAAGAGGCGGCCTCAATGCACGCAGCCCTGCACCAGGCCATGGGGCTCAAGCTCATGCTTGTCTCCAGTGAGCTGGAGGGTGGTGTGGCGTGGTCTTCACCACACACAGACAGTGAAGGGGGCAGTGGTGTTCAGGGCACAGGGCTGAACGATTGTGGCCTCTCAGTGCTCTGGGATGGGCCTGAGACTAGCAGGGATGCACGGGCCATTCCTCTAAATGCAGAGGACAGCAGGTTTGCACGTGTGCAGGAGTGTTGTGCAGGGGGAGGAGCCCTGGGGAGACCCTACCCTGGTGGCCTTCCAGAGCCCACAGAACCGAGGTCGCACTACCCGTGGAGCCCACCGGATCAGAGCAGGTGCCATGCACAGCTAGTCCCCCACTCTCCGTCTGTCACCAAAGCTTCGCCCCTCCGCCAGCTGGGCTGCACCAGCCCAACCCCAGCCAGGGCAATGGCTTAAGGAAGCCACCTGTGAGCAGAGTGGGTCCTGAGGCCTCATGGCTGAGATGGGAGCAGAGTCGGCTTCAGCTCCGGGGCAGTGGGGTCTTTGGAAGCCCTGGCTTGGAAGGGAAAGCACAGCCATTGACTGTGGATGGTGGAGGAGGGTCTCTGGCTGGATCTCAGGTGACAGAGCTGGGCTTGCACCACAAGAGGGGCCTCTGTCTGGCAGGCCCAGCGCTTGCAAACAGGAGTTGCAGAGAGGGGTTCAGGTCTGGGAGGAACCTGGGTCCTGCACAGTGATGACTGTGAACTCCGGCTTGGGAGCTCTGGCAGCCTGTGCCCATCAGGACTGTCTCTTGGGGAGCTGACAGTGTGGGAAACTGCAGAGCTGTCTCTCCAGGGTCTGGGCCCAGCTGTGTCACCTTCTCTCCCAGATTAGGATGGGTGACAGGCTGCCTCAGGGGCCAACACCATGGCTCTCTGGACACTTGACAGCCAGACCTTGAACTGGCTCCCTGAGACCCTGAGGGAAAGAGCTCCCGGGTGTATGGCAGACAGGCATGAGGTGCGGGACCTGTTTGTTACCTCCCAGGTTGATGTCAGAGCCAGCTCCACACCTCTTACAGGTGAACCTGTGGAGCGTGCTGGCTGCGGAAGTGCAGGCAGCATCTGGCGGGCAGGAAGGGACGAGGGCCATGTGGAAGTGGGGTGGGCAGGGGCTGAGCCTGGCGGTGCGGACGGTACTGCTGGGTGGGTGGTGCCTACACCACAAACTCCTGTGGTGGAGCCTCTCCGAACAGGTCCAGGGCGAGACAGTTGCTGGACCTCTTGCTGGGGAGAGTGGCCCTGGTCTCGCAGGGGCCTGCCAGCCTGCAGTCCAGGGCGCGGTGGAAGGTATGGCTGAGTGAGGTGGGCGCTGGGTGCAGGGCCAGCTGGTGCAGCTGCATGTCGTCCAGGCCATGGCTGTGCTGCTCCTCACTGACCCCGGCTGTCATTTCCTGGATCTGCGGGGAGAGGCCATGGGATGAGGCCTGCTGCCCCCTCTCACTCCCACCACCGCACACGGCAGCCACACTGCTTGTGGCCACAGAGCCACACTCCCTGCCAATGCCCACCCTGCGCCGCAGTGCATGGCCGGCCTGCCCCTGGACGGGTCCCCCAGCACACACCTCTGCGAGAGAGGCTTGGCATCTTCCTTTGATGCATTTCAGGAGGCCCCCACCTTGCCCAGCTTCTTTCCTGGGGCTGCTTTCTGCCTTTTAACTCAGTGGACCTGGACTCTTAGCGTTTGGTGTAATTTAGGATCAGGTCTGAGTGTGGGCCTTGAACACTAGCTCTGGAAGCACCTCAGTGGTCAAGAACGGCCTCCTATTTTATACGGGAGGAAACTGTCTGGGTTCAGAGGTGACTGTCCAAGGTCCCGTCCAGGTGGGCGGCCAGCGGGCAGCGTCATCGCCCTTAAGTGAAGCCTCCAGCCCGAGCTTCTCGGCTGCCGTGGCCCCTCAGATCTGCCTTGGACCACTGTGCTCCCAGGAGGCAGATGAGGCCCCTGGTGGCAGGTGGCAGGGGCAGGGGCAGGCCACGCCGAAGATTGCCCAGCGCCAGGGTCTGACTTGCCCTTCTACGCGTGTTTCCTTGTTTTTAATCAATACGTCTTTCAAGAGTGACAGTCCCTGGCCCAGAGCTCAGGCGGCTTCGGGCAGCCGTCTCCTCCACTGAGTGGGCTGACCTGGGTTTGGGATTGCCCCCACTGGGATGGGCCCGCGCCTGCCAGGACTTGCAGCCTCCCCTCCCTCCTCCCGTGCCCAGCCCTGTTCTCTCTCCATCCAGCCTCCGGTGCCCAGCCCTGTTCTCTCTCCATCCAGCCTCCCGTGCCCAGCCCTGTTCTCTCTCTCCATCCGCCTCCCGTGCCCAGCCCTGTTCTCTCTCCATCCAGCCTCCCGTGCCCAGCCCTGTTCTCTCTCTCCATGCAGCCTCTCGTGCCCAGCCCTGTTCTCTCTCTCCATGCAGCCTCTCGTGCCCAGCCCTGTTCTCTCTCTCCATCTGCCTCCCGTGCCCAGCCCTCTTCTCTCTCCATCCAGCCTCCCGTGCCCAGCCCTCTTCTCTCTCCATCCAGCATCACGATAACTAATCAGCCACAACCGATTTTCTGTGTCTTTCCAGGGGGATTCTGAACAGGGCTGACCAGAGGGGGCCTCACCCTCCTGTGGTGGAGCCGGGGGCGGGGGTTGGGGGGTGGGGAGGGCAACTCGGAGCCTGGCTGGGAACCCTGAGCCCACCTGTTCCCCACCTGGGCATCCAGGAACCACTGGCTCGCTTCTCCTCTAGCTCCTCTGGGGGATCCTAAGGCTCAGTAGCTCTACAGGAAGTGGGGGAAGCCTGGAGCAGCCCTGCACACACAGCACTAGGCCCCGGGTGGAGGAGGTGGACGAAGGGGACGGGGCAGCCAGTCTGCTGCATGGCAGGTTGCAGGGCCCAGGTGTCCGGGTCCTGCCTACAGTGGCCCGGTGACACTCAGGGCCCGGCCACCCCAGCCCCAGGCAGGACCCCTCCCTCCCCACAGTGAGCCGACTCACTCGGCCCTGAGGCTGAGGCCTCCACCCACGTCCACCTGCCCCAGTGCCCGAGAGCCTTGCTGCTCCCTGACTTGCCCGCTGCGTCTCTGGGGATGTCAGTCGAGGGACCCTCTGATAGGCCTAGGAAGGTCCCCAGGGCCCCTGACAGGGGACCTAGGAGAAGGGGGTGGAGGAGCAGGGCCAGGGCTTCTGGCCCGTGGGGGGGACTCTACCTGGTGCACGGCCTCGGCGCTCTGGCCTCTGGTCCTGACCTGGGTGCAGGGCTCCTGACGAGTGGCTGTGGGAGGAGGCAGCCGTGAGCACAGGTGTCTGGGTTCTGCCCGACATGGCTCCTCCCCAGGGCAGTTCCCTGCACTTCTGGGGCCCTGGTCTCGGACCGGCATCTCCTGAGGCTCACACCGCCCCCTTGCTCTCAGTGCGGTGACTGCTTTTGCTCCATTCCCCGACATCTGATAAAACGGCCCCTTGCTGTGCAGATGCGGGATTAGCACGGTGATTCCCGCTGGGTTACAGGCCACAGAGCTTGCATACATCCTCAGAGATGGAGGCCAACCATCCCTTCCTGGTGGACCAGACACTCCAAGGGCAATGGCGGACACAGTGGCTTAGTGACAGGAATGCCTGGCCCTGGGAGGCCCTAGGTGATGTTTTGTGACCCTGGATGGCCCTGGGTGACTGTAGGTGATGCTGGGCGGTCCTGGGTGACTGAGCCCTGGGGCTGGTCCCACCTGATCTCATCACATCCACCGTCAGGGCCGTGGGGACACTCAGAGACCAGCAGAGCTCACGTCCCCTTTCTGGGGCAATGAGGAAGCTCTTCAGGGCCTCATACACAGGGACTGGGCTGGACGCATCCCTCAGGACAGGGTGCTGCATCCTGGGCCAGGTGCACACACAGTCCTACACACAGGGAATGGGCAGGGTGCATCCCTCAGGACAAGGTGCTGCGTCCTGGGCCAGGTGGACACATGGTCCTAGAACACTCTGAATGGCTCTGTCTTCTCACTCCTACTCAACTGAGTATAAAAAGACATGAGTCTAACCCAGGCTTTCTGATGGGAGGGAAGCTGGTAGGACAGGGCTTCCTAGGAGTAGGGGGCTTCCTAGGAGTGGGGGGCTTCCTAGGAGTCAGAAGGCTTCCAAAGAGTTGGGGGAGTTCCTAGGAGTCCACGGGGCTTCTTAGGAGTGTGGGGGGGGCTTCCTAAGAGTTGGGGGGGTCTCTAGGAGTCCAGGGGGCTTCCTAGGAGTGAGGGGACTTCTTAGGAATGGGGGGCTTCCTGGAAGTGGGGGGCTTCCTAGGAGTGGGGGGTTTCCTAGGAGTGGGGGTCTTCCTATGTGTGGGGATGGGATTCCTGGGAGAGGGAGGGGCTCCCTGGAAGGGGAGCTTCCTAGGAGTTTTGTTGGGGGGCTTCCCGGGATGGGGAGCATTCCTTGGGAGGGGGGTTCTTCCTAGGAGTTG
The DNA here is from genome assembly GCF_000001405.40 of Homo sapiens. Lineage (NCBI taxonomy): Eukaryota > Metazoa > Chordata > Mammalia > Primates > Hominidae > Homo > Homo sapiens. The sequence goes on from NC_000006.12 coordinate 168,060,371, forward strand.
GGGGGGTGCTTCCTAGGGGCCAGGGGCTTCCTAGGAGTGGGAGGGGCTCCTGAGATGGGCTTCCGAGAAAGCTAAAGGACCTGGACTCATCTGCAACCCCAAGAGGATCCCACCTCTCCTGTCTCTGATCCCAGCCTGCAGCTGCCCCTTGGCAGGAACAGGAGACTCGGGCACAGCAGGCTGCAGGCAGCTCCTCCCTGCCATCTCTGTTCTTCCGGCATGTTCTGGCACATTTCCTGGGACTCAGGTCACAAGCAGCCCAGCCCCTCACGTCTGGCCACTGGAGGGCAGGCCAGGGCTTTGCTGCCTCGGTGTCCAGGGTCAGCCAAGCTGGGGCTGGCTGGACCACACTCACTGTCCCTGAGGCCTGGGCATCTCCCTCGGGCCCACCTTGGCTGTCACCACGTGTGCTGGGGTGGCTGCGGCTGGTCCTGGGGCTGGAGGACGGCTCCTTCTCATGGAGCCCGTGGACCTCCAAGGGCACGTCCACAGACATCTCTCTGGATTCCCTGAGCCAGGAGTTGGCCTTGATGCCTGACGTGTAGGAACTGCCGTGGCTGTCGGCGGAGTGGCGTGAGAGGCAGTGGGGGCAGTGCTGGCTGCTGACCCCACTGCCCGGGAAGCTCCTGCTGGCCAGGTCCAGCTCCAGCTCATCGCTGATATAGGACTCCCGGTAGTGCTGCTTCTCTGTGGGGAGTGGGGAGCACAGTGAGGGCGAGCTGGAGAGGGACCAGCCCTGCTGATGCAGGAGGAAGAGCCCGGGAGACAGAAATGCACACCCACAGCCCAGATGAGGACGTGGAACAGGCAGGGAGACCAGGCCTGCGGGTAAACGCTGAGGCCAGGCCTTGTGCTCAGGTGAGGACGTGGAACAGGCAGGGAGACCAGGCCTGTGGTAAACGCTGAGGCGAGGCCTTGTGCTCAAGGTGAGGACGTGGAACAGGGAGGGAGACCAGGCCTGTGGGTAAACGCTGAGGCCAGGTCTTGTGCTCAGGTGAGGATGTGGAACAGGGAGGGAGGCCAGGCCTGTGGGTAAACACTAAGGCCAGGCCTTGTGCTCAGGTGAGGATGTGGAACAGGAAGGGAGACCAGGCCTGTGGGTAAACACTGAGGCCTTGTCGGAACCTGCATTTCTTGCTCTTTGTGGGCACATGATGGGAGGAGAAGTGGAAAACAGACCAGGAAACTGAGAAGTGGAAACCTCAGGTGGCTCCTCAAGCTCCCAGCTTCCCCCAGTCCCATCTATAGAATTCCACTCCAGGCAGAGCTGGGGGCCACCACTTCGCCCTTCGACCTCAGCATCTGGGGGACGTGGGAGTCAGGAGGCCACAACAATAAGAGACAGAAGGCATAGTCCGGCCAGAGCCCAGTGTGCCCAGCCTAGCCCAGAAGGCACAGTCCGGCTGCGGAGCCCAGCATACCCAGCCCAGCCCCACCTTCTGCCTCCTCCCGCTGCCGCAGCTGTTGCAGAGTGGGCCGCACGCGGAGGTGGAGCTGGTGGCTGGCGCGCAGCAGGTGCAGCAGGTGCCTGGACCGCCAGGTGCACCCCGTGTAGTAAACCAGCTTCTGTGCTGCGGGCAGCCCATCCAGCTGGATCTCCAGCTTCTTTCCCTGAGCAAACAGGAGAGAAGTTGCCACTCCACAGGTGGAAAACCACGCTAGCCACAGGAAAGGATGATTTTAAATGTCAGCCATGGCCCCCAGGGGGACGAGGCCCAGGTTTTCACTTCGCAGTGCAGATGGCTGTTGGCGGACACTGTGCGCGGACACTGTGCTCTGCTCCGCCCTTGCTTGAGAGGACACAGCCCTCCTGGCTAGAAAGTGCCCGCAGCAGTGTGAGGGGAGTGGAGGTCTGGGGTGGGACAGGAAGACCTCGGTCTGGCTGTCCAGAGCAAGCCTGCTGTCCAGCAGCCCCCACAGTCACTGCCCTTTTATCCCCGGCACCCGGGCTGTGGGGTGACCCTGGGTGACAGCTCTGGGGCCGGGATGAGAGGAACAGAGGCCACACAGGTGCGTTTCTATGACCTGCTCTTCTTTTCTCCCTTGATTTTCTCAATTGGGAGCCAGAAGTTTTCAAGCGATAACAACAACTAGACCTCACCGGGCAGCTAAACACCCCACGCCTGCAGGGCCAGGGCCAGGCACAAAGCCCGTGAGGCCAGGACGGCCCTGATGCCCCCGAGAGGCCGGCAGGAAGGGACCTGCACCTCTTCGGGTGCAGAATTGTCCAGAAAATGCCCCGAGGATGAAGCTGCATCTGCCCAGGCTTTCCAGGGCACGGGGACCCCCCAGACACCCACCAGAAATGCCAGCTTCCCAACGTGGGGCCAGGGGAGGTCGTACAGCAGCTGCGGAGCACGGTCCACCTCCTGCGGGACAGCAGAGGCAGGGCGCGTCCAGGCAGGGCCAGCCAGCGCCCATGACCGCTGCAGGGATGCTACACAGCCCAGACTCCAGTGGGGAAGGGAGGAGGGGGTGGGGGCAGGACGAGGGGCTCTGTGAGGCTGGAGCCCCTTCGGTCACCTGGTAGATGTGCACTCCCCTGAGGGCCAGTCCCAGGATCACGGTGGGACGACCTTCCTTCTTATCCTAGAGGACACAGGTCAGAGGTCAAGTTGCAGGCCTGGAGGTGCTGGGCCTCACTGATGGCAGAGTATGGTCAGTCTGGCTAGGGGCCGAGGGCTCCATGGACCAGGCTGAGCTCTGGGGCCCATTTACAGACAGTCTCATTCACTCCAGCATCAGATCAAAGGCATAGTTGTCATAGCACAAGCACTGCCTTTCATCATGCCAGATAAACACCAGCCACGACCTAAGAGAGCCTGGCCATGCCGGGCCCGGGGTCCTGGTCCCACTCAGCCACGGGGGCTCCATCCATCCCTGCCCTGGGGTCCTGGTCCCATCCCACTCTTAGCCACGGGGGCTCCATCCATCCCTGCCCCGGGGTCCTGGTCCCACTCTTAGCCACGGGGGCTCCATCCATCCCTGCCCTGGGGTCCTGACCACTCTTAGCCATGGGGGCTCCATCCGTCCCTGGCCTGGGGTCCTGATCCCACTCTTAGCCATGGGGGCTCCATCTATCCCTGCCCCGGGGTCCTGGTCCCACTCTTAGCCATGGGGGCTCCATCCATCCCTGCCCTGGGGTCCTGATCCCACTCAGCCATGGGGGCTCCGTGCATCCCTGGCCTGGAGTCAGAGTCCAGCCCATCGCTGGCCGCCCTGGGCTCGACCTTGTGCAGCCTGAAGAAGTGCACGGGCACGTCCTCCAGCCGGCAGGCCTCCTGGATGAAGCACAGCATGGCCTCCTTGGGGCTCAGGCCCTGGCGCTCACGGTGCAGGGTAGGCATGTGCCGGAGGATGTAGTCAATCCCCCTCTTGGTGATGATCTGAGGACAGAGCCGGGAGGTCAGCTCAGACCCCTGCTGGTCCCCCCTTCCTCCTTGCCAGCCCCCTGCTCCGAGAAGCTTCCCCAGACTCCCACAGCTGGTGCCAACCTCGGTGGGCAGGGCCAGGGCCTGGCTGCTGAGCCCAGAACCAGAGATGAAGTCTCAGTGCCCACTGTGGCCCTGGGCCCTGTCTGATTTCCTGTCCCCCTCGGGTCCTCCCCAAGGGGAATGGCAGCAGCCAGCCCTCCTCAGACGTCTGCAGGTGGGGACTCTACTCCCAACGAGCCCTGGCTCTTGGGAACCTGCCCAGTGAGGACCAGCTGGGGCCATCACCGGGACCGGGGTAAGAATCGCAGGGACGTGGAATCACTGAGGGTGGAAATGTGCTCAGAGGCCAAGGGCACGTGTGGCATCCACAGCACTGGGAGGAAGCCTGGCTGGGCCCCACCCTGACCTCAGCGACTGCCTCAGAGCAAAGGTGAGAAGGCCCCAAGGTGCACAGGATAGAGAGGTACACAGGGATGAGCGGTCAAGGAGAGAAACCTTAAAGTTCACCCGGAACAGGGCCTGCATCCCCGGGGTGACAGCCATCAATCCGCGCGGCCATCAGGCCAGACAGCGCCTGGGACTGGGCACACAGTGGTACAGCCCACGCCTCTCCATGGCCCTCCTCCCAGGGGGATGCCACTCCTTCCCTTACAGGTGAGGAAGCTGAGGCTCAGAGACTCCTACGGGTCCCAGGATACTTAGAGAGAAGCAGGAAGGTTCACAGCCACAAGGCCCGTGTGGGTCACATTCCACAGCCAGGCAGCCAAGGGGCTCAGAGAGGTGAAGCCAGAGTGCAAGGCCACACAGCTGGCTGGGTGCGTCAGGAGCACAGGCACCCACACCTGCCTGCTCAGGGCCACTCCTCCCACACTGCCTGCCTTTGGGGGTGGTAAGGACCCTTGGGCCTTCAGGACAGAAGGACAGGTGATTGCCCTGTTTCCATCCCTGACCCTTGCTCCAGCAGCCCCTGCCAGGCCCTCAGTCCCCTGCTCCCATGGATGGCACCCGGTGGAGGTGGACAGGCACCAGACTAGCAGTGCTGGGAGGAGGTGGGCCCTGACCTTACCCACTGTGGGAAGTAGGAGTGTGGCTCGAAGTACCTCCCGGCATGGGCCGACTCCCGGTGCTCGCCCAGGTCAGCCTGCAGCGCGCAGGCAGCCAGCAGGAAGTAGGCTTCCTCCCGGTGAGCGCACTGTGACCTCAGCACGCGCTCCTTCAAGTGGCAGTAGTACAGGTGCCGTGCCCTGTGGTCGCTGGAAGGTGGCAGGGAGTGAGTTCCAGGACGACCGGTGTGGGGACTGCTGGCCCCTCTGGCCCTGCCTTGTCCCTCCCCACACCAGCTCCCAGGGCTGTCCTGAGCCCCTGGTACCTAGTTCCTGTCTTGTTATACCCACAGCTGTGTCCCTGCAGGGCCAGCACGGCACAGGCCCACACTCTTCCTGGAGCGGGGCACAGGTGACTTGCTGCCACCAAGGAGCCACTAGATGAGGCTCCACCTGCCGAGGTCCCACTCCTTCCCCAGTGAGCTTGGCCTTCACCAAACCAAGCCCCAGTGCAGGAGAGGTGCACAGAGCCCGGGCGACTCGAATCCCTGGAGGTGCACAGGGCCTGGACAACTTGAATCCCTGGATGTGGACAGACCTGGCTCCCAGAGCTCACCGCCCAGCACGGGGCTTGGCCATGGCTGGTATTCATTAATCACAGGCCAGGTGGAGGCTCGCCCAAGATGCAGGTGCAAGATCTTCTCATATAATTCCCCCGAACTGGCCCCATAGCACCAGGTAGCTCCATCCATCAACCCAACACTTTCCAGACCTCCCCTCCAAGGCTATCCAGAACCTTCCACATATTCACACACCCCTCACTCTCCAGAACCTGCCACACAACCACATACCAGTGTCTCCAGGGCTCTCCACACAACCACACACCTTTCACTCTCCAGAACCCTCCCACACAACCACACGCCCCTCACCCCCTAGAACCTTCCACACAACCGCACACATGCCTTTTGGAACTGGCAGGGATTGTGCCTGCTTAGGGAATTCCTGGGAAACCCCCTTAGGTTTTCCCCCAGGGTAAACCCTGTTCACGCACCCCTGAAGCTCTGTTCTGGAAGTAAGTCTCAGGATCCTCCTGAGGGACGTCTTTGTTACCCTAGAAGCTCTAAGGCAGCTCTGGAAGAAGCAGCCCCCGTTGGTTTAGAGTGCAGCCCACCAGATGTACAACTTACCCACTCCTGTCGGGGAAAGCTTCCCACTAGACACCTGCAGAGTGGGCAGTGAACAGCGAGAACCGCCACGCAGCAAGCATAGCAGCCCTTAGCCCAGCGACCTCCAGAAGCCTCGCCCACCCCCGGATGGTATACCCACCCTAGAGAGTACGAGTCCTGGCATTTGAGGAAGTACCACTTTAGGCCGGGCACGGTGGCTCACACCTGTAATCCCAGCACTTTGGGAGGTCGAGGCGGGTGGATCACCTGAGGTCGGGAGTTTGAGACCAGCTTGACCAACACAGAGAAACCCCGTCTCTACTGAAAATACAAAATTAGCCAGGTGTGGTGGCGCCCGCCTGTAATCCCAGCTACTCTGGAGACTAAGGCAGAAGAATCGCTTGAACCCAGGAGGTGGAGGTTGCAGTGAGTCGAGATTGTGCCATTGCACTCCAGCCTGGGCGACAAGAGTGAAACTCCGTCTCAAAACAAAACAAAACAAAACAAAAAGAAAAAGAAAAGAAAAAGAAGTACCAATTTATGACACAGTCTGTATACCTTTCGATTAAATAGAATTCCTGTGTTAACCCCAAAGCAAACAGCCGATATAGTGGGGTTGTTTGTTTGTTTTTTGTTTTTGGATAAACTCAAATGTAATGTGTGGCCTTCAGGGGACTTCCACGTCATGCGGCAGATTTTCAGTATTCCAGGAAACACCCCTTACAGTCCGCATGCCGTTACCTTATGACCCTTCCGTTTTCCACGTAGTGCTGCACTCGGAGGAAGGCCACGAAGGGGGCTCTGGGTTTCTCATTTCCCTAGTGGGGAAAATGCAAGAAAGAGCAAGTGAGCCGCAGGGAGGTGCCGCTGGCTGTCCTGTCTTCCCAGTTGGGGGGGCCTGGATTGCTTCACACTCAGCTTAAAGTCGAAGCTCAGGTGTCTGCAGCCATAGCTGACAATTCGACTCATGGTATTTTCTACCCGGAGAACCCTGAGTGGGACGTGGTCTACAGCGTTCAAGAACATCTGCAAAGGCGGGCTTCGGGCGGGCACACCTGCTTGCAGCCTCAGGGCTCACCACAGTCCCCCTGCGGACAGCCCCTCTGGACGGAGCAGCTGCGTGGACAGAAGGCAGCACATTGGTCCAGCACAGTCCACCGCGGTGCCTGCCCTCTCCCACCCCACGCATCCCACCACTGTCCACCGTGGTGCCCTGCTCTCTCCCAACCCACGCATCCCCGCGGTCCCCCACAGCCCACCGCGGTGCCTGCTCTCTCCCACCCCACGTGTCCCCGTGGCCCAGCACAGCCCACCGCGGTGCCTGCCCTCTCCCACCCGACACTCTACACTTACTTCATTTCTTTCTTTCTTCCAATCTTTTGAGAAGTACTTGCTGAGCTTTTGCTCCAAATCCATAAATATATACTCATTGTCTGAAAGCAAAACAAAAGGCTTCATCAGAGCAGTCACCATGCTTCTCAGGTGTCACCGTGTGTTCAAAACTGAGTGTGGCTTGGAGAGAAGAGATGCACAGCTGAAAACTGTGCGTCTGCAGCTGACGCTGCATATGGGGCTTTCCTTGGCTGACAACGCAGAAAGCATCTTAACACACATGCAGGTGTCAAATGCTTGCTTACTAAAACAATGTTCCAACGTGTAGGAATATTACAAGCTGATATTCAAAACTGGCACATGCTCCGGGCACGCCCTTTGGGAAAGCAACTTAGCAACATGTATCCCTACCCTCTTCCTCTGCAACCCAGGCACCCCTCTCTCAGCTATGGAATGAGTCGTTTAAAAAATAGAGATGTCAGGGTTGGATGCGGTGGCTCAACCTCGTAATCTCAGCAATTTTGGAGGCCAAGGCAGGAGGATTGCTTGAGGCCAGGAATTCAAGACAAGCCTGGACAACATAATGAGACCTTGTCACCACAGGAAAAAAAAAAAAATTAGCTGGGTGTGGCGGTGCATGCCTGTAGTCCTAGCTACTCAGGGGGCTGAGGCAGGAAGATTGCTTGATCCTGGGAGTTCAAGGCTGCAGAAAGCTATGAACGTGCCACTGCACTCCAGTGTGGGTGATAAGAGTGTGACCCTGCCTCAAACAATCAAGCAATCAATCAATAAAAATAGAGATGTCTATAATCTAGTACCAACGTGATCAACTTCAAGTCAATGATCCCAGCTTTACCTGTTAACCTGGTTTCCCTGGAAACTATAAGAGACGCTTCTTTCTAAATTAGGTGTTTCTATATTTTAAAAATATTTACCAGCATGTGTTTTCTTTATGGCCTGGAAAAATTAAACAATTTTCCTAGAGAGGAAAATAAAGCCTAGAGAGACACCATTCCTGCTGCGACTTAAAGCAACGTACAATCCCTCCGTGTCTGCTGGGAACTGGTTCCAGGACTCCCCTCGGATATCAAAACCCGGGGATGGTGTAGAGTTTGCATGTACCCTATGCACATCCTCATGTACACTTTACATCATCTTGAGATTCCTTATAATACCTGATGCAATGTAAATGCTGTGGAAGTCTTTGTTGTACTGTGTTGTTAAGCTCATATTATTTTATTGTTGTACTATTTATTGTTATTATTTTGAGTATGTTCAACATGAGGTTAGTTAAATCCAAGGATGCGGAACCCGTGGATACAGAGCACAGTCTACTCTTATTTATATTAGAAAACCTGCAGTCCTGAGAATAAAAGCCACAGGGAAAAGTTAGTCCCTGATAAGGCAGTACTCCCTTACAGCCACCTGCATTACATATGAAGATACTCCATCCCCAAGTGCTAGCACATCTGCAGATAAATGAAGACACCAGTGAGGAAGACTTACCCACAGAGGCCTGCAGAAAGGGCATCACAGGGCCGGGTGCCTGGCTCAGCCCCTCTCTGCCCTGCCTGTCTTTCTAATCCTTAGTACCTGGCTCTTCTAGACGGCGTTAGACCCAGGGGGAGGCTCCAAGGTGTCACCAGCCCCAGTTTACTTTTGTGTCAGGGAGGATCAAACACTTGGCTCATCGGTAACAACCACAGCAACTCACTGCTTAGACACTGGGTGCCATGCTCTGTGTTAAAGACTCTGAACCAATCCCTACATCTTCAACCTGATGGCACTGTTATCTACCCCCATCTCACAGACAGGGAGGCCCAGACTTGCAGAGTCTAGGGGAGTCCCCACCCCACCCCATAACAGGCCAAGGACCCTCAGAGCCAGGGGTTAGCAAACCAGGGCCCCAGGCCAAACCCCAGCACCCACTCGCTCTTGTTAATAAAATCTTGTTGGTAGACAGCCACAATCATTCTATTACATCATGTCCATAGCTGCTTTCGTACTGCAAAGTCAAAATATTTACTATGTGGCCTTTTACAGAAAAAGTCTGCCAATGCCCGGTCTAAGCAAATGCCGAGTGAAAAGGTCTAGATCACCATTCTCTGGTCCTGACTCCCCCGAATTCACTATTTGGGTACTCGAGCTTGAACTCAGTGTTTGCAGCATGAGTGGCAGATGTTTAGCAATGTTCGCTAAAGGATCTGGGGTTACCTTTGCCTCGGTAAGGTCAGCAAAAGGCCTTTTATTTGTACATTCATTACCTAAATCACCCCACTGTATCCTTACCAACTCCATCTCAAATCATAATAAGGAGGACAGAAAATGAACTCCTTAAGCTTAGTACTTCCTAGGACTTAACCTCAAACACTACGAGAACAATACTTGCGGCAACACCGATCTAGAAGATGAAACCACTTGTTTCTCAAAATCATCACTGTCCCCCTAAACCCCTGCACCCCTAGCAGTGGGACAGCAGACATCATCACCTCTGGTGATGGGCGCACCCTTCTTAGCCCGGCCACAGTGCCCCGCTGTATGGTCAAAGCAGTCTAGATGTCACTGTGAAGACATTCTTAAGATGAAGGCGACACTCAGGCTGGGTGTGGTGGCTCATGCCTGTAATCCCAGCACTTTGGGAGGCAGAGGCAGGTGGATTGCATGAGCCCAGCAGTTTGAGACAGCCTGGGCAACATAATGAGACCCGACTCCACAAAAAAATACAAAAGGTATCTGGCTGTGGTGGTATGCATCTGCAGTCCCAGCCACTCAGGAGGCTGACGCCAGAGGATCCACCTGAGCCATGATCATAGCACTGCATTCCAGCCTGGGTGGCAGAGTGAGATGAAGGAAGGAAGGAAGGAAAGAAAGAAGGAAGGAAGGAAAGAAAGAAGGAAGGAAGGAAAGAAAGAAGGAAGGAAGGAAAGAAAGAAGGAAGGAAGGAAAGAAAGAAGGAAGGAAGGAAAGAAAGAAGGAAGGAAGGAAAGAAAGAAGGAAGGAAGGAAAGAAAGAAGGAAGGAAGGGAGAGAGGGAGGGAAGGAGGGAGGGAGGGAGGGAGGGAGACATTTACATCAGTAGACTTTGAGCAAAGCAGATGACCTTCATACTGTGGGTGGGCCTTGTCTAGTCGGTTGGAGGACTAACAGGGAAAGACTGAGGTCCCCTCTGGAGGAAGGAACTCCGTCTCCCGATGGCCCTCGGACCCAAGATGGCAACAGTGGCTCTCCCTGGGTCTCCAGCCTGCCCTGCAGATTTGAGACTTGCCAGCCTCCAACAATCATATGAGCCAGTTCTTTACAATAAATCAGCTTCTCTCTTTCTCCCTCTATGTATCTATACACACACACACTATCTGTAGAGAGAAATGGGATCGGAAGGATACGTGTATACAGACATACACATACGCATACATCTGTCAGGAGTGTGCGTGCGCGTCCTACTTGTCCTGCTTCTCTGGAGAGCCTTGACTGGCACATGACTGTCTGCTGGAGGACCGGCATCTTGCTGCTGGAAGGGGAGATTCTGGCGTTGGCTACAGGCTCCCCTGAACCCAGCAGGGTGGGGACTACATGCACCCTCTAGAGCCTCCTCACTCTCTTCCCAGTGAGAGTCATCCTCTCAGCTCGTGGCAGGCAGATCGGGACACACCATGGAGTCCACAGGTGCCTGTTGATTGAACAAAAGGCCTGAACTTCCCCACTGTGCCCTGCTACCCTTGACACTGGTGTGACAGCACGAGACTCCTGCAGGGCTGGCCAAGGGGCTGGACACCGGCACCCTTGCTCACTGCCACAGGAGCAAGCTCCAGGCAGCGAGGGCCAAGGCCAGGCCAGGTGGAGCCCACTCTCTCTCTATTCCTCTCTGTCTCTGTCTTATTTTGCCTTGCCTCTATATCCAAGCCCCAAATCACATCTCTTGTTTTTTGCTACAGGCCTCAAAAATGTACACAATTCACAAAATGTCTCAAAAATGTACACAATTTACAACTTAAGAGATAATTAAAGTAAGAAATCCAAGCACTTCCCGTATAAAAAGTCCAAATCTCCAAAGCAAGGGCTCTGGCCAGAACCAAGAAGGGTGTCCTCGGGTCAAGAAGGCCCTGGGGCCACAGGGCTCTGCTGGGTGGAGGTGCCAAACCGCAGCGCCAGGGAGGTTGAGGGGCCGGTTCTGAGTCTGTCCTCCTCCTGCAGAGGCGGATTCCTGGATCACCAGGAGGAAAGGTGACCCCAGATTCCTTTCTTGTCCCTGAGGCCAGTGAGCTCGGCCACAGGCTGTCTCAAATGTCCAGTGTCAAGGGGACAGGGAGAAAGGGGACATCATCAAGAAAGACGTGAGAAAGGGTTGGTTGGCAGGAGTCGGAAAGCCCTCCCACCTGGGAACTCCCTCCGCAGGGTAAAGACAAGGCAAACACTGGCTGATGAGCCAGTAATCTCCCTTTGTGTGCACCTGCCTGGCCGCCAGTGGGAGCTGTTCCAGGCCACCCTCCCAGCCCCTCCTGTTGCTCAAGGCTGTCCCAGCGCTGCAGGCCCTCATCCTGTGCTGACCTTCAGGACTCAAGGACCCCTGCCTCCTGCCTCCCGGGCCTCCCCACTGCTGGCCCTTGTGCTCAGACACACGGCAAATGCCCGTGAGCTCTCCCCTTAGCATCTGGGCAGCTGATGACACGGACACTGTGCCTCAGTCGAAAGGGAAACAGGGTTAGAAGCCAGCCGATGGCGTCCAAGCCGGGGCTGCCGACTTCATGACCTGTCTGCAATTCCCCAACACCGAGGATCATCAGCACATAAACCGGGAGAATCCTTGGCCACCGGGAACCTGCCCCGCCTGGGTGATGGATTCCTGGGCAACAGGAGAGACGCCCTGCCCTGCACCCCCTGCTGGGAGGGGAGGTCCTTCCCCAAGGAGCTGCCACTGGACCTCTGGGGGACCCCCACACTCCACCCTCAGAACCCCCCAACACCACCTGCTGTCTCTAGGTTTCGGGGACATCAGGGGCTGTGCCTGAACTCCGGATAGGGCTGAACTCCCCGTGCCCTCACACCCGTGGTCGCCTTGCGAACCACGTCTCCCAGAGGCCCTCTCAACCACAGCGACCCGCCCTGTGCAGGGCCTCCCATAGGGAGGGGGATGCCCTGGGGCGTTTCTCGCCTTGGGAGAGCAGGGAAGCCTCAGTGCCGAGAACTTGGGCACAGACGAGGCAGAGTGGAGCGCGGACCAGAGCTCGCCCCCCAAACACGGCGGCTCCAACATGTCGGTGAACGTCCGGCGGTGATGAACATGATGCACAACCAAAGCGATGGGTCCTGGCCCGGGTTTTGCGGGCAGCCCCTGAATTCCCCCCAATCCCCACCCCGCCCTCGATTTGTTTTTTGGCTGTTAAAGAGACTTTAAGCCTTTAAGAAATAAAAGATGCCAAGAACAGGGTTGGGACGCTTGAACTTTCTTCCCTCATTCTGTCCAGACTAATTTTCTTTTCATTTCTAAAATCACAGAGAGATGACACCAACCACAAAACCGAATAGCAAAACTGGACTCTCCAAAGTCAACATCCCGCCCTCCCCTGAGTGACTCTCACTGTGATTAAAAGTGGGGCCTGGAGACTTCTGTCCACAGCCCTCAGATGGCTCAGGTTCCCATGGGGGCACAGGGTCTGGGAAGCTACGTGTTTTGACTGGGCTCCTGCACAGGGTGGCATGAATGGCAGCTGTGGACAAACATATTAACTGGGCTAGAACTTCCCTGAAAACTGGGAAAAGTCCACCAGTATTCAACCTTGACAGCAAGACTGACATCTGCTGCTCCCGGGTGTAAGCCCAGTGCTGGGTGTAGTTTCCCACCTCCCCACCCCCAGTCACCCCCCTGCAACACCAAGTGAAGCTGCTGGAGGCTGGAATCGGGTGGGGGCTGCCTGACAAACACAGCAGCAAAGGGAGGCGCCCTCCAGCTCTCCCTGCTCCCCACCCTGCCTGGAGAGTCTGACACAGGAAGCCCCAGATCCACACCTGCCCTCAGGGGCTCATGGTGTCCACTCAGGGTCCCCTGGGGGACTCAGGACTGGGTCTAAATGCATGAGGTCACATCAGAAAGGCTGGCCTGCTGGACCCCATCTTATTCCCTCTGCCCCCCAGGGTCCTCCTTCCACACCGCCCAGGGGTCCCACAGCCCCCAGAGCAGCCCTGAGATGGAGCTAGGGTTCTGCTCCAGGCGGAGATTAGGGAAGGAGGAGACTGAGACAGGGGCACTCTCGCCTCTACTTTGAGGCACAGAAGGGGCCGGGGCCACCCGCGCTGAGGGAAAGGCTGGCTTCTGTCCACACTCACGATGGTTGGAAGAGAAACTTAGGATGGAACCCCAGGGCACCACACAGGACGGTCACAGCAAGATGGCTTCGTCCAAAAGGATCCTAAAATCTCACGCTCCCTTCACAGCCCCTGACAAGGCGCTGCAGACACTGGGAGGATGGAGTGTGGGTTCCGGTGTCCCGTGCAGGGTCCCCGGCTCACTCACTCCCCTAGACAGAGGGCAACTTGTTCTGGGGAGAGCTTGGGAGAGGTCAGCTCAGCCCTGTCCTCCCCAGGCAGCAAGACAGGGGGATATTCAGCCACCGCTGGTCAGCACTGAGCTTCATCTCCATCTGTCCATGCCCCATGTAGCCTCCCTCGGCTTGGCTGGGGAGAGGGGGCCAGGGCTTGTCTGTGCTGCCAACCTCAAGCCCCCACTATAGATGAGAAGCCACCAGTCCTTAGTGAGACTGGATACAGGCGCTGCCACTCACTTCCTGGGGCAGCAAAAAGTGCACATGAAGCACTTTGGGTTCTCACGGCTCTTCCATGCGACACAATCCAGCTGCAGGGTCTGTGGAGCCCAGGGGACCGGCCCCACTCCCCTCCACCTGCCGTCTGCGTGTACTAGAACTCCAGGTACGAATTCACATAGATCCAGGGTCCTGCTACTGTACAGAGGTTTCCAGAAGCCCCTGGAGCCAACTGCCCCCCAGAACAGCACAATCGGCATTGTGCAGGTGTGGTGTGTGCATGTTTACATGTGTGAGTGGTGCGTAACTGCATGTGTGTGGTGCGCACATGTGTACATGTGCGAGTGGTGTGTAACTGTGTGCATGTGTGTGGTGCATGCATGTGTACATGTGTGACTGGTGTGTGCATGTGTGTGGTGTATGTATGTGTACATGTGAGTAGTGTGTAATTGTGTGCATGTGTGTGGTTTGTGCATGTGTACATGTGAGTGGTGTGTAACTGTGTGCATGTGTGTGGTGCATGCATGTGTACATGTGTGACTGGTGTGTGTGCATGTGTGTGGTGTATGTGTATGTGTGAGTGGTGTGTAATTGTGGGCATGTGTGTGGTTTGTGCATGTGTACATGTGACTGGTGTGTAACTGTGTGCATGTGTGTGGTGCATGCATGTGTACATGTGTGACTGGTGTGTGTGTGCATGTGTGTGGTGTATGTATGTGTACGTGTGAGTGGTGTGTAATTGTGGGCATGTGTGTGGTTTGTGCATGTGTACATGTCAGTGGTGCGTAACTGTGTGCATGTGTGTGCTGCATGCATGTGAACAAGTGTGAGTGGTGTGTAACTGCACGTGTGTGGCGTGTGCATGTGTACACGTGCAAGTGGTGTGTAACTGTGTGCACTGTGCATGTGTGTGGTGTGTGCATGTGTACATGGTGCGAATGGTGTGTACCTGCATGTGTGTGGTGTGTGCATGTGTACATGTGAGTGGTGTGTAACTGTGCATTGTGCATGGTGTGTGCATGTGTACATATGAGAGTGGTGTATAACTGTGTACATTATGGATGTGTGTGGTGTGCCCACCCCCTTGACCTCCAGCAGATGCGGCCCCTGGGCATTCCTGCAGGTGGGGACTGAGCGATGCTTACTTCTGACCACACAGAGGCCAAAGAACTGCGCGTCTCTGATGCTCGCCACGTTGCACACTTGCTGGAAAAGCTCGCGGCCAGTAGCCTTCACCTGCAAAAGAGGTGGGGAGGGGTTCAGGGAGGGGCCGGCACCTGTCCCCAGGGAGGCCACCTCAGCAAACGAGGCCCAGCGGGGCACCAGGTGGACGACCCAGTCAGGCATCCCCTGCAGGTAACAGGTCTGGGTCTCTCACTCTCTCCCAAAGCTAAACACCGCTGCATGCCCATCAGAGCACCTGTGAGTGCCGGGAAGTGAGGGTGGAGGGGGTGGGGTGCTCTGGACAGTGGATCAGGGCTGCCCCCTCCATCCCTGTCTGTCTCTGGTGTGAGGATTTCCCGAGACCAGTCAGGGACACACGATGCAGCGTCAACTCCAGGGCCGCCCTCTGGGCTCTGTCCTCGCACGGCACAAATGAATGCTTGGTTCCCCATGAGCGCGAGCATCGGTGTCTCACATCATCCATCGCCCAACTGATGCGAGTGATCCCAACAGTGTTCCTACAGCTGAGCCTCTCACGGCAGCCTCTAAACACCCAGCGTCTGGTGCGTGTCCCTGTTTCCGGCGTCCCGTGTCCACATTTCCGGTGCCCGGTGTCCACATTTCCGGCGTCCCGTGTCCACATTTCCGGTGCCCGGTGTCCACATTTCCGGTGCCCGGTGTCCACATTTCCGGTGTCCCGTGTCCGCATTTCCGGCGTCTCGCATGTGACACTACTTCACGCCTGTTCAGCCCCGGCATGGATGGGATTGGCGGGCATCCCCTGCAGAGCTCTTCCTGAGTCCTGTCTGTTGCAGCGCTGGGGCCCATCCCTGGTCACCGGGCAGCAGAGGCAGCGTTCTCAGGCAGAATCGCAGGGCGCCAAGCCTGTGACGGAGGGTGCAGGACGGTTGCCGTGCGCTCTGCTCTCAGACTCTCCCGAGGACCCTCACTTGGGGCTCCAAGAGGAAACCTCACAGCAGGGCACAGCTGGGGCAGCTGGATCTGCAGGAGGCCATTTTGCGATTCTTCATTTGCATGTTTCAAGTCAAATGAGTATCCAGCTTACTAATCCTGAGTTAATCCTGAGTTACTGTAAGACTGACTTCCTTATTGATATGGTTTGGCTGTGTCCCCACCCAAATCGCATCTTGAATTGTAGTTCTCATAATCTTCCTGTGCTGTGAGAGTGAGCCGGTGGGAGGTGACTGAATCACGGGGGTGGTTCCCCCATCCAGTTCTCATGATAGTGAGAGAGTTCTCATGAGATCTGATGGTTTTATAAGGCACTTCCCCCTTCGCTGGGCACTCATTCTCTCTCCTGCCACCCTGTGAAGAGGTGCCTTCTGCCATGACTGTAAGTTTCCTGAGGCCTCCCCAGCCATGTGGAACTGTGAGTCAATTAAACCTCTTTCCTTTATAAATTACCAAGTCTTGGGTATGTCTTTATTAGCAGCGTGAGAACAGACTAATATGATTATTGTCTGCTTAACTTGGTGAGGGGCAGGCCCCACAATGACGGTAACACAGATCTTCAGTGAGGGTCTTCCCAGCCCATCCCTTTCGAATAACTGGGCTTGACACATATTTGGTTGAATACAGGGTTCCTGTCTAACTGCAGACACAGGTGTGCACACACTCCAATAGAGCGTTCCCTGTCTAACTACAGATACACACGAGTATACACCCCAATAGAGGGTTCCTGTCCAACTGTAGATACGGATGCGTGCACACCCCAACAGAGGGTTCCTGTCCAACTGCAGACACAGATGCATGCACACCCCAACAGAGGGTTCCTCTCCTACTGCAGACTCAGATGCATGCACACCCCAACAGAGGGTTGCTGTCCTACTGCAGACAGAGATGTGTGCACACACCAACAGAGGGTTCCTCTCCTACTGCAGACACAGATGCATGCACATCTGATAGAGGGTTCCTCTCCTACTGCAGACACAGATGTGTGCACACCTCAATAGGGGGTTTCTGTCCAACTGCAGACACAGATGTGCACACACTCCGATGGGGGGGGGTTCTTGTCTAACTGCAGACATAGACGACTGCAAACCCCAATGAGGGGTTCCTGTCCAACTGCAGACACAGATGTGCACACACCCTGTGGGGGGGTTCCTGTCTAACTGCAGACATAGATGACTGCACAACCCAGTGAGGGGTTCCTGTCCAACTGCAGACACAGATGTGCACACACCCTGTGGGGGGGTTCCTGTCTAACTGCAGACATAGATGACTGCACAACCCAGTGAGGGGTTCCTGTCCAACTGCAGACACAGATGTGCGCACACCCCGATAGGAAGTGGCTCTGTGGTTGCCAACTTGCCAGGCCCAGCAGGGGCCACAGGAGTTGCAGAGGCACTTCAGGGAGCTCCGTCAAAAGCAGATGAGCACGATTCACCTGTTCAGAACAGGCGGTTCACTATGTTCTAGCTGCATGATCCCTCAGTTAAAATCTTACCGTGAAGTTCCGTGCAAGAAACCTAAAAGTTCCAGCTCTTATGGGGTAGGGGGCCAAAGCCCCAGCATCTTCCCCACAACAGGTCCTCTTATGACCCCTCCCCCAGCCCGAGGCACTGCTGGGGACCCCAGGAAACTACAGGACATCCCCCATTAGCTCAACTCCAGCTTCTCGTTGCTGGGTGGGGACACAGAGTCTTGGGGAAGATTTTGCCACAAACATAGATGTGGGCGTTTACGTAAACACAGAACTCTATCCCGAAGCAGACAAGAGACTCCCAGATTCCCAGGGGACTTGAACCAGGATATTACTAGCAAGTCATACTCCATTCCAGGTAGCAATGATACATTAGCTATGCAGAAAGTCATCGTTCTTCAACAAACCACTCTCATTTTAATTGCCACATTTTCATTATCCACATTAATCATTAAAATGAAAGTACCATCTCAACTCCTGTCGCCATGAACTCAACTAAAACAGGTAGACAAAATGGGGGAAAGGGAAAAGAAAAGGAAATAGAGAAGCATAGAGATGGTGACGTCTGAACACAAGACAGGAGCTGCTCCTTGGAAACCGGCTTCCTGGCGCTCTTCCCTCAGCGCTCCCTCCCGGGAAGGATGTGCTGAACCATAAACTTATTTCTCACAGCAACGTCTATCAGGGATGTTTCCTTCACAGGCCCAGTGAAAGGGCTGGCCCTTGACACCTCACAGACACCTGGCCTAAGCAGAGTGAGGCGGTCCAGGGACTTTCCATACACAGGCTGTGTCCTGAGGCTCTGCTCACCCCATACCCCTGCTCACCCCCACGGCCCTGCTCACCCCCACGGCTCTGCTCACCCTCACAGCCCTGCTCACCCCCACGGCTCTGCTCACCCTCACGGCCCTGCTCACCCCCACAGCCTTGCTCACCCCCACGGCCACCCAGGGCCCTGCTCACCCCCATGGCTCTGCTCACCCCCACAGCCCTGCTCACCCCTATGGCCACCCAGGGCCCTCCTCACCCCCATGGCTCTGTTTACTCCCAAGGCCATCCAGGGCCCTGCTCACCCCCACGGCCACCCAGGGCCCTGCTCACCCCCACGGCCACCCGGAGCCCTGCTCACCCCCACAGCTCTGTTTACCCCCACGGCCACCCAGGGCCCTGCTCACCCCCACGGCCAGCCGCAGTTGCTCCCGGCTGGGCAGCAGCACGAGGACATCCCTGTGTTCCGAGGCCATCGCGTCCATTCCCAGGGTCGGCTCCTGCTGACTGCATGCAGGCCTCTCAGGACTGGGTTCCATACATCGCGCCCCTGAAGGAGGGAACGTGTCAGGGTTTGTCCGGGCGGGGTCTATGCCCCTCCCTCTCGGGGGCACCGCCATGCTGTCGTTACTCGGCCCTCCCCCGCCATGGGTCGCAGGTGGGTGCTCAGCACCTCCCAGATCACAGCTGTGCTTTCCGGGACCCGCCCTTGCCGAGCTTCTCACTGGGAAGGGAATTGAGAGGGAAGCCTGGGCTGGGAATCCAGCATGGCCAAGCCAGGACAAGGGTCAGAGCTGCAAATAGCTGGGTGTGTGGAGGGCGCCAGGAATGCAAATAAACAACCTCAGGCTGGGCACCCGCCATGCAGCACTCCCATGCAGGGTAGCTCAGCAGCCAGCCTCGGTGTGGGCCCCGTGAGAACCAGGCTGGGGGAGACAGGACCCAACTCCTCCACCTGACAACCCCTATCTCCTCAGGGTGCCTGCTCCTTCTTCTATAATGTGGAGAGGGCTATGCAAACCCCATGGGCACAGATGCCAGAGCCAGGGCTGCTGGGGAAGATGGAGCAGCAGCAGGGCAGGACGAGGAGGGCGGGAGGAAGGCAGCCTGGGTGGGCACCCTGCCCCACACACCTCCTGTGGCATCTGTTATCGACCTCAGGAAGCAGCACAGCTGCCGTTCCTGGACAGGTTCTGCCAGGAGGGACCCTGGCTCCCTTTAGGGGCTGGAAACTGAGGACACTTCCTTCCTTGTCCAGGGCCAGCAAATCCCTTCCTGCCTGCAGCAGCTGGAAGGCCAGGAAGGGGGTCCTGGCTTGCGTGGACAGCAGCCGGGTGCATCAGCACGAGGGGTGGGGACATCTCCCGCAGGGCCTGGAACCCCTGAGGCCGCTCAGCAGAGATGAGCAACGCCTTCGAGCTCTTTGGCACAGTGTTAGGTGGGGAAGGGACCCCAGGATCCTGCCTGGCCCTGGGACCACCCAGACCTTTGGGCGCTGCAGGTCAGGAGAGGCAGTTCCCACGGGCCTGGGCTGTGGAATTCTGTCCTCAGCCGTGAGCTCCATCAGTTTCCTGCCATGGAGTCTGGGATGCTCTGGGACCTTCCTCTAGTAAGGGGTCTGGACCTCCGGACGGGCCGTTGTTCATCTTAGGAAATTCGCACTCCAGCCGCCTTAAGGCCTGGCCCGGTGGGTTTAGGAAATTCGCACTCCAGCCGCCCTAAGGCCCGGCCCGGTGGGTTGAGAAGATTTAGGAGGCTTAGGCCTCACCTCCCCCGGACCCTGGACTGACACTGGCTCCCTCCCTCCCTCCCTCCGCTCAGATCCAGACCCTTCCCAGACCCTCGAGGCCACACATGTGTGCCCAAGACAGCAGTGGCGGTCTCTTTTCTCTCCACAGCAAACGTAGAGCTGTTCACTATGGAAGATGTGGGGATCCCTTTAGCTGAGAGCACAAAAAGTTTTAAAAATGGCAAAAAAACCACAAAAAAAAACAGCCCCAGAGAGCAGAGGCTGGATCCTCATGGCCCTGTGCCACTGGCGCCTGAGCAGCTCGTCCCTGTGCCGGGTGCCCTCAGCCGCTGCCTGGAGTCACAGTGCCGGCGTATCAGGAAGGGCGGCAGCAGCTGCACCTCTCAGGATGCCTGGGCGCAGGACAGTGGCAGAGGGCAGGCAGGGGCCAGGGTTGGGGGGTGGCAGAACACCACCGGCACACACAGCACAGAGGGGACAACAGGCACCAGGACCCCTCGGTGGGGAGAGCCGGGGACACGGTGGGGAGTTGTGCTGGGTGCACTAATGATCAAAGCGATGGTTCCCCACGTGTGTGCAGGTGCTGGTGTGTGCGGGCGCTGGTTTGTGCGGGCGCTGGTGTGTGTGGGCGCTGGTGTGTGCGGGTGCTGGTGTGTGTGGGCGCTGGTGTGTGTGGGCGCTGGTGTGTACAGGTGACCGTGGGCCAATGAGCTCCAAACATCATTAGTGAGAAGAAAAGGAAAAGGAATGGAAACTCCACATTTGTATTGATAAACACAATAAATGGATTCTTGTCAAAGCAGGACGTCCCTGGCCCCAGCTCCTTCCTTCCCACCCAGAGTCTCAGGGCCACACCGTTGAGGTTCAGACCTCCAGTGAAGGCCGCCGTCCATCTGAGTGCCAGGGAGAGCTGGGCTTGGGAAGCCCCCGTTGTATTCCTGGGAGAGCGCGGCTTTTTCCTGAAAACGTGCTGAGGCTCCAAGGCAAGGGTGGTCGCCATGAGTACCTCCCGCCAGGGCACTGAGGGGACACCAGAACCTCTGTCCTCAGCTCATCAAGAAGACAACTTTGCACCCTGAGAAGGCAGAGGCGTGACCGGGCCCCAACACTGACCCCACCTCTGAATGTCTTGTCTTCTCGACTGGCCTGTTCGTGATGGAAGAGGCTGGCCTGCCACGTTCGTGATGTCAGGGCCGGGCAGTGGACGGGCAGAGGCCGCGAGGAAGAGGAGACCACCGCCCAGATCTCCTCATGGCTGAGCCCTGGAGTCCTCCTCGGCCCAACTCTCTCTTCTTCTGGACGGCTGGTTTCCATCCTCTATCATGAGATAGATAGAGGCCTGCTGAGAACATTCTAGAACTCAAGCTTCGGAGCTCTAGGTCCACAAAGCACAGGTTTTGGAAAACAATGTGGGAATGCTGTTCCGTGGTGAGAAGGAAGGCAGAACTGACACAGGCACAGGACTAAACATCCCACTGCAAGGGAGAAGCTGGATGCAAAAGGCCGGGCTCCATTCCGAGACATCCAGCAAAGGCAGCATCTTCGGGGCCAGGGAGCTGGCAGCAGGGACTGCAGAGGGGCGAGGTGTCCTCTGGGGGTGGTCGGATGGCAGTGATGGCTGCACAGTTCCTAAATGCTCTGAAGTTTATGAAACATTTCGCTTTAGAGGAATATATTTTACAGTATGCAAACTATATCTCAATAAAGCTGTTAAAATACACAAGTTATAAAACAGTCACGCAAAAAGCCTTCAAGATACGGCAGGAAGTGCACCTGTGCGCCATAGGTCAACCCATTCCACCATGTGGGCGTGAGTGTGAGACACGTGGGTGCTGTGTGAGGGTGTGCCTGTGTGGATGTGAGTGGGCACATGCTTGCACACGTATGTTCACATGCAGCCTTCATGTCCGGGAATGCTAGGGCTGCCCACCTCTCCTCCACGTCCTCCTCTGCACAATCAGCAACACCGACTGATCCCTTTCTGCACGTCACAGACCCAGGCGAGGCCCTTTACCGACTCGGCTGCGATGGCCGCAACACCCAGTCTGTGGATGAGGAGTCTGGGCTCAGAGGCCAAGCTGCTCAGTGAGTGGCCAGCCGGGGTCTTGCTCCATGCTCAGCCTCCACCCCCACCATCGAGCCTGTACTCTGCTCTCTCCCTTCGGCCACCCGACCCCTCCTGGCTGAAATCCAAAAAGAAACCCGGTGTCTGCTGGAAGGAGCCCAGGGGTGCCCGCTGGGTCCCCAGGAGGTCCCTGCTGTCCGTCAGCACTGCGAGGGCTTCTCGCCGTGCTCAGTAACACACTTCCTCTCCTTGCATGTTTTCCCAGAAAAGAATGTTGGCCAGATGCAGCACATTTTACTCCTTTGGTAAGTAGGGAAACTGAGGCACACAGCAGCTAAGTGACTTGTTCAGGGCCCCAGGCTCCAGGATTCCCGAGACCCACCGCAAAGCTCCTCCCCGAATCTACTGACCCCCTCTTCAGAAATCATCTCAGAAAAGAGAGTTCATTCTTATGAACAAACCACGAAAGCCTCGTCTTCTGGGATGACTGAGGCTGGTATCTGGGAGATGCATCATCTGACTTTTGCTGCTCTGCCCAAGCGGATAGTGCAGGGCCTGGGTTGGGGTGCGCAGCAGGGTACAGGGCCTGGGGCAAGGTGGGCAGGGTGCTCCCCACCCCAGTTCTTCCCCAGGCACTGCAGGGTCCAGGTTGGGTGGCTTGTGAGTGTCCCAGGCAGCCACAGGAGCTGAGGAATCCAAGCCTGGCCCAGGGGCAGATGCTCTGAGGAGCCCCTCACCCGTGGTGAGTTTACATGTGGAGCGCCGGAGGTGCTTGCCAGAAAGGAAGGAAAAGGGCAGCTGGAGACAGCCCTGCGGAAGCCACGGGGCCGTATTTATTCACCACCTGCTCAGACCTCGTAAGGTCCACGAACACCCTCAGCCCAGTAAACAGGGTGGGAGGGTGCAGGGCCCAAGCCCATCACCCGTCTCTGTGGTGCTAGCTTCTTGGTCTTCCAAACTGACCTTTGGCTGTTGAGAAAGGTCAGTGATGCACTGCAGGGTGTCTCTGCTGTCTCAGACAGGATGGGCGCTGGAAAGGCCGTGACCTGCCTGCCTTATTTATCTTAGCAGCAGGAAGGGTAAGGCATTCCTGCAGGTGAGGCAGCGGTGCCGGCAGGAACCGCCCCAACCGAACTTCAAAAAGTGATTCAGAGAAAGGAGCCGCTGTGAACTAAGTGCCATGAAACCAGAACAATCTCCCATCGACTTGAATGAGAGGTTAAATCAACAAATTAACCCCAACGGGAAAGATGACGGAGAAGTCTGCCTGTTAGGACACTCCATGGGAGGAGGGCGTGAAGGGCAGCTGTGCACTCCCCATCAGGTGGCTGGGCACAGAGCAGACTTGAAAGGCCCCTCTGCCCCTTGGGAGACAGGGTGGCCAGTCCCAGGGAATGGGGCCGGCAGGGCTGGGGCCCCAGCCTTCAGGTGTGGACAGCCTCCCTGGCAAACACACATCTATCTGGGATCTGGAAAGTGTGACTTTCATCCTGTCCCTGGCCGGGGAAGACAGCAGAGCCAGGAGGGCAGGAAGATGGCTTACTGATGGCTTATTTCCTTCTCTTTTTGATGAGATGGGGAGGAGATCTCTCCCTTTCCAGCCTTTAATGTAAATCAATTTACTTGTTACAAAGTCTCATCTTATTTAAGGCTTCCTAAATGAGGGTCTCCCACACCTGGCCCCTCTACTGAAGCCTCACTGCAGGCCTGGGGACAGAGGGTACCCCGAGTCCTGTGGGTCCAAACTGAGGAAGAATAGCCTGCAGCTTCTAGCAACTCCCACGGCCTCCCAGGTGCAAGTTGTGAGGTGTCTTCTTGGGAGAAGACTAGAGACGGCAGGTGGGGTGAAGGAGAACCCCGTTTTCAGGGGTCTGCCTCTTCCTATTGGAAACAGCTCACCCCTGGGAGCTCCCCAGCTTCTAGGGATTAGACGGAAGCCTGGGGCATCATGAAGGCATGAAACCCATGCTTTAGTTAGAAAGGAAAAAGGATTAGGAGCCTCCAGGGCAGGTGGGGAAGGTAAGTTATTTCTTAGCACTGCGCGTGTCGGATTATGATGGACAGTGTATTTGTGTGTCTTCAGTTAAACACATTAACTGCTGAATTAAAAAAGCCATAGAGAGCCAACAATTACAGAATGCCCCTGACATGCTGCTCCTGCCATCTGTTAGAGGAGAACAAATCCCACAAAGAAGGGGGCTGGACGGCAGGGTTTTGGGGTGCCCCTGGACCAAGAAGAAAACCCCAGAGATGCAGTCTCGTGGGGGAGGTGCATTGAGCTTGGTCCCCAGACTGCCTCTTCCCGTGGGCCCTCCCTGTGCTGCTCCCAAACAAAGGCAGGCGTGCAGGACCCGGCTCCCTCCGTGAGAGCGCCTGCAGCCCCGCTGGCTCAAACTCACCTGCCCTTTGGAATGACAAGTGTGCGGAATTTTGTAGGGAAAAAGCCCTCTTGTCCCTTCTGTGTTATCCTCCCAAGACCAAGACTGACTCTGAGACCAGGACATAGCAGGCGTCCCATGGTCGAGAGGTCCCGCCTCCCACCTCATTCCTCCCCATCACAGGGAGAGAGCAAGGCCTGCCCCAAATGAGGGTGGCAACCAAACAGCCACAGCAGGGGGCTGGCAGCAGAAAAGGTTGAGGGGCTGCAGCAGCGGAGTGGGCTGCTGGGGGAGGGCGGGACCCACTGCAGGCCCCGTGGACGTGGGTGTCACTCCCTCCCGTGTTCCTGGTCTGTGCCAAGCAGACACATTCCCACAAAGGGCTGGCAGGTCCCTCCACCACCACTGAGCTCCACAGTCCCCAGCTTCTGGTTATAAGGAATATTTGGAGCAGTCGGTTGGCCCCGAATAGAGTCCCTGAGCCAGGCAGTCATTAACTGCAGACCAGGATGCAGGGGTGACCTGGATCCTAGAGAACTAGAAAGGCCCCAACCTGAGGGCCTGTGGGGAGCCAGGCCATTCTCACCTGATGCACAGTGTGGAAGCTGCAGGAACTGACTCCACCAGGCCTTCCAGAAAGTGGCAGCCGCCTGGCTCAGGATGGCCAACACTCCAGCCTCCCTCCACATGGCCACAGTGAGGCCGCCTGGAGGGAGGGAGACCTTGTGGCGGGGACATCGGAGGAGCCCTCTCAAAGGCTTGGGACAGCTGTGGGGGGCCTCTGGGCACTCCAGCCCCTGGGAATGTGCCCCTCTTGCCATTTCTATGAATGGCCACCCACAGCCACACGCCCCACCATGGCTCCCCAGGACGGGCCACTGGGCTCCAGGGGGTGTGCAGAGGAGGTCGGTCACTTTCAATGAAGCCACAACCTCTGTGAGAACAAAGGGACCAAGGAGGCCTGGACGGAAGGGCGTGGCCACCAGCATGGCCACCGTGAGAACTGCAGGGGGATCTGCAACTGCCTCCCAGGTGTCCCTGCTCCAAAGCCTTCCATGGCTCCCTATCGCCCAGCCATAGCATCCAAAGCCTTCCATGGCTCCCTATCGCCCAGCCACAGCATCCAAAGCCTTCCATGGCTCCCTATCGCCCAGCCATAGCATCCAAAGCCTTCCATGGCTCCCTATCGCCCAGCCACAGCATCCAAAGCCCGTGTGGTCCCTCGGCACACCGCAGAGCTGCAGGACTAGGGCAGAACTTCTGGAATGTTGTGCTGGGTGCTAATGGTGAATCACTTCAAAATTCAAAGTTTGGCGAAAAAGTGCAAAGAGTAGAACATAGAATTCACACACATTAAACAGAGTGGCCCCGTACCTCCCTGTCATGAGGGCTCCGTGGGATGCTGCCTGCCTTCCGGCCCTGGAGCCACCCCATCCCCAGCAGGGACGCCAGCCATGTCCCCAGCGTGGACACCTATACCCCAGCATGGATACCACCAATGTCCCAGCATGGATGCCCACATTCCCAGTGTGGACACTGCCCATGTTCCAGCATGGACACCCACATCTTCAGTGTGGACACCCGCGTCCCCAGCATGGACACCCGCGTCCCCAGCATGGACACTGCCCACGTTCCAGCATGGACACCCACATCTTCAGTGTGGACACCCGTGTGGACACCCATGTGCCCAGTGTGGACACTGCCCATGTTCCAGCATGATGCCCACATCTTCAGTGTGGACACCTACACCCCTAGCATGGATGCCCATGTCCCAACATGGACACTGCCCACGTTCCAGCATGGACACCCACATTTTCAGTGTGGACACCCACATCCACAGCGTGGACACTGCCCATGTTCCAGCATGGACACCCACATCTTCAGTGTGGACACCCACGTGCCCAGTGTGGACACTGCCCATGTTCCAGCATGGATACCCACATCTTCAGTGTGGACACCCATGTCCCCAGCATGGATGCCGCCCATGTTCCCACTGTGGACATGGGCCACTGGCTGTGCCTGATCATGCATCCCTTGGGCCGTCGTCTGTCACCCCCCTCGGCATCCCCATACTGCTGTCCTTGTGGAACAAGCTGGGCTTCTCCCTGTCTCCCCACACTGGATGGCACGATGTTCCATGGAAACTGTGGGGGCCGGGGTGAAGCCCATGTGACCCCGTTCTGCTCTGGTTTGTGCCCTTGGGCACCTGTTAGCCAGGACCTTTGCTCTTTGCCTGGAGTGAGCCACCCTCCTCCTTGAGGCCTGATGGAGTGACCCAGCCGCCTCAGAGAGCAGTCCCCGATTCTGTGGTCACCTCAGCCCTGCGCTCACCAGCCACTCACCTCTCCCCGCTCACACTCCCTTGGGCCTGGTTTTCAACCACTGATTTCAGTCTTGTTTCACTTTTTTTTTTTTCTTCATGTGGTGTCTTGCTCTGTTGCCCAGGCTGGAATGCAGTGGTGTGGGCTTGGCTCACTGTAACCCCTGCCTCCTGGCTCAAGCGATTCTCCCATCCCAGACCCCTGAGCAGCTGGGACCACAGGCGGGAGCCACCATGCCCAGCTAATGTTTTGTATTTTTTGGTAGACACAGGGTTTCTCCATGTTGCCCAGACCGGTCTCTACCTCCTGACCTCAAATGATCTGCCAACCTCGCCTCCCAAAGTGCTGGGATTACAGGCATGAGCCACTGTGCCCGAACTTATTTCACCTTTTTATGTGAGAAATTTTGCAGACAGTGCAAATGATTCCTCCTACAGAGTGGGGTACATGTTGGTCAGCAGAGTCTCCCACTCCGATAACAATGTCAGTCAACCCAGGTGCACAGAGAGGTTAAAGGGCCCTGTCAGCCGCACATCGTGAGACGGCTCTGTGGGGAGAACGCAGGCTGCTGTCCAGGTGAGGGTGCAGTGGCCCTCCTCCCACCACTCAGAGCTCTGACCTGCGTGGACTGGCGTGTGCAATGCGTGCGCTGGCATGTGAGATGCACGGGCTGGCGTGTGGAGCATGTGAGATGTGAGGACATCCCACTCCCAGGCTCTCAGGCTACTCTCTGGGGAGATTGGGCTCCTGGGTCACGTCCCTTAAAGAGGGGCTGAAGCAGGACCCATTCCTAGGTCCATCCCCTTCTACCGCTGTTCCCAGGGTCCCCAAGGACGCTGACCTCACCACCCGTCTGGGCACGGAGACCCCCGGACCCTCACACTTCCACCCCTCTCATGGTGCTTCCAACCCTGGCCCCAGATCACAGATTGAGAACCTCAGGACCTGGGAGGGGCGGCATGAGCCAGCAGGTCAGACACAGAGTGTCAGTGAGGGCGGGGCTCTGTGTGTGCTCCCAGCAGGGCCTCTCAGCCCCTGGGACCCTGCCCCGAAAAGGCTCTCTCCCTCTGGTTCCGAGTCTCCCCCGCAGGCCCTCACCCCACAACAAGCTGGGGGTTAGGGCGCTCTTCGTTCCCATCTTAGAGATAAGAAAGCCGGGGCTGAGAGAAGCTGGTGGGGGACGTCAGGGCCCATGCTGCCTCTGGGATGCTCCGGCTGGGGTCTCAGGGTGGGGACTATGTGAGCCCGAAGACTGCAGCCACCACCCTCCCGCCGTCACCTGCCCCTGCTGGGAGGCAGAGGCCCCTGGGTGCTCGGGTTCAGTGCCTGCTCTCCAGAGTCATTGGATTTTATTCTTGGAAAGAAACTGCGGGCGGGGGAGTGGCCGGGAGGCAAGGCGAGCACAAAGGCCTCTCAGCTGCTACTGCTGCCTCAGCTCTGGACTTTTCCCCTCCACCCAGAGGGCAGATGCTTGGAATTCTCCCTGCTGCCTCCCCCGGCATCTGATCTTCTCAGGCATAAACACTCGCCTTGTGGGACCTCAGCTGCTGCCGCTGTTAACTCAGCACTAAAAAGTGCTCTAACCTCCTGGAAGGAAGACAGGAGCTGTGAACCCATCAGGACCAGAGGGCCAGAGGCTCAGGCAGGGTCAGCTGCAGCCAGGCAGGTGGGAGGGCTGTGTAGAGAGAACCCCCAGGCTACCCTGTCACTCCTGTCCCAGGCAGGAGGGCTTTGTAGACAGAACCCCCAGGCTACCCTCTTACTGCTGTCCCCTGCACACAGCACCAGCTAGCACAAGCCTTCCACTGCAAGGCAAATGTTAACTCTCATAAACACATGCGCTACTAACCAGGTGTCCGTGTGACCCACCGGCCTGCCTGTCAACCTCCCCACTCCTTGTGTCCGTGTGACCCACCGGCCTGCCTGTCAACCTCCCCACTCCTTGGGCCTGCTCTCAGACACTGATCACACGTGCCCTGCTGAGAGCCCAAGTCCTCCCCGCCAGTTTGGCTCCTGGGGAATGGGAGCTGTGGCTTAGGGGAAGGGTACAATTTGGGAAATAAAATAACTTCATCCCAGGGCTGGCCCCACACCAGGGCCATACACAGGGGCCAGCAGCCTGCCTGGGGGGCTGCACTGGGTGGTGAGAGTGGGCCCTGACACCGGGCACAGGTTCAAACCCAATCAGCCTCCGCCAGTGGTTCCCTGGGGGTCCCTGGATTTCTGTTGCCTTTGCTCCCTCAGCTGTATAGGGAGATCCTTCTGCTGCCAGTGGGTGAAGGGACCCAGGGTGTGTCACAGCCCCTGGGGCACAGTCACTGTCAGCCTCACAGTGGTTTTTAGAGAACGTTTTTGTGGAGCAACACCAGCTCCTCCTCTAAGGCCCGTGGCCCTGGAGGGACTCTCAGGAGGCTGTGGCCGCTTCCTCCTTCGTTCAGGGACCAGCCTTGAGAAGGCGCCTGGGGTCTGGTCGGCTGTCCTCTCCCATGGGGAGCTGACCTCCAGGACACAGGTGGAGGAGGACCGAGGCAGGAATGGCCGCCTCCAGGCAGCTGTGTTTATCACGCACACTGTTTACCGTCACTGTGCACAGATAATCGACCATCAGCAGCTTCACTGCTGCTTCTGAATTCTCTATGAGGGTGCACCCCTTCCAGCAGCACTGGGGCAGGCCCCGTCTGTCCTCAGGTCCCTGGGAAGTTCCTGAGGGCCGCCCAGCGGGGAGCGGAAAATCGAAGGCGGACGGGCACAGCAACTCTGTTTTACACAGAGACACTGCTCAGGTTTCACTAGAAAATGGAACTCTGCTCCTAAAATCAGCGGGAAGCCGGGGCAGGTGAGGGAAAGCACGTGAGCCCCGCAGTGAGAACAGACGCTCCCATGGAGGGGCACGAATCCCGCTGGCGCTGGTGGTGCCCTGTCATCCGTTTATTTAAGGGACGTGCTGCCCTCCTCGCCGGCAGGAAAAGCAGCTGCTCAGCACTCGCAGCCCATCCTCCACCTGCTCAGGCTGTAGGATGCGGGACTCAGTCTCTCAGTCTCAGCTTGGCTCTCCACCCCGCGTCCAGACAGTGAGCCAATCCCGGCGGCGTTACCCCCAGAACCCACCCAGCCTCCATCTGACCCCGTTCCCACCTCCACGTCCACCACTGGGACCCACCCCTGGTTGGCTCGTCTCCCTCCTGAATGTTGGCAATGGGCTCTAGAGTCTCCTCTGCCATTCTTGTCCCTCTGCCCCCCACGCTCTCAGCCCCGTGATCATGCTGAACAGAAATCACAGCAGAGAACTCCTGCTCAAAGCCCACAGACGGCTCCCACCTCCCTCCTGAGCAGCTAGAGGCCTGAGAACCACCACAATCTCAAGTCCCTTGTGGGCTGGACTTGTTCGCTCTCTGGCCTCACCGTCTGCTCCCACTAAGGGGTCCCTGGGCTGTAGCCACCCTAGCCCCTTGCCTCCCTGCCCCTGGGCCTTTGCACATGCTGTCTGAGGAGCTCTTTCCCAGCGTGGCTGCCCAGCCCATCTTCTCCCTGTTCTCACTGCCGGCTCTGATGCTGCATTCATGGGGAGGCCTGTCGCAAGCCTGCATGTTCATGGCTGCATACGGCGTTTAGAGTAACTTGACCCCTGCCTGTTTGCCTGTTTGTTGTCTGTTTCTCCCTGGAAGGAAAGTTCTGCAAGGTCTTACTTGCTGCTGTTTTGTTCCCTTCCATCTCCCCACTGCTGAGAGCAGTTCTTGGCCATGGCGCGTGCTTAGCAATGTGTGCTGCGCTGAAGTTTGGAGGAAACAGATGACACCCAGGGCACACGTCCACCATGCACGGTGCTTCCATGTGATTCTCAGCCGCCCTCTTGGGGGCTACTCTGTCCATTTTACTGATCTGCCAATCGGGGCTCACGAAGCCAGCTCCAAAATCCAGGTCTCCTGGTTTCCATTCGAGGCTTGCCCACCGATCCAGGCCATTTGCTGGAGACCTCAGGTCGGCAGGAAGCCCTCACTGGCCACCCAAGCGGACTCCCGGCTCCGCTCTCTGCCCTGGGCTCCGTGGGGAGAAGGTGCCTGTAAACTATGGGGGGTTATGAATGTGAACCGCGAAAATGATCATGAATGTGAACTGCAAACTTTTCAGAGCTTAGTGCAAAAAGACAAAAGATAGCCCACACCTTCTTCCTGGTTCCACCCAACTTCCTGGTAACTAAAATGGTTACTGCCAGCCGATAATAAAAGGCCAAGGAGCCCCGGGGCTGGAGACCCTGCAGTGTGCGCCTTCCCGACACAGGGCCAGGCTGCAGGTGGAGATGCCCCTTCTCTGAATCCTCTTCCACGGACTCTGCTCTCTGTGCCCCAAAACTGCTCCAGCTGGTTTTTCTGCCTGGAATGTCCTTTCCACCTGTGTCACTGCCCAGAGCCATCTCTGTCTCCCCAGGCCCCCAGCAGAGTCCTCCTCAAGTCCTCGCCCCTCCTCTTGTCTCAGGGTCAGGCTCCTGGGGACTCCGTGGCCTCGGTCAGGTGTCAGCAGGATGGCTCAGGTTGGATCTCCACTGGGCGTCCTCGCCCTACAGAGCAGTGTCTCTGGAGCCGGTGGGCGGATCTTGATGCAGAAACCCTGGGAGAGGCTGGCAACTGCATTTGGCGGGGCCCCAGCATCTGTGTATCTAGCAAGTGCTGGTGCTGCCGGCCCAGGGACCCTGAGAACACGGCCTCCGAGTGACACATGGGCCCAGTAGAGGCCCACGGGCTGGAACCGAATCATAGCTCCTCAGACAGACAGGCTGGGATGCTACTCCGCGGAAGCGAAACGCAGTCACCCAGAAACAAAACGGCCTCTGTTCTGCAACCCCAGGTCCCAGACTAATAGACTCACTACAACGGGCCCAGCCATGCCTTCATTCCACTCACTCCGGATCAGGTGTCACTAGGAAGAAATGGTCAAGAGTGGCCAGTGGCCAGTGACCAGTAGCCCCACGTTCAGGTGTCCAGCACAGGCCAGTCGGCCTCCCCGTGAGGTCCTTGAATGAGCCAGGCTCTGTCCGGCCTCCACAGCGCTGCACTTCCTGGCCCTCTGCTGGGCTGCTGCTGGCTCATCTGTTGGCTCAAATGTCATCTCTGTGGACAGAGCGCTGCCAACCACTCAGCCAGGGGCCTCGCCAAGGATGCACCTGTGTGCCACAGTGCCCCGTCTGCTCTGAGGCTTGATGGGACCAGGATGGTCTTCCTTATTCATCTATCATGTGTCCTGCTCAGTGTCACAGCAGCTCCTCCACCCCACAGTCCTTGTGCATCTCCAGGACTTTGCAAAATGTTCTCGATAAAGACTCATTAAACAAATGCACACTGGGCTGCTCTGGACTGAAGGTCTGTGTCCCCCAAATTCACCACGTGGAAATTCTCACGCGAGGGGGATGGTGTTAGGAGGCGGGGCCTTTGGGAGGTGATGTGGTCATGGGGGTGGGGCCTCAGGAATGGGATTAGTGCCCTGTATAAGAGAGACCCTCCGCCCCTCCATCATGTGAGGTTTGGGAGGTGATACAGTCATGGGGGTGGGGCCTCAGGAATGGGATTAGTGCCCTTTATCAGAGAGACCCAGAGAGACCCTCCACCCCTTCATCATGTGAGGACACTGCAAGAAGGTGCCGTCTGCAAGGAAGCGGCCCTCACCACACACCAAATTGCCCAGTGCCTTGATCTCAGGCTTCAAGCCTCCAGACTGCCAGGGCTGATTGTCTGTTGTTTAAGCTCCTGGTCTGTGGGATTTTGCTACAGCATCCTGAAAGGACTAAGACACTGTCCCAATCCAGTCACCACCAGGGTGACCTCTGCGGCAGCCACCCCGTGAGCAGGCCTGGCCAAAGACGAGAGGACAGAGGCAGCCTTGACCCTGGACAGGCACACAACGTCGGTGTATCAGTCAGTTCTCACACTGCTCATAAAGACATGCCCGGGAATGGGTACTTTATAAAGGAAAGAGGTTTAGAGGACTCACAGTTCCACATGGCTGGGGAAGCCTCACAATCGTGGTGAAAGGTGAAGGAGGAGCAAAGAGATGTCTTCTATGGCGGCAGGCAAGAGGGCGTGTGCAGGGGAACTCCCCTTTATAAAACCATCAGATCTTGTGAGGCTTATTCACTATCATGAGAATAGCACGGGAAAACCCGCCCCCGTGATTCAGTGACCTCCCACCGGGTCCCTCCCACCACACATGGGGATGATTACAGTTCAAGGTAATAACCTTGGGTGGGGACACAGCTCAGCCATATCAGTTTTCATATCACTGAAAACAGGTCCTGGGATCCAGAGCTCTCAGAACTCAAGGTCACGGTCATCATTCATCAAACATCCACAGCCTGGCCTGTCAGCAAGTACCACCGACGGCTGTGAGCTGACCGGCCCCACCTCACACTCGGCCATGCCAGCCCTGTGGAAATGTCGCCCCAGACCTGACAAGCAGCCTGCAGTGTAGACATTTGCTGAACTTTCACAGGAGACTCAGGCTTCCTGGACCGAGCCCGGGGCTCCCACTTGCCGGGCAGCATCCTAGGAATTTAAATCAAGGCAAACTCAGTCTTTGTAAGGAACCTCTGATGAGGTTCTCAGATTTTTGCGTAGGCAGACTATGGGGATTAGAGGCCAGAAAGCCTCTGGAACTATTCGGAGACTGTCCACTGAGCACATGTCCAGAGCAGGATAAACATGACCTTTATGATTAGACCCTCTGAGCAGCTGAGGGACAGCGGCTCCTCAGAAGTGATCAGCACCTTCTGCCTCTTCCTTAGGAAACAAGGTGGGTTCTGGCACCGGTGGACTCCAGCAGGGAGCAGCTTCTTTTGTTCGAGGTGAAATGAGACCTAGGTTTCTTTTGTTTCTTTGCTCTGTGGTTGGTTTGGAGTAGTGATTCTAAACAGCGGCCCTCAAGGCTTCGTGTTCAGTGTGGGATGCTTGTAAGGGACCCTCGCCCTCGGCTGACCCCTGTGCTTCTCCAGACTCTCCCTAGCAGATGACCCGGGAGCCACCCCTCTCTAGGTTGGCCGACTCGGGAAACCCTCCCTGCTCAGCAAGGCTTGGCCCACTCTGTTCTGTCCAACTGCCCCTCTTCCCAGGCAAGCTGTGTGTTTTTAAAAATAGATTTTATATTTTAGAATAGTTTTAGGTTCATAGCAAGATTGAGAGGAAGGTGCAGAGAGCTCCCATGTGCTCCCTGCCCCCACCCGCACACGGTCTCCCCCACCCACGCACGGCCTCTCCCCACCCACATACCGCCTCCCCCCACCTGCGTACGGCCTCCCCCACCCACACATGGTCCCCCCACCCACACATGGCCTCCCCCCACCCACACACAGTCTCCCCCCACCCACACATGGCCTCCCCCACCCACACATGGCCTCCCCCACTTAGTGGTGTATGGGTTACAATCAATGAGCCTGTGCTGACTCGCCACCGTCACCCAGAGTCCATGGTGACACCAGGGCTTACTCTCGGTGCCAGCCATTCAGAGTGGTTCCACTGTCCCCAACTCTCAGCCAAAGCAGAACAGCTGGGGAACGGGGTGAAGGTGCTTACACCTTTTCCAGATGTGTTCACACACAGAGTCACATCGAGCAAAGGGTTTACATTACCCCCATTTCACAGTTGGAGTAAACCGAGGCCCAAGAGGAATAAAAACATTGCCCAAGACGGGTGCCTGTAATCCCAGCTACTCTGGAGGCTGAGGCAGGAGAATCGCTTGAACCCAGGAGGAGGAGGTGGTTGCAGTGAGCTGAGATAGTCATTGCACTCCAGCCTGGACAGCAAGAGTAAAACTCTGTCTCAAAAAACAAAACAAAACAAAACAAAAATTGCCCAAGAAACAATTACAGAAATGAGAACCAAAGTACCCGGCCAGGTGCCACTTCTACCGGCCCCTCCCTCGCGCAACCCCTTCTGTAACTCACCAGGGACTGGAGCCCCAGGGCAGGTCCAGTGTCCCCAGGGGCCAGAGCAAGCTCTGGGCCCAAGGATGCCCTGGTGCCTGCACAAGGGGTGCAAGGGGTCAGAGGTGTCCTGGACCCTCAGCAGAGAGTGGAGTTACCCCTGTGTGTTTAGAGGGACTTGACAAAGCTCACCTAACAGAAGGGAGAGTGACTGTTTTTTCTGTACTTCACATCATGAATTGAAAAATCAGGGGTCAAACTGTAGAAGGGGCACCGAATGACCACAGCAGTGTGGTGCCTGAGCCGCCAGGGACAGAGTACGGAGCCCACCTGGCAGGATGTTGGGGACAGCACTTGCCTGTCCCAGGTTCTGTGGCAGTTTCCGATGCCCAAAAGAGGCATCTTCCGCCGACGGGCACAACGGACCATAGTGCTCCCTCCCTCCCAGGCAGCGGGAGCATGGAGCTGACCTGTTAGCTGCTCACAGAGGTCAGTGAGATGCAAGCCTGACCTGGGCCTTCCTGTCCTCGTGGACAAAGCAAATTGCCTCTCAGCCTCTACACCCACCACAGGGCGAATGCAGCCACCCAGCCCCCGCCAGACCCCTGGCAGCCCCCGGCTTTGGACCGGGGTCCTCTGACTGTCCTTCTGTCTGTGTGCTCAGCCAGAACCCCAGAGGGGCCTTTGTCACAGTCCTGAACTGCTCCCTACCAGGCCTCCCGGGACCCGGCACCTGTCGCTGGGGAACAGGCCCAGGGCCCAGGGTTCAGACACAAATGCTCAGTGACATCGATAGAGTAATGGGCCTCGTGCCTGGTCTCCCTCCACAAACCCTGGAAGGTGCCCTATACGTTTCCAGAGTCTTGAAGGAAACCATTGGCCCAAATTGTGTTATTCATGGAAAGGCACCAAAACAATTTAAAATATGTGAACCTCCAATCAGCACTACCCGGTTGATTTAAAACCCCACACGCCGCCATCCATTTAATTTTGCTACATTTAAGGACAACACAGCTGTTTGGGGTTGGGGGCCGGCGGGGGCCGGCGCCTTCCCTTTATCTGAAGTCCACAGGCCTGGTCCACTTTCCAGGCACAGATGTGGTTTCTCCAGGCCCTTGAAGTTTGCAGAGAACTGTGCATCTGGCAGCACACGGAACACCGTGAGGACGGCCCAGCCCCAAGAGCTCCCATCTCCGGGGCCAGCACTGAGAGGCAGGCACCCTCTTTCCACAAGAGCCCAAATGGAAGAGTTCTAAGACACAGTAACTTCAACACGTGCACCTGGATGAAGGAGAAGCCATCAGCTTGGAGCAGGCAACGCTGGTAATTCTAGGCCTGAGACAAGGACAGTGGAAGAGGAGGACCCCTGGCTGCTTTCAGGTGGGGAAAGGCCAGCTCCTCACTCCCACCTCCCACTCGGGAAGCCTGGGCCGCCTGCACCTCTAAGCAGGACCGGTTGATCAGATGAACAAGCCAGTCCCCTGGCAAGACCTTGGGCGCGCAGCAGCCACTGGGCAGACAGACAAGGGCCCAGGCTGACCCTGACAGGGGGTCCGGGACAGTGTGCTGCCCACATTCAGATGCCTGGGTCGTTGGGTCATTGCTGGGCACCCTGCAGATGGGAGCAGATGTGACTCTAGGGGATGTCCAGGCCACACAGGGCTGGCCCACCAGGAACTGGGGTGGGTGCCCTGAGCCCGGCTCCCAGGAAGGGGAGAGGAGGCGGCTGTTGCCTTCAGGGCTCCTCGGCCTTATCAGGAATGCTGGCCAGATGCTCCGAAGCCTCCTGTTAGGATATGTTTCCCTTCCTAGGTGGCATCAGAGCGGTGGGCCAGTGGCTCTGGCCATGGAGGCTGGTCGAGGGATGGAGGGGGCGCGGCTTTTGAGTGTATGCTGCTGGGTGGAGGCTAGGACCTAGCCCATCTCTGACTCGTTCACTCACAAAACAAAATTGTGCATTGACTCTGGGGCACAGAAGGCCTAGGGGCACAAAGGCAGCAAGAGGAAGATTCATCCTGTGAGTTCAGCGCCAGTGACAATTGCCTTGGCACCTGTGCGGGGGTTGGGGAAGCTCCCTGGAGAGTGGGGGGTGGGGGGTCCCACACAGGTAAGACCCCGGAAGAGGCTCCATTTCCATGTATTTTGCATCTCCTATGTGGGGCAGAGCTGGGACAGGTGCTTTACTGTCACCTCTTCCTAATTCCTGCTGTAACCTGCAAGGTTCTTGCACACTGCCCAGCGTCCCAACACCTCTGTGAGCCGAGGCCAGAGCCCAGCTCAGCCTGCTGAGCCCAGAGCACCTGGCCACACTCCACCGGCTGCTCCGTGTGTTCAATCACCACCATTATAACACAGCTCACACTGCGACTGGGACACCATGCCCCAGTGTGTCCACGGTAGGAAGTGCGAGGCCGCCAGGCCACCTTCCCTGCACAACACCATGCACGGTGCTGGCTTGGGATGTGACATTTTGGCAGCCAGTGCTGACCAGCGCACACCTCCATGATGCACCAATGGATGGCCGTGGGTCATTGGTGGGGCACACAGCCCTGCACCAGGCAGCCCTAGCCCCGCTGACGGGACAGGTGGGGCCAGGTGGGCTCCTGAGGCTTGGTTGGGGGCACCCAGTGGAGAGCATGGGGGAGGTGCCTGCACCTCTGCCCTCTCCAGAACATGGAGCCCAACGGGGGCAAGACCACCCTCCCTTGCAGCAAAGCCCTCCCTGGCCAGTTCCACTGTCCACCCTGGGTCTCTGCTGTCCCCGGCTCTCCTGCTGGGCTGCAGACACAGCAGCCTCTCCCTCTTTTGACTGTGCCCTCCCTCCCATCTGCTGCCCCAGGGGTCTTGAACACATCAAGAGAGGCAATGGCCTATTTGGAAGTCTCCGACTGGGCCCGGGCCCCTCCGCTGTCCACCCCCAGTCCGTCTGCCACCGTGTGCTGTGCTCACCGTCCCGGGCCCAGGACACCCCAGCAGGCAGCCACCACTCCATAAACACAGATGGACTCTGACTAATTGTTCCACTTAGGAAATTTGGACTTGACAATGGGTTTATCAGGGAATCAAATGCATTTCTGCACTTGGAATATGTTTGGCTTAGGAGGGGTTTATCAGCAGGTCCCATTGTCATTTGAATGTCTGACCTTGAAAGGCAAATGGTTCCACATGCTTCCCAGAGCACCTGGCGCCGGTGCCGTGTCACTCATGCCCGCGATAATCTGCTGCAGGCTGCCTGCCCACCGGGCAGCAGTTGGCAGGAGACGCAAGCAGAGATGGCGCGCTCCTGCTCACTGCCCGCCCTGGCTCTATAAATATTTGTTCAAAGAAAGAAGTGACCTTCCAGCCTCAGTGGTGCCTTCCAAGTGGCACTCCCCCCACCGAGCCTAGGCCTGCTCTCCCTCCCACACTCCCCCCACCGAGCCTAGGCCTGCTCTTCCTCCCCGGGTGGGGTTGGGATGGAAGAGAGACAGGGTCTGGGTGAGCCACCGGCTCTAGTCATGGCTAGGAGGAGCAGGAATGCCTGCCTGGGGCAGGGGCTGCACCCTGTAGGCCACGTGGACTGAAGGAGCCCACCCGGCCGGCCCTCAGCCTTGTGGGCCCTCAGCTTCTGGCACCCTGGGTGATAAGTGTGGGGCTGGCAACACCTCTCCCGTGGATAATGACCCCCCACCAGCCTTGGTGACCGGGGCCCAGGCAGATCCTGTGCTGAACTCATGGGTGTTCCCAGCCCAGGCGACACCGACAGGACTCCTGATGTTTGATGGGACCCCCAGCACCATTCCACCTGGGGCCATGGCCATTGTCACCTGGTGCTCCTCCAAATGTTCCCGGAGGGACCCTAGGAGAGGTGAGGTCTCACTGACCCCGCCAGCAGCAACAGCAAGAGCCCCCGCTGCCCCTGGCCTGGTGCCTCGCCCACATGCTCAAGGGGACGGGAGAGCAGCCCAGGCAGGGTGACCGTGGCTGCAGTGATGGCTGCACTGGGACAGGCACCACCTGAGATTGTCCCCAGGCAAGACAGGCCTGGGGTCCACCTATGAGGAGGGGAGACCTGAGCCTGTTCAAAATACAGCCGTTTTCAAAACTGAAGGTAAAATTCCCATCAAATCCAAAACCCTGGTCTGCATCTCAGTGAAGATGCTTCGGACAAAGCTCAAGGCAGTGACTCTGGGTGGGGAAGTTTGTGTCCTTGGGAAGCCACTGTACTTTTAGAATACTGAGCCTTCCAAACAGACACCTTGTACATGTCAAGAAAATGACCCTATTGCTTCTAAAACAACAAACAAAATTGTGAAACATCAGACAAAATCTGCATTGTAAACAACCTTGCCCTGCCACCTCTCCCAACACCGACTTTAAAAGCTTAGAAGCCCCGAGTGACAGCGTGGATAAGCAGACCAGCTCTAGTGCCTCCTTAGCTATGCGAGGCAGTCGCTGTACTTGCAGGAAGTGACTGAACCCCTGCAAGGCCGAAGCCCCTCCCTTAGCAGGGGCCGAACAGACCTCCTCGCCGGGAAAGCAGTGATCTGTGAGGCTGAGTCTGGGAATCCCCCTCTCCAGAAGAAATGAGATGCAGCCGCTCTCCAGGTGCTTAGGAGGAGCTGTGGGGTCTCAGCGGAGGAACTTCACCAAAGACAGTCAATGCAGAGCCGATACGTCCTGGCTAAACTGGATCTCCGTGGCAGGCGGCCCCGCCTGGCCTGGCTTTCGGGGAGACATTTCCTGCTGCATCCTGCAGAGAACACCCTGCGGTCCTCAGGTTCCTGACTTCCTTAGTCTTCTCGGGGCCTAAGGTTTCCTGAGTTCAAGTTCAAGTTCATATCTGAAGGGGTCTGACAGGCGCCAGGCCAGAATCCTGGATAACTGGCACCCCAATGACCACTCGGCTGTCTCTGGAAACTTCTCCATGGGTCTGGACCCCCTGCTCACCTCCGGGGTATGTGTTCCCAACTGTGGAGCTCATACAAGCCCACCAGGCCATTCTAGCCATGCCCAGAGACTGGAAGGGGCCCTGTAATGCACCCTGAGTCTCAAGAGGCCTCCCCATTGTGTGACCAAGCCCGGGGTGCCTGGTGACCTCTTGTGCTGCAATCCTGGGCACCAGAGAAACCTTCTAAAGCCCACGGGGGATAAAGGAGACACAAATGATGCTGAGTGGGGGACGACTAACAGAGCCCCCTGTGCCCCCGGCCAACCAGGCTGCACTCCCCGCCCCACCTGGAGTGGCTGGTGCTGGGGACGGCTCCTCCCCAGCTCCCGTTCTGTCTGCCTCTTTCTGCAGAAAGACAGACTACACCTGCCCTGGCCCGCGGGAGCACATAGGGTAGGTGAAGGCACAGCCCACTTTGGTTTTCAGTCGTCTTTTCCTTAATACTTAATGGGGCAGGGGGTGGGGGAGGTGGGGCTGGGGCGGGGAGGTCCCACAGAGGAGGGCTGAAGTTCTGAAGAGGCATGGGTGGGGAGAGGCGGCATGGGTCGGGGGAGACGAGATTTAGGGCCACCCAGCGACGGCGCCCCT
Source organism: Homo sapiens (assembly GCF_000001405.40). NCBI lineage: Eukaryota > Metazoa > Chordata > Mammalia > Primates > Hominidae > Homo > Homo sapiens. The sequence goes on from NC_000006.12 coordinate 168,100,413, forward strand.
TCCCCACCACCCCTGCTCAGTCTACTCAGGAAACATCACCACCTAGGCTCTTCCAGACCCTTCCGGACCCTTCCAGACCCTTCTGGAGGTCCTGCTCCCACGTTCGCTCACCTCCTACGCCAGCCTTACTTTCAAAGACGGGAGAAAGGGGGAGCTTTGGACGACCTCATGGAACAAAGGTGAGGATGTCTTCACTTTGGTAATTAAATGCTTAGATGTCATTTTGTGACCTGATGTCTGTTCCTGCCCCTGCAGCACACAAATCACTCAAACCTGCACCCTGGCCAGGGTCTGCACCTCCTGCTCCGAGCACTGGCGGTACCTCATCTCGGGTGCCAGCCTTTTGGCTCTGGAAGCAGCCACAGCTAGGACTGCCGCTGGGAGAGGAGAAAACTTGGTTTGTAGAAGGCAGGAGCAGAGCCTGACTCCAGGATCCTCCAGGCCTGTGTGGGCACCTTTTAGGGTCCAAAGCCCTCTAGAAACACGCTCCAAAAACCAAATTCCAGCCCACACCAGGGTGAGGGTGGGGTGGGGAAGGGCGTAAAGGCAGGCAGAGCTTCCGATTCCCTTAGCCAGCATCTGCTTCTGAGCGCAGAGCCGCGGGGAGGGCAGACAGGAGGCTAGGGGAGGGGACAGGGGAAGGGGGGGGTGTTGGACTGGAGGGGAGGTGGGGAGAGATGGGGGAAATAGCGGGAGGTAGGGAGGAGGTGGGAGGAGGTGAGGGGGAAGTGGGGGCGGGGGGGTAGGGCCAGGGCTCCTTCCAGAAGGCAGGCAGGGTGCACTTAGCCCGGGGCAGGGACCCCCATGGGCCGGCGGGTCCTCCTAGACCCGCCTCAGTCCTGGAAACCCCGAGGGGACGACAGCGGAAGCCGCCTGGGCCCTGCGCTCTGGGCCCTGGGGTGCAACCCCTGAAACTCGACAGTTAGCGCCACTCCCCGCCTCCGGGGTCCCCTCATCTGGTGGCGGCGGCTGGAGAAGGGCGCACCCCGCCCGCGGAGACCCACGCGCTCACCTTCCGGGGGCCGAGGTCCGGCTCGTCGTCCGGCTCAAGGCTCCGGGCCGTGGTCCCGCCGGCGGTGTAGAAGCGGCCGCCGCTCTTGTGCCCTCCGGGTGGGACCACGTGGGGAGGCAGCGGTGACCCCGGAGGGTGACGCGGCCCGGGGTCCGGATTGGCCGGCGCCGCCCGCCCCCTCCCCGCCCAGCCGACCCTCCCCGGCAGGAGCGCGGGCCGTGCAGGGTCTCGGGGGTCGAACCGTCCTGGAGGTCACACGGCCCCAGAGTTGCCTGTCCCAGGGGTCGCCCAGTCCGGAGGGTCGCTCCATCCCCGGGTCACACGTCCCCCGATTGCCCGGCCCAGGGCTGCAGCATCCCAGCCTTGCAGAGGCGATCGCGCCACCCACCCCAGACGGGCCGCTCCCTGCGCGGACGCACCGGGTTCGGCGCCTTGCAGGCTGCTGGCGACCCCGCTGCCGGGTTTCTCCCCGGACCTCACGGCCTGGACAGCACACTCGGAACGGCGGCATGCATTTGAAGCCATCGCTGCCTGCGTTGTCGGTGGATGCGGTGGACCCGGGGCGGGCAGTGCGGAGCGCGGAGGGGAGACCTGCCCTGGGGCACAGTGGCGGGGAGGGGATGGTCCTGGGGTTTGCATGGGTGATGGGACAGTTCCAGCCCCGAGAGCGGGAAGACGACGCGGCGGTGGAGCTCTAGGAAGGGATGGATGTTATCACCGTGCAAAACCAGACCACCGCCCAGGAGGGCAGTTGAAGCTTCACTGGCCCAGGGCGATTTGCCCCGTCTGAGGGTGACATTTGGGCAGACACCTTTAGGAACGAGGGAGGAGGCCTCTTGGATATTTAGGGGGAAGTCGGGGGTCCCAAATTGAGGACCAGCAAGTGCAGAGGCCCCAGGCACGCTGGGGGCTGAGAGAGAGCAAAGAGAGGGAGAGAGGGCGTCATTCCTGACCCCTGAGGCTGAGCTCCCAGAACCCAGCCTTGGCTGTGTTCTGAGACTCTGGGGAACCAGGTTCCAGGCCGCCCAGCATCAGGGCTCGGGGCGTTTCTCTACCGTCCTGGTTTGGATTTCTCCTTCCCCTTCCTCCCCCTGCCCCAGGCCTCATATGTTCCCAGTTTTCCTTCAGTGCTGATCTTCCAGCATATAATACTATTTAGCCATTCATTTTGACAGCCTCCCCCAGTTAGAATTTAAGTGCCAGCAGGGCAGATATTTTTTATCTGTTTTGTTTACTGCTGAAACCCAAGCACCTCCAAGAGCTGCTGGCACTGGAGAGTTCTTGGCGGAATGAATAATTCATGTATCAGGGCCCAGATCAAATACAGCAGCTCAGGTAGAGTCCTCCCACTCCATTCAGTCATGTCAGCGCACCTGGCACCTTGCCTTAGGGGAAGTAGCTCCTACGTGGATTTAATTCCCTTCTCCTCCTCTTCCTTCTGCACTCCAGCAGGAACAGAGCAATGCACCATTTAAATGAAGGTGGTTCATGCCATCCACACACTTGCACAATAAGGACAACTGGGTGGCAAAGAGCTCGAGGGTTGAATCAAGAGGTCACAGACCAGCAGGAGCCAGAAACTAAGACGGGCTTGATGTTGTGGTGCCTGGGTGTTGTGTATCTGCCCTGGGTGATTTTTGCTTTTTGTTTATTTATAAGCTGGTAGCAGACAGGTGACGACTTCTGTATTCACCTGCCCGGGTAGTCTGGAAGCAGCCTCTTCGTCACACCTTTCACCCAGGCAGTGAGCCCACTCTTGGTCCACTCTGATCTCCATGGGGCCCTTGCTCAGTCATTGCGTCTGGTCCTGTGCTCTGTGGAGATGGACTTGGTCCTCCACATAGCCCCGGATGACAGCCTGCCTGCTGTTTGGAGCTGGCTGTGATCTCATCTTTGAATCACATCTCAGCGTTGCCTCTTTCCCTTGTAGACCTCTTTATTCTCTGCATTGCCACAAAATGACGTGCATGTGAGTATTACGAGGTTACTTTGTGAAAAGGGTGTTGAAATAACAGGTATTGCTGATGTCCAGTACATAAGTGTGTCAGTGTACGCAGAGTTATCACACATGGCAGCAGCGACTTGATGGAGAGAGCGAATTGGGATTTAACTCAGGAGCCTCTTCAGTGTCACAACGACTCGGCAGCAATGGCCCTGCCTGGTCTAACTTACAGGACACACAACTCGTCAATCCTCATGTGTCCAGAAGGTGCTAGAATGACAGCTGCTGGTGCTGCCGTGATGCCACCCACCTGGAGACGTGGTTCCCTGGCGTGAGGGGACGTTTTATGTGACATTTGTATAATAAAACAGCAAATGGCTCTTGACTGTTCGGATTGGGAGTTTAATGCTTCTTTCTCCCTAGAAAAAGATAAAAAATTTTATGCCTGGGGAAGAGGAAGAGGAGGAGGACAAGGATATCACTTCAAATTTTAATGGAGAAGACAAGGAAGACAATTTGAAAAAACCATGTTTTAATATTTACAGAGAAAAGTGTCTGGAGGGAAATATATTAAAATACATCAAAAGGAGTAAGATGTCCAGGTTTTTTTTGTTTTTGTTTTTTTTTTTTTTTGCTTGTTGATTTTTAAAAACAAATAGTTATTTGTATAATAAGGATTAACAAAAAAAAAATGAAAACAACCTTGCTGAAAAGTAAATGTTTTAATTCTAGGAAACAAGGTGGTTTCCCTGTGTTTGATTTCTGGCTGCAAACGGAGCAGAGCTTTAGGACCAGGAGCCAGCAGCCTGGCTCTTCATACCTGCTGCGGCCAGGAGAGGTGCAGCCTCTCACTGTCAGTCATCTGGTCTCTAGCAGCTTCTTGAGTAACTCGCCCCAAAGCACCTGTGTCAGTTTCTCCTCGGGGAGCGCTCCTGCAGTAAAATTTGGCCCCAGGTGTGTTGTATTTTGTTGCTTTAAAAGGCTCCCATTGCCCTTCTCTGAACGTCAGCTTTGTCTTTGGACCACACCCGCCTGAAATCCATGTTCCCGACACTGGCCTTGGCTGCCATGCCTCACCATGTGAGTTTTCTCTTAAATGGAACAGTTGTGAAGAGATTTTTTTCTTTGTTTTTGGTGTCTTGCTTTTTAAAGGGCAGCTACAGGAACTCTCACTCATTGCTGGTGGGAAGGCAAAATGGCACAGCCACTTTGGAAGACAGTTTGGCAGCATCTCACGAGACTAAACGTACTCTGACCACAGGATCCAGTAATCACACTCCTTGGTATTTACCCCAAGGAAATGAACACTTAGATCCAGCAAAACCTTCATGTGGCTGTTTATAGCAGCTTTATGCATTATTGTCAAACTTGCAAGCAACCCTGATGCCCTTCAGGGGGTGAATGGATAAACCGTGGGACCCCAAAAAAATGGGGTGCTGTGCAGCAGCTGAAGGGGCGGAGCCACGGAGCACGGGAAGGTGTGGAGGAGCCTTCCAGGCAGGGCCCACTCAGTGAAGGAAGCCGGCCTGAAAATGCTTCCAACAGCATGATTCCAAGGACGTGACGTTCTAGAAAAAGCGAAAAGATGGAAATAGGGAAAAGATCAGTGGTTGCCGGGACCTGGGGAGACGAAAGGATGCATAGGTGGAGGAGAGAGGATTTTTAGGGCAGTGGAACTCTTGTCTATGACATGGTCATTGTAGAGATGTGTCATCGCATGTTTGTTGGAACCCAGGGATGCGCACACGGAGACTGAGCCCCAGTGTGTACTGAGGACTTCAGTCAGCAACCGCATCCCACTGTCAGCTCACCAGTGAGGACAGCTGTGCTATAGCCACACAGGATGTCAAGAATAAGGGAAATTGGGGTGTGGAGAGGGGTACATGGGAACGCTGTACTTTCTGCACAATTTTTTCTGTGAACCTAAAACTGCTCAAAAAAATAAAGCCTATTAGAAAAATGGGAGTAGGATGTTGTACTTTTAGCTACCAAGGGTGTTTGTCCCTGTGAGTAAGAGTTAGGGAGGGAGGAATTGGCTGGGTGTGGAGGCTCACGCCTGTAATCTCAGCACTTGGGAGGCGGAGGCAGATGGATTGCTTGAGCCCAGGAGTTTGAGACCAGCCTGGTAAACATGGTGAGACCCCATCTCTACAAAAAAAAAAAAATACAAAAATTAGCAGGGCGTGGTGGCTCACACCTGTAGACCCAGCTACTCGGGAGGCTGAGGTGTCTGTCACTGCACTCCAGGTTGGGCGACAGAGCTGCCAGGAGAGGTGTCAGAGCCCCAGCATCAGAAAAACAGTCAGCTCACGGGTGGTAGGTAGTAAGAAGAATTTATGGACAATGGCATAGGTTTGAAAAAGGAGAAAAAGAACGCTGCAGAGGAGTGCAGTGAGTGTCTCAGTGAGGGGACGGAGCGTGTGATGGTCGATTTTTCTTAGGGGCATTTATGGACCTTAAAGCAGGAGCTGAGGGCAATTTGGGCCACACTAGCCATGGAGGTCATGATAAACTGAGGGTAATTTGGGCCACACTAGCCACGGAGGTCGTGATAAATGACTACATCTTTAGAGGTTCTGTTGCCCTGACGTCAGCAAGGGATGCCCAGTGAGTTTCAACATGCATGCGTTCCAGAGATGTATAGAAACCCTAGTTACTGATGACTTGTTGGAAAGAGGCTTGGAACCAGATGCTGGCTTTAGATAATAGGGAAGCCTAACGGCTTCTGAATTTCTCAGATAAGGAGTGCTGTCTCTGGATGGCCTGCTTGATGCCCACCAGGCGATCTTTGCTCTCCTCAAGAGCCAGATCTTGTCTCAAAAAAAAAAAAAAAAAAAAAAACAACAACAACAAAAAAAGGGTGGGGTGGGGGAGGAGTAGAGACGGGACATTTTGAAGACTTGAAGATGAGTTAATAGACAGTGATGGGGCTGTCTGAGGGTTTTTCCTGATGGTTGCTCCCTGGGCCATAGGCAGGTTCCAGCCAGGCAGAGGGAGCCCAGGCAGGCGGCACCCTTGCTCCAGGGGTGGAAGGAGGTGTGAATGGCAGAGGCTGCATGCTTCAGCTGGGGCTGATCTCTGTGGGAGGGAGGACACGTGAAGGAAGGAGGGGCAGGAATGGAGGACGGAGGAGGGACGAGGGTGGGGCTGTGCCAGACACTCCATGCGGGTGCTGGGTCAGGTCTGGTGGCTCCTGGGAGAAAATTTCCCCCTTTCATTTTCAAAAGATGACATCAAAACAACTTAAAGTCTTTCCAAACACAGTTCCCTGCACCCACCACTGAAGGCCATGATATAAGGAAGAACATATGAAGGAAACATGTTCCTCTCACGCATCCCTAACAAGCAGGCTGTAGGAGCTCGTCTGTTGTGAGATGGAGCAGGTCCTGAAGTCATTCCTGATGGCTGGAATTTTCACAAAAGTTTCTCACAGCATAGCACTAACAATCCAGTAATTTGAAAAATGATGAGTTATTTCCTCAACAATTTGCAAAGGTCAGAATTATTATTTCTTTGCCATTCTTTTGGTAACAAAAGTTTTCTTACTTGTCATTTGTGGGATGTTTTTGCTGGGTGACGGGCAAGTAACATGACACCACCCTATGAGCTGTGTTTAAGCAGAATTTAAAAACAAGGGGCTGGGCGCAGTGGCTCACACCTGTAATCCCAGCACCCTGGGAGGCTGAGGCAGGCAGATCACTTGAGGTCAGGAGTTCGAGACCAGCCTGGCCAACATGGTGAAACCCCATCTCTACTACAAATACAAAAATTAGCTGGGCATGGTGGTGGGTGCCTGTAATCCCAGCTACTTGGGAGGCTGAGGCAGGGGAATCGCTTGAACCCGGGAGGCAGAGGTTGCAGTGAGCTGAGATTGCGCCACTGCACTCCAGCCTGGGTGATAGAGCAAGACTCAGTCTAAAAAAACAAAAACAAAAAACAAGGTAGTTGGGGAGTGGGGGAGGACCATGAGAAGTGGGAATCTGCAGCCCCCTGAGGCCTGGCCGGGCCAGACCCCGTCCTGCTCCCGAATAGCCGCTGGCAGGATGCCCAATGCACCCACCCTGATCTGAGCATCCCCTCAGGGAACATTTGCAAATTGAGTCCAACAAGAACCCACTTGCCATCAATTCTGAATTTTTGTGTTGTGAGTCAGGCATGCTGTCACCCCAACGCAATAAGGCTTCTGTTTGACAAAAATCCAATTATTTGCCTAATAATCTCTGAGAATATTTCATGCTGACCTTTCTTAACAATAAATGTGGAAGCTGGTGGGGGTTTGAGAGAACTCTCTTCCTAGCATTGGGTCAGGTTGACACAGTCAGGATGTGGAGTGTCCTGGTGATATCTGCCTGCTTATATTTATATTACCCACCTGCAGTTTGTCCCAAATGCTGTCAGCATAAGCCAGTTCCCTTGGTGACTGAGAGAGGCTTTGAATATTTGGAAAACATCCAGCCATGTATTTCTGTTCCCAGGAAATATGTAACAAGTGTTTTCACCATTTCTTCATTGCACTAGGTCTGGAAGATTAAAAATTTTGTGTGAGTTTAACATTTAGTAACAGAATGTGAGCAGTGTTTTCTTTCTAATTACTAATTTGTTAATCTCACCTCAAAATTTAACTGTTAAGCAGACATTTAAACAAATCAAAATTAACATTTAAGCAAATCAAACTTAAGATTAAGATTTTAAATCTTAAATGAAGCAAGATTTTGCAAACTAATTTTGATTAGTAAAGTAAAAAATATTTTTATTAACTACAGCAACCTTCTGAGTCTTTGCAAATATTGTCTTGAAAGGTAGAGGCATGCCTCTAGAACACTGCACAAAGATAATTTTCGTAGTGATCCAGCTTTGAAAAGGCTCTCACATTTTCCCCGGTGTTCTTGAGGAAGAGAGAGAGGGAGGGAGGGAAGGAGGATTATAGGAGCTCTGGGACCCTTAGGGCCAGTTCACTCTGTGGGACATGGGCCAGGTTCAGTGATGGTCCACTTTGTCTGGAGCCATGAGCTTCAGGAGACCGCCCTCCTCATGTGTCCAAGGCCCGTGGAGGGGAGTTGCTCAGGGTGGTAGTAGGCGCCTTGGCCAGCCTCCAGCAGACAGCTAGGGTGTGTCTTAAACTGGAGAGAGAGGGGGTTACACTTCTAATTCCAAAAAGTCAATAAACAATGCCCCTTCCTTGAGTGTTCCAGGGGACACCTGGCCTTGTGCGGAGGGCTTGGCTTTTTGCCTCACAGACACAAGCCACAGCAAGTTGCCCACGACATCAGTTTCTTAAGGGCTGCGATGACAAAAAGTCACAAAACTGACAGCTTAAAACAGTGGAACTCTACTGTCCCACAGCTCTGGAGGCTGGAGCCCAAAGCCACGGTGTGGGCAGGACTGTGCTCCCCGAAGTCTCTGGAGAGGATCCTTCTTACCTCTTCCTGGTTCCTGGCGTTGCTGGTGATGCTTGGTCCTCTCTGGCTTGCAGACATGTTGGTCCAAGCTCCGCCTTCCCATCACGGGTGGTCCTCTCTGTGAGTCTCTGTCTCGTTTCCTCTCTAATAAGGACACCATCATATTGAATTAAGGACCCACCCTATTCCAGGTGGCCTCGTCTTAACTAATTACATCTCTGAAATGACCCCATTTCCAAGCAAGGACACATCCTGAAGTCCTGGGGGTTAGGACATCAGCTCTTTTGGGAGAGGACAGAGTTCAACCTGTATGATACATCCCTAGGACAAGTGATTCTTTATTTCGAGATTGGGGCTGCTGTCACCAGGACCAGGGTCAAAGGGAGGAAGAGCAGAGCAGAGGGAGAGAGGAAAGACCGTTTTCCAGGCTAATGTGATGCGTGCTGCTTGTTTCTAGGGTAAATGCAGGAGTTCGTAGCACTGATCCACGGGTGGAGGGCCCTGGGTTCTCCCAGAGTAGATCGACTTTCTGGCCATATTTTCTAGGAACATACCTGCCTTCTGACCCACCTGAGCCAAGATATTCACTGTAAGAAGACTCCGCCGCCAGCCGATGGCACTCAGGCCTAACAGGCAGCTGGCCCTGCATCGGTGACGAGGGACGCCTCACTTTACCTTTTCTATGGGCCCCATAAGCCATGTAGGGTGACAGTTCCAGCTCAGCAGCAAAGTGACATTATCAACGCCATCAAATACTGTTAAGTGCTCTTGTTCCAGTGGAAAGAGCTCAAAGTGAAATTTAAGCACCGCATTAGGGAGATGAAGCCAAGCTTTCCACATGCCCAAGGTGGAGTGACTGGGAAGGATGGAGACCCCACTGAATTGTCTTTCTATCAAATAAAGAATAGCAGGAAGTGGGAACCAGTGTCTGAGGTTTCGCTGAGCTCGGAATCAAGCCAGATGGAAATTGTCTCTATGCTGAGATCTAGAGTGGGGAGATTTCAGTAACGCAGCCTTGGGAAGTCAGCAAGTGCCCAGGTAACAGATATGCAGTCACTCAGCTGCAAAGCTTTAAGAACACTGTCTGTGATAGACGGGCACCTCCGTAGTATATGCACCGTGCCTTTCTGGCTACCTCTAGTATAATGACTATATTTTACTTTTTTTAATTGATGGAGCTAAGTTTTTAAGATGTGCTATGTTGCACAGTGATGCCTTCAGGATGAATAAGGTGCCTGTCACTGAATGCTCCCACCCTAAGGGCTCCAGATGCTGTTACATGAACAAAAATTCCTATTATCTTTCATTTTAACTTTCTTCTCCATTCATTGTCAGCCCATCAGTTATCACTTCTTGACATGATCAATATTTCTTCTCTTGCCCCCTTAATTTCCTTTTTCCAGTCTGCCATGGCAAAGCAGCTCAAGAAAGGCTGTAAGAATGGAACCTTAGGTAATGGTCAGCTGGCTCTGCATAAATGGCCAGCCATTGCTAGCTGAGGAAAATGAATGACTTTTGTACATGAAGTTTGGGGCCTTTAGAAAAATTATTCAGGGAGATCTTTTCAGCCCACTTCTTAATTCTTTGTTGTGTTATGGACAGCTGAGCTTCTCCAAGAAGGGACTTTCAGATAGGATACATGTCACCTACAGTGTCTCAAAAAAGACTCAAATCCAACCTGTTATGAAATGCAGGATTTAAGCAAGTGAGCAATAAAATGAATTTAAAGAATGATGTCTCAGTAAAAGCCAGACATTTTTATAACAGATTATTATATCCCAGTGACTTAGACTTCCCAATTACTGTGGTTAAAAATTAAAATTTTATATTGTTTTCTATTTAATAACTCTGTAAACTTTATACAGCGTGACTAAGTGTCATACTCAGATGTCGTCATACTTAGGAAGGTGTGTTTGGGAAAACAGAATGCAATTTTGGGTGAGGTTAAGCATTTTCCCATCCAAATCCTACATCAAATTGAAGATTCATTCAATTCAATCAACAATTATTTATTGAGTACTCACTGTTTGCCACCGTGTCCCCAGCAAAAGGGGCAATATCTGGACCCCAGACCATACACATTTGAATGACAGAAGGTTGGCATAGATGAACTAACGAATGTATTATTGATAAATTGTGATGCTGGGAGGAAAATTGGTAGAAAGTTACGATGGAAAGTAACTGTTGGAACTTACTTAGATTTGTTGTAGAAAATGGGTGTTTGACTCTGGCTGTGAATGAGTTCACCAGTCTAATCAACATGAAATTGTGTAGACCACTCTCATAGAGGACCAAAGACCCCGGATCTAATCAATATGAAACTGTGTAGACCACTCTCATAGAGGACCACAGACCCCGGATCTAATCAATATGAAACTGTGTAGACCACTCTTGTAGAGGACCACAGAACCCGGATCTAATCAACATGAAATTGCATAGACTACTCTCTAGAGGACCACAGAACCCTGGAGTCTAATCAATGTGAAATTGTGTAGACCATTCTCTAGAGGACCACAGACCCCAGATCTAATCAATATGAAATTGTGCAGACCGCTCTCATAGAGGACCACAGACCCTGGATCTAATCAACATGAAATTGTGTAGACTGCTCTCTAGAGCACCACAGACCCCGGATCTAATCATCATGAAATCGTGTAGACCACTCTCATAGAGGACCACAGACCCCGGATCTAATCAATATGAAATCGTGTAGACTGCTCTCTAGAGGACCACAGACCCTTGATCTAATCAATATGAAATGGTGTAGACCGTTCTCTAGAGGACCACAGACCCTGGATCTAATCAATATGAAATCATATAGACCACTCTCTAGAGAACTACATACCCGAGAGTCCGGTCTCTTTCCTGCGGGCCTCCAGCAGACATCAGTCCAGCCCCAGGAAAGGCTGGTCACCAGGAACCACTGAGGGGCTCAATCCATGGAGGTCAACAGGGAAGAAGCCAGGATGAGTCAGTTTTCTAAATTCAGTGACGGGGCGACCAGTAGACAGCCATTTGCTGATGTGAGGAACACATGAGGAATACCAGGTGGATGAGCATTCCAAGATTGGAGTTCACCTTGGTTTATGTTACTTTTAAGACATTTGTGAGATATCCAATAACTCAACTAGAGGCAGCGTTCAATGTTCTGGGTGGACCCCTGGACCACATACATTTTGATGGGAGAAGGTTGGTAGTAAGGGCCTGGCTGGGGAGGCCTCATCACCCCACGACTGTTCCCTCCATGTGGCCAATATGGCAGTGGAGGTGGCTGCTACCCCTCAGATGTTCCCTGAGGAGCCATCAAAGGGGGCAGAAGAGGCAGGGAAGCTTCTGGAAGGAGAGGACTTAGGCTCTCAGGGTGAGTGGGAATCGCCGGGCCTCGGGGGAGTGAGGGGGACAGTGGTTCACAGACATGGGAGTCCTGTGGAAGGTGTCTCGAGGGGATGCCTATGCAGTCAAAGAGGGAGGGGTCTGTTCAGTTCCTGGGGTTTGTGGAACTTTCCCTAAACCCTGGCTTCAAAATGAAGGGGGTTTGACCGGATGTGATGGAAAGAGAAAAGCTCTGGTTTAAACCTCCAGTTGTGACAGATGATAAAGAGGCAGGCGAGACGGTGGAGGGAGCAGTCAGAGCTGTCCCTCTGTGGCTGAACTGTCCTAACCCCTGGGACCTCAGGATGCAGCCTTGTTTGGAAATAGGGCCTTTAACGAGGTGATTAAGGGGAAATGAGGTCCTTCAGATGGGTCCTAGTCCAATGACTATCATAACTTATAAAACACTATATAATTTATAATGAATAATCCTATACAATTATAAAAGAGGAGGTTTGGACCACACACACATAAGTGCACACACATGTACATGCATATGAGCACATAAGCACACCCATGTGTACACACAACAACCGTGTGTGTGTACATACACACACACAGAGACACCTGCTACAGACTCTCCTCCTGCCAGACTGAGATGCAACCGCCCTCAATGAAGTGTCTGTAAGAACCCTGCAGTACATGAAAAGAATTACTAACTATGCCCATTCTAGGATTATCTATGTGGCTTAATATTGGGAAATCCCTTAATCGAATACGGTTTCTCAACAGAGCAAAGGATTAAAGTTATAGGGTGTTTTGACAGTTGCTCTAAAATTACTTGTAAGAGCTCCCAATATTTTCATGACAGAAATATTTGATAGAGTTGGAATAGAATGATGCTTTCCTAAACAGAAGATTCTTTCAACCAACAAACATCATTCTTGACAGGAAGACACTGGCCATAGACCCATTAAAGTCAAAATAGTGTGCCCCTGACTCTTACTGGTATATTACATTGTTCTGGAACTTTTAGAAACACCATAAAATATGAAAAAGAAGTTATTGGCACTACTGTTAATAAGGAAGACACAAAAATATAACTGATTGCAGGTGATATAATCATTTATTTAAATAAAAACCTAAATATGGTAAGGAGTTCAATCCTTAAAAAAAATAATTCATAGGTATACTGAATTTCTAACTAAAATGTCCAATTAAAACATTTAACGATGAACACACAGATGAAAATAGCCAAGGAAGTGCTGGAGGAGGTGGACAGGGCACAACATCAGCAGAGGACAGACAGATGGGGCGGCGGCTGACTGGCAGAAGGTGCAGGTCCCGAGGTCAACGAATCCACTGTGTGGAAGGTCATGATGGGCGAAGCATTCAGAAGGGGGTCATGCAACAGACAGTGCCAGGAGGCCCACTGAGGGTAAGAAGAACTTAGATTCTTACTTCTCGCTATACACTAAAATAATTCCCATCGTAGTCAAAGAGTTAAAGATGTAAAAAGTAAGCCACAGAACAATGAAAGGTAGTTAGGAGCACTAGACATTGTTCAAGGCCTTAACACACATTCACCTGGATATTTCCATGGAATGCTTCTTGCATTGCTGTTTTTATGATTATAGAGGTAGAGAAAATATTGACAACCAACAATGGAGAATTGGTTTTAAAGTACTACTTTGCATCAAGATGATAGAATATTTTTGTAGATTGTAAAAACTGTATTTTATAACCTTGTTTTCACATGGGAAATTTTTATTTTATGAAAGTACAGGATATAAAAGTATCATACAACCCAAATTTTATGTTTAATAAGTGGAAAGAAATACATTAAAGTGTTAGCAGTCATGATCAGAACATAGAATTTTGTTTTCTGTGTTACTTTTATAACAAAGGAAAGTCCTGAAGTCAAATCGGCCTCCTTCCCATTAAGGTGTTGAAAGTTTCCTTAGGGCTTAAATGGATGACTGATGGCCTTGGATCTAGAATTCTCTACGTGTGTGTGGACCAAACAATTGCTGTCAAATGGAAATGTGGGTATTGACTTAGAGACCTTTCTATGTGATTTCTGCCGAACCATGGCTACAGCAAACCTGTGACAACTGTGTGCACATCACTGTGCCGAGACTCGACTCAGAAAATTGGGCAGTGCCTGATCCCGATAACCAGGGCACCTGCCACAGCCCTGCCACGGCTCTGGGATGTGTGCTCTGCCAGCTTTTGCCTGTAAGTGACCAACAGAGGGTTGCCCGAGCTTGTGAGGAGTGCAGTGTTTAACCTCATCAGCAGGAACACTGGCGAGTGATTCTTATTTACCAGTAGAGATTTCCATCTCTCAAAATTTTGTATTTATGCAGATTTATTTACAGTTTTGCATAAGCCACAAGATCTGCTTGGATCCCAGAACGACTTCTGTTCATTGTGGCAGGAAAGGAAGCCTTTAGACCCATGATGTGGGGTGTGTCAGAGGAGTGCAGAGACACACACATCATTCTCAACCTTCGCTGAGGCCTTTTACGTTTTATCTTTTTTCACCCTGAACAAAAGTGAGTTTGATAGAAGATACAGAGAAGATCTGTTAAAGATGAAACAGAGTAAAATAACAACAAGAACCAGCCCTAAACCAAGACCTCATAACATCGGTGCAAAAACCAGATGAGAGAAACATACAGCGCGTGGTCACAATGCCCCAGCAGCAAGTGTCTCGGTGCCATTTGGACAATTTCATGTCAATTTCATATCATCTCCAAAATGGGAAGAATTGCCCTTGGTATGAGAGAGTCCATGTCTCCAGTGAAGGAAGATGGCTGGCAGACACTGCATTCTGGGGAAGGACAGGTACCGCTGCGCTCCCGGAGAATGGGATGGGGAATCATTTCAAGACGTCTAACCTGGTGATGATACTGGGAATAACTGTTCTCTGGAAGTGTTGTGTTTGTCTTCCTGTTTGCCACCTTGTGATCCAGGAGACCAGGTCAGGAAAAGAGAGCGAGAGACAAAGACTGATGGGCAGCCTGCAGGGCCCATCCACCCATCTACCCACTCATCTATCCACTAATCTACCCATCCATGTATCCACCCGTCCACCCACCTACCATCCATCCACCCATCCATCCATCCATCCACCCATCCATCCATCCATCCACCCACCCACCTATTCACTCATCTACCCATCTAGGCACCCATCTATCCACCCACCCTTCCATCCACCCATCTGTCTACCCACCCACCGACCCATCCACCTATTCATCCATCCATCCATCCATCCATCCATCCATCCATCCATCCACCCACCCACCCATCCATCCACCCATCTGTCTACCCACCCACCGACCCATCCACCTATTCATCCATCCATCCATCCATCCATCCATCCATCCATCCATCCACCCACCCACCCATCCATGCATCCACCCATCCATCTATCCACCCATCCACCTATTCATCCATCCATCCATCCATCCATCCATCCATCCATCCATCCATCCATCTATTATATGTCATCTATCTACCTATCATATATAATCTATGCATCAATCTATCATGTGTCTTCTATTATCTCACCTACCTATTCATCTATCATATATCATCTATTCATCTAGTCACCTATCCATCTATCATATGTCATGTATCTATGCAATTATGTATCCTATGCCATTTTTTCATCTATATCATATGTCATTTATCATCTATCTCTTATATGTCATCTGTCTGTCTAACCATCTATAATATGCCATTTATCTATCTATCAATCATATGCCACCTGTCTATCATACACTGTTTTTAAAATCTATCTGTCTATCATATACCATCTGTCTATCATATGCCATCTGTCTATCATATACCATCTATTATATACCATCTGTCTATCGTATACCATCTGTCTATCATATGCCACCTATCATATACCATTTTAAAAATCTGTCTGTCATATACCATCTGTCTATCATATGCCATCTGTCTATCATACACCATCTGTCTATCATACGCCATGTGTCTATCATCTGTCTCTTTGTCTGGGAATTCATGTAGGATCTATCCCTTTGGATCTAACATAATCCACAGGATTCTGGAGTTCATGTGGGTCTCCAAATGTCTCTGAGGCTGAAGGGAAGGACAGGTGTGATTACCCCCACTGTTCAGGAGGTGTCAGAGCCAGGGGACCTGTGCTGCTAGTCTGGGTCATGGACGCCCCCACTCTTGTGAGGGAGAAAGTCGGGGTCTTCTGTCCAGTGTCCTCTTCCCTGTGGTCATGGAACATTTGCTCAAGCAGGCAGGGGCAGCACCTCCCTCCCAAGCCGGATGCATCTCTCTCAGGGAAGCCCAGACTTCACTCTTGCTACAAATGACCAAGTCCCTCTTGACCCAGACAGGGCTTCCACTGGAGGGATATCAGCCTCTCTCTTCTGGTGGGGGACCCACAGGGTCCTGACACTGGTCCTATCTTCAAGGGGGATACTGGTGGTGTCCCCAAGCACTGTGCTCCCTGGCAAGGCCAAGCCCGTGGCTTCAACGTCTGCCTCCTGGAGTCCAGGCCACTCGAGGAAGGCACTGTCTTGGACGTTCATCACCCACTGCGGGCAACCCAGGAGAAACCTGGGAGAGTGTCCCCCAACTGGGCCCAGCAGCCCACAGAGCTGAGAAGACAAGGCGTTGTTCATGGTCTCTGTCCACGCTGGGCCCGGCAGCTCGCAGAGCAGAGCTGAGAAGAGGAGGCATTGTTCATGGTCTCTGGCCACTGAGATGGTGGGACAGAGGTGGAGCAGGTGACTTTGCTGCCATTCCATGATGCTCAGAGCTCATGAATAGCCAGTCACACTTACTCCAAGCACGAATTCTGGTGGTTGTTCCGCAGTTTTCACTTTGTGGATGACAGAGCCAAGATTTGGGACTGGAGCTCACGGTGCCCAGAGATGCACAGCGGGATTTTCCCGCCACGCCATGCATTCTCCACAGGCCGAGAGTGTGCTGTGAAACCGCAAGGCTGAAACCACCTTCACGCTGGGAGCAAACGAAAGGACCCGAGGGCAAGGAATCTGATTGGTCCCCCAGTCAGATGTCAAAGGTCAGCTCTTCAGAGTGAGTCAGCCGTGAGCAGCAGCGGCTGATGGGCAGAGTCCACGAGTGAGCCCGGGTGCTTGTCAGTCCCTCCAAGGCACAGGAAATGCCCTGTTTTTCAAGTGTGCACATACACTAAGTTAGTAGGACAAGTTACATATTCCCACGTTGTTTTCCAGTGGCCTGTTTAGGGCTGGGCTTCACGTGTTCCCTGTGCTTTCCGCGTGCTGAGGAAGGCCTGCGTTTCCCTCCGTGGCTGTCAGCCTTGGATCTGATTGTGGTATGGGAGGGGCCGGCTGCCTGTGAGGACTCCACAGCATCCCCAGCTCCATCTGCGATGTGATAGGAGCTTAGGAGAGCTGCCGTGGGGCCAGAGGGCGCTGGGTTCCAGCCTGCCCAGCATGTCTAGCGATTATTGACAGTTTTGTGTCCTGTTTTCCCATGGATCCAGGACAGCAGAAGACAGAACCAGGTTCTCTTCCAGAGAGGCAGATTCAGCCAAGGGCTGGCCCCATCATAAGCAGGGCAGGGGGCAACTCCTCCACCACTGTCCCGACTCAGCCAGGCACCTGGGATTCCTGGGACCACAGACCATGCAGGGCAAGACAAGAAACTCCCAGCACATGGGAAGTCTTCTGAGGGCAGCAGTTGGAGCTAAAACATGTTTTATTCTGAGGTCGAGTAGAGTGATCTGGAAATTGAAATGAAGACAGTTTGAGAGTCTGAGTGACTGAAAATAAAATACAGATTGCCATTGAATAAAAAAATCACAAATTAAAAAGTGCATTTTAATCTAGGGTCACAAAGGTATGTTTTTCAAAAATAATCACTTTTTTATGGAATTATGGGATTTTGAGACAAGATTGTATCACATTGAGGTCCGAACAACTGAATTATCAGTGCCCTGTTACACCCAGAAATTAATTATATTTTAATTTAATTTTGCAAATTACCTGGAGCCACCAAGCTGGGTGGGCTCATGGCGCTCTCTGTTGGTCGCATGCAGAGCTGCCCCATGTGTTTTTTTTGACTCCTTTCTTTGGGTTGGTGTCCCTGTACCAAAATCTTCTTTTCCTCCTCTCCACAATTCACAGTGGAGTCATTTTCTGCCGGGCAATGGCATTCTCCTACTTGTCCACATTCCACCTCTTGTCATGCAGAATATCTGAGCCAAGAGAAAGGAAAATAGCTCTGAAAAGAAATAGCTACACTGGCAGAGTGAAGGTGGTTAAAAGCCTCTGAACCCTCGGCATGCCTGCGCCTGCTTGCGATTTTGGTGGCTTAGATGCCATATGAGCAGGCCTGCTTCTTTTCCTGGCCTGCAAAATAAATACGCACTTTGCTATCTCTATATTTTCTCATTGTAATACTATCATTGTTGTAACATCAGCTTCCACTTTAAATAATCTCATCGTGTATTAAATAGGTATCTGTAAATTAACCTAGGACTATGCTGTGGGCTGAATGTCTGTGTCCCACAAAATTCATATATTGAAATCTTCACCCTCAAGGGGATGGTATTAGGAAGTGGAGGCTTTGGGAGGGGATTCGTTCATGAGGCCAGAGCCCTCGTGAATGAGATGACTGCCCTTACGAAAGAGAACCCAGAGGGCTCCCCCATCCCTTCCACCCACACAAGGTTACAGCAAAAGGACAGGAAAAAAAGGAAAAGTCTAGGAAGCAACCCTCCCCAGACGCCAAATCTACTGACCCCTTGGTCTTGGACTTCCAGCCTCCAGCACTGTGAGAAATAAATCTCTGCTGTTTAAGCTGCCCAGTCCATGATTTTTTATTACAGCAGCCAACACAGACGAAGACAGACTGCACCCACAGCTTCACAGCAGCCCATGGGAACGTGTCTGGGGAGCCGCCTCTGACTCCCTTAGGCCTGTGGACTGGCACACTACTCCTGCACTGCACTGCCTTCCAAAGAGAGTCGCCAGCTTCGTGCTCACTTCACCCTTTGGCAACCCAGGAATGGCTCCCACCCCAGCTGAAACCTGCCCAGAAGACTCAGGTATGCTGTAGTGCAGTCTGCATTACCCACCGTCAGGGAATTGGCCTCTAATTAGAGCAGCTCTTTTGAGGCACAGACAGGTGGCTCCAACCAGAGATGGTAGGATAAGCCTGCCCACTGCCGTGGAAACCATCCATTGGACTGTTTCTCACCAGCAAAGCCAAGCACTGGGAAATGTACATGTGCCCTCTGATGGTCGTCTAGTGTTGTCTACCACGCATGTCACTTGTAGGTACCTTTATGTCCAACACTGATAGAGCTCTGCTTCTGGGTCCAGACATCTTCTTTGCTAATATTTTATTCTTTCTGGAAAGGTTCAGTAATGTTCTTATACCTCTGGTCAGTAAGTTTTCCCAGGAGCACAGTGTCTAACTGTAACCATCAGCTTTCATTTCAAAGCAGTATCATCACTAATCATCACCATCATCACCACCACCATCTTCAATATACCATCTTTACCACCATCATCTTCAACATACCATCATTACCACCATCATCTTCAACATACCATCATCACCACCATCTTCACTACTACCATCATTATCTTCACCACTGTCACCATTGACTTCAACATCACCCAACATCACCACCATCATCTTCAACATACCATCATCACCACCATCTTCACTATTACCATCATCATCTTCACCCCATCACCACTATCTTCAACATCACTATCATCACCATCATCTTCAAGATACCATCTTCACCACCATCTTCACTATCACCATTATCATCTTCACCACCATCACCATTATCTTCAACATCACCATCATCACCACCATGATCTTCAACATACCATCTTCACCACCATCTTCACTATTACTATCATTCACCATCACCATCATCATGATCATGATCATTACCATCACCATCATCTCCACCATCATCATCACCACCATCACCACTACCATTATCATCATCATTATTTTTATCAAAAGAAAGCTTATGAATCGTGGAGCTTGGATTTAAGCTTCAGTGGTGGCTTCCAGAGTGTACACTCTTCCTCACTGCACTCTCTTGTACCGCTAACTTTATCTGCCTCAGTTTCTCTATTTTTAAAATGGAGATAGGAACAGTGCCTCCCTACTGGAGGCTTTGTGCAGTTGAAGTGACACCGTGCATATAAAACGCCTAGCAGGATGGCTAATATGCACCCAGTCAGTGTTAGTCTGTGAGCCCCAGTGGTTTGTTTGAGAAACCCTCTATGGAAACAGTGTGACGTTGGCTCTTTACTCAAATTTAAACCTTTTATTTAATACTATAAATTCACTTATTAATAGAATTTTTGTTCTCTGAATCAGAAGACGTGTATTGTGGAACAGAAAGAGCACTGGCTGAGGAGTTAAGCATCCTGGGTTCTGAGCCCCAGGCCTCTTGTTCTGTGATTGGCAGGTGTGGTCCCAGGCCAGCAGCAACAGCACCACCCACGAAGGTACAATCAGAAATGTGAATTCTCAGGCCCCAGCCTGGATCCTGTGAATCAGGCACCTGGGTGTGGGCCCAGCAATGTGTGCTAGAACCAGCCCTCTTGGGGGCTCACTCTCTGAAGCTGGTCACGTCACTTAGCCTCTGTGGCCCTGCCTGTTCATCAGTCAAATGAGGGGTTTGGAGCAGATCAAGCAGGTCCTCCCCACCTCCCCGCTGCTGTTCAGATCCTGTCTGGAGCTGACTGTGACAGGGAGGGCAATGGGGTGGTGGGACTCAGCACACAACACAGCAGCTCTGCCTGAGGTGGTGGTGCTGAGTTCCTCTCCAGCCCCAGAGGCCGTGGGTGGCCATGACACTGTGGCCCTGCCTGAGGTGCTGGTGCTGGGTTCCCCTCCAGCCCAGAGGCCGTGGGTGGCCAGGGGAGCCCTGGGGTGCCTCTGAGTGCCCCTGCCCTCAGCTCCGGTGACAGACGCCGCCTTTGTATTTCCAAAGTACTGGGATGATTCGATTCTGCCACGGAAACTGAAAGAAATGAGTAAGAGGAGAGAGAGATGTAAGAATGGAAGCCAGCCAGGAAGGAGAGGAGCATCTGTGTGCTGTGAAGGGAGGCCGGGCAGATTCTGCACCAGGCCTCAGGTCGCCAGATAACCTGTGACCCGTTCAGCACCAACTGTGGACACCGTTCATTCTGGCCCACTTGTGTTCTGCCTAAGAAATGCAAATAAAATCACAGCTCTCCCACAAAGCCCTCCCTGCAGGTGGGTGTCTCTGTCCTGGAGCCTGCAGAGAGAGACCAGCCCCACCTCCTGCCTGTCTCACCATGGGTGTCTTCATCTGTGGGCACCCTTCTGTGGTGACCTTTGGGGCGGCTGGCCTGTGGTGAGCCTGGGCTTGCCGCTGCATCAGGGTGGTTTCCCATCCGTTGGAAACTGAAGCTTCTTAGCCCCTGACAGCGGACAGGCCATGCAGTTCACCATGAGGGGAACAGAACTGTCCCGCACCCGCACCCCCTTCCTTCCTAGATGGAGAAGCCTGACGGTGAGATTCTGCAGCCGAAAGATGAAACCACCTGGGGCCAAGGTTGCTACAAAAATGAGTTTCTCCAATTTCACTTGTCCCCACAGTAGATTTTGGTTGAACAAGAAATAAGCTTGTAATGATTCAAGCCCCTGAGAATTTGTGGTCATTTTTAATGGCCTCATAAGCCTACCCCATCTGGATTAATAGACAGGAAGGGTTGGAGAGAGGAAGGGGCAGGGTAGGTAGAAAAGGGAGAGGGGCAGGAGGGAAGGAGAGAAAGAGGTAGGGGGAGGGAGAGGGGGAGAGAGGGAGAAGGAGTGGGGAGACGGGAGAAGAGAGAGAGATTCTCTGTTAACTGCCTCAAGGAAAGGGATCAATGCATATGCAAAGCCGAGTGTGCTGCAGAGGATTCCAACAGGTCTCAGTTTCATTAGCGACCAACTGAGGCCATGATTTTAACCCAGTCTTTGGAAATTAAACCATCTCTTAGAGGAGAAGCATTTGCGTCAAGCATCGCCGAACCTCCCAGCAGGGATTCACACAGGGTTTACGTTGCCAGCTGGGTCTGGGTCCCGCGGCGGCACTGCCACCTGTCTCAGGAGGGCTTCGGTTCAAGTTGGTGCTGTCGCTTTGAAGGCCACCCATGGCTTCATGGACGTCAAGAGGGTTGGGCCAGGCTGGAGAGAGGTTGAGGCTGGGAGAGAATCACAAGAATCTCCCACACCTCCTTGTCTGGGAGACTTTGTGCTTAGACTCCATATTCCGCTTATAGGATTTTCTAAGCCTCGCGTGGAAACACCATGTCACACTATGGAAGTGGCATTAAGCTGCAGTCAGGGTCCTGGGGCCTAGGTTCTGGTTCTAACCTCTCGTGGCCACTCACTGGCACACTCCGTACCCAGGATGACCACTGTCGTGGTGTGCCCTCCACGAGCTCACCTCTGTCCCCTTCTCTGAGGTCATTCTGATTTGAAACGTTCTTGATGGGCGGGAGCTGGTTGGATGATTTGAACACTTAATGCTGCACCCTGTGCTGTCCCTCTTTGTCCAGAGACGCATTTGACACAGCAGCCAGGATCCCCCTTGGCCGCTGCTTATGGCTGAGTCCTGACTCTGTGGCCTTTTCTGTGCTTGGGGGTGACTCTTACCCTTTCTCAGTCCGAGGGTGATGGCTGATCTGATCACTGATTGCATTGCCAGCTGGGAGCCCTAGAGACACACCAGCTTCCATGGCCGTGTTTGGGACGGCCCCCAGTTCTTCAACAGCTGACATTGTTTGGCTCTGTGTCCCCACCCAAATCTCATGCTGAATTGTAATCCCCATGTGTTGTGGGAGAGACCTGGTGGGAGGTGATTGGTTCATGGGGGCAGTTTCCCCCATGCTCTTCTTGCGATAGTGAGTTCTCATGAGATCTGGTTGTTTGAAAGGGGATAGCACCCCTTTGCCCTCTTCCCTGCTGCCATGTGAAGATGTGCCTGCTTCCCCTTCACCTTCCACCATGATTGTAAGTTTCCTGAGGCCTCCGCAGCCATGCCTCCTGTACAGCCTATAGAACAGTGAGTCAATTAAACCTCTTTTCTTTATAGATTACCCAGTCTCAGGTAGTTCTTCATAGCAGTGTGAGAATGGACTCATAT
This sequence comes from Homo sapiens, assembly GCF_000001405.40. NCBI lineage: Eukaryota > Metazoa > Chordata > Mammalia > Primates > Hominidae > Homo > Homo sapiens. The sequence continues at coordinate 168,123,254 of NC_000006.12, forward strand.
CACAGCGGACAGCACCCCGGTGTTCTCACCCCTCTGACATCATGGTGCACTCAGGGAATGAAATGAAGACCAGACTCCTGCTGGCTCAGGGTCACCCATCCACTCAGTCCCAATGCACAGCAGCATGGGGGAGCGATCACTAAGTTCATTTACCCCTTAGGGGGAGTGAATTAACCTCACCCAAGCTTTCATCTTAGCCTGATTCACTCAAGGGATTAAACCCATCTGGGGATTATAGACTGGGGCTTGTGAGTCCTCTTAGGTGTTACAAACTGTCTTTTCACGCCTTCAAATTGGGAGGATTTTTATCACTGATGAGTTTTGCCACTGAAAGTGTGGTCTCAGGACTGGCAACCTCAGCTTCCCTGGGAGCTGCTTAGAAATGCAGACTCTCAGGTCCACCCCAGACCCAGTCAGGATCATCCTAACAAGCCCCCGCTCCTGGGGCTCCTATCAGGTTCAGTGTGGGAGGTGCTTCTCTGGATGGTGTTTCTCCAACTTCAGCCTTCAAGAGGGTCACCTGCTGGGCCTGTTAAAGTGCAGATGACTAGGCCCACCCCAGAGTGGCTGATTCGGGAGGTCAGAGGGCTGGACGGGGCCTGGGAATTTGCCTTTCTGACGAGCTTCCAGGTGAGGCTGATCTGCTGGGTTTGGATCACACTTAGAGATCCACTATTCTAGCAGGCCTCCAACTTTTTGATCTCAGGATCCCTTTGTCCTCTTCAAATGTATCAGGGGCTCCAGAGAGCTTTTGCTTATGGGCTACAGCCACTTATATTTGTGGGTTTTACCCACTTACTTATACTGATACATAGATGTATTTATATATGGGATGATATGTACATTCTATTCTCACCAGGTATTGAGCATTTGAGGCAATTTACCTGAGCCTGTTGACTTTAAAGATAAGGAGGCTGTTGATTTTCAGAGCACTACGTGTAAACGCTGATGGTTGTCTCAGGCATTTTTTCCTAATCTGATGGAGTTTTTCTAGAAAATTGTATTTCCAGAAGAAACACAACAGGAGAGTGAGCTGGTTATTGACACTTTGCCCCATGCTCTCCATGGTGTGGTTTTCAATTATGCAAATGAACCCAGAGGTTTGGCAATGTGCAGCTGCTTTGCATAAAAATGCAGATAAACAAATAAGCCTACCCCAGCTTACGCACACACATTCCGCCAGCGAGGATCGTATTGCCACCTTCCTCACCCTCAGAATCCACACGGGCCCCAAACAGAAAAGAACCAGTTTGTATAAGGTGATTATTTTAACAGGATTAAAAAAGAATTTAATGTTTGAATAGGTAATATATTCATGATTCAAAAATAAAAATGATATTAATGGATACACATTGTGAAACCCCCCTCACCTGCCCCCCCATCCCTAGAATAACCGCATTTATTAGTTTCTTCTGAACCTTCCAGGGTGATTTATACAGGTATAAGGAAACACAAACATATACTCTTGTTGTCGGCATTAACACAATCTTAGCGGTATGTTTGTGTCAGTGCATTGTCTGTATCTTTGTGAATTTGATGGGCATGTGGCTCATTTCCACCTTGAGCTGATGTAAATGATACTGCAGTGATTCACCTGAGTCATACATTGTTCACATGGTACAAAGATGACAGTGAGAGCATGGGACCCACGAACTGCAGAAGCAAAGGGGTGGCTTTCCACCGGTCTGTCTCCATGCATGGGTTTCCGATGTTCAAATGGCCCCGGGATAAACAATGCCTCCCATCCCTCACCAAACATATTTGGGGGTACCCTTCCCTCACCCAGGGGACGGAGTGATCTGGTGGAACTTCTACTACCCACCTCAGACGCAGGCCAGGAGTCCATGGATGACCCCGACCATCCACCCTGCCTCTCCTGGCTTGGCGAAGCCGCATGTGAGTCCTCAGGCCTCCTTGGCTGTGGCTGGAGCTGGCGGGAGGAGCATTTGGAGGGGCAGGGTGGCCAAACGTGACACTGGGGTATTCAGAGGAGACCATGACTGGGATTCCTACTTTATAGAAGGGGAGTTCATTAATTCGTGAGGGAAAGAAAGTGAACAAGAGGTTCAGGTTATTTGGACGGAGGGGGTCACTGTCCCAGGCCCTGACGGCTCTCGGCGCCCAGCACCCCCCACCACTATTCACGCCTCCCCTTTCTCTTCCCTGAGCAGGGGCTGCGGCTCCCCGGGGGAGAGGACATAGGTCCTGGCTTACTGGCCCGATTGTCTCTGGTTCTCACATCCCGAAAGCCTTGAAAAGGGAAAGAGGCTCTTTTAGGAGCATCCCAGAACCCCACAGTTCTCTGGTGGAGTGGTGACACACTGCACACATTCACAGAGAGAATCGTGAGCGCCGGGGCAGGTGCGAGGTAGGGAGAGGTCACAGCCAGACAGCGCTTGCCTCTCAGGACCTCCTAACCCTGTGTTTTTTCTGAGATAGGAGTTTCCTATCCAGCCCCCCGGGGTGAGCGTGGCCACACCTTCATGGTTCATTGAAAGCAAAGGCGGGACTGACCGGAAGATTCCAGAGGCACACACAGGGCACAGGAGGCTTGACTGAGAAAAACTCGAGAAAGATGCGAAGTCCCAGGTCGGAGGGCATCAAAGTGCACGTGCCAGTCACCGTGACCAGACGGCTCACCGAAATCCCTGGGCCCAGGAGTCCTCACGCTTCCTGGAATCTGAAGGTGGGTGGCAGAGCCAGGCCAGGGCTGCAGAGCCTTCTCGACTTTGTGTCTGCAGCTCAATCCTGGCCCTGGGAGGCCCCTCTAGGAAGGACGCAGCTCTGAACTCACGATGAGTAGTGGGCTTGGCTCAGGAGGAAAGGGAGGGAATTCGCCAGTGGAGAATTCTTGGCATGACTTTTCTTTTAACTTTCTGCTCGTGTGGCGAAATGTACATCGCTTTGCCATGTCGACCGTTTTATGTGTGCGGCTCAGTGGCATTAAGTACATTCACAGTGTGGCGTGGCCCTCACCGCCATCTCTTTCCAGGACGTTTTCGTCAGCCTTAATAGGAGCTCCATCCCCATGGATCTGACTCCTGCCCCTCCTGCAGCCCTGGGAACTTCTGTTCTATTTTCCATCTCTAGGAATCTGACTCTTCCAGGTGCCTGTGTGAGTGGAACTACACAGTGTTTGTTCTTTTGTGTCTGGCTTGTTTCATTCAGCATAGAATGGCTTTTATCAAAAACATGGAAAACAGCGAGAGTTGAGGAGGATGTGGAGAAGTTGGTGACCTCACACATTGTTGATGGGAGCAGAAAATGGAGCTGCCACTGTCAAACAGCTTGGCAACACCTCAGAATTAAGTATACAGTTACCATATGATCCAGTAATTCCCCTCCTAGGTGTGCACCCCAAACAATGGAAAATAGAGGTGCAGAGGCTTGCACCCCGTGTTCACAGCAGCACCATTCACAACAGCCGACAGGTGGGAGCGAGCCGAGCATCCAAATGGAGGTGCAGACAGATGCTTGCACCCCGTGTTCACAGCAGCACCATTCACAGCAGCCGAAAGGTGGGAGCGACCCGAGCGTCCAACAGGGGAACAGATGAGCCAAGTGTGATGCACACGCAGCGGCCTGTTATCCAGGCAGAAAACGCCATGACGTCCTGAATCCGGCTGCAGCAAGGCTGGCTCCTGGCATGGCTTCTGAGGAGCTGCATTGGGAGTGACCTGTCTCACCTGGGAGACGGGTGTGTTGCTCTGTTCCGGAAGGCACTGGCTCTAAGCCCCCTGGCCCACCTTGTGCAGTTAGCTCTGCACAGATGCAGGAGGCCTGCACCGCCCACCCCCAGGAGGCTCCAGGGAGATGGCCTGTGTGGTTTTGCTCCCTAACTCCCTCGCTTCGGGTGTGAGTGCCAGTGGAGGTCTGAGAACTTTCAAGGTGAGCAAAGAGGACCCATTCCTACAGCAGCTAGCTCTCAGATGGCGTAAGTGGGGGAGCTGGGTGGTCAATGGCATGCTCTGGAATGTTCCGGCCTGGGAGAGCACTCTGAGGGATGAGGGATAGGCAGTGAGCGATGATACCTCTTAAAGGGGGCTCCTCTTTGGTGGGGCCTCATCTGCTCCCCTGTTTGCTCCCATTTTAGGTGGAGGAAGGTCTAGGGACTCCCCAGCTGATGCAGGCCGGGTGCTAGTCTGCAGGGTTTCAGAACTCACAAGGAAGCGTGTCTCCAAGGGCTTGTTTGACGTTAGGGCCTCCAGCAAAGCTACAATTTAAATTGCAAGTTTAAAAACACCTCCTGCCAAGGTGCATAGGCAGCTGCCCGTCACTCTAGACGGCTGGCTTGCTTCCCTGGAGCACAAGTGTGGGCCTGGGTGGAGATTAAAATGTGCCTTCAACAAATGCCAACGCTGGCTCTGGGCTACACGAGTGGGTGAAGACAGGGACATAGCACCCTGTGCACCACACTCATCAGGGTCAATACGGCACAGCCAGGCCTCCAGCAAAGACAGCCATGCAGTGTGCATGCATGGGACCATCACAGACTCACAGGCAACATTCCCCCTGGCCCAATGGCAGGGAGCTTGGACCTCCTTGCGGCTGCTTGGCCCTGGGCTGGTGTCTCGCCTCTGGCTTCTTCTAGGTGTGAGAAGTGACCTCCCTCTGTAATTTCTTCATCTATGAAATGGCTCCTCCAGAAGGTTGATTAAAAGATGCAGTGGTGGCTGCACAGCTGCGGTCAACCCATCGGCTCTCTCGTCAGCAGTTTCTTTCCGGGGTGCCTCCTGGGCATTTTGACACAATGGGATTTTCATTTGTCATAAAACCTTAGTCCCTAAAAACACAGGGAGGCCCTCAGAGGATTGGAAATGTCAGCAAGGCCACATCGTACAGCTGATGTGCAGTGACCATGCCCGGGGCCTCACAGTGGGAGAGGGCACTTCCCATGGTGACAAAAGCAAAGGGTCCCCAGGGATGGCTAGAGGGGCCCTGGGCACACGCCATCCATGCAGACTCCGTGTGGAGCCTGGGGATCCCGGCCTTGGCGGTGCTGGGGGGCTCTTTTGATCCCTTTATTCCCAGAGACAGCTGCCTGGTGTCTGAGAGCCCGGAAGAAGGCAGAGGGTGACTGGAAGACCAGCCAGAAGCACTAGATGAAACCGAGGGGTGTGGCGGGAACAGGAGGTTCTCGAGGAGCGTGAGCTCCCATTAGGACGCCTGCAAGAGCCGAAGTCTCAGAACCATCATCCCCAGCAGTGACCCTGCCTCTGGCCTCCAAGCGCCCGGCTGAGCCCGTCTGCTGGAGAAGGGACGCTCCTCTAAGCAGCAGCCCAGGGGCATCCCCGGCTTGGGATTCACAGGCGCTTTACCCCCAGGGTGGGGCAAAATGGGGAAACTCTCCACAGAGAGGGTGGCATGGGGGGCTGAGTCCGGGGGAATCTAGGCCCCCTCCCTGGTCCCACTTGCTCTGAGATGAAAATGCAGGAATAGTAGGTGGGTGGTTTTCCAGGTGCAATGTGAGTGCAGAGGCTGCTGGAACAAGCTTTGCCTGCAGCAGATGTCAGGCCTAGGGAAGCTGGTGTTTGCCACTCAGCCCATGCCCCATTTATAATCCTCGCTTCTCAGAGAGAAACGCAGGAGGACAGTGTGGGAGGACGGTGCATATTGACGAGCAGCAGTGGGAACAAAGGGGAGGAGAAGCAGGGTTGGAGCACAGCTGCTGAGCGCGAGTGCTGGTGGTCTAGGCTGGCGGCCGGCGGCGGTGTGCTCCGAGCCTGTCCAGCTGAGCCCTGTCCAGCTGAGCCCTGTCCAGCTGAGCCGTCTCCCGCTTGGCGCCCCCAGGCAGTCAGACTTCCCACACCTGAAGGAAACTAGGTGGAAGCGACTTGGCCTCTCCGGCCCCGCCTAGGCCTCGGAGGTCAGGTGGCCTCACCTCCCCTGCGGGCACCGGCCAGCTGCTAAGGCCTGTCCACGAGGAGAGCGGGGTGTGGGACACAGACTTCGCCTCTCAGTGGGAAGCGTGTTCCGACTCTGCCACGTGCCTCTTACTTTAGAAAAGTGAATCCATCATTGTTCCAGTTACCTTGGGCTGCACTCTAACCGCCACCAAGTGCCACGGCTTCAACACGGTTCATTAATTGCCAGCGTGTGTGTGGCTGGTCTGGCCACAGCGGCCGGTTTTCGCTCGAGGTCCTTCATGTGGTTGCCGTCAGATGGTCAGATGGCGGCCGGGGCCGGGGCTGGGGTCGCTGGACACTTGACCCAGCTGGAGGCCTACGGGGAGGCCTTGGTTGGAGTGTCTGAGGCCTCAGCTGGGCCCCTGCCTCCGCGCGCCTGACCAGCACTTTCTCCTCCTTTGCCTGGACGTCCTCACGCCTGGTGGTTTCCGCACATGGGCTCCCCCGAAGACAGCGTTCCAGAGGCCGGGCAGGGCCTCTCATGTCTTCATCTCCAAAGCTATTTTTGCTGCATTCTTTTTGTCAAAAAGCCAAATGAGGGGGGTGGCACAAGGGCACCGATTCCACAGAGCGGGGGCACTGAGGGCCGGCCACCACGGGGGTCAGGGGTGGCTGAGGGCCGGCCACCACGCAGGTCAGCTTTACAATCCAACCGTTAGTGGTCATCAGTTATTTGTGATGCGTGGTTAAGTGTCGCAGGAGTTGAAAGAACAGCTACCCTGGAAAATACCGAGGAGCAAATTCCTGGGCTTCATTTCCAGGTGGCCCCAGCTCTGGCTGAGGAAGCTGATCGTCGAGGCGGTGCCCCTGTCTGCCTCTGATGGAGAGAAGGGGTCTCTGTCTCTCTCTCTCTCTGAGAGTGAAGGAGAGCTCGCCCAGGCACCACCAGCAGGCTGCGGGCAGGGTCCTTCTCTCCCCAGAGACAGGTGCGAAGAGACTGTCTCTCCCTTTCCTCTTGAACGTCAGGCTTTGATTGATGACTTTAACCTGGAGTTCTGAGGAGCAGGGGTTGGCCACTCTCCTTGATGGAGGCCTCTGGGTGTCTGACGCAGTCCCCGTGCTGAGCTCTGGTCTCTGCTCCCTCCCTGCGTCGATGATGCCAAAAGTCCCAGAGCCAGGACAGGCAGCCAGGCCCTGGCTGGTCTGACTCCAGCTCTCTGGCTGCTGCCCCCTCACACCATGCACGAACCTGACCCAGGCAGGCATGCCTGGGCTGACCAATGAGATCGGATGGGACGCATGTGAGGGTTTGCCCCAGAAACTTGCGAGGCCAGAGACCCAGGAGATGGCCTCTCCCAAAGCACCTGGCTCAGGAAATGTGGACATATTGGCGGCTGAGTGTGGGGGGCACACGGTCGGCCACGAGAAGACCACTGGTTGGCAACCCTGACAGCATTGACGCCAGGGGCCGTCCCGGCTGGGACCATCTGGTGACGTGGCTGCGATCAGCCTTCCCTGAAGGAAACCATCCACCGGCACCTGCCAAGGCCTGTGAGGTGGGGGTATGTACAGCCCCCAGACCCTGGCATTTCTTCCCAGTTCTTATCTGGCCATCTGTGTGCTCACAGCAGTTAGCGACAAGGGCCATGATTAACTGGGCTCCACAGCAGGCTCAGGTGTTTCAACTTCAAAGACTTCAAAGACCCGAAGCAATTAACCCCCAGGTCAGCATCTGAGCTGGGGGAGAGGCAGGCGGGGGCCTGTCCTGCCTGTGCTGGGGCAGCAGGGAATTGGCGGGAACTTCTGCACGTTGGGCCTCACACTGCAGCTTGGAGCCTCCCCAGGGCTTCCTACCGTCTTTCATTTATTCATCAGGCAGTGAGTGAGCACCTGTAATGCTCCCCTGTGCTGGGGAAGTGAAGGTGATTCCCTCAGGGTCCCGTCCCGTCCTGTGGGGAGTTCATCTCCTCAGCAGCAGCACGGTGCTGGAGGAGCTCCAGGGCGCAGGGGAGGTGCGGAGCAGCGGTGGGAGCTAGCAGGGCTGTGCCTGTGAGAAGAGCAGCACCTGACCGGGTGCCAGCAGCTGTGCCATGCTCCCTATAGACATAGCATCATGCCTTGTCCGTGGGAGATATGCACCCTTGTCTAACCATAGCCCCACCCTCCTCAAAGGAGACCTGCTGAGATGTTGTGGCTGGAGGGAGCACAGGAGGCAGCTCTCACAGGAGGCCAGAGCCCAGCTCAGGACCTGTGTCCTGGCTCCAAAGCTCATCTCCAGGTCGACCCCATGTGCCTTTCACCCAATCTTCCCAGTTGCTCCTACAGCACCCTCCCTAACCCCCACCGTCTCACACCCCTGGGCCTGTCCCTGCCACTTCTTTTTCTTCACTGCCCCTCCTGTGAGCAATGAACTCCTACACATCCTTTAAAACCCAGCCCAAACATCCCCTTCTGTGAGCCTTCCTGCCCTGCTTCTCCACCTGTGCTCCGGGCCCATCATGCTGCCTGGGAGCTGCTCTGCTGATTGCCTGCCTCCTGTGATCGTAAGCTCCCGGGTCAGGACCGAGGTCTCACACTGTGCCCGGCTCGTACTCGACGCTCCCGCCACCATTTCACAGCAAAGGCGTTTAAATGGAAAGGAGGCTCATGGAAGTGGCTCACGGAGTGCAGGCATCAGGGCAGAGCGGGGAGGAGCTCTGGGTCTCCAGGTGGAGGCGAAGCTTGGTTCCTTCTGCAAGCAGGAGGGTGGGATCTTCTGGGGCAGCTGAGACAGGTGTGTTTTGGGGAGGAGCCGATGGTCAGCAAGTGGGAAGGTAACCAGAGGTCACATAGATGTGGACAGAGAGGCTTCTGCTGTAATGAGAAGGTCACTGTGACCTTGATAGCAGCGGGTTCAGGTGGGCAGGGGGCTGAGGCCAGGAGTGGGTTGGGGAAGAGTTTGGAGGAGAGAAGTTAGGAGATTCCTGTGTCCGAGGAAGGGATAGTTGTCTGCCCTGTCTCTCTGCCTGCCTTGCTCCTGCTGCTCTCCTCCCTGCCTGCTAAGCTCCGGCCGCACTGGCCTCTGTCTGGCTCTCCCATCCCCCCACCTGGAAAGCCTTCTTCCTGCCTCCTTCTCAGCCAGCTGATCTGAGTCCCCAGGTCTGCAGTTCAGGTCACCTGGCTGCTGGAGGAGGGCCCACTCAGTGTCCTTGACCCTGCATCCTGTCTCCTAGAACTGACCACACCTGGAGTTACCTGTGGGCTGTCTCGCCTTCCCCAGTGGTGGGCACCAGGGCTGTTCTGCTCACGGTAACCCCATTGCCAAAGCTGCCTGGCATACAGCAGGCACTCAGTAAAGATGCATGAGGGATACAGGATTCTGTAGCAGGAGTTGGCTGTTGGTGGCTCAGCTTCTTTTCCTGTAAGATGCAAACTCGTTTCCTGTGTCTTCCTGGGAATTTCTCCTTTCAAGGCTGGAAGGGAACAGGGACCTTCACCTCAAGCTGCGCTGGGATCCTAAGGTTTGACCTCAGTGCTTTTGCATCACAGAGGGCGACTTTGCACCTTCCGCCTGGAACTGCTGTCCCCACTCGGGGCTGTAGGCACTCCCCAGAATCGGGCTTCCTGTTGAGGAGAAACAGCACGTCTGTGTTTTCCAGTCGTGGCTGATCCCCGTAAGATCAGCGCGTCCAGCCCATGGGCTGCACCGTTTCATCCTGCTTTGCGGCTGTTTCTCAAACTTCAACGCCGGGACTCAGGGCTTGGGAACAAGCTGGGAGGATTTGCTGAAAGCTGCACAGTATGAATCACCCCTTGCTTGCCTCAGAGACATTGGAGCCGCCTGGTGATAAGACGACTGGTGGGATGCGAGGCGATCGGACGCCTGCCCGGGCCGCAGGAGCAATGCGGCGCACATCAGGGTGCCGGTCACGTCGCCTGTCTGGCGGCCCCTGTGCCCGGTCCTGTTCGTCGAATCAACTTTGCCATCTGGTGGCTGTTCGGTGCTTCTCCACTTACTGGGTTGTCCCAGAACCATTGTCTGATGCCTGAGATTCCAGGCGAGCTGGGGTGCCTTTCTGCCTTGATACGGACAGTAACTCAGGAAAAGGGACTTTAGAAGAATTAATTAAAACATTTAAAATATAACCGCTCTGATTTGCAATTGGTCTCAAAGATAAACTCTGAACGTGCCTTGTAAATACTGCATGGTCACTGAAAAAGAAGGAGTTAAAGAAGCAGCTGTGGGGTCAGATGGAGCTCACTGGCAGGGCCGTCAATCCGGCGCGGCTCACAGACTGCAGGCCGCCATCCAGCAGCTGAGTCAGGAAAGCGCAGCCCGCTGGGCCTGCCGGCAGCACCACCGTCCGGAGCTGGCTAGGAAGCCAAAGGCTCAGGGCCCCCCTGACCCCCTGGATAAGCCTGCAGATGCCTACACGCAACTAAGAGAGGGTCAGGTCTGCAGGCCAAGCTGTTCTTCTGACTCAGATACCCAGACCTGGAGGCAGCGCGGGAAGAAGGCTGTGGAACCCAAGCTGCAGTTTCATTTTCCGCAGGAAGAGTAATTTTCCAATAATAATTGCCTGGGTGACATAGCAAGACCCTGTGTCAAAAAAAAAAAAAAAAAAAAAAAAAAAGGAACCAAATCTCAACTGTGTAGAACAGCTTCTGCTGGCAAACTCTAACCTGCACACTCTCATCTGATAGTGAATACTGGGAAAGCCTGTCTAGGGTCCAGTGGACGTTATTGCTGGGGACACGTGCTCATGTCCTCAGGCAGAGCGGATGAACCTGCAATGGTGACTCTCTGTTTCACATGTTCACTGTGCTGTCGGAGCTGTCCCCTGCTGACCTGCTGGTTCTCAGCTCTGCTTCCTGCACCAGCATCCGTGAAGGAGTCCACTGCATGTTCCTCCTGGCTACTCAGAGCTGGAGTCCCTGAAGGCATGGCCTCCTCCCGGTGTCACAGCCCTGCTAGCTGCCCCTGGGTCCATGAAGCCCTTGCTGGCCGCTGAGTATCACGTGCCTGGAGAACTCAGTGACACGTTGAGGTCTCAGACCAGATGCCCCTGAACCAGTAGGCATTGGGTGGAAATCCAGCCCCCATCTGTCCTCTGGACACATGGCTGGGATGCTAAGCAAAGAGGGCTGAAGGTGACACAAAGTCCCATCCTAGAAAATGCCCTGAACCCTGGAAAGTGTGGTGGAGCACAGCCTCAGGTACCTCTCTAGGGTGTCACAGGGGCCGAGCCCCTCAACCGGACACTCTCCTCTCTTCCTGCACACTCTGGACAGAGGCCAATGTGCAGCTGTGTCCCCACGAGGCTCTGGGACGTGGGATGTGGACCAAGTGAGGGGTGGACACTGCAGCTGCTGGTACGTAGACCGAGTGAGGGATGCATATTGCAGCCACTGGGTTGAGGCCACAGGGATTGGAGAAGTGTCTGCACCTGCAGGGCTGATCTGCACGTGTTCTCTCCACACTTCCCAGGACCCAGGAGCACCCAGGGGAGGGCTTTGCAGCTGCTGGGGATAGGGCAGGTGCATTTCTAATGATTGCTGTTCACACGATCGTGTTTGTTCCTAAACACTGGCAAAGCCTGGAGAAGTTTGGGTTAGGCGAGAACCCAAATTGGTTTACAGACTGCTTTTAACCAGAGGCCGGCCGTGGCCTTGGTGCGAGGTCCTGCAGCTGTGCTCCCCCCTGCCAGAAGCAGTCCCTGCAAGAATGCTCACATCCTCCATTCCTCACCTCCCGATGAGGCAAGTGAAATCCCTACAGAAAGGAGAGCAGGGGAGGCAGGAGGGTGTGCAGGAGGGTGTGCAGGAGGGTGTGCATGCTGGCGCAGAAGAGGAGCCCTGTGGCGGGTGATTGGAAGGAGGTGCTCCAGCGTGGACGTCCAGTCGTCAGATGCAGCCACTTGGTGGTCAGGCAGGCCCCATCAGTCCCTGTGATGACCGTGCAGCCCCCTGCTGGGCCTGATCTCAGGGCTGGAGCCTGAGAGTCCCTGCTTCTCTGACTTTGGGCCAGAACTGTGAGTGGGTCAAGCCCGCCCAGCCTGGGTGTGTATGTACAGGACTCGGGGGTGCAGGGGTGAATGGGTCAAGCCCGCCCAGCCTGGGTGTATGTACGGGACTCAGGGGTGCAGGGGTGAGTGGGTCAAGCCCGCCCAGCCTGGGTGTATGTACAGGACTCGGGGATGCAGGGGTGGGAGTCATACAGGGTTGGGTGTGAGGGAAGTGAAGTAAGTGAAGTAAGTGATGTGTATGTCTCCATCCATTCCCACTCCTAATACATTAGACTGGGTAATTTTTAAACAACAGAAATTGATTTCTCACAGTTCTGGATGCTGAGAAGTCCGGGATCAAGGTGCCAGCAGGTTCAGTGTGGGGTGAGGGCTCTTCTTTGCTTCCGAGCTGGCACCTGTGGTTGTGTCCTGACATCAGAGTGGGCGGAGGGGCAGAGGGGGGCGAACTCTCTCCCTCAGGCCCTCCTACGAGGGCACGGATCCCACCCATGAGGGCAGAGCCCCCATGACCTAATCCCCTTTGGGGGGGTCCATCTTCTTTTTTTATTTTTTAGATGGAATCTCGCTCTGTCACCCAGGCTGGAGTGCAGTGGTGTGATCTCGGCTCACTGCAAGCTCCGCCTCCCAGGTTCACGCCATTCTCCTGCCTCAGCCTCCCGAGTAGCTGGGACTACAGGCACCCGCCACCAGGCCCAGCTAATTTTTTTTGTATTTTTAGTAGAGACAGGGTTTCACCGTGTTATCCAGGATGGTCTTGATCTTCTGACCTCATGATCCACCCACCTCGGCCTCCCAAAGTGCTGGGATGGCAGGCGTGAGCCACCGCGCCCAGCCTGGGGGGTCCATCTTCTAATACCATCATCTTGGGGCTTAAGTTCCAACATCTACATTTTGGAGGGACACATACACTCAACGCATAGCAGTGTGTGAGCAAGGAAGACCCAACCTTCCCTTGAAATCCCTGTGGTGTTACAACTTTATTTTAGGGGAGGTTTATGACCCTGGAGAGCAGGTGGCAGGCCCTGAGTACAGCTTGGCGATTGGGACTGAGTGAGTGACGCACTTCTCCTTCACAGACCAGTCTCTCCCACACAAGGCCACATCCTGGGCACCACTCAAGTCAGCACGTCAAAGAGACACCTGTACTCCCCCGTTCACCACAGCACCACTCACAAAGGCCAAGACACGAAATCAACCCAAATGTCCAACACTGGAGGAGTGGGCAGAGATAATGTGGTGGATATGTATAGACAAGAGAATACTACTCAGCCGTAAAAAGACTCCACTCCTGTCATCTGAAGCAGCACGATGAACAAGAAGGACATTGCATCATGTGAAATAATCTAGGTACAGAAAGACAAATACCACATGATCTGACTCACATGCGCAAGCTAAAAAGTTGTTCTCATGGAAGTGGAGAGTAGAAGAGTGGTTGCCAGAGCATGGGGAAGGTTGCAGGGAGTGGGGACGGTGGTGGGGAGGGTTGCAGGGAGTGGGGACGGTGGTGGGGAGGGTTGCAGGGAGTGGGGACGGTGGTGGGGAGGGTTGCAGGGAGTGGGGACGGTGGTGGGGAGGGTTGCAGGGAGTGGGGATGGTGAGAGATAGAAGAGTGGTTACCAGAGTGTGGGGAGGGTTGTAGGGAGTGGGGGTGGTGAGAGATTAGCAAGGGCATAGAACTACAGTTAGGAGGAATAAGTTCTGATGTCACGTGACGGGATGGCTAAAGTTAACAACAGTGTACATTTCAAAATAGAAGAGAGGGTTTTGAATGTTCTCATCATAAAGAAATGATACATGTTTAAGATAATGGGTATGCTAATTACCCTGATTTGATCATTGTACAATGTATACATGTACCAAAATACCATGTTATGTCCTATAAATATGCAAAATTATTACGTCAGTTATCACAAAAATTAAAAAATTGTGTATCTCTCAATCTAAATACAGTCAGGAGTCACTTCATAATGGGGATATGCTCTGAGAAATGAATCATTAGGCAATTTTGTCTTTGTGGGAAGACCATGGAGTGCGCTTACACAAACCTGGGAGGCCCAGCCCCCCTCTATACACCTAGGCTGTCCGGTACAGCCCATTGCTCCCAGGCCACATACTTGTGCAGGGTGTGGCTGCTCAACACTGTAGACAACTGTAACACAACGGTAAGTACTTGTGTATCTAAACGCATCTGAACATAGGAAAGGGACCGTAAAATGCGGTGTATCATCTTACGGGACCGCCATTTTAAATGCAGTCCATACGCCACCAAAACAGGAGGTGGCACCTGACTGTATTGCTTTAACAATTTCACTGACAATTCCATTGCTACTGCTTCAACAGAGCACCGTTTCTCTATGATAATTAGCAAAATCCATCTAGAAATACAATGGTTCCATAAATGCTGTCTAATTTGTCGTTACTCTCAATGGAACACAGATTGTGTGAACATCTTAATTACAGCAACTGAATTAGTATTTGTTGAAAGAAAGGCAAGAAAGAGTATAGAATAAATATATAATTATTATGTTTATCTGCCCCCATGTTTATCCAAATATCACCAACTGCTCAACAAAATATTCAGATTTGTGCTATAATAACTAAATTTAGTCATTTTTGATATTTTATCAACATTTTAATTATATGAAACCTATATCTTTAAATACTTTTTAAAAATGTTGTTATTATAAAGGTTCATCTGTCAAGATTTTAAAAGGAGAGAGTGCGGCTCATTTGCTTTTCTTTTCATAACCTCTAACTCTTTACAACTGTGGCTTGTGACCTTACGGAAACCTTGTCTGAGACACGCCCCTCCTAACCCTTCATGCAGCTGGACTGAAACTTTCATGACAGAGCTTGGGCTGCTTACTCCCTTGTAACACATATTTCGATGTCTTCCCAACTTCAGGATTGCACCTGAGCTCTGTGATGTGCCCGTTTGCTGGTCGGGCACCTGAGCTCTGTGATGTGCCCATCTGCTTCTCTAAAAGACATGGACTTTTTCTTGTACAAACAAATTGCTATGATCACACCTGGTAACATTATCAATTCTTTTATATCTAGTAATTCGTCCATAATCAACCTTTTATTTTCTCTTCTCTTTTCTTTTTTTTCTTTTTGAGACAGAGTGTCACTCTGTTGCCAAGGGTGGGGTGCAGTGGCACGACCTCAGCTCACTGCAACCTCTACCTCCCAGCCTCAAGCAATTCTCCTGCCTCACCCTCCCAAGCCGCTGGGATTACAGGTATCACTATGCCCAGCTATTTTTGTATTTTTGGTAGAGTCTAAGTTTCGCCATGTTGCCCAGGCTGGTCTCAAACTCCTGAGTCAAGTGATCCACTCGCCTTGGCTTTCCAAAGTGCTAGGATTACAGGTGTGAGCCACTGTGCCCGGCCCATAATATATCTTTTTTGATGAACTAAAAGTGTCTTTTAACAATTGTATTCAGTTTTTAAACTTGGTGCTGAGAAAGAACAAAAGCAGCTGGAAGCACCCAGGAGCTGCCCCGGAGCTCCCAGCTGAACCTGCTGCTTTGGTGGATGGGCAGAGGCTCACAGAAACCCATGTGAGGCCCGGCCACTCGGCAACCCACAGACATCAAATGCTCCTCTCTGATTAAATGAGTGCTGGCTCCAGCCTTACCCTTACTCCACTCTGCCCTCCTTAGGAGGAGGTTCACTGGCCCCCCCAACTCATAGACTTGCCTCCACTTCCTGACAGCACCTAACCTAGCGGGGAAGGGCCTCATCTTCCTGAGACCCTCCCCAAATTACTCCAGCAAAGTCCCATCCTGTGACAGGTTATTTCTAACACCCTTTCACTGAGACACTCCCACCCCCAACCAGTGAGAGGTCACCCTTCCTACAGGAAGTAATAAACTCATTTTTCAACCACAGTGTGTTCCACACATCTTTGGCTGAAAACTGTCTGGATGTTGACAGCCCTCAGGTGCATTAACGTGAAATCTTACAAGTCTCTTTTCCTCTCGAGCTGCCCTACCCTTTTCTCCTTTTTTTATGCCATGCATGTGTTGATAACTGGTCAATTGTACTGTGGAAGTTCTCACTTTCTGGGTCTTTCTGTTTGCTCCCTTTTTTGGGGTCATTCAGCTTGTTCCTCTATCCCCCATTTCTGTAACTCCGATTTCTGGAAGTTAGCACTAAAGGCTTGATGAGACTCGGGCTGAACATTTTGACAAGAACGCCTTCTGTTGGGGCTGTGATCTTCCCCTGTGCCAGGGTGGAAGCACCCTATGTTGGGTGGGCCCACTCTTAGGGACGCTGGGGCTGGCACTGGGCTCTTGGGACAGCTGGAGCTCTCTGCTATGAGGCTCTGTGTCAACCTATTGTCCAGTGGTTTTATCTATAGATGAATGAATATTTTTAAAATTAGAAGTGGAAATATTTTACTTCTGTTATTCCTTCAACATCGTTATTAGTTGGTATTAATTTTCAAAAAAGAAATAGTGTCATCATCCAGGGTTATTTGGTTATGTTGAAGTACAATTTGTGCAGGAAAGGCAGGAAAATCACTTCTTACTCTATTTGCCAATTTCTGATAATAATCTTGCTTATTTATTACACCTTTGTTTATTTTCTCTTTCTTTGCTAGAGAGGAGCTCCAAGTGGCAGATATGACTGCTCGGCTCACTGGTCTATCCCAAATGCTGAGAACACATGGGAGAGATTGCTGCACGACAGAGTGAATTCTTCTGAGGCATCCAGGTAGCTACATGGCCTCAAAGCTCGGAATAATTCTCAAGTCTCATATTCTCCATTATTTTCTTTCAAACATTGGGTTCTCTCCTGGAATATAGGACACTTGTTTTTATTTTTTATTTTTTAATGATTGTGGGTACATGGTAGGTATATATATTTATGGGTTACGTGAAATATTTTGATACAGGCATGCAATGTGTAATAATCACATCAGGGTAAATGAGGGTATCCATTCTCTCAAGCATTTATCCTTTGTATTACAAACAATCCAATTATACTCCTTTAATTATTTTTAAATGTACAATTAAATTATTATTGACTATAGTCACTTGTTGTGCTAGCAAATACTAGGCCTTATTCACTCTTCCTATTTTTTGTACCAATTAACCATCCCAACTCCCCCTGCCCCACCACCCCACCCTCTCACTACTGTTCTCAGCCTCTGGTAACCATCCTTCTACTCTCCATGAGTTCAATTGCTTCAGTTTTTAGCTCCCACAGATAAGTGGAAACAGGTGAAGTTTGTGTTTCTGTGCCTGGCTTATTTCACTTAAAAATGACTTGCAGTTCCATCCATTGTTGCAAATGACAGGATCTCATTCTTTTTTAAGGCTGAATAGTACTCCATAGTGTATATGTACCATGTTTTCTTTATTCATTCATTTGCTGATGGACAACTTGATTACTTCTCAATGTTGGCTATTGTGAATAGTGCTGCCATAAACATGGGAGCTGAGATATCTTTTCGATATGCGGATTTCCTTTGTTTTGGGTATTTCCTTTGTTTTGGGTATATACCTAGGAGTGGGACTGCTGGATCCTATGGCAGCTCTATTTTTAGTTTTTTGAGGCAATTCCAAATTATTCTCCAAAGTAGTTGTACTAATTTACTTTCCCACCAACAGTGAAAAAGGGTTCAATTTTCTTCACATCCTCATCAGCATTTGTTATTGCCTGTCTTTTGGATAAAAGCCATTTTAACTGGGGTGAGATGGTATCTCATTGTAGTTTTACTGCATTTCTCTGATGATCAATGATGTTGATTGAGCACCTTTTGATATGCCTGTTTGTCATTCATATGTCTTCTTTTCTATGTCTACTCAGATCTTTAGCCCACTTTTTAATAGAATTTTTAGATTATTTCCTATAGAGTTGTTTGAACTCCTTATACATTCTGGCTATTAATCCCTTATCAGGTGGGTAGTTTGAAAATCTTTTCTTCCATTCTGTGGGTTGTCTCTCTGTTGATTGTTTCCTTTGCTGCATAAAAGCTTTTTAACTTGATGTGATCCCATTTGTCCATTTTTGCTTTGGTTACCCTTGCTGTGGGGTATTACTCAAGAATTTTTTGCCCAGACCAATGTCCTGGAGAATTTCCCCAAGGTTTTATTTTAGTAATTTCATCGTTTGAGGTCTTAGATTTAAGCCTTTAATTCATTTTGATTTTTTTTTTTTGCATATGGTGAGAGATAGGGGTCTAGTTTCATTCTTCTGCATGTGGATATCCAGTTTTCCCAGCACCAATTATTGAAGAGAATGTCTTTTCTCCAATGTATGTTCTTGGCACCTTTGTCAAAAATGAGTTCCTTGTAGGTGTGTGGATTTGTTTCTGGGTTCTGTATTCTTTTCTGATGGTCTATGTATCTATTTTTATGCCAGTACCATTCTGATTACCACAGTCCTATCATATAATTTGAAGTCAGGTAATGTAATTCCTTCAGTTTTGTTCTTTTTACTTAGGATAGCTCAGGCTGTTCTGGGTCTCTTGTGATTCCATATAAATTTTAGGTTTTTTTCTATTTCTGTGAAGAATGTCATTGATACTTTGATAGGGATTGCACTGAACCTGTAGATTGCTTTGGGTAGTATACATATTTTAACCATATTGATTCTTCCAATCCATGAACATGAAATAGCCTTCAATTTTGTGTGTCCCCTTCAGTTTCTTCCGTGAATGTTTTATAGTTTTCATTGTAGAGATCTTTCACTTCTTTAGTTAATCCCTAGGATTTAAATTTTATTTGTAGCTATTATAAACAGGATTGCTTTCTTGATTTATATTTCAGATTATTCTGTTAGCATATAGAAATTCTACTGATTTTTGTATGTTGATTTTGTTGTATCCTGCAACTTTACTGAATTTCTTGATCAGTTCTAATAGTTTTTGGGTGGAGTTCTTTTTCCTTACAAATATAAGGTCATATCATCTGCAAACAAGGATAATTTGACTTCTTCCTTTCCAATTTTGATGTTCTTTATTTTTTTCTCTTGTCTGATTGCTCCAGCTAGGACTTACAGTACTATGTGGAGTAACAGTAGTGAAAGTGGGCATCCTTTCCGTGACCTAGATCTTAGAGGAAAGGCTTTCAGTTTTTCCCCAATCAGTATGATGCTACCTGTGGATCTGTTGTATACGGTTTTTGTTATGTTGAGGTATATTTCTTCTATACCTAATTTCTTAAGGGTTTTTATCATGAAGAGAAGTTGAATTATATCAAATTCTTTTTCAGCATCAATTGAAATGATCATACGGTTTTTATCCTTCTTTCTGTTGATCTGATGTATCACATTGATTGATTTTCATATGCTAAACCATTCTTGCATCCCTGGGATAAATCCCAATTGGTCATGATGAATGATCTTTTTAATGTGTTGTTGAATTTGGTTTGCTAATATTTCGTTGAGGATTTTTGCATAAATATTCATCAGTGATATTGGCCTGTAGATTTTTTTAAAATCTGTCTGTGTGGTTTTGGTATTAGGGTAATATTGGCCTCATATGATGAGTTTGGAAGTATTTCCTCCTTCTGTGCTTTTTGGAAATAGTTTGAGAAGGATTGGTATTAGTTCGTCTCTAAATGTTTGGTAGAATTCAGGAATGAAATAATCAGATCTTGGGCTTTTCTTCTCTGGGAGACTTTTTATTATGGCTTCAATCTCATTACTTGTTATTGGCTAGTTGAGCTTTTGGATTTCTTCATGGTTCAGTCTTGGTAGGTTGTATGTATCTAGGAGTTTATCCATTTCTTCTAGATTATCCAATTTATTGGCATATAGTTGCTCATAGTAGCCATTAATGATACTTTGAATTTCCATGGTATCAATTGTAATGTCTCATTTTTCATCTTTGATTTTTCTTATTTGGGTCTTCTCTCTCTTTTTCTTTGTGTGGTTAAAGGTTTGTCAATTTGTTTATCTTTTCAAAGACCCACCTTTTAGTTTCATTGATCTTTTGCCTTGTTTTTTTCATTTGAATTTCATTTATTTCTGCTCTGATCTTCATTATTTCTTTTCTACTAACTCTGGGTTTGGTTTGCTCTTGCGTTTCTAGTTTTTAAGGTGCATTGTTAGGTTATTTATATGAAAGTTTTCTTCTTCTTTGATGTAGACACTTATAGCTATAAACTTCCCTGTTAGTATTGCTTTTGCTGTTTCCCAAAGGTTTTGGCATATTGGGTTTCCATTATCATTTGTTTCAAGGAATGAATTATTGAATTTCCTTCTTACCTCTTTATTGACTCCCTGGTCATTCAGAAGCATATGGTGTTTGTATAATTTCCATGTGTTTGTATAGTTTCCCAAGTTCCTCTTGTATTGATTTCTATTTTTTTTTGTCCATTATCATCAGAGAGAAGATGCTTGATATTATTTCCTTTTTTATTAATGTTTTAAGACTTGTTTTGTGACCTAACACATGATCTATCCTTGAGACTGATCCATGTGTTGAGGAAAATAATGTGTATTCTGCAGCCTTTGGATGAAATGTTCTGTTAATATCTATTAGATCTATTTGGTCTTTAGTGCAGATTAAGTCCAATGTTTTCTTTATTGATTTTCTGTCAGGAAGATCTATCCAATGATGGATGAGAGGTATTGAAGTCTCCAGGTATTATTGTATTGGGATCTATCTCTCTTTATCTCTAATAATATTTGCTTTATATATCTGGGTACTCCATAGTTGGGTGCCTATATATTTAAAATTATTATATTTTCTTGCTGAATTGACCCCTTTGTCATTATGTAATGACTTTCTTTGTCTCTTCTTATAGTTTTTGTCTCAAAATATACCCGGTATTTCATGTAAGTATAACTACTCTTGCTCTTTTTTGGTTTCCATTGACACAGAATATCTTTTTCCATCCATTTATTTTTAGTCTGTGTGTGTCTTTATAGGTGAAGTGTGTTTTTTTTTTTTCAGGCCACAGATCATCAGGTCTTGTTTTTGTTATCCATTCAGCCAATCTATGTCTTTTGATTGGAGAGTTTAATCCATTTCCATTTAATGTTATTATTGATAAGAAAGAGCTTACTCCTGCCATTTCATTGTTTTCTGTTTCATTTCTTTCTTGTTTTCTCCTCTGTAGTTTCTTTTCCTTCTTTCGTTCCTTCCTGTCTTCCTTTTAATGAAGGTGACTTTCTCTGGTGGTATAATTTAATTTCTTTCTTTTTATTTTTTGTGTATCTGTGGTATGTTTTTTGATTTGTGATTACCATGAGGCTTGATATCTTATAACCCATTATTTTAAGCCGATAACAACTTAGCACTGCTTTCATTAACAAACAAACTAACAAGCAAAAAGAAAGCTAATAAGAACTCCACACTTTAATCTTGTTCCCTACTTTTTAACTTTTCATTGTTTCTATTTATATCTTACTGTCTGGTCTATGTCTTGAAAAGTTGTTGTAGTTATGATTTTTGGTTGATCTATTTTTTAGTCTTTCTACTTAAGATGAGACCACAGTTACGGTGGTATAATATTCTGTGTTTTTCTGTTTACTTACTATTACCACTAAGTTTTGTACCTTCAGGTGATTTCTTATTGCTCATTAACATCCTTTTCTTTCTGATTGAATTATTCCCTTTAGTATGTCTTGTAGGACAGGTCTGGTATTAATGAAATCCCTCAGCTTTTGTTTGTCTGGGAAAGTCTTTATTTCTCCTTCACGTTTAGAGGACGTTTTTGCTGGACATACTGTTCTAAGGTAGAATCTTTTTCTTTCAGCATTTTAAATATGTCATGCCACTCTCTCCTGGCCTGTAAGGTTTCCACTAAAAAGTCTGCTGCCAGATGCATTGGAGCTCCATTGTATGTTATTTGTTTCTTTTCTCTGCTGCTTTTAGGGTCCTTTCTTTATCCTTGACCTTGGAGAGTTTGATTCTTAAATGCCTTGAGGTAGTCTTTAGGTTAAATCTGGTTAGTGTTCTATAACTTTCTTGTATTTGGACATTGATATCTTTCTCTAGGTCTAGGAATTTCTCTGTTATTATCTCTTTGAATAAACTTTCTACTCCTGTCTCTTTCTTTACCTCCTCTTTAAGGCCAACGACTCTTAGATGTTCTCTTTTGAGGCTATTTTCTAAATCTTGTAGGCATGCTTCATTCTTCTTTGTTCTTTTATTTGGTTTCCTCTGACTGTGTATTTTCAAATAGTCTGCTTCAAGCTCACTAATTCTTTCTTCTGGTTGATTGATTCTGCTGTAAAGAGACTCTGACACATTCTTCAGTATGTCAATTGAATTTTTCAACTCCAGATTTTCTGCTTGAATCTTTTTAATAATTTTAGTTATTTCAATCCCTTTGCTAAATTTGCCTGATAGAATTATGAGTTCCTTCTCTGTGTTATCTCAAATTTCTTTGAGTTTCCTCAAAACAGCTATTTTGAATTCTTTCTCTAAAAGGTCACATATCTGTTTCTCCGGAATAGGTCCCTGGTGGCTTATTTAGTTTGTTTGGTGAGGTCACGTTTTCTTGGATGGTCTTGATGCCTGTGAACGTTCATTGGTGTCTGGGCATTGAAGAGATAGGTATTTATTATAGACTTTGTTGTCTAGAGACAACAAAGGTACTGCCTTTGTGGTCTTGGATAAGATCTGGAAGAACTCTCTGGTTACCAGGGCAGAGACTCTTATTCTCTTCTCTTACTTTCTCCCAAACAAATGGAGTCTCTCTGTCTCTGTGCTGAGGCACCTGGAGCTGGGAGGAGGGTGACACAAGCACCCCTATGGCTACCACCACTGGGACGGCACTGGGTCAGACCTTAAGCCAGCACAGCACTGGGTTTTGCCCAAGGCCTGTTATAACCACTATCTGGCTACTGCCTATGTTTGCTCAAGGTCTTACGGCTCTGCAATCGGCAGGTGGTGAAGCCAGGCAGGCTTGTGTCCTTCCCTTCAGGGCAATGAGTTCTCCCAGGCCCCGGGCAGATCCAGAGATGCTATCCAGGAGCCAGGGATTGGAACAGAAAACCTTAGAAGTCTACCTGGCGTTGTATTCTGCCGTGGCTGAGCTGACACTCAGAACACAAGATGCAGTTCTTCCCCCTCTTCTTTGCCCTTTCTGCAGGGAGAGAAACTGCATCCTATGGCCACCACGACCACAGACCCACGGGAATACTGCCAGGCCGCTGCCAGTGCTCCCTTCAAGCCCAGGAACTCTTCAGTCAGCTTGTGGTGAATGCTGCCTGGCCTGGCACTCACCCTTTCAGGCAGGGGGCTCCCCTCTGGCCCAGGACAGGTCCAGAAATGCTGCCTGAGAGCCAAGGCCTGGAATTGAGACCCCAAGAGCCCGCTTGGTGCTCTGTCCCACTGTGGCTGAGCTGGGACCTAAGGTGCAAGACAAAGTCCCCTTTATTTTTTCTCTGTTTTTCTCAAGCAGAAGGAGTCTTGCCCTGTAGCCACCACAGCTGGGAATGTGCCAGGTCACACCTGAAGCCAGCACGTCTCTGAGTCTCACCCAAGGCCTGAAACTCCTGGGTATCTCTACCGCTCCTTCAGGGCCCAACGGCTCCTCTGTCAGTAGGTAATGGCTCCTACTTGGACCACGTCCTTCAACAGGGCACTTGTTGTTTTTTTTTTGTTTTGTTTTTTATCCTAAGACAGGGTCTTGCTCTGTTGCCCAGGCTGGAGTGCAGTGGCATGATCTTGGCTCACTACAACCTCCACCTCCCAGGTTCAAGCAACTCTCCTGCCTCAGGGCGGTGCTCTTGTGCTGAGACAGCTCTGGAAAGTGTGGAGTTTCCAGCTGGGCTGGGGCTTTTGCCCAACATGATCAGGCTGAGCTGGAGCAGCCTTGATCTCAGATGTGGGTCTATTCAAGGGCAGGTTCACCACGGTGCCAAGGAAAGATGCCTGAGGACACCTGAGTGGCCTCATTCTACACCTTCCTGATGGCAGTGGCCTCATTCTGCACCTCCTGATGGCAGTGGCCTCATTCTGCACCTTCCTGACGGCAGTGGCCTCATTCTGCACCTTCCTGACAGCAATGCAGCCCCCAACGGTGATCCATTTTTTCTGAATATGCAAAAAATATCAACTCCATAAAAGACTCGTGTCTAGTTAATAATCCAAACAGGATTGAGAAGTCCTGCTTTGGAAATGAGAAGAGAGGAAGTGTCCCCAGGGCTTCGGTCCTGGCAGGCATATCCATTATGGCTCCACTCGCTAAATGAACAGCCTGGCTCACAGCAGGCCCTAGACCATCCTAAACCCTTCCATTAATCAAATTGCTTGGATTAAATAGAACAGCAAAGCAGTGATCTTGAGAATGATCTAATAATATTGTGATTGCTTTGAAGATTAAGTGAAAATATCAAAGGAGGTTAACCTAATCTCCTTCCCACCCCAAATGTAAATATACAGTATTGGATTCCCACTGAGAACTGGGAACCTTTTGGGAGGTGGCTCCACTAATCACTCTTCCTGTGACAATCTAGAGAGCCTAATTAAAGATTCTAGGGGCTGGAGAACATTGGCTCTTGGGAACATGTGGGCAGCAGGAAACTGAGCTCTTTTGGAGTGGCTGTGATGGGCGTTCCCAGGCAGGACTGCCCACTTTCTCTGGGTGGACTGGATGGAAGCTTTGATAACCGCATGTGAAAAGCACTGCATCTATTTTTCTTCCTCTATACATTTTCTACCAGAGGTTCACGCAGACTCAGGGAGGTGGTTTCTATCGTGGAAGATCAGGTTTCCCAAATGGTGTGCAGAATATCCGGGACTCATTCTTCCAATCCTGCCTCATACAGACTGAGAACTTCTAATTCAAAATGCTTGGGACCAGAAGTGTTTCAGATTTCAGAGTTTTTTCAGACTTTTGAAATATTTGCATATACATAGTAAAATATCTTGAGGGTCCAGCACAAGTCTAAACATGAAATTCATGCATGCTTCATGTACGCCGTGTACACATAGCCCAAATGCATGCTTCATGTACACCTTATACACATAGCCTAGAGGTAAATTTATACATTTTACATCATTTGAGACATAAAACAAAATTCATGTACATCAAACCATCAGGAAGCAAAGGTGCCACTATCTCAGCCACATATACGGATAAGCTGGGAATATTTCACATCACCATCTCTCCTGGCTCTGAATTTATCTGCTACCAATAAGCAGTCCTTTCCTCACGCTTACTTACACAGAGTACGTGACAGTAAGGAACACTCCATCCCATTAAAACAGTGAAGAGTAACGAGTCCAGGGTTAGTAGCAGCATGGTGGCATCAGCCATCAGACAGCAGCTGCAGGGAACAGCGGCATCTTCAGTATCCACCAACAGTGCTGGGCTTGGTTAAAAGGTGACCATACGCTGGAGCCCCCTTGCTGAATAAACGGTGTGTTTTGCACCTGTGTTTTGACTGTGACCTGTCACATGAAGACAATGCAGAATTCTTTGCTTGTGGCGGCATATCTGTGCTACAAAATTTTGGGATTTTGAGCATTTCGGATTTTGAATTTTCAGGATGCTCAGCCTGTGGTAGACACTAAACTAATATTTGTCATGTTGAACACGCATGTGGTGAGTGCCGACTGCATCTGAAGCACATGCACAGACCACATGTGAAGTCTTGCCGACTTCAGAGTTCAGGAGCCTAGCAAGAGGTGAGAGAAACACAAACAACATAAGTCAAAAGTGACGTGATACGAGGTCAGGAGTTTGAGACCAGCCTGGCCAACATGGAGAAACCCCGTCTCCACTAAAAATAGAAAAATACAAAAATTAGCTGGGTGTGGTGACACATGCCTGTAGTCCCAGCTACTCAGGAGGCTGAGTCAGGAGAATCACTTGAACCCGGGAGGCAGAGGTTTCAGTGAGCCAAGATCGCACCACTGCACTCCATCCTGGGTGGGTGACAGAGTGAGACTCCATCTAAAAAAAAAAAAAAAAGTGATGTGATAGAAATACAGATTCCAAAAACGGGTTCCTGTCATAGGTGCTTTTTCGTCTCCAAGTCGAGAGTATCATGTTCCTTTCCAAATGACACGGATCATACAAGTTTAACACAGGCTTAGAGGTCTCCCAGCCCTGGAGTCTCCACGTGGAATCTCAGAATCACCGGGGGAACATGGAGCAGCCGCTGGCCCCAGCCCCACCCGGACCTGGCCCTGCTGGATGCATTTCCCACGGCTGTTGAAACAAATCACCTCAAACGCAGTGGCTTCTCCTGACCAGATGGAGTGGCGGATGTAGATGAGACATAGCACTATAAACCTCTCACACTGAAGGGGGTGTGGAACTAAGAAACGTGTTATGTGCTGCGCTTTGAAATGGGGAGAAGACTAGGGAAGCATTCTAGAACGAAATTCCAAATATCTCTTCTGAAGGAGAACAATGCGTGAATCACCCTAAGTAACAGAAGTAAGAATGCCTTTCACATTCGGCTTTGAGGGGCATTCTGTAATTTTTGCCTTGCTTTGAAAAAATATCTTCCATAATTTCTTCATTGGCTTAATATTTGAAGCCTCATTATTCTCTGAGCCACACATCTATGGAAAGTATAAGATGTCCAGGATTAAATGTGGCAAAGGAATGATTAAAATGGCTAACCTCTTGCGGTCACTCCTAGATGTGTGTATCTCAGGGTAAAGGTCTTAATTTCTTTACGGCAGTTTCCTCATTGGTAAAATGAAGAGAATCACAGGGCCACCTCCTTCATAGGGATGTTACGAGGTTTAAATGACACAGTATATGTCGGCTGGTTGTGAGAGCACTCAATGAACAGAAGCCGACTTTGTCACCAACGTCATTTCCATTGTCATCAGCACCGTGCACTTAATCGCAGCGTAAGGAGGGAAGGCTTGCTGGGGATTAGCAGATGATGGGACTGTGAGCCTCTCTCTGAGGATATTTAAAACATCTCAGTCTCACAGCAGATTGGACGCAGAACTGAGCGATGAGGAATTGATGGGAGAATTAATACCTGCGCATCTGTCCTTACACTTGGGTGGGGCACGTGCTCATCTGACACAGGGTGATATTCCTCTTGGTGGCAAGATTCACTCAAACATCGATTTTCTCCCCAGCATTTCCATTTCTGAATGGGATCTCTGTGTCCTTTGACATGGTGTTAAATGTTAAAATACAGGGTTTTGTGGCATCACAGAAAGTCTCTGAGGACTCCGAGCTGGGTCCCCATTGAACCCACCTACAGAGGTTGCTGTGGAGCCGGGAGAGTTTTTACCACAGTGCCTGGCACATTGTAGGTTTCAAAATACAAAAAATGGAGTTTCTGGATCATTTGTTAGCTCTGTTTTTAATTTTTTGAGGAACCTCCATATCGCCCTCCCTACAGTGGCTTCATCAACAGTGTGCAAAGGTTCCAATTTATCCAAAAAATGGGAATCAGGATCTCAGAAAGATGTCTGCACTCCCATGTGCAATGTGGGACTGCTCACAGTGGCCAAGATACAGAATCAACCTGTGTCAACAGATGAATAGATCAAGAAAACGTTCAGACAGAGAATGCAATATGCTTCGACCTTAAAAGGGAAGGCCGTTCTCACCCATGTCACCTGCAGAGGTGAACCTTGAGGACGTTCTGCTTGCTGAAATGCGCCAATCACAAACAGACCAACACTGTGTGATTCCTCTTGCGTGAGGCCCCTAGAGTCCCCGGAGCCACAGAGGCAGCCGTGGAGTGGCGGGAGCCAGGCAGGGGCAGGGAGGAGAGGGTCTGCTGTTCCGTGGGAGTGAGTGTCAGGGACGCGAGTGCACACGCTCTGCGATCTGCTGTGCAACGTTGTCCCCAGAGCGAACAGCACCGTGAGGTCAACACTTACAGTTACGTGAGGAGGGTTGAGCCCATGCTAAGTGTTCTTACTGCAAAAAAATTAAAGCAGAAAAAAACCTTAGAGGTAGTGATGATTTCTATCTATAGTCAAAGGTGTTCTAGGCGAAACCTGTTTTGGTTCGGCTTGTTTTGCCTGTGCACACAGCAGGTGGCAGTCTGAGCCTGCAGATGGCACCCTGAGGCACGGCTGGACGTCGAGTTGAGGAGGGGGCGTCTTGAGGCCTCTGTCATGCCCTGGGTGCCATGTGGGCGGAGATCCCTGCCCAGGCACAGCTCTGAGTCCCATACACGGGTGACCCGCACCTCCCAGGGTACCGTGTAGACAGGACTTTTCTTAGCAGGAGGGAATTGTTCATTGAGTTCTCTGAGTTGATTAAAAGGGAAAAAAATCTATCATAGAAAATCTGTAGTTTCTTGGTTTTTTCCTTTCAAAAACTCACAGTTTTCTTGACACTCTTACAACTGCAGGAAGTAAATGTTATAAGTTCCGATAACACCTCAGCATACTTCATTCCTTGCACCAAAACTAAGTCTGACTGGATCACGGTGTAACTTTTAACAATGAAACCATAAAATCCTAGAAGGAAAACAAAAATATACGATTAATATTGGGGTAGGGAAGGTATGACCCAAATCCCAAAAAACATAAAAGAAAAAGTTGACAACATTTACCATATAAAAATAAAAACATTCCTGACAGGAAGAAGTGTGTAAACAAAGTCAAACACAAACATTCAACTAGCAAAAGATATTTTAACAAATAAGAAAATAAAAGACTTATGATTCCAATACACATACATATTAATAAGGAATGAAATATTGAAAAATGGCCAAAGATACAGAGAAAGAGACGAAGAGCCATTAAATATTTAAAAATATACTGAACCTCACATGATTAAGGATAGTTTGTTCAAATGACGTCAAGTCAGTCTTCATGCATCCATTGGTAGAGAGGTAAACCCTTCCCATAACTGGCGAGGGGAGGTGCAAGAAGGGACTCTCATTTACCATTGGGGGAGGGTAAATTGGCCTAATATTTGGAGCTCAATTGGCAGTATCTTTTAGAATGATGAACGCTTTTGCTCTTTGACTCAGCAACTCAGCCCATTTGCACAGAGATGTTTATTGCAGAATTTGTCTGAAATAACAACAAAGTGTAGAGACTCAAAGGCAGGTGGGCTATGATAACATGTGGCCTCCTTCTCTACAGACTGGGAAGTGGAGGCAGGGAACGCTGCCTCGTTCCTGCTCTGTTGCTTGGCAGAGAGCTTCCAGGCAAACCAGAATGGAGGTGAATGGTGAATTAGGCCTTGGATTTGGGGTCTAGACCATGCAACATATAGTGGGTCACATCATTTCACACCAACGACATGGGTCATCGTCTCTCCTTAAACTTCAGCTTCATAGGGCTCCCACGATTTAGTAATGTCACAAAGCAACATGTGGTCTTACTTGGGACAGACATAATAATGCATCTTGAGCCATGGAAATGGGTTAAGTGCTAAATCTTATAAATATTTGTCCTGCCCTGGACGTTTAGGGCAAGGAAAGGAATGTTTTCTCTCTTACTGAATTCCACATCATCTCAGCTTGGCAATCAATCAAAGCTCTGGCTTTCATCCTGGGATTTTATGACCTCAGATGGGAAGCACGACAAGCAGAGAATTTACAGCTATGTGGGGACCCCAAGCTGAAAGCTTTCTAACGCACGTTGGAGGGTCTTCGGGCTCCACTGCCGTCTTGTGGGTTGCTTTCTCTTCTTTGCAGTTTTCCTGGCAGAGTTGCTCGGATTACTTGATGAGGTTCTTGGGGTTATCTTTTCAGGAGCATCCCTGAAATCACAGGTGTTGTTGCCAGAGGCGATGCCCTCTCTTCAGCTGGCAGAAGCGCCAGCGGCAGGAGCGTGTCGAGGGAGGTTTTGTGTCTCTTCTCCCCATCCTCGGCCTGCTTACCGAGGCCCGCTCCGTGCCAGAAAACACACTGGTGTTCATGTGTCACCCCAGCTCCACGATCATGACCTGCTGCCTGTCTCAGGTACCACCAGTTGCATTTTCTCAGACAGAATTTTAACTTCATCAAATTGTGGTAGGAGGAATCCTAGAGACCACGTAAAATGACTCCTTCATTTTCTAGGTGAGGATCTTGAAACCCAGCAGGGTTAAACGACACTGAAGAGGAAACACCCAGCCCTGGCCCCACAGAACAGCGTGAGCTTGCTAATGAATAGCCCGAAGACCACAGAGCACTAGACAGAGCATTTCAGCTTTGAAGAAGTGAGTTCCTGACCTTGAGCTTTGGAACAGATGCTCTATGAACCTCTGCAAGTGACCAGCTTTTAGGGCCATCCTTGAAGACAGCGATTCTAGTGAATGGACAGTGTGTAGCTCCTGCTCACAGCTGGGAGAACTACTTAAAGGGAGCACATTAGGTAAGGATCCAACTTACACTTTGATGTCTAAGTCTCTTTCTTTGCCCGTCAGAACAAAAGTCACTGCCATGATAACTAGGCTTTGCTAGTGCAATGCAGTATATTTTAAATTCTTACAAATATTTTAGACTTGTTTCCACAGAGGCACCATTGATATGTACGTAAAACAGGGCCTTTCAGCAAAGTGTTAAGCTGATCATCTGCAGGGGTGAACCTACAACAATGAAATGACACGTGTGCTCGTGGATTAGACGGCAGTGAATGTGGTTTCTCTTGAGAACTTCGTTCTAGTGGAAAAATGAAGCATCTCTCCCTCGTGACACGGTTCTCACCACAGCGGTTCTGGCCCCTCCTGTTAGTGATGAGCAGGTTGTTTAAAAGAAAAAGAAAAAATATGGCCTCCTAAGCACATAAACCGCACGTTGTAAAAAAGCCCAGACTATCCCAGTGAGATTATAATGAACGTCTTATTTCCAATTAAGTTTCACTTCATATAATTGGATTTTATGCTTCAGAATGATGTTCCTAATTATGGGTGTTATGTCTGTGAGACAACTGTTAAAAGAAAAACCTTGGACAAGGCCAGGCACGGTGGCTCATGCCTGTAATCCTGGCACTCTGGGAGGCTGAGGTGGGAGGACTGCTTGAACCCAGGAGTTTGAGACCAGCTTGGCAACACGGCAAAACCCTGTCTCTCCAAAATTTTTTTTAAAAAAGCATTATCGTGGTGTGGTGGTACACGCCTGTAGTCCCAGCTACTTGGGAGGCTGAGTTGGGAGGATCGCCTGAGCCAGGGAAGTCGAGGCTGCAGTGAGCTGTGATTAGTGCCACTGCACTCCAGCCTGGGCAATGGAGTGAGACTCAGTCTCAAAAAAAAGAAAAGAAAAATCATAGACAAATTAAATTTAAGAGAGTAATTGAGCAAAAATGCTTCACCAATCAGGCAGCCCCTGATCAAGAATAGGCTCAGAGAGACTCTGGCACTGCCTTGGGGTGGAAAGAAATTTATGGACAAAAAAGCAAAGTGAGGCACAGAAAACAGAGAGGAAGGACAGAAACAGCTGGTCAGTTACAGCTCAGTGTTTGCCCTTTTGAACACAGTTCGAACAGTTTGCTGCCTGTGATTGGCTGAAACTCTGTGATTGGTACAAGAGTGGGTTAGGTCTGTTTCCATGTCCAGTTAGGTGACAGTTCGCTGTGTACACAGAAACCTTCAGGCCAAATGTAAAATGTGTAAGAAGGCAGCTTTAGGCTAAACTTCATTCAACACAGTGCAGAGTGTGTAGGCAGCATCCATGAATGAGAAAGTTATAGCGTGTGAGTGTGTGTGCACAGGGCAGCACCTGTGGCTGAAAAAGTCACAGCAGGCGAGTGTGGGCATGCACAAGGCAGAAGGATGGGACAGCATGGCCGGCCAGTGCATGGTCACTGGGGGATTTGCATGGCAGGCCAGCTGGATGGTTTCTGGGGGATTTGCATGTCGGGCCAGTGCGATGGTAACTGGGGATTTTTCATAGCAGGCCAGTTTGATGGTAACTGCAGGGTTTGCATGGTGGGCCAGTGCAATGGTAACTGGGGGACTGGGTGATTTTCAGATGCAAGAACTCTTCCCATTTCTTCAAAGCGGGTACTGACATGCTGAGCTGTTCATCTGCATGACTGCAACCTCTGTGGGAAGTTGGGGAAGCCACAGACAGAGGCATTTTCTTTTCTTTCTCACAGGTCTGGGGTATCGCTGCCACTGTGTTACTCCCTCCAATGATTAAGTCCTACAGAAGCCAAGCCCTTTTGGGAATCAGGCTCAGAGTGGGCTGTGTCCTCACCTTAGTAGCTTCCCTTGTCCAGGCCCCTGACAACAGTCATGGGTGGCGGGGCCTCCAGTTTCAGTGAGCTTTGGGGATTTTCTGTAGCGCACCACCTTCCGCTCCTTAACCTGCATGAACAGAGATGACCATGGCCCATCAGAAGATGGAGAAACTAGACAGGGGGGCATGTGTGCCCCCTTTTCCAGAGCCTCACAATGACTCAGCGTTTGGGCAAGAGATGGATCCCAGGACTCCCAAACATTCTTCCAGCCTCGCACAGTTCACCAGAGAGTCACAGTGACTCATTCTCATCCTCAAAGTCTTTTCCCACTCAGGTGTCTGGTAAGAAGCCTGGTTAGAAGCTCCACTGCAGGAAGAAGGACATCTTGCCATGTGTTTTGAACACATGTTGTCTTGTTATATGTTGTGAACATAGATGTTTTCAATTGATTTTAACAAAACACATTATACATTCCATTAAGAAAAAAAAACAATCAGTGTGTTTGCTTTGCTGTCTGTGAAAGATGTTTCAAATGAAGTGGAGTGATCTAATTTCATTGTCGGCTCCTGAAGAATTCATATAGCAGAGTGAAAACATCCATCAGTATTTGGACATGTACTCCTTGTGGTTTAAAATAAGGGCCAAGCACGCCTTTTATTTGGTGATATTCAACATAAAGAAGGCGTTTTCTATGTTTTTGTGATCTCATTTTGCTTTCTTTGAAGACGAATATCATTTTTAGAACAAAAAAGATTGTAAAATAATTATGTCATCAGAATTCAATGATAATTCACAGGAAAACAGGACACTGATTGTGTTGGTCAAACAGCCCATGCGCACGGTAAGCCGAGTGTGACTTTGTTTATCAAATGCTCATGTGGCGAGACCGATCTCTGGACTCTGTCCTGGGTTCCCGGGCTCCACCCAGGCTGCATCTCCCATCCCCCCGGTGCACACGCTGTGTTGCTGCATCTCCCAACCCCCGGTGCACACGCTGTGTTGCTGCATCTCACATCCCCCGGTGCACACGCTGTGTTGCTGCATCTCCCATCCCCCGGTGCACACGCTGCGTTGCTGCATCTCGCATCCCCCCGGTGCACACCCTGTGTTGCTGCATCTCGCATCCCCCTGGTGCACACGCTGTGTTGCAGTTCTTGCCTCGTAGGAGCCGTCCATGGCAGCTGGCAGGTGGAGGATCCTGCCTTTTGAGTACTGTGTTCCTGGGTCAGTGCAAAGTCAGGTGCACTGGAGCAGGCTCCTATCAGCTAAACATTCAGGAAGTTTGAGAGGCTGATGTTAAGGTAGCTTGAAGTGGTCATGAGAGAAAAATTTGCACCCTGAAAGTTGACAAATGCTTCAAATCAGGACTCCTCCTCCATCCTGTCCCAGCTGAATACAGAGAAACGATTCATCTTTTGCCGACCTCTGTTGCCTTTTGGCAAAGTAAAGTCATGAGACTTCAGGAAGCAATTCAACTTCTCAAAATGAATTAAATAGCTTTCATGAGCTTGCAAATGTCTGCCTTTCTTATAGGAGGAGGCAGAGGGTTCAGCCTCCCTAGAGAAGTGATATTATAATCTCCACCTCTGTCTCCTTTTGGCAAAGTGAAGTCACGAGATTTCGGGAAGCAATTCCCGTCTACATTCAGCACCTGCAATTGCATTAAAGGACATCCCGGGCAGAGGAAAAGCAAGGCCACGGGCACAGGGCGGGGCAGTGGCAAAGGTGATGGGGAAGGGTGGCTGCCGACATGGTGGTCAGCAGGCTGCAGCCACCTTGTGACCAGGAGGTATGCCTTGCTCAGAAGCCCAGATGCTTGATGCATGTACCGTCCAGATGTTCTAAGCCATGTGCACAGAGAGCCCTCGGGCCTAACAACACATACATCACTGTCAATCCCGAAGCACCGTCATGGAGATTTATCCACCCTCCAACAGCATCAGTGCCCAGGAATCCGCCCAGATGAGATGAGTTCCAGGAAAATGTTGTCCCTCAGGAGTCCTGGGCTTTACTTTCAGATACACTACTCTCTTCAGGTATGAATTCCATAGTCATTTCCATGTTAAGCCTCAGCCTTTTCAGTGTAAAATGGCAGTTCCAGGGGGAAATGTTGTACAGTAGGATAAGCCAGACTCAAATTACTGAAAACATCCTGAATTAGTAGCCACATTTCCACGTTTCGGTGGCCCCTGGCAGGTGGAGGTTATCAGAGCGTCTGGCAGCCCTCTCATTCCCAGGCTAAAATGAGGTCTGACTGCAGCTCATACAGCTGGAGTGTGGCCTGGTGAGGAAGGGTTTAGAAGACCGAGAGGAGGCTAACATCCTACAAAGCACAACAGTCACTTCCTGAAACATACCTTAGGTGTGATTTTAAACTTGACTCATTTGACGCACTTTTTCTGGCACTTACAGAGATGAGGCCATCTTCTCTTCTGACTGCTTTAAGCTCTTGCCAGGCATTGCCAAAAAAAAAAAATAACCTGGGGACGAGCCGCCCACCCAGCAGTAGTATTGATCCGTGCTTGCCAACGGTCCTTTGCTTTCGTGTCTGTAAGCTGTGGCTCCCTGCGGGTCAGTCTTCCTGACTCAGAGGAGCAGACACTTCTGCATTACTCACTGTTCTAAAACGTCCTTGTAAACACCAGAGATTTATTCTTCAGCTTTGCTGTCAGATGGCTAATCTCTCATTTATGGGTTTGTGCTGACTAGTGCATAGCCAGCACAGCACGGGCTGCCGCTCTCCACTCCCCCAGAGAAGGGCCCAGGGTCCCCCCTGCCCCGGCTCCCAGAGCTCAGCTCTGGTATTCAAGGCAGGACCTACCCACCTGCCTGAGGGCTCGCCAACAGTGTTACATGACGACCTAGAATAAAAGCTGCAGAGACTTCAAAAGAGAGGTCTCCTTTAAAGGCAGTGAAGTAGGCGTTTTGGAGAAAAGATGTCTATGGTTGCTAAACACTCACATTTTCAGGAGCCTTGGTAAACCTGGAGAAACTGTTTGATTTCTAAGTCAACATACTTCACCCAGTCATCCTTCCATTTGGTTAAACTGCATAAAGCTCATCACTGTAACATCACTTCACTAGGGGGCTGACCCCCTCTGTCTCCTTTAACAAAGGCAGATATTTGCAAGCCCGTGAAACACAGTGGGCTGAACATGTTCCTACATTGTTATATTGGAAGTGGAAGCAGCTGCTCCTAATTTGGTCATCTTCCCTCAAGCAGGAAGGTGTCGCCAAGCAGAGGGTCCCACGGAGCCAAGACTCCACAGACTGCTACGTGACCACAGGGATGGGTTAGACCCGCTTCCAGCTTCTGCAGCTAAAGCAACAGCCCCCACAGGGCAGAGGAAAGCGACAAAACCAAATCCCAGCGCTTCTGAAATGGACACATCTGCCCTCTGGAAAAAATCAATTGGCGTTGCCGTGACAGATTCTGCCGCCCAGCAAGACGCGAAGTGATTTAGTAATCTAGTTGTTTTTTGTTTTTGATTAAGCAAACAGTTTTCTACAAAAGCAGCTAACCCTCTCCTATCATTGCCGGAGCATGGGCTTGGTAAAGGAAGTAGGTGCAAAATGCTGGATTTTATTGATTCTCCAAATGAAGTGTTCCCACAAGGCGAAGAGGTGGAGCTCCGGAAATGCTCACCGTGTCTGTCTTCTCCCTGGCATGGTGGGGCTGGCTGCACAAACACTCGAAGAAGTCTTTGAATGCCAGCCCTCAGCACGTGGGGCAGGTGCAATGGTGCCTGGAGTCTCAAAGCTGAGTCATGTAAGAATCCGCTTAAAATGGGTTCAATGTTGACAAACACTGACTTAAAAAAAAATTTAACACTGACTTTAAAAAGCCAGTCTATTAAAATGTCTTTCAACTGTAAATGTTTACATCAAAAGTTTCATCTTTATAATCACTAATTTAAAAAAACTACCAGTGAAGTGAACACACACACACACGCACTCTCACACACATGCACGCACACACACACACGCACATGTGTGCACACACAATGCACACACACGCACACACACAAAGCACATATGCACACGCACACACAGGCACACATGCACACACACCCGCGCACACACACGTGATTATCTTCTTTCTTTTTGAGATGGAGTCTCACTGTATCACCCAGGCTGGAGTACAGTGGTGCAATCTTGGCTCACTGCAGCCTCCGCCTCCCGGGTTCAAACCATTCTCCTGCCTCAGCCACCCGATTAGCTGGGACTACAGGCATGTGCCACCATGCCTGACTGATTTTGTATTTTCAGTAGAGATGGGGTTTCACCATGTTGGTCAGGCTGGTCTTGAACTCCTGACCTCAGGTGATCCACCTGCCTCAGCCTCCCAAAGCGCTGAGATTACAGGTGTAAGCCACCACGCACGGCCACGTGATTATCTTCTCACTCATCACTCTGAGTGCTATGTTTGAAGACCCCGGCTGAAGACCACTGATGTGATGTAAAGATCTGGGCTTTGCCAAGATGGATTTAAGTTTAAATTCCAGCTCCGCCACTCAGTGCCTCTGTAAATTTGGGCCATTTAAACTCTCCAGTCTGTTTATACACAAAGAGAGCAAACAGCATCTGCTCCACAGTGGCTGTGAGGCCTGCACGGAGTGTCAGGAGAGCATCTGGTACACAACAGAGAGACAATTGCAAGCTTCGCTCCGCTTTCTCCTGTAACAAATATTGATTGAATTGGTTGAATATTGATTTGGAAGCTCCATTAGCAGGTGAGTTTCCAAATGCTCACCTCCACTGAGGTGAGCTCAGGGGCTCCTCCAGGACAAAGCCAGTGGTGTGGGGAAGAACACTTTCTTCTGGGCCATTTGGGGTGAACTCCTGGGGTTGGGAGCACTGGCTCTAGGCAGCCTGTGTGTGACACCAATCTCGTTCGGACCTGGGACTTTATGCAAATGGCTTACTTCCTCTGTGCCTCAGTTTCCCTATCTATAAAATGAGGAGGGTAATAGTGCCTTCCTTAGAGGGCTGTATTAATGTTAGTCTTGGTTGTTATTATAGGAAAATGCATTTTTCCCCTCGGCCTTCTTTTGTTCAATCTCTTCAATTTTCTTCCTCTCTGATACATTTGTTATTTTTATCATGCCCCCTTTCCTGGACTAAAGGAGAATATTCAATTAAAGTAATGCAGTTTGAAAGCTCTGAAGGAGGAGTCTTTTCTTCCTCAGCCCCAATTACTTTGATAATTGGAGTGAGTCCTACATATGACCGCAGCTAAGAGCCATCGATGGGGAGATGGACACCACAATTTCCTATTTCATTACAAAAAATGGTGCCAATTAAATCGAGTCAAATCTTTCTTACCATTTAGACTTTTTACATTTTTTCTTACAGAAGGAGTAAGGGCTAATTCGGGCCCAGATTGTCAGATGTCATCCTTGTGAATGCATAAAAAGGAAACTGTAGTGGTGGGAACGGAAGGGTTCCCTGAAGCATGGTCGGAGACCCTGTCCTCGTTCCTTAAAGTCACTGATGACAGAGTGAGCAGCCGTCTGGATTGCCTGGGACAGAGGAGCTTTCGGTGCTAAAACAGGGACAGTCTGGGAAGCTGGGAGGCTGGGCCATCTTGGGTGAGGGGTGGTTTCTGCACACCGTCCACCATGTCCCTGAAGGCTTGGTCGACACACACTTCTTAGAGCACCTGCCTGACCTCCAGGGTTTCCTTCCCGCCCTGACAACAGTTTCGCAGGTGTGATGTTCACTTTCTTCGATCTTACGTGGTGGCATCCACCGAATGCTTTCAGCCAACAACCAGGACTTACATTTTATTTCCTAAACCTTATGCAGTTTATGGGTGAAAGCACTGGGGGGCATGGTTGTCTGGTGCGGTTTGTGGGTGAAAGCACTGGGGGGCATGGTTGTCTGGTGCGGTTTATGGGTGAAAGCATTGGGGGGCGTGGTTGTCTGGCGAAGGAGTTATGGGGTAACAACCATGTCACCTGTTCCTACCTTGGGGCCAAGACCTTGGAGCACCCGGAGGGCAGAAGTCTTTATCCCAGAGGTTCCAGCCCAGGGGCCTGTGCTGGGCCCCACCCCGTGGCTCTTCTTTTTGATCTTCAAGTGCCTGAGAGGCCCCTTCCTCTGCGGGCTGAGGCTTCTGCCAGGCGAAGCCCATGGCTCAGTGGCAGTAACGGCAGCATGGCCGAGGTCACTCGTGAGGAGGCAAGGATGTCCAGTCACGACCGCCTCCCCATAGTCCATAACAAGCAGCCTGACTCTAGAGAGGCCAGAATGTTGGGAATGCCGTAGATTTAATAATCAATGACGCGTGGCAACTCCACCTGGTCTGTGAGGAGCCCCACTGTCACCCTGGCCGTCCTGCCATCCCCCGACGGGGCGGCTTCCTCGGTGGGCTGCGCCTCTCCCCTCCCCATGCTGCTCCTCCCCAGTGTCTCCAGTGCTCCCCTTACCCCCCAGCCTGGCAGGCCCTTCTCTGGGTGCGGGGTGGGAGGAGCAGCCCCTGCCAGGCCCCCCAGCGACCCTTGCCCGCCTCAGCTCTGCACTGACACTGGGGTCAGGTCTTCGTTTTGGAATCCCGGGCCGGGTACTTGCTTTGGTCAAGACTGCCTTTGGTGCCCGCTGCTTTCCCATGTTGAACACTGACAACCGAAGCGTGGGGCATATCAATTATTTAAGCGATGATGAGGAATTATTTTTATTTTCAAGAGAGTTTCGAAGTTCTCTTTGAGTCCTGAACCATGAGTCTTCCTCAGCCTGGCAACTTTGCTTCTGATTTTCCGTGAATGTCGTTAGAATATGAACGAGGAGGTTCTTTGTGTCTCAGGCAATGCCAATCCCAAGAACAGAGCTTTCTCCTGCCGCACGGGTATGCACCATGTTCTCAATTATGTCTGCGGTTTTCCTCTCTCTGAGGGTCTATCCGCCCCACCTGTGGTGAGGACTGAAGGCTTACAGGTTAAACACAGCTATCCCTTCCAGGCAGAAGTGGTAATTTGTGCTCTGATCTCAGTGATGTTTTAACCATTAGAGGATGCTTTTTAACACCTTAAATTCCATCAGTCGGGATGGAAACTTGAAAAGGCTATGGGAAATACATTATTGCTCCATCTAAAAAGCTCCCTTCAAATGAGAATGAAGGAAAGGAACGAGCTACTGAATGCACCAGGCAATCTTCTTGCCCTCACTGTTAGAATCGCCCTATCCTTGCCTCTCCTGATCACTCAAACATAAAAGATATTAAAATATTTTTTTCCAGGTAAGACTAGTTGGCCACCGATCCACATTCTCAAGAGGAAAGTGTGATGATTTCTTGGTATGGCTGGTGCAGATTGAACTGAAAATCTGAGCCTGCCCAGGTTGAAGTGGCTCCAGCCCTGCGGTTAGCAGGACACTCATTTAGATGGAGGTGAGCAGTGGGGCGGTTCCCTCAGATGCAGCTGTGACGCTGAATTCCTGGCTCAAGTCTCAGACCTAGTGAGGTTGATATGTTCACAAACACTGATCTGTGTGCACTTCCGTTTGTCTAACACAAGATAAATTCAAGCGTGTGTTTATATGTTTGTATTTCCAACACAGAATGAAAGTGGCTCTTTTCTACTTGGATATATTACACATTTTTGTGACTTTCTTTTTAGACCTCTGAGCTCAGAGGCACCTCTGCTTATTCCTAAGGTTGAGTTTTTTTCTTTTTGGCTCTGTTTTCCAGAACTGAGGAGCATGGAATGTTGAGAGTTAGGGAAGATATTGGGAGTGGAAAAGGAACGAGTGGGTTCACCTTGGGTCAGTCAAGAGTTGGCCTGTTTTTATTTATTTACTTATTTTTTGAGGTGGAGTTTCACTCTTGTTGCCCAGGCTGGAGTGCAATGGCACCATCTCAGCTCACTGCAACCTCTGCCTCCCAGGTTCAAGCGATTCTCAAGACGGGATTTCACCATATTGGCCAAGATGGTCTACGAACTCCTGACCTCTGGTGATCTGCTCACCAAGGCCTCCCAAAGTGCTGGGATTATAGGCTTGAGCCACCACACCTGGCCTGCTTGTTTTTAAGTAAAATTCAAGTCAGTTGGTATTTGTTGACTCAGGGCCTCGTATTTGACACAGAAAGATGTCGAGAGGCGAGCAGAATCTCACTGCTGCACTGAGGGGCTCGCTGGCTGACGGTGGGAGGAGAATGTCTAACAACCTACCACATGCAGCAGATTCTCCTGGAAAGACGGGAGAGGCAAACGTGGCTACTGGTGTTTGGAGCAAGAAGAGATTTCAACAGCCCATGGTGAGGACTGGGAAAGGCTAAGTTATGGAAAACAGGGCTTTTTAATGGCTTGACACATCAGAACCCTCACATTGCTTTTAGAGTATGTAGGTCAGCTGGTTCTTCTGGCACGCATTTGCTGTGTCCAGGGCTGGTGCTCTGACAGCTGGAGATTCCCCAGATAAAGGCTTGCTGCTGGGCCGCACAAACCAGCTGAGGTCAAAGCACTGAGGAAGCTGCTCTGTGGCAGTGCCCTCGGCGGGAGGCAGGAGAGAGGCTGGCGTGGAGAAAACAGGGCTCGGGCAGCATCAGCTTTGATGTAACAGAGTGCTTCGTAAAACTCCCAACTTCCAGTGATTTGTTGATTGAAACATAATAGTTTCTGTACAGTTCTTTGGAAACCTAAATTTGTGGGTTACTTTCCGGTACTTTTTAAATTAATTTCATGTAAGCACCAGAAATATGATCAAAACAAACAATTGTAAACTTTGAGACTGTGACTGGACTCAGTCCCCTCACAGAGGAATGTAGGATAACTTTGAGCTTTAGAAAGACCTGCAGGACTGTCTGCAAAACTCCAAACAGCCCAGGGAGGTCCTCTGGCTGCTGCCCTGACCTCGGATAGGTCACGTCAGGGCTTTGGAGACTAACATGGTAAATGGGCTAGGCTCTGTGAATTCTTCAGGTATCAGTGAATTCTTCAGGGGTCAGTGATTCAAAGTTCTTAATTCTAGGGTTGTCTACCTCTTGTCGTTATCACTTAGGGGAACTAGAAACTGATTTACTTCAAGAGCCCCCTCCATCACGTTTTATGCAGACGTCAGAAAAGCATTGCACATTTTCACAGAGTTTCTTGCCATTTACTTATCACACGTAAATTGGCATAATTGAAAGAATACTTTCTTTAGTTCTGCATGGATGGTAAAAAGTTTCTGGAAATTTATTTCATTTTGAGAGTTACTTCCAGGGTTATTTGATGAAATTCAGATTTTTAAACAAATAATTTTAAGATTGCTTTCTAAGTAAGCATTTTTTATCTCATTCATGGGAAAAATGAGTAATCAAATTCGATTACAAATCATTTGATAGGTAAATAAAGCCTGATTTTTTAAAAAAGCACTTGGCTTTTTAAAATGAAGTGTTGAAATTATTTCCATTCAGCCATATTAGTACAGCTTTTCTTTCTAGATTTTCTTTGCTGCCAGGACTCCATTGAATATTGTGAAAAGAGTTACGATGCTGGAAAGCTAACACTGATGACAACGATGATGATGATGATGATGAATAACTGATATTTATTCATGACTTGGCAAGCATCAGGCATCATTCCAAGTGCCTCATATGTCTGAGCGCATTCATTCCCTTAGTACCTCTATGAGGCAGGGACTATTATCCCCATTTTACAGACCAAGAAGCTGAGGCAGTGAGACCGAATCTTGCCCACAGCTGCAGAGCTGGAATGCAGCAGAGCTGGGGGTGGAAATCAGGCTTTGAACCTTCAGCACTGCACTCCCAGCTCCCTTGTTAAAGACGAGATGTTTGCAACTCAAGTATCACCCTGAGGTCTGGGAGTGTGTTGTCTTCTCGACATGGTGTTTCTAGAGTCTAGCCCAGAGCCTGGCACATAGAAGCTACACAGAAATATTAGCTGAATGAACATCGATTTACCTGAAGGCGGGTAGGTCCATTTGGTGCATGTCATAGAGGATTTCCAGAGTTTGAAATGACATGTGTGACAATACAGCTTGGAAAACTAAGAGCAGAATATGTTTTGACAGAGGAGGTAGCAATTAGGCACCTTTGTTTTTGGAATACTAAATAGGATTTGGCATTTTGTGGATTTGGTCTTATTTTTTCAGACTCTAGGGAGGAGAAACAACATCATGCATCTCTTCCTGTGGTCAGGTGGATCTTGTCTATTTGGTGAAAGCTTCTCTGACAAATATAAGCTTTTATTTGGGTTACTGTGAAAGCATTGACTCTCTAATAATTATTTTCCCTCTTTTAACCTGCTGTCATGTTTGTTAACGAGGCCATCAGCAGAGCAAATTTAATTAAAGGGTGGATGGCAGGAGATGATGGGCCATGACTAATGGTTCCCGAGAGCATGGAAGAGTGTTTGGAAAGAGAGTCACTCCCTTCAGCCACCAGGACCACATCATTCTGTTATGTCATTTTTATTTTATGAGGGATGTTTTCTCGCTGGCATCATATGTTGAAACTCCTCCTGCCGCTCCTGTGAGGAGGGCTGGGCCTCGTCATCATCCTGGACCCAAGAACTGACCTCATGCTTGACTTTCCTGCCCACTCCCTGGGTGGGATGCACGAATCTCCACAGCATGTGGTCACCACATGGAGGGCTCAGTGCGTGGCGTGGTGTGGCACATGGGATGAAGCGCACACAGAAACCAAAGTGCTCTAAGAGCCACCTCTGTCACTATATCGTGATCATTTTGCCTGAGTTTGGTGTTGCTCCTGATGTTGGCTCCTTATGATAAATGTGTCTTTTATCTGTCCCCATATCAATAATTATCTAAAAATAAATCAACAACTAAAGTCTGCTGAAGATTGGATGGTTTGTTGCCTCAAACATGCAATTAATTTCCTTTCATTTTGATTCAATTCTCATTAAAAAAGCAGAAGTGAAGAAACACGGCAGACCATCCACCACACAGGGGCTTCGGCAGACCCTCCGCCATGCAGGGGCTCCGTGATTGGAGAGCCCTGTTCGGACGCTGGCACCCACTCAGCCTGGGTGGCTGTGGGCAGGGGTCTTACTTCAACCAGAGTCTGTGGCTCATGGTGGCTGTGTGTCTTCTGTATTCCAAGTCCAGGACAGACCCAGGACTGCCAATGGGACTACACAAGGCAGCCAGGTATGCTGTGAATTGTACAGCTGTACAGGGCTTCAAACAGCTCAGAACATTTTTGCAACATTTATGAATCTGTCTTTCCAATCGCGTATAATAGATATACTTAGGCCTATTTTATATAGGAGAGACTGAGACAGAGGTACTGAGCTCAGAACTGAAATCCAGGCCCTCTTCCATCGGGGTATTATTACTGTTATTATGCCAACCTTGTGATGGGTTGAACTGTGTCCCCAAAATTCATATGTTGCAGTTCTAACCCCAAGTATCTCCGAATGTGACCTTATTTGAAATAGGGTCTCTCTACAGAAGTAATCAAGTGACAGTGAGTTCATTAGGGTAGATCCTAACCCAGTACAACTGCTGCCCTGATAAAAAGGGGATATTTGGACACACGCAAGGAAGAGACACAGGAGAAGATGCCGTCTACACACCAAGGAGAGAGGCCTGGAACAGATTCTCCATCTAGGCTCAGAAGGGGCCAACCCTGCCGACACCCTGATCTGAGATTTCCAGCGGCCAGGACTGTGAGGCAATGGCTCTCTATGGTTTAAGTCACCTGGTGTGCGATCTTGTGTGAGGACAGCCCTGGCAAACTCAGAGAAGCAGGCTTCAGTGCCCCACACAGGCATCTGTCCTAGCTGGGTGGCCTTCTTAGGATGATGTCTTTGTAAATCCCAACGTGAGGCACATGGCCCCATTCCCCATGCTGCACAGGTGAAGCCAGAGGCCCAGAGCACCACTGCCTGTGACCTCAACCTGCAGGCAAATCTGCATGAGGACGTAAAGTGGCTTTTTATTCAACGGAGTCTTTGCCTTGACTCATCCCAAGGTTGTGTCTCCATAATGTGAAAACAACTGATAAAACCATTTGTATTAGTCCCTTCTGCCACTGCTATAAAGATACTACCTGAGACTGGGTAATTTATAAACACATGACTCACAGTTCTGAATGGCTGGGGAGGCCTCAGGAAACTTACAATCATGGCAGAAAGCACCTCTTCACAAGGTGGCAGGAGAGAGAGTGTGCAGGGGAAATGCCAGACACTTATGAAACAACCAGATCTCATGAGAACTCCCTCACTATCATGAGAAAAGAAAGGGAAAAACCGCCCACATGATCCAATCACCACCCCCAGGCCCCTCCCTTGACACATGGTGATTACAATTCAAGATGAGATTTGTGTGGGGACACAGAGCCAAACCATATCACCATTTTAATAAAACAGCCAAATGAATTGTCCAGCCTTGTGGAGAGGAAGGGAGAGGCCACCTCACAGAGACCTTTCTCCTTAAACTCAGCTAGGATATCCCAGGACAGAGGGTCATAGAGTAGCCGAGCCAGCGGGAATCAGAATCAGGATGAGATACATGCGGTGCGCTGGGGGCAGGTGCAGGGGAGGTGAGTGTGCTGGGGTGAGTGCTCTGGAAGTGAGTTAGAAAGCATTTCCAGGGACATTCCACCCAGCCTCCACCTGTCAGGTGGGCCATTCAGGTCCCAGATGGAGTCACATTAGCGTATCCATTCTCTCTTGCATGGCTTCTAAAGGCAGCGACGAGGGGGGTGATGATCAGTCCAACAATTGTAGGAACAGAACGATAACCCAC
The DNA here is from genome assembly GCF_000001405.40 of Homo sapiens. Lineage (NCBI taxonomy): Eukaryota > Metazoa > Chordata > Mammalia > Primates > Hominidae > Homo > Homo sapiens. Next base: position 168,167,841 of record NC_000006.12, read on the forward strand.
ATATTAATGGAGCTCTTCCAGGGAACCCGAGGCTGAGCCCCAGGGAAGCAATGGTGATGTCCTGGCTGCTGTGGTTGTGCAGTCTAATGGGAGGAGACATTCTAGACAAATTGTCAAAGCTCAGTACATAGAGGATGAGTAACAGGGGCAGCCTCCCTCCAGGGGTGACAGGGGCTGTGTGTGAGGGATAGGAGGTTGCTATGCGGGGGTGCAGGAGGATGGGCTGGGCTGGGTCATCCTGGGGTGGGAAGGGACAGAGCATCTGAGGAACAGAGATGAGGCCAGTGAAGCAGCCAGCAGCAAGGGGCGGGACAGCCAGGGGCAGGACGTGCCACCAGAGCTGTAGGCAGGAGACCAGCCTCAGGGGACCCAGGGGGGTTCACTGAAGGGCTGATTTTCATTGAGAAGGCATTGGGGGGACATGAACAAGCCTCTGTACAGAAAGTTTACTCTTCCTACAACATGGGAAATGGATTTGAGAGGGTTCAGCTGGGACCTTGAGGCCTGGGGAGCTGCTGCGGTGGCTGCAGCGTGGCCCTGGAGCTGGAGAGTGGGGGCAGATTTGAGGGAGGCCTAGGAAGTGAAGTCCAGAGGACCTGGGGATTGACGAGTCACGGGGGTGAGAGAATGTAAGCTCCACAAAGACGATGATTTTGTCGATATTCTTAGCTTTTGTATCTGCAAAGCTTGTATAAGGGTTGCTCATAGAAAGCGCTGAATACAGTCATTAAGCGAGGGACTTCCTGAATACAGTCATTAAGCGGGGGACTTCCTGAATACAGTCATTAAGCGGGGGACTTCCTGAATAGTCATTAAGCGGGGGACTTCCTGAATACAGTCATTAAGCGGGGGACTTCCTGAATACAGTCATTAAGCGGGGGACTTCCTGAATACAGTCATTAAGCGGGGGACTTCCTGAACACAGTCATTAAGCGGGGGACTTCCTGAATACAGTCATTAAGCGGGGGACTTCCTGAATACAGTCATTAAGCGGGGGACTTCCTGAATACAGTCATTAAGCGGGGGACTTCCTGAATAGTCATTAAGCGGGGGACTTCCTGAATACAGTCATTAAGCGGGGGACTTCCTGAATACAGTCATTAAGCGGGGGACTTCCTGAATACAGTCATTAAGCGGGGGACTTCCTGAACACAGTCATTAAGCGGGGGACTTCCTGAATACAGTCATTAAGCGGGGGACTTCCTGAATACAGTCATTAAGCGGGGGACTTTCTGTGTCGCTCATCAAGGCTGATGCTCAGGCTTTAGCCTGCACTGCTAGGGCGTGGCTGTGTCACCCACTGAGGCATACGGCACAGGACAAGGACTGAAATGGGAAACTGAATCCACGTGGGGCATTGCCCATTACAGAGCAAGGTGTTCCAGCAGAGACTTCCCAGAGCCAAGTCTGGCACAGATGTCGCTTCTCCATGCAAAGTTCCCTACACCCCAGGTCGATGTAGCCTTTTGTAGCTTGGCTCTCAGGACACCGGTCCACATTACTCCTGTGGTTACAATCACACTTTGCTTTATCACATTTCAACACTGAGCAATGAATGTGAGCAGGTGAGATTGCTGGATGTTTGCATTACAGCCTGGGAGGAAGAAGAACAGGAGGGCAGAGTGTGGTGCACTTACAAAATATTCGCCTCGGTGGAGGAAATGTGTGCTAAGAAAAAGATCCTCATTTTGGAAAAGCTTAACTGCTTTAATGAAGTAAATGTAAAGTTTTCTTCAGGTGAACGTTAAGATTCACTGACTTAAAAATAAAGCTTCGGCAGGGCCAGTGTGTGTCCTCTGTCCCCATGAACCACTCTGTCTCAGGAAAATGAATTCCACGTGGGATGAGTGGTGTGTTGGTGATTTTCCACGAGGGTTGAGTGGCGTGTTGGTGATTTTCCACGTGGGTTGAGTGGCGTGTTGGTGATTTTCCACGTGGGTTGAATGGCGTGTTGGTGATTCTCGCATGTTTTGGGGGTGTTTATGGCCTGCGATTTTTCTGCAGAATCCCTGGGGTGTAGCAAGGGAGGCCCAGGCCACCCTGGTCCCTCCTTCTTTGGACAGGGTTTACTCTTGGGCTTCTCTGATGTGACAGTCCGGAGCTGGATTCACTCCCATGGTCTCTCCCAATCACCCATGAGGTTCTGCTTAGATTTAAACAGACAAGGGTCAGAGATGACACGTGGAAGTGACGTGCTCACTAAGTTGTGTCTTCAGAAGCAGTTCCGCTGTGAAAGTTGTCAGAATCAAAATGGAGTCACTTACGTTAAAACCCTGAAAAATAGAGCCAGGAAAGGCTGTAAAGGGAGGGTTCTTATGTATGAATGCCTGACAATAGGAACTGTCACAAAAGACTCTGCAAAACCCACGTCTTCATACAAGAGCATCTCGACCTTACACAAAAGTACAGACATCTGCCCAGCAACTGCCTGTCCAACCCGGGACTGGCACCACCTTTGTTATTATTGATTCTTGTAGCTAAGAATAATTATCTCAAAACAATGATGTGACCTCCATCCTCATTTTTCCTTTAAAAACCTCCATCTTCCTTTACCTCCCTGAATATGCACATAGTTTACTATAGCAGACGTATTCTCGTTGCAATGCCTATTCCCAAATCAATGTCATTTTCTTTTAGAGAGCCTGTCTCTGTTTGTTCTTTAGGCTGACAAAGATGGTGCTCAGTGCAGGAGCTGAAGAAACATCACGACTGGAAGGATGGGCTGTTCTTGGACCTGTGTGCAGTTCTCACTGGACCCCGTTGAGCTCTCTGTTTCCATGGGGATTCCATCACCTCTTCTGCCTAGGTGAGTCCTCTCTCAGGCTGAGCCGCCCTCATTTCGGTACAAGCTTTTTTACTCTGTCTGGGATTTGGTTGGGTTATAAGACCACCTGAAATAAAAGAGCTCACACCCCTTCTGGGATAATGGGGGACTTTTTGCCTTCTTGGCAAGTTCTCTTGGGTATAAAGGCCAGTGCCCCTCTGGTTTGAGTGCCATGCTTCCTGTGGATTTTACCTTCTGCCTCCGAGGCTCTTGTCTTCTCGGGTGGATTGACTTTGGACTCTTTCTGCCCAACATAATGTTTTGTTGGATCGGAGTGTCTAGTTAGAATTTTGTGAGTGCTCTGATGTTGGCTCATTTTGGTTTAGTTTTGTGCATCTGTAAATAATTTGGCTCTTTTTCCCCTTGACTGTTTCTAAAAAATCTTCCCAGAGCAAACACAAACATTCTTCATGGTGGGTGTGGGATGGCTAACTAGAAGCCACTCAGCAGTTGCCGCCGTCTAAGACACTGACCCAAGCTCCTGACACTGCTCCACAGGATCTATGGGCTTTTCTTGGCTCTTGAAGAAATGAAATGGAATTCTCAAATACTAAGGCCACCGAGATTTCTGGGACTCCAAATGGTTACAAGCATTTCCCGGCGCATGTGTTTACATCACTGGTCATCATGGGGACCTTTTTTTCTTTTTTTTTGAGATGGAGTCTCGCTGTATTGCCCAGGCTGGAGTGCAGTGCCGCAATCTTGGATCACTGCAACCTCTGCCCCCTGGATTCAAGTGATTTGCCTGCCTCTGCCTCCTGAGTAGCTGGGATTACAGGCGCGTGCCATCATGCCCAGCTCATTTTTCTATTTTTAGTAGAGACGGAGTTTCACCATGTTGGCCAGTCTGGTCTCGAACTCCTGACCTTGTGATCTGCCTGCCTTGGCCTCCCAAAGTGCTGAGATTACAGGCGTGAGCTACCGCTCCAGCAATGGGGATCTTTTGAACTCCCCAAGCTCATTTTTCCTTCAGGCTACAGCTACAGAGTTAACTTGTAGAGTCTTTTAACTTTTCTCTCTCTCTCTATATATATATACATATTTTTTTCTTCCTACTTTGCATTTGCTGACTCTTCTGCAGATGTTGAGAAAAAATTCATTGCTTATCACATGCCAGACAAGGTTTTAAAAAAGTCTTAACGGGCTTTCAAATTACTGACTTTACAAATTACCACACCTCCATGGCAACCAACAACAACCAAGACACCTTTTGGAAATGTAAATTTAGGTTTGCCTGACTAACAATTGCTTAGAGTAATGGAACAGTTAACTGAAGGAATGACATTACAAAAGAAAAAGTAGTAGAAATTGTTTATAAAATTAGGCCCTAAGATCAAACAGGTCAAAATCTTGAGTTCACAGAAAAAATATAAAAATATTTCTGTCTGGCATAAAAGTTGTTTTGTCTTGCCATGAAGGGGCAGAAAAGTAAAAAAACTCTGCTAAAATGGTTCCCTGCCTGCATAGACTAGTCAACCAAACCAGACTGGTAAAACCAGATAGATTTATTGCGGGTCCAAGGCCACCTGGAGAATTTATTGTATATAATTCAGCCAGCCCTAGCAGAAATGTCAACACTGAAAATTCAACCCTAAACTCATTTGAAACTGAACAAACGGTAAAAAAGAACAAAGTTTTCTTTAAAAGTCAAACTGCTATGGAAACTGCTTTACCCAAAACGTTGGTCCACCACCTTCATTAGATTATCTGTCAGGGAAAAAAAAGTTTAGCCACGTGAAGGTGTCCCAATTTGTCGGAAACATAATTTGGGTCTAACTGTCTTTTCTATACTGATGAGTTGGTATGTTTACCGTATCATGACTAAAATCCTAAAATGCAAACTGTAAGATCTTTGTGTGTACACGTGTGTTTAGGTGTACTTACATGTATCCACATGTATGATGTTATATATTACATCTACATGGTAAAATCTGGCATAATCAGCTAAAAATTCCTTCAGAAAATTTATTCAGTTTGGCTTAAATAGGTGCTCATAGAAGTTGTTAAACTATATAGTAATTAAGTATCTCTTAGTTCACATGACTTCAGTAACTGATAAATAAGCTGGTTTTAACATTGTTGTTAAAATAAAAATAGAAATGTTTTTAAAATTGTCAGCACACATTTTTACCTGAGGTTGCTGGCCAGACGGTTTTATATTTGTCTTCACTTAAGGCGTCACGGTTTGACACCAAGGTTATAAAACTATAAACTCAGCCTAAAAGCAGAATAATATTTGTTTGTATAACTCTTTGATAAATAAGGCTAATATAATGTTATTGATTTAAGAAAATTAGCTGTATCTTCTGAGTCATCACCAAAATATCCATGTATTTTACTTTAAGTTTCTTACTTAGGTGAAGTACATTATATTCATAGGCTAGAAAAATGGTTACTAGGAAAATAACAAAATGATTAGCTTTGTCTAATATCTTAGTTTTCATAAGTAATATAGGTAAACCATTAAAAATAAACAAATTAGGTAAATTTAAATGGGATAAACATTTACGAATGAGCTTTGCATGTAAAGTCTTAACGTCATGTTAAATTAAGTTGTGGATACCCATAAAATGTCTGGGTGATTCTCAAATAAGATAAAATGTTAATATTGGACAGACAGTTCAAAATTGCTTTGGTTTTAACTAAAAATTAGGGTTACTAAGAGTTAAAATTTGGATTTATATATTTATGTGTGTATGTGTGTGTGCATATATATATGATTCTATATAGAAAGTGTGCCAAAACTTAAGATGTGCTTTTAATGACAAAAATGAGGAAGGCATAAAGTGTGTTTTTTATTGAAAAAAGAGCAATTCTGTCTAATTCAGAGCTTATTTTAAAAGGTTGTTTCAAAGTATGGATTAAAGAAAAAAATAGAAGCAAGATAGAAACTGGTAAATAGGTGACAAAGATATGAAAAGAGTTTTAAACATAAAATTGTATTTATGGTAAAAAAAAGTTTAAAAAGAGAGTAATTTTGTAGGAGAAAGAATCTTGAGTGGTGCATTTTTGTCTTAAAGTAAAATAACTGGTTATGTAAGAAAGAGGATGCATGGGGCAGAGCAGAAAGTCTTAAGTGTGTAGTGGGAGGTCTGTGCAGGTCACAAATGGTTCATGAAGGATAGATTTATGAAGGGAATGTGTGTGTAATCAAGTTGGCTATAATTAAAAGAAAATTATTTATATGTCCATCTAAAGATTGAGATTTGATATTAAAAATACACTGATACAAAACTTGACCAGCCTAAGCAACATAGCAATATCTGTCTCTTTTTTTAACTTGTATTTTAGGCTCAGGGGTACATGGAAGGGTTTGTTATATAACAGGGGTTTGTTGTGCAGATTACTTCATCACCCAGGTATTAAGCCCAGTACCCAATAGTTATCTTTTTTGCTCCTCTCCTTTCTCCTACCTCTTTTTTTTTTTTTTTTTTAACGAGGGGGAAAGAAAAAAAAATACACTGATACAAAGCTAAAATTTTCCCCCCATGTTAGAACAACAAGATTTTAAACAAAAATATTGATCTGCTCTTGGTAAATATTGCAAAAGGTTTTGATTTCTAATTCTGAAGTCTATTTCTTTACATTTTCAACCATCTCCTGAAGGGCAGCTTCTTCCTGTTTTAGTTAATGTTTCTGCCAATTTTTTTTCTGAGATCCATTTAATGTACCTAGTTTCAGCTTAGGAATGCTGTTTTCTTCATTGAGAATAATGATTTTATTTCTCAGGGTGGAATTTCTCTCCAGAAGCTTCTCAGGTTCCTGTTCAGAAGTTTCCCTTCTGCTGTTTCTTGCTGTATGTGATTTGCCAGCCATGCACCATTGCCTTCAGCTCTTTCTCCCCTGAGAAGGCTCCGGTAGTGACTCTCTCCTTTAATTTTTTTGTCAGCTCCTATAACTTTTTTCTCTGGTTTTGTCTGCTGTTATAACCTGACACTGAAAATTCTGTCTTGAAAGCCTAGAAAGGCATATAAATTCAGTACAACTTGAACTCCTGGCTTTTCTCAGTACGTCTGAATTTTTCCATGTAACAGGAAGCTCATCATGCTGTTACTAGAGGCCATGTGTTCCCGTGCTCAAGATACTAGCGATGTTGTTCATGTTCCATGGTCTACACTAATGACCTTGGACACACACTCTTGCTGTGTCTTATTAAATTCAAGTAGCTTTTCCATCAGGTTTGACTTCTAGTTTATCAAAATGGGCTTCCAAGAAGCCATCACATTGCAGGAGGATTTTCTTTAACTTTTTGGTAACATGCCTAAAGAAACAAAGATTTTACATGTTATCAAGATAATTTCCTCAGTTGTCTTTATTAGTTTTTGATTACTTAGACAAACTGTGCTTTGAAAGGGTTAAGGTTTCTTTATAAATCCATGTAACTTTCTGTATTGCTATTAAAGTCTCTATCACGAGGGTTAAATGAATGACTATTACTTCCACAATGACTTGTGATTCTGTTTTTATCAAATGTTTCAACACTTTTGGTATCTTTGATGGGCTCCCCCAATATCAAAATTCTAAATTAAGTAGTTTTGACCTAAAATTATAGATTGTCCATTCAGGCCCTTAGGGAGTCTAAAATGATGTCTCTCTCATCTTGTAGAAATATTAAATGATAAGGCTTTTTTGGCAAATTGCATGGTAAGCACTGTCAGATGGTGAGAGATGCTAGAGATTCCTTCAGTTACATTGATGGGTATGTTATTGATACGAATGTTCCAAAATTGCACAAAACTCTGAGAAGTCTAGGACATCATCAAGTCCTAATTCTGTTTTTTTTTATGCTGTATGCCACAAATTAACCAAGTTTTCTTGTCAATTTCTGATAATGGTAAATTTTCGTTCAGATTTATAACCATGGCTATTCTAACTCTCTGTGATTCACAGTTACTGTTTTAAGTCTCTGTCTGAAAGCATCTGCAGTCAGATTTGTGAAAAGACTCCAATAAGTACTCTTAATTACAGTTTTCTTATAACTTTAAGATCAATAGACTAAAGATTTTTAGAACGTTAATGAGGAAATGGATGGGTTCATGAAGCTGATAATGGAGATCAAGCAGAACAAAAATTAATCACATAAGCTGAATAACTGATGGAAATAATATTTCTATGACTTTCATCTGGGACATTGTTGGAAATTTTTTTGTTTTCCAGACTTAAGGAAATTTTCTCTCTTAAGCTATCTACAGCTTATGATAACTTGGTGAAGTATACTTTTGTGAACAAAGATGGAAGTATTTCCTTTTTCTCCCTAATTGATTCTGCCAGGAGTGGAAACTGTCAGGATGTATTCTTATTCTCATTACTTTTTGGCAATATGGCTATTCGCATAATTTCAATATGAATTCACTCTCCCTTGCAAAGAGGATACAATTGAAAACATTGGTTATATTGCCAAGGTTTTGTCTGAAATATCACATTTGGGGATGTGCATAGAATGCCTGTTTGTAAGGGTTAGTAGGATCTTATAGTCACTAAAGTTGTCACTTTCTGGCAGGCCCAGGAACCTCGAGACAGTAGGTGGAATCTACAGTCAGTATTAATTTGACTTTCTAGCCTCAAGAGATTTTAAAATCTGAGATTCCTGTGTGATTAATGTAGAGAGAAGAAGTTATGTTTCTGAGAAAACCTGCCCATACACCTGTTATTAGATTACAGCTCTGTGCATTGTTTTAGAGTTCTTGTTTCTACCTATAGACTAGACTAAATCCTAAATTCTAGGTTCCTCCAATCCAATTTTTTTTCCATAAAGGTACTAAAAATGGAAACCATTCCTGAAGTCCTGTAAGCTGAACCTAGGTTAATTTTAAGGAACAAGTCCGATACCCAATGTATAAGTCAAAAAAAAATTCACCAAACCTCCTGATGCCATAACCAGAGACATTCAAATTGTAAACCAACAGAAGTTGATGGTTTCACACTATAGATAGTCTTTCATAAGATTATGGAAACAAGACTCTATGTTGCAATGACACTCTTACTTGTCTTAATGCCTTTTAAACTTGACCGAATAGTGGTCATTTAATGTATTTAATTGGTGGCCTTTCAGCCTACGTTCATGTCTCAAAACCATGATATAACCTGGGTTTGAGAGATTACTCTTAATTTTAATCTCTATTGTCCTTTTTACATTTTGTCTCTGTTGCTTGTCAAATTTCTGCAGAAGGACAACTCCTAGCAGAAGGATGCTGGCCCAGCACTTTGAGTTGATAGCCAACACCTACAGAACAGATGAAATTGAGCTTAATAACAACTTAACAAAATTGAACTCCAAGCAGGCTTAGTCTGAGGACCACTCCCTCCAGGCCTCCCTTCTTGCTCAAATGTGGCTGAATGGATTTCAACACTGACTCCTTGTCACCAGTCACTCCCTCCAATGTAGAAGCAGACCAGACCAAATCAAGACAGGTCCATCCTTACACTGAGGGAAAATCAAAACCTAACTGCAGGATGGTTGATCAGAGAAAGATCTTGATCAAAAGAGGAATGTGAAAGTTACCAGAACCAAAATGGAGTCACTTGTGTTGAAAACTCTGACAAATAATACAGGAAAAGGCCATGAAAGGAGGGTTCCTAAGCATGAAAACAATCACGATAGACTCTGTGAACGATGCGAGCCTGCACAAAGGCCCACTGCAGCTTACACAAAAGGCACATCTGCACAGCAAGTGCCTGTTCAACCCTGGACTGGCCCCCTCTTTTTATTGATCCCAGTAGCCAAAGAGAATTCTCTCAAAACAATGATATAATCCTTCTCATTTTTCCTTTAATAACTTTGTCTTCCTTCATCCTTCGGAATACACACATAGTTTACTATGGCATGCTATTCCCATTGCAGTGCCCTATCCCCGAATAAATATCATTTGCTTTTAGAGGGCCTCTCACTGTGTGCTTTTTAGGTTGACACACCTTGATCTGTCCTTTGTCATTAGGGGAACCTGAGTGCTGTTTGATACACTGAGGGCAGCAAGATAACCCCATTGCCCAGAGTCCTGCCTGGCTGCCCCATCCGGTGGCTGCCCTTGGCACACCTGCGCCCTCCTGCCTCCTTCCCCACGCAGGCTCCTCCTTGTCTCCTGCACCTGGAGCCCAGTTTCTCAGACTGTCTCCACCAAATGTCCTCTGTGTCTCTACCCTCTCTCTTCCCATTGCTCCTCTTCTCACCTGCTTGCATCTCTTCCTCCAAAAGAAAGAAAGAAACCTTCTCCCTGGGGCCCAGCATTATGATCTATGCTGCCCCAAACTCTTCTTTTCTTACAGTCAAACTTCTTCTCTTTTTCTTTTCTTTTTTCTTTTCTTTCTTCCTTCCTTCCTTCTTTCTTTTTTTTTGAGACAGTCTTGCTCTGTTGCCCAGGACGGAGTGCAGTGACATGACCTGGGCTCACTGCAACCTTCGCCTTATGGGTTCAAGCCATTCTCGTGCCTCAGCCTCCCGAGTAGCTGGGACTACAGATGCGCACCACCACGCCCGGCTAACTTTTGTATTTTTAGTAGAGATGGGGTTTTGCCATGTTGGCCAGGCTGGTCTCGAACTCCTAACCTTAAGTGATCTGCCAGCCTCAGCCTCCCAAAGTGCTGGGATTACAGGCGTGAGCCACCATGCCCAGCCCAACTTTTTCTAAGCGTGCCCTGACCTGTGGGCCCATTCAAATCGCAAACCAGGAGAAGCTGATGGTTTCACACTATAAGTAACTTTCCCCCCGACCCTCCCCCTGGGGGCCACAGCAGATCCACGTGGCGAAGCTCAGCAGCTTTCGGTCTCTGTCTCCTTAGACTCCTCGTGAGCAGCCAATGGTGCTGACCACAAGCGCTGTGCACATCTCTGGGGTCAGACTGTCGGGAATCTGCTTCCCATTCTACCACTTATTCACTGTGTGCTGGGCAGATGACTCCAATCCTCTGTCTCCTCGACTGTAAAGCAGTCCTGGACCTCAGCTAGTTTGTGGGAGGATTCCGTGAAATAATGAGGCAGTCAGCCCAGTGGGGGAAGATTATAAGCTCCCTGTAAATGAAGCGGTGGTTGTTGTTATTCTTTTATCTGACCCACAGAGTCACGTCTGCTTGCCTGCTCTTGTGTTTCTAACGCAGCGCCTGCCTGCGGCGTAGTGAATATTTGTGCAGCAGATTGGCAGTATTTCCGGGTCAGCCTCATTCCTGAGCTCAATACCCACAAATCCAATGGCTTCTAGTGCATCTTCATCCAGATGTTCCTTAAGCAGCTCAAAACCAGTGTTGCCTACAAATGGAAATCACCCTTCTCTCCTCTCCCTGGCCTGCTGTCCATCTAAACCCGCTTCTCTTTCTGTAGCTTATCTCTTGATCACAGAACAATCTCCCCTTTGCCCAAAGTCTCAATTTGAAAATTAGCTTGGACCTTCTCCTCTTCTTAACTTTTACATCCAATTCATCACCAACGAATTTGAATTCTACCTGTGAGCTTTTCTGGGCTTTGCCCTACTCTCCCTCTGCACCGAAGCTCTGTCAGGCCGTCCTGGGCCCCTGCAGTACCTGGTTCCGGGGTTGACTTCTGTTCCCTTCTGGGGTGGATAAATACCCTGTGGTTGACGCCAGAGGGAGTTTTTGATGAGCAGCTTGCCCTGACTGTGGGAGAATGCACCCCTCCACCGCCACTGAACTGACAGGGGAGGGACCCTCGATAGGAGTCACAACTGAGGCGAGGACCACCTGCGGGGACGGGACCCTCGAAAGGAGTCACAGCTGAGGCGAGGACCACCTGTGGGGCCACCTGGCCAGGGAGATGGTACGGTGCCAGCTTCTCTCCTCTGGGAGGAACGCGCCCCTCTGGGTCAAACAAAGAGCCTTCTGAGTCCCAGCTGCGAGTCCCAGCGTCAGAGCTAGAGAACAGGCCTGGGGGAAAAAAAGGACCTTTCGAGGTGTGGAGTGACAGGAAAGCTGTCTCTTCACCCTCTGAAGGTTCACTGGAAAATCAACTGTCAAAAGGCAGGTGAATTGGAGAACAGGCATACAAACTGATTAACTTGTACACAGAGGCCTTGGGACTGAAGACCCAAAGACACAGGGGAATTGGAGGGGAATTGGCCATCTCTATACTTGGGCTCAAGGCAGTGTGGATGGCCGTGTAGGAATGTGCCTGGATAGAAAGGGCCCGACCTAACGCCGATGGGCTGAGGGGGCGGCAGGGGCGGCAGGGGCGGCAGGGCCTAACGTGGACGGGCCGAGGGGGCGGCAGGGCGTAACGCGGGTGGGCGGAGGGGGTGGCAGGGCCCATCTGTCCAGGTTCCTCTTGGCCCCTCTGGGGAGCATCCCTTCCCTTTGTGGGGCGGGGCCCTCTCTGGAACGGGGATCTCATGACCTGCAGTCAAACAAGGTATGTCCGATAATTTCCTCACCGCCAGTTTTTACAGAGAAAGGCGGAGGAAAGTGGGAGTCCTATTTCCAGGTTTTATGGCTGGCTTTGGGGAGAAGGGTCCTGGTTCCTATGACTCTCCTGGAGGAACAGGGATTCTTGTTTCTGTGGTGCCTCAGGGGAGAATGGGGCCGAGAGGCAGGGACGGCAGGAGAAGGTCGGGGAAACCTTTTGCTTCTGAGGCCGCTGCTGAAGCCTGCATTTTGGGGGATTGTCTTCTGAGTCCCAACAGCAGCTAAGCGATTATTTAAGAATATTTTCAACTGTTAATAGTTTCCATCTATTCAGCCTTTTAAGCTGAGTTGGCCAATCTAATCCTAAAAATTGTTAAACTGTATTTAACTTAAATCTATTTAAATATATGTAAATTATTGTAACTATTTGCTCCAGCAGAGTTGATGAGAATACCTAGAAATCCTAGCGTGTGATTTTTCTGCTTTTAAAAGGATTTCTTTCTTAATCAGAATGCCTGCTGAGAAGCTATTCACAAAAGAAGAGTTCCTACAAACGGGGCTGCCTCCTGCCTCCAGGGAGACCCAGGTTTCAGTGGGCTGTGGGTCCCAGTAGATGTCCTAAAATAGCCCCTGGCCGATGCTTTGTTTCCGTTCAACAGGCAGGTGCAGATTCAAACTGGTATCTTGCAATCAGGGCTGAGGCCACGTGGACAGAATCAGAATTTGCCCAGCAAGCAGGTGAGTCATTTCTGGACTTGAGCTGGCTTCACGTAAATCCTACGGGCATCAGAGCCCGAGCCACACATGTCCCCGGCCCAAGTCCAGGGAAGTCCCTCCACCGAGACGTGCCTTAGGCCTCTAGCCTGTGCCTGGGACAAAGCGGGCCTCGTCTTGGCAGCACGGTTAGAGGTGCGCCTTTGTGGAAGGCGATCCATAGTCGTGCTCTGGAGAATGAGCTGGGGTCACGGCTTCTAAGATGCCTCTGCGCTAGCAGTCTGCGGGGCCAGCTTTCCTGCGAGCCCCACACTTTTCTCTTGCTGATAGTAGTGACCAGCTACAGTTTGATGAGCGCTCATTTATTTTTTTGTCTGTGTATTTATCCACTTCACCTAAATCCTGATTACCAGCCTACGATGCTGGTATCACCCGGATTTTACAGCTAAGGAAACTGGTCCAGAGAGGTTGACTAACTTGCCTGGGATCCCATGGATATGAGGGGCCAAGCTATGACTTAGAGAGTTTTGGACTTAGAAGCCTGGGTTTTCCCTGTATCTCTCTATGTCCTGGGGCTGGGGAAGTCCCATGGGAGCAGGATTCTCAGACCTCAGGCCATGGGGACCCGTGCTGTGGACCCCAGGGATGTGATGTCCCTGGCTGTTCATTTCCACCCTGGCTCCACTTCCCTGCTTTTTAAATCCTGGGATTGAGGGAACATATGTCAAAGACGTGGCACATGTGTGGCTGTGGGGCAGCAGCCCCTGGAGAGAGGAACGCCCCCAGGCCTGTGCTCCTGGGCTCCCACCTCGGGTCCCTGGGGCTGCTTTTCTACAACCGAAAACCTTTCTGTTAACTGCTGAAGTCCAAGGCTGGTCCTACATACCTGGGGGAACTCACGCCAGGTAAAGCCAGCATTTACTGAGCACCTGCACAGGTGGTGAGGAATAAAAATAAAGTTCTAAGCCCCACAGCTGACTAAATGAACCCCCCTTGGCCAGGGGGATCCCTGAGAAACCTTATAAGAAATGCCTCGCTCTGCCTCCTCCCTGCCCCACTCTCTAACACCATCAGGCTTCTTAAGGACTACACAGTAACTGGCCCCTTGGAAAGCCTCCCCCACTGCGAACTTAAACATCCGACCAGCGTCCCTTCCCGACAAGAGAGCACCAACTTCGGAGTGGCTCTGGCCCTCTACGGAGGCTGTGTGCTGAGTATCTTCCTGTCCCCGCTTCACCTTCTGATGGACAGGGTCTGATTGAAATACAGTTAAATATTAAGTCTCCACACCCAAATGAGCGTGGGTCTCATGTAACATACGTGTTAGCCAACTGCGCACGCTTGCAACCCCCCCTTCATGAATATCCATGGCTCTTCCTGCAGCCTGGTGAGTATGTGCACCCAGCCAGCCTGTTCAGCACGAATTCCTGTCTCCTCCTTCCCTCTCCTGAAGTGCTTGCTTTTCGGTTTTGGTTGGAGGCCTTGCTTCTGGCCCACAGGCTGAGCTACCCTCGTTTAGAAGTAAAGCTCTGTCTAAATTTATAGATTTTGTGACTTTTCCAGTCCACAGTGGCCAGTGCTTCACGTTGCCTCAAGGGTGACGGTCCACAGTGGTTCACATGCAATTTCTCTATTTACTCCTCAGAATCATGTTAGAACCAAACTCCTGTTATTTCTCACTTTGTGTTGAGGAAATGAGGCTTACAGAGACGGAGGAGGTTGCCTCAGGCCCTAACACGAATGGTGGAGCTGGAACTGGAACCAGGGGCAGTGAAGCTGGCGCAGGGGTGTTTCTGCAAACCACCAACGCTGTGTGCTTGGGGGAAACGGAAGAAAAGGGAACAAAAGAGCAGCAGGAGAACAACTTAATCTCGTTAGTAGAATAATACTTCCATCCTAATGTGGAAATTGAACACAGAAACATTTTCCACCAGTTCCCAAAATCCCCTCCGAGTGGTTGCCATCAGTACCTAGACTGTGGGGGATCTCAGGGGAACACGGCCCCACATCCCTGAAGGATGAGCCTCCTTTGAAAGTCCTGAAATCAAGGACCCTGTAGAGCAAATGGGGCTCCCTATCTGATGCACTGGAAGCCAATACTATGACACTGGGTTTTTGAGAAAAGAAACGTTTGCTGTTGAAAATCAACTCCCAGGGAGACACGAGTCCACTCAGATCTGTCTTCCTATGCTGGCTTCATGGCAGTGATTTTATTAGAAAAGGCTCGGGGGCTGGATCCTGGGATTAGCAGGTGACTGGTGGAAAGTCCTTGGGCCTGGGCAGTAGCTCTTCACACTGCCTCAAGGGTGGCATGTGCAAACTCGGGGGTGTGAGCATGAAGCCTGCGGTGGAAATTCAGGCTGTGACATCAGCAAGTACATTCCCTGCGGACTCCAGTGGGCCGTTCGGTTCTAGCTGATTTTGGCTACTTCTTTCATTGCATACGTGGAGGGAGTGGCAGCGTTTCAGTAAGTTGTTTCCTTTTTTATTTGCCATCCCGTAAACTCAAGAAGTTCTTTTAGTCGTTGGTTTCTTTAACTCTTTGGGGCAGGGTTTCAAACGGATGGCCTTTGAAAGTGAGACTCAAGGACGTACTGACACTGGGCCTGAAAAGCCTAAGAGGCACATGGGCTCCAGGATGTGTGAGGTCCAGGCCAGGCCGTCACCTAACCGAGCACACTGGAGTGACCCCGGAGCGTAGGCGCACGTGGAGGGAAGGACTCACGGAAGGACGGAAAGGGTGGGGGTGAGGAGGCTCTTCTGAGCCTGCCCTGGCAGGGGTGCCACCCAGGCACAGCCCTGCTGTGAAGGTCGATGCTGCCCAGCCTGACATCACTGTCACCCAACCCTCAGGCAAATTAATTGCAAGTATGTGCCAACATTTTACGTCCAATTTGCTGATCATTTTTTTTTTAATGGTTAAAGTTGTTTCTTTTTGGAAGAGTAATTGTTTTTGTCTTTTGGGAGAGACTTGGGGGAGGATGTGGCAGGATGACATTGTTAGAATAAGCACAAAAAAAGGACTTCCGGCCACAGTCGACTGCCAGGGATGCCCAGGGCGGCAGCAGGTGTCAGCACTGGGCGTGGAGAGATGGGCTGGATCAAGCACTACGTTCTCTTCTCACCACCTTTTGCTTAGTTTGAGAGAATTGTGTTTCTTATTTCTAAATGTTTAAATCATGGAACTTTCCACATAGCTCTGATTCATTGCACAGCCAGCAGTGTCCTGGCCCCACGTGCTCTGATAGCCACCTTCCGTGAAGAGCGGCTGCTTTATTTCTCCAAGTGCAAAGGATTCCTCTGGAACTCAGTTCTCCACACCAGGCTTCTGTGTTGGGCTAACGCCAGTCTGCCTTTGAGGGGAAAATCCACTCCAGGGCTCATTTTTCAGGCTCTGGGACCAGAAGGAGGAAGGTCTGGCCCTGGACTGGGGGGAACTCACCACCCATGGGGCCCAACCCAACTGAAGGAACCCTTGCCCAGAGTTCATTCAACCTCTCCTAAAAATGCGAGAGAATGTTCTGGTTTCAGCCCTTTAGTTGAAGCAGTGGCTATTCACCAAATTGTCTCTGCACACCCCTGGATAAAGAAGTGGATGTTTAGATCAGTCAGTGTTGAGGAGTTGTTAATGAACTCATTCAGGATAAAACATGAAAGCTGTTGCTGCCACTTTCCCCCTCCCATTCTGTGGGGGAGGAATTCATTTCTCTAGGGAATATTTCTGTCATCTGTTACTATTTTTTTTTTTGAGACAGAGTCTTGCTCTGTTGCCCAGGCTGTAGTGCAGTGGCACAATCTGGGCTCACTGCAACCTCTGCCTCCTGGGCTCAAACGATGCTCCTGCCTCAGCCTCCCAAGTAGCTGGGATTACAGGTGTGCACCACCATGCCCAGCTAATTTTTGTATTTTTAGTAGAGATGGGGGTTTCACCATATTGTTCAGGCTGGTCTTGAACTCTTAACCTCAAGTGAACCACCTGCCTCGGCCTCCCGAAGTGCTGGAATTACAGGTGTGAACCATGGTGCCCGGCCTGTCTATTAATATTAATGCTCCATTAAAGTGAACATTTCCCTAACTAGCTGTTCTACAGAGCATCTGGTTCAAGGTGGCCTGTTCCTGCAGAGCCAATTTGTCCACACTTCCACCCTCCATGGCAGGAAGAATGAGCCCAGCCTTGCCTCCCCTCATCCATGGGAGCACGGCCTCCTGTCTCCTGGCAGGTGCGTTTCTGACATCACCTTGTGATGGATTTGTGTTTCTTGATGTCAGTCTCACATTTCCTATATAGGACAAGACAGGATTTCCAAATGAGATTGTCAGAGGGACAAGACCTTTTCATTTTGTTGTATGCAAAACAAACTGAATTAGTTGACAAATTATTTCATATAATTTTGTGCCATGAAATTGGCTCTTTTGCTTTCTGTAAGTTTCCTACTATTGGTATCTAGTAAAAGGGGCTCATTGCACGATGTGCTAGAAGCCAATACTATGATGCCGGGTTTCTCAGAAAAGAAAAGCTTGATATTGAAAGTCGTCCAGCTCATATCTGCCTTTCCGTACTGGCTTCATGGTGGTAATTTTATTAAAAAAATTTCACTGGGTGGATCCTGGGATTAGCAGGTGACTGGTAGAAGGAAAAGGGAGGTCTGGAAAGTCCTTGGGCCTGGGCAGGGTATTAGTCAATTCTCACACTGTGTAAAGAACTGCTGGACACTGAGTAAATTATAAAGGAAAGAGGTTTAATTGACTCACAGTTCAGCATGACTAGGGAGGCCTCAGGAAACTTACAATCATGGTGGAAGGTGAAGGGGAAGCAAGGGACTTCTTCACATGGAGGTGGGAGAGAGAAGTGCTGAGTGAAGCGGTAAGAGCCCCTTATAAGACCACCAGATCTCATGACAACTCACTATCATGAGAACATCATGGGGGGAAACCACACCCATGATTCAATTACCTTCACCTAGTCTCTCCCTTAACATATGGGGATTATGGGGATTATAATTCAAGGTGAGATTTGGGTGGGGGCACAAAGCCTAACTATATCATTCAGCCCCTGACCCCACCCAAATCTCATGCCTCTTTCACATTTCAAAATCAATCATGCTTTCCCAGTGGTCCCCCAGAGTCTTAATTCCTTTCAGCATTAACCCAAAAGTCCAAGTTCAAAGTCTTATCTGAGACAAGGCAAGTCCCTTCCGCCTATGAGCCTCTAAAATCAAAAGCAAGTTAGTTACTTCCTAGATAAAATGGGGGCATGGGCATTGGATAAATACACCCATTCCAAATGGGAGAAATTGACCAAAATGAAGGGACTACAGGCCCCATGCAAGTCTGAAATCCAGTGGGGCAGTCAAATCTTAAAGCTCTGAAATGATCTCCTTTGACTTCATGTCTCACATCCAGGTCACACTAATGCAAGAGGTGGGCTCCCACAGCCTCGGGCAGCTCTGCCCCTGTGGCTATGTATGGTACAGCCCTCCTCCCAGCTGCTTTCATGGGATGGCATTGAGTTTCTATGGCTTTTCCAGGCACATTGTGCAGCTGCCAGTGGATCTACCATTCTGGGGTCTGGAGGACAGTGGCCCCCTTCTCACAGCTCCACTAGGCAGTGCCCCAGTAGGGAGTCTGTGTGAGAGCTCTGACCCCACATTTCCCTTCCACACTGCCCTAGCAGAGGTTCTCCATGAAAGCCCCGCCCCTGCAGCAAAGTTCTGCCTGGACATTCAGGCCTTTCCATACATCCTCTGAAATCTAGGTAGAGGTTCCAAAACCTCAGTTCTTGACTTCTGTGTACCTGCAGGCCCAATACCACATGTACACCTCCAAAGCTTGGGACTTGCACCCTCTGAAGCAACAGCCTGAGCCGTATGTTGGCCCCTTTTAGCCACAGCTGGGATGCAGGGCACCAAGTCCCGAGACTGCACAAAGCAGCAAGGGCCCGGGCCCAGCCCCCAAAACCATTCTTTCCTCCTAGGTCTCCCAGCCTGTGATGGGAGGGCTGCCATGAAGACCTCTGACATGTCTTAGAGACATTTTTCCCATTGTCTTGGCAATTAACATTTGGCTCCTTGTTACTTATGCAAATTTCTATAGCCGGCTTGAATTTCGCCTCAGAAAATTCTTTTTTACTTTCTATCCCATTGTCTGGCTGCAAGTTTTCTAGACTTTTATGCTCTGCTTACCTTTTAAACCTAAGTTCCAATCCCAAACCATCTCTCTGAAGTTCAAAGTTCCACTAGGGCTGGGCAAAATGCTGCCCATCTCTTTGTGAAAGCATAGCAAGAGTCACCTTTATTCCAGTTCCCAAGAAGTTCCTCATCTCTCTCTGAGTCCACCTCAGCCTGGACTTCATTGTCCATATCACTATCAGCATTTTGGACAAAACCATTCAAGAAGTCTCTAGGAAGCTCCAAACTTTTCCACATTTTCCTGTCTTCTTCTGAGCCCTCCAAACTATTCCAACCTCTGCCCGTTACCCAGTTTCAAAGTCATTTCCACATTTTCAGGTA
This sequence comes from Homo sapiens, assembly GCF_000001405.40. NCBI lineage: Eukaryota > Metazoa > Chordata > Mammalia > Primates > Hominidae > Homo > Homo sapiens. The sequence goes on from NC_000006.12 coordinate 168,187,233, forward strand.
TCTTAATAGCAGTACCCCACTCCCAGTACCAATTTACTATATTAGTCTGTTCTCACACTGCTATAAAGAACTTCCTGAGACTGGATAATTTATAAAGGAAAGAGGCTTAATTGACTCACGGTTCCGCATGGCTGGAGAGGCCCTCAGGAAACTTACGATCATGGAGAAAGTCAAAGAGGAAGCAGGCACCTTCTTCACAAAGTGGAAGGTAGGAGAAGTGCTGAGCAAAGTGGGAAGAGCCACTTATAAAACCATCAGGTGTCATGAGAACTCACTCACTGTCACCAGAACAGCTTGGGGAAAATTGCCCCCATGACTCAGTTACCTCCCTTGACACGTGGGGGTTATGCGGATTATGGGGACTATAATTCACCATGAGATTTGGGTGGGGACACAAAGCCTAGCCATATCAGGCAGTCACCTCTTCATGTTACCTCCTCAGTCACATGTGCAGATTCACAGGAGTGAGCATGAAACCCATGGTGGAAATTCAGGCTGTGATGTCAGCACATGCGTTCTCCACAGACTCCAGTGGCCATTTGGGCTCAGCCCGTTTTCACCAGCTCCTTCATCTCATGAGTGGAGGGAGGGCTTGTATTTCTCAAGTTTTTTTTTTTAATCTGTCATCCTATAAAATCAAGAATTTCTATTAGTCATTTTTTTTAGCTTTTTGAGGCAGTTTCATTATTTCATACACTATTGTTTTTTTCTTTCTTGAATGAAAATCTTTGAAAGAAATGGCTTTTGTTTCTTATTCAACTTCCCATAAAAACCTATCTATCCCTAGACTTTATGTGCAAAAGGATAATAATTATGTAATAAGATAATACATAATTATCTTAATTAATATAAAGATTATGATTCTAAAATAACCTATAGAAATATTAGCTGTGTTTAGGTGACCACATTATTGGTTATTGTAAATGATCTATTTTCAAGATTTATGAGATGTTATGTTACATTTGTAAATTTAAAAATGCATTCAGCAACACTTGCTGATTAACTGCCAGGAGCTGGGTGTTGTGCCTGGGCCCTGTGGCTGCAGAAACGTCCTGAGAAAAACCCATTGCTCTGTTTCATGTTTGGCAGGGCTCTTGGGCCATCAGGTGGCTGGGCTCACTGTTGTCAAAGGATGTGAGCTGGGGCGGGGGCGGGCACATCGGGGGGACATCTGGGCTGGTCTGAAGAATGATTCCAGGTCCGCAGTGTTAGGTCTTATTGGTGAAGAAGGGGCTGAGCTGGGGAGGCCGTTTCAGGTGAAGGGAGAATAATGAGGAGCTAGAAACGCAGGTGCAATTCTGAAGAATCCTGTGCATCTTAGGCTGGCGAAAGACATGACGTGCCCCGCCCTCCATGGGGCATGGCCAGCAAGCGGGGATGGGTGGGGGAGCAGCTGAAGGTCAGATTATGTTAAAAGCCACAGGGACAGACTCAGAGCTTGCTGGGAAGAGGCATAGAGTGGACGCCCCAGGCTGCTTTTTCCAGTCACTGATGTGGAAATCACAGGACTGGGTCACCAATCATATAATTAATATCTGCAGGAAAAATGTCAGCAGTGTCCTCAGTGGGAGGATGGAGGATGGCCTCATGAATTGAAGGAGTAAATGACGTAATTTGAGGATCATTGGAAAAGTCCAAATTGTTTACACACTAAGCTTATACAATTCCAGAAGTCATCCCAAATAAAGTGATTTCTTTGGTGTAGACGTGTGAGATGGAAACGTCCTGCATGGCATTTAGGTTTCCAGACACCTGTGAGCAGCATCTTATAGACAAAGATGGCTCAGAAGGGTCCATGCCAGCTTGCTCCTGGCAAGGCCTTGGCCCTGGAGGAAGCAGCCCCTCAGTCCGTCCTCTCTGCCCCTTCTCCTCTGCCGGCTCGCTGGGTGCAGAGTTCCCTGGCATTTCTGGTGCTCCCTCAGTCTGTCCCAGTATCCAGATGTCCTTCTGGTGTAAGGGAGCCATTTCCAGGGAAGAAGTCACTTTCCCTGGTCAGGAAGCCCATCCTGGAGTTCTGTGCCCGCACTCAGAACCACAGTTCAGTTCTTACTTCCCCAGCTGAGCGGTGCCCCCTCCCTTTACCCAGCCACCAGTGCCTCCTGAGTTCACAGGTGGGAGCACCAGGGTGTCCTAGTCTAGGGGGTACAAAATGACATCAGGCTAACAGTCTCACAACATTGCTGACACACAGATGGGGTGCACCCTTGGCTTGCTGCTTGCCAGGTGTCAGGGACCAAAGACAAGTCAGATCCTCCCTGCTCTCAGCTGCCCATGAGTGGGTGCTGCAGACAGAGAAGTAACTAGAGACTGCGGTGTGGACAGGGCAGCATGGAGCACACACAGGTGTGGATATTCAGCAGAGGCCCCCCCTCAAAGGCCATGCCTTGTGGCCAGGGACCTCAGCAGGACAGTGAAGCTAGGTGGCCCTGGGCCCAGTGTGCCCATCCAGGGTGAGGGCAGCCACGTCCAGAGGCCATGCAACCTTGGCTTGACCTTGACCTGGGCCAGCACTGCCTTTGAGGGGATATGCTGTTGCAGGCAGGAGTTTCGGGGAGTGGGGACCCATGATGAGTATGTGTGCGGTGCTTCACGGCTGTCTGGATGGGCGTGGAATCCAGCTACTTGCTGGGAAGGTGGGAGGCAGGAACCCCGGCAGGTGCATTTGTCCTGGCATTAGGGGCTCAGGATGGAGCTGGACACACTTCATGAAACCCAGGCAGAAGCCCCTTCCCATGGACCGGGGTGTGATAGAAGCTTTGTAAGGGTGCTGTGGGTTGGGGTTCTGCCCAGACTTCACACTGGCTTTTCTAGACCTTCTCCCTGAGGCCCCGAGGCTGTGGTTACACTGCATAGCTGGCTCCGGAACCTCGTTCAGCCCTCACTCCCTCCTGGTTGTCATACTTCTGTGCTGTGCACCTGACGTCCCTCCGGCGAGGCTCTGCCCCCACACACATCCTGCACTGTGCACCTAACGTCCCACCTGCGAAGGTCAGCCACCTCACGTGTCCTGCGCTGTGCACCTGAAATCCCGCCTGCAAAGGTCGGCCACCTCACGTGTCCTGCGCTGTGCACCTGACGTCCCTGCCTGCAAGGGTCAGCCGCCTCACGTGTCTTGTGCTGTGCACCTGACGTCCCTGCCTGCAAGGGTCGGCCACCTCACGTGTCCTGCGCTGTGCACCTGACGTCCCGCCTGCAAAGGTCGGCCACCTCACGTGTCCTGCGCTGTGCACCTGACGTCCCGCCTGCGAGGGTCGGCCACCTCACGTGTCCTGCGCTGTGCACCTGACGTCCCGCCTGCGAGGGTCGGCCGCCTCACGTGTCCTGCGCTGTGCACCTGACGTCCCGCCTGCGAGGGTCGGCCGCCTCACGTGTCCTGCGCTGTGCACCTGACGTCCCGCCTGCGAGGGTCGGCCGCCTCACGTGTCCTGCGCTGTGCACCTGACGTCCCGCCTGCGAGGGTCTGCCTCCACGTGCGTCCTGCGATCTGTTCAACTTTGCACGTTTGGCAGCCAGTGTTGGGAGGCACATTGTAGGTGTTCAATCAGCTCCAGTCCCATGGCACGGGGGCTGGGCCGGGTGCAGGTAGAAAGGTTTGGAATTCAGGAATCTGGCAGGCTGGCAGTCATGCCACCATCCAGGAGGGAGACTGAGGGGTTGCAGGCAGGTGGCAGGCGGACCTTGAGGTCAGGGCACAGCCAGTTCCCTAGAGGAGGTGATAGTTGAGGCAGGCCTTGAGACAGTATGTTGTTAGCTGTAGGTGCTCAGTAAATGCCAAGAGTAAGGCTGCCAACACGTAGCGAGAGCATGGCATTTGCCTGGCACTGTCACTTTCTCATGGAGGGCTCATGCTGGTTCAGGGAGGTGGGATTATCTCCACAGTCCCCCGTGACAGAGGAAGACATGGTGGCTTGGGGGCATGCAGGCAGCTCGCAGGAGGTGGGGCTGGATGTCAGTGGCACCTGCGTGACTCCGGAAGCCACGTGGTTACCCCTGTGCTCACTCGAGGGGGTAACTGTTAGGATGAAGTGAAAAGAGCCACCACATTGTAAATGGTTTGTGTTTAAGGTGCTGGTTTTAAAACTTTGTGTAAATGTCCTGAGTTGGCTTTTCTGCCCCTGCCCCTCGCCCTTGGGCAGGTCCTCAGCAGAGCTCCAGGGTCAGGCTCCATGCAGGGCTCAAGCCACTGCCTGCGATGGACTCAGGAGCCCTGAACTCTTTTCGATTTAAAATCACTGGGCTTGTGGAGAGAAATGGGAGGGTTCGCTTTTTTTTTTTTTTTTTTAACTGGAGGATTATTACAAGGTGTGCATGGTCCAGGCATTCTGCCCCTTCAGATACCAAAACTATGGTGAGTGTGTGTGTGTGTACGCGTGTATGAGAGAGAGGGAGAAATAGGAACGATATGAGGATAAATTTGAATCATATATTCACCTAATGAATAGCCTCCTTTAATTGGGGTGACTTAGTGCCTGGGGAGGCTTCTTGGGGAGGGCATAAGATGTTCGGGACTCACAGCCTTGAGGAGAAGGTGGGCAGCCATCCACCTGGGGTTTCTGCCCAGCAGGTGTTCTGTGAGCTGAAAGCTGACAGGCTATGGTTGTGTCCTGAGTGTGGGCCACAGTGACACCCCCATACCAGCATTTGGCTGGTGAGAAATCTGCCTTTTGAGGCTTCCCAGGCACACCATATGATTAAATACTGCTCAGAAGGATATAGTCCCTTCATTATAAAAAATTAGAATACATACTAACTCTTTCTTCTCCATTGGGAATAAAAAGCAAACTCCACCTCCTTCCCATCCCCACCCTAAGTTCAGGTTTTGCACAGTCCCAGGTTGGGAGGGAAGTGCTGTGACCTCTGAGGGGAGTGCCTGGGGCTGATGACTTTGGGGGCTGCTGTGCCTCTTCTCTTCCGACTCCTAAAGACAACCTTTTGGTCCTTGGAGGACTTCTGGGGCTGAAGTGCTATGTGGCTTTTTTGTTGTTGTTGTTGTTGTTAAATTATCTTTAAAATATTTACATGTGTGTTTAATTTCCCAGAGTTTTGCCATCTGTTACACGCTCGGTACTGCTGGAGTTCAGCAGCTGTGGGCATGAAGAAGCGGTTCCCTGGGACCCCGCCCTCCCCACCGTGGGCATCGTTAATTACAGTGTACTCTTCCAACTCCCTTCCACTAAGAATGAGCCTTTTGTTAGCAGTGCTCAGATGATCATCCCACCGGAAATTTGTTTTTAAGCACCCAGGTCTCTAAAGACCGTGCTTCTCTCTCACTGGGAGTGCTGCATTAGCCTAAGACATCTTTAATTATAGGCCACGGAAAAAAATACCAACACCCTAACAGTATATTTTTCTCTTAACAAGAACAAACTTAATTTCCTCAGGCTAAGCCACAAGAGCAGATTTGTACTTGAAAGTCACGTGGAAAACAATGGGGGCCTCTGCCTCGGTGCTGTGTGAGGGAGGTGTCACCTGCCTGTTTCCAGAAAGCCCAGGGTGCAGCCCCCAGCGGTGTCCACGCATCTCTGAACCGTTTCCTGTTCCCAGGAAACAAGAGGAACCCTGGAAAGCCACAGCAGCGATGGATTCCAATGCAGTGTATCTAGGAGTTCCGCATTAATTTAAAAAGGTAGATGTCTCATCCCTGTTGCATGTTTGAATCTCTAATTAATGTCATGGGAAATATGTTAGTTAACAAAACGTCATAGAAGATGTCAAGGAGCACCCGCCCTGTGACAGCGTAATGCTGGGTGCCCGCGGCCGCGCTGGGAAAACAGACGCGCACACACATTCTCCATGTGGTGGGTCCAGAGCGATACGAAAGCTCCCGAGGGCGCCGCGTGGGGTCCTGCGGGGGCTTCCTAGAGGCGGCGGGAGTGGGAAGGGAAGGATAGCCGGAGGGATGAGGGCCTGGCCTGGCCGTGGGGTGGGAGAGAGGACGGGTGGGACGGGCAGTGGGGCTGCAGGCATCTGAGATGAGATGCCCTGTTGGAGAGCGAGGCCCCTCTCAGCCAGAAAATGGGAGCCACTGAAAGTTTAAAAACAAAGAAATCACATGGGCAGCCTCCAACTTCGGCGAGTCCGACTTCGGCGAGTCCTGTGTGGCAGGAGATGGGCTGGCAGGAGCGGGAGGAAGGTCTCCGTGAGTGACCATCAGGACACGAAGGCAGGAAGCTCAGACACGCTGATCCTTCCACATGAAGCAGAAAGGAGGGAGGACCCCACTTTTAACAGAGCAGTGATTCTGAAGCCACGGACCCGATAAGGACCTCAGCAGAGCCGAGGGAGGGGGGAACTCAGCTGTGGCCTAGACGAGCACCGCAGGTGGTTGAGAGGGGCCGGGGTGCAACCAGGGGACGCCCTGGGACGGAACCCAGCAGACAGTCTGGGCTGGAGACAGGGTTTGGGAACGGGGGCAGGAAACGGTCAGGCATTGCCCAGGGAGAGTTTGTGGCGGGAGAAGAGGCGAATCCCTGCGGTGCGGGGAGCTGGTGTTGAAGAGAAAGGTGGAGTTGGGGGACTCCTACAGAAGATATGGGCCTGGTGGGCAGGAGGGCATCCCGGAACCAGGGGGCAGAGCTGCTGGGAAGAAGGAGGGCCCGTGCCGTGGGAGGAGGACGAGGCGCAAAGTTCAGGAAGGAAGGACCTGGAGCCGGGCCGGAGCCTTGGAGGGAGGAGAGAGGGGAGGCCGGAGTTGGAGCGTCCACCACGGTGACCGCTGTTCCCACCAGGCACTGCCCAGGGGCTGCCCATTTTCCTTCAGTCCCCACGGGGGATGTTGTGATTTGACAGGTGAGGAGAGCAAGTCTCCTAGACAGGTCGTTTTCCCAAGGCCGTGCAGTTCCCACAAGTTCAAATGTGACCTGCGTCGGGCAACTCCAAAACACTGCCGCCGTCAGCTCCAGGTGGCCCTGCAGGGAGGGGTCCCCGGTGTCCTCTGTGAATTGGAATCGGAGGCTGACTCCTCAGAGTGTGAGAAGCTGGCGGGCCTGGCGGCTGGGGACGTGCTGCGGTGTGCGTGTATCGGGCTGAAGACCTGCCAGGTTGGACGTCCCTGCCGTGAGTGGTGTCCTCAGAGGCCGCGGTTCTCTGCAGCAGCCCTGGGCAGTCTGCAGCAGGGAAACCTCTGGTCGAGTGGGTCCAGGGGGAGCCTTGGTGGCCAAGTCTGCTGTGTGGCCGCAGTAGAATCCTGAGCCTGGGTGAGGGGGAAGAGCAGAAGTTTCCTTCCCACATTTCTGGAGGCTGGGGGTGCAAGATCAAGGCGCCGGCGTCCCCGGGGCCTCCTGGCTGTGTTCTTGGAGGCTAGAGGGCGCTGGAGGCCGCAGGAAGCCTCTTGTGTGACGGCCTTGATCCCCTTCACTGGGAGGAGACCTGGAGCTAGTCATCCTCCAACACTATCACGTCGGCAACGCCTGGGTCTTGGAGGGGACACATTCGAACCTCAGCCAGGTACAAGCAGGTAAGGCAGAGAAATGGGGGTGCAGCTTCTGGGGGCTCGAGAGCCTCAGAGGAGCTTTCCACACCTCAGTGCCCAGTTCCCACCTGCCATGGCATCCTCAGGATGGGAAGGGTCCCTGCCGATGAGTCCCCCTTGCTGGCACAGCCTCTCCCTTTCCCCGGAAGCCGACTTGAGCAAGCAGTCGGCTCACACCACATTCCTCACTACCCCCTTCCTGGGCCTCCTCCTTGATTGCCTGGCACATCTGCCCCGACACCCACCTGTAAACCGCAAGGCCAGGCACCCTGGGGCCTCTTCCTGACCGTGCCCCCGACACCTCACAGAGTGTTTGCACGTGAGATGTTTGGTGGCTTGTGACTCCATGATGGCCTCGCCCCATCCCTGTCATGCAGTGTCTCTGCAAATCCACCATGACCCCACCCTGCCATGTGGCATCCCTGCAGCCCCCTGGAGCTGCTCCCCTTGAGGTCCTCAGTGACCTCCTGAGGGTTGGTTAACGTAAGGTGAATTCCAGCCCTAAACCCCCCTGGGGTCAGAATCTCCTGTTAGACACGCTCATAGCTCCTGCAACTTTTCCTTGATGTCACTTGTTAACCGGCTTGCATAATGAGTTACTTAGTAAATGGTGATGTGTCCCGTCTTTGCTACAGTCTCTGCTCCACACGGGCCGGGCAGCGTCTGAGTGGGTCCTCTGCCTCCCGGTGAGGGCAGTGCCAGGCTCAGGGTGGACCTTGGGCTCAGCAAGTGCTCCCAGCAGCCCTACCATGGCAGCCCCCACTCCTTCCAGTGACAGAAACAGGCTCTCTTTGGCTTTGCCGACAACATTCTCTTATGGTTTTCCTCCCTCCTCCTCCCCCTGCTCCATGGATGAAGTGCAGGAAGTCCGAATCTCGTCTTGACTCTGCGTGATATTTCTCTAGCCCTGAGCACACTTCCAGCTCACTGTTTAAATGAGGTGGGGTGGGCCACATGGTCTCTGGAACCTTTCTGTGAACCCCCTAAGGTACAGCTTGGAGCTTGTTCCAGGGGTAAGCCTTCATGTGGGGAGTGGTCTCTAAGGCCCCCCATTCTGGATGTGTGGATTATCATACTTATTATTATTGTTTTCTGGGAATAGAGTCTGGCACTTTCATCAAATTCTCAAAGGGTTCTGGCTCCCCAAGAAACATAAGAACTGCGGGTTTGTGGCTCCCGCGAGCCCAGATCACATCTGCCGGTTACCCCGAGGTCCCCCAGGATCACGTCTGCCGGTCACCCCGAGGTCCCCATCTTCCTCTGTGAGTTAGAATTGGAGGCTGATTCCTGTTGGGGGTATGCAAGTTCTTCAGGGACCACAGCTTTTGTCTGCTAAGACCTTAAAAAGGAGACACAGATTGGGCACCCTCTAGATGCTGAGCCCTAGGACGGGGGCTGGCATCTTCCGTCTCTTTAAGTCCTCACATCTGCCTGGAAGTGGGCACCATCACCCCCTTTTACAGAAACTGAAAGGCCAGGATCAAATGCTTGGTAGAGTCAAAGCTGAGATTTTAATCCATGTCTCCAGATTATTTTAATTGTTTTCCTTGTTCTGCCATAGATGTTAAATTGCTGGCAGATAAAAAAGCATGGTGATGTGATGGGCACGTTCTTATAAAAGCTTTATTACTAAATTTTTAGTTTCAAAATGTCATTTATTTACTGAAACTCTTGATTTATTTACGGAAACAGCTTGATTTTTAAACGGATCATGTTCTTGCTATTGCTCAATGGCACCAGCTTTTCTTTAACGTACAGGGCAGATAACAGCCCGTGAAGCTGAGCAATCCGTGCTTGTGAATTTGGCTTTTAGAACTTTGCTTTCTACCTAGGCAGGATGTGTTATTAGGCAGAGTTTTGAGTCAATAGTGCATTGTGCCCAGAAGACCCAGAGGGCTTTAGATCACTTGAGGTTGTGGCAGGTACGGTTGCTGGTGCCAACACAAATAGCCCGTGTGTTTACCCAGCACAAAGACGTGAAGCTGGCCGTGACTTCCTGACAGCCATCCCAAAGGAAAGGCAGGAAGAGGGCAAGAGATCCACCTGCAGTATCGTGACGGAAGTTTTCACGTTGTTAAAAAAGTATTCGACTTTCTATTGAATTACAATACGAAGAACAATATGCACAAAACTTTTTTCCCTCAGAAAACTCCCAGACTGAGGAGAAATTTGTCTCCTTCCCCAGATGAACTCCGCGTAACGTGGCTGAGTGCAGCGACCCCATCTCCTCCCCCGAACAGGTGAACGCATCCCCCTGCCCTGGGCTGGCTGGCAACCAAACACGTAGTAACTCTGGATTCAGAGTTCGAGATTCAGAACTGAGTGGACTTTAGACAAGCATAGAGCGATGCTGGGAACTCTCCCACCGGGTTTGGAGCCACGTGGAGGTAGCGTGGGGAGGAAAAGCTGCTGCAAGAAGAAACCACGTGGAGGTAGCGTGGGGAGGAAAAGCTGCTTCAAGAAGAAAGGACGCAGGGGAGGAGCAGGGAGGCAAGGGTCTGAGTGGAATGCGGTTGCAGCCAGGGGCTCCGTGGGCACAGGCCCAGGCTGGACCTGGGAATGGGCCGCATGGCCTCCAGTTGTGCTTGGCTGTGAATGCCCAGGTGAGCTTAAGGGCTGGCAAGATGTTGCCAGGAGACCAGAGACACCAGACCCTGGCAAGTCCATGCCACCCCTCTGCCTTTTGGAAGCCCCTTCCCTATGCATCAGGTGGAACTGAACACGGTGAGCATCTGCCTGAGGACCCCGTGCTACCTGAACACGGTGAGCATCTACCTGAGGACCCCGTGCTACCTGAACACGGTGAGCATCTACCAGAGGACCCCGTGCTACCTGAACATGGTGAGCATCTACCTGAGGACCCCATGCTACCTGAGCAGGTGAAGATGATTCAGCCGCAGTGAGCTGAGTGAGTGGACCAAACAAACTTGCTTCTCGCTGTGATCTGGGGGTGGAGGCTCTTGAGGACGACATGATTCATTGCAGATTTGCACCCTCCATGGTGACATGAATAACCCACTCTCTGAGATCTCACAAGTACAGGCCACAGCCCAGCCAGCCTGGGGGCCAGCAGGGCCCCAGCAGCTTGGTGACCCCTTCACCCGAGCAGGGCCTGTGGGGGTGGGGAGGGTGGGAAGGAGCTTCTGCTGTGGTCCCTTCCTCATCCTGCTGAGTCCAGGAATCCCAGGAACAGATCAGCCTCTTCCTGGCTTCAGTGCGCATGTATTTCAGCCTGCTCCATGGTGTTCAGCATTGCTGCCCACTGCAAGACTGCAAAGCAGAGAACTGGCCCTGTGGCGTCCATGGTCTCTTATATTTCTGTGATTGAGGGGACTCACCGATCTTATTATAACCGGATAACCGGCATTCAGGGAGAGCTGCCCTCAGAAAGCAGGAGAGGGACTGGGTTGATTCCCTTGTCTCATGTCCTGTGAATTTTCTGCAGAAGGGAAGCTGGCTGGAGGTGCCATGGCTTGTGGTGTGTTGGCCCCTTCACTCATTACAAGTGGCAGTGTGTGCTTTTCGGATAATCCCCGCTGCAACCCTGTGAGGAAGGGGCTGTTGTTGTCTTGCCCATTTTTCAGATGGGGAAATGGAGGTACACGTGGCCAGGGAGGAGCCCACTTGGAGCACTGCCCACCCTTCCCACAAAACGGCAGCTGCCCTCCGTGGTGACAGCTCATGTGCTGTGCATGCCCTGACCATCACCTCTGGTGTCTCCCCTCACTTCTTTGGAAGACCCTCCTACTGGGACTCTAAGGGCTGAGGGGTCTGTGAGGGACCCCCTGTGCGGGTGGCCCTCGTGGGATTCCCTCAGCCCTGCCCAGTGGCCTCCCTCAGTCCTGTGCCCAGGTCCCTTGGTGCTGTCTGCCAGTGACCATCACAGCTGGTCCTGCAAAGCACTAAGCCTTCAGCTCCTGCCTTCAAGAGCTGCCTGCAGAGGATGCACGGAAAAGAGGTAGAGAAGTTGGCCGTGCTCCCTTCTCCCTCACCCCCAGGGCTTGCCTCACCCCAGGCATCCTCTGGGAGTTTAGAATTCTTCCACTCGTCCACACTGCCCATGGACACACAGGCCTCGGTGCTGCTCTGCAACCCCCGTCAGACACCTGGGGAGGTGATCCCTTAAGGACATATCTTCCTGGACTAAAAGGCTGAGGATTGATTGTGTCGCTGTCTCAGAGGAGGGCTCGCTCCCAGCACAGGTGTCGCTCAGGGATCCTGTGTGAAAGGCAGGCAGGGTGTTTGCTGAGCTTGGTGGCTTCTCTTTGACATCGCTAAAGTACAGATGGCTGTGCTGAGTGGAAGCGGCCCCGCCCTGAGACATTCTGGGGTGGAGGCCCTGGCCAGGGCCCGGTGGTGCAGCTCATCCACGTGCCCTCCTTAGCCGCCACACCAGGGGATGGACCAGGGCAGTGGCTCAGGCCTTTTGGGGCTGGAGAAGCCGGGACCCAGCTGCTGGGTCTCCATGCCGGAGAGAAAGGAAGAGGGCAGGCCCCCTTGTGCAGTCAAAACTGGCATTGAGTTAAAGTAATCCTCCGTCAACTGAGACAAGTTAAAACCCACACTGAGCACTGCGCGTTCCTGGTGGCATTAAGCTTCTCAGTGTTCACGGAGAGGCAGCCTGGAGGTTGGGCTACACAGGCTGCGAGACGGTGCATAAGACCAGATGGTGGCTCCTCAAAAAGTTAAATGTAGAATGACAATTTGACTCAGCAATTCCACTGCTGGGCGTAGACCCAAAAGAAGTGAAAGCAGAGACTCGAAGGATGTCTGTCCACCCGTGTTCACCGCAGCCCTGTGTCCAACAGCCAAAGGTGGAAGCAGCCCCGTGTTCCTGGGTGGGTGGATGGGTGGATAGGTGGGCGAGTGGGTGGGTGGATGGATTAACATGGTGCAGTTCACACATACGATGGGGTCTTAAGCAGCCTCAGAAAGGAAGGAAATCAAAGTATTTTACCCCAAAATATATTTCTTTGACAGATGTTTATTATTACCATTTATTTATTTATTTTTTAAGATGGGGTCGCTTTCTGTCACCCAAGCTGGAGTGCAGTGGTGCAATCTTGGCTCACTGCAACCTCCGCCTCCTGGGCTAAAGCAATTCTCCCACCTCAGCCTCCCAAGCAGTTGTGACCACAGATGCGTGCCACCACAGCTGGCTAAGTTTTTGTATTTTTGGTAGAGACAGGGTTTCACCATGTTGCCCAGGCTGCTCTTGAACTCCTGAGCTCAAGTGATCCACCCACCTTGGCCTCCCAAAGTGCTGGGATTACAGGCATGAGCCACTGTGCCCAGCCTCTTTGATATATTTTAAAATGTCCCTGCAAAGCTTTCTCTTGTGGGGAAAGTCTACATTCTCTAGAGAACCCCCCTCCCTTTCCAAGTCTTTTTCCTGATCCAGGAAAGAATCCTCTAAGAGTCTGGCACCTTTTAAGTCTGATAGGAAACACTAACCATCTGTTCTTTCTAAAACCTGCTACCTGGAGCCTGCATCTGCATGATAAGAACCTTGGTCTCCACAACCCCTTATCCTGACCCAGACACTGCCTTCTATTGGTTCTAGGTCTTTGGATAAACTCTTTCAGCCAATTGCCAATCAGACAATCTTTGAATCCACCTATGACCTAAAAGCCCTCTCTGCCCTTTGAGTTGTCCCACCTTTCTGGATTGAACCAACGTACACTTCATGTGTGCTGATTGATGTCTTCTGTCTCCCTAAAATGCATACAAACCAAGCTTTGCCCCGACCACCTTTGGAATGTGTTCTCAGGACCTCCTGGGCTGTGTCACGAGCTATGGTCACTCACATTTGGCTCGGAATAAATCTCTCCAAATATTTTAGAGTTTGGCTGTTTTCATTGACACTCCTAAGGCAGGGCTGTGGCAACTGGGCTGCTGTGAGCTCTGAATCTGAGGGACAGTCCTGGACAGAAGCAAATGGACGACTCCAAGGAGTCTAAGGCAGACAGTGGGAGGGATGCGGCTGACACAGTGCCAGGCCAGGCCCATACGGGGCTGTCCGAGTTATTCCCACCAAACTCCTGGAAAAATGCAAAACATTGCAGGTTACCCTTGAGCCCAGGGCAAAGGCCCTTTGACCTTCTTGGGCAATCCTGCTGCAAGTACGATGACGTATCGGAAATGAACCATTGGTGCACAGATCATAAGGCACAGTTGTAACCTACCATAAACAGAAAGTATCTGAGACAGGTCTCAATCAATGTAGAGGTTTATTTTGCCAAGACTGAGGATGTGCCTGGGAAAAAGGAACACAAAACCACAGGAACATCTGAGATTTCTGCTTTGTCCAAGCAGGGTTTGGGGACTTCAATATTTAAAGTGGAAAGAGAAGGCAGTAGGGGAAAGAGGGAAAAAAAGTTGGGAGGGGATAGGAAAAAGGGGCAATGGCTGTATTCTTTCGAGGCCTTGATCAGCATTCACTGAATCCACATTTTACATAGGAGGCAGCAGAGGAATAGTCAATTACACATTGTCTCACTCTGTGAACCTGCACTAATAGGCATTTGTCTCAGGTGGGCGGAGGGATGACTCCTGGTCCCGTCTTTCTCCTGTACCTGTGAAGATAAACTGGTAATTTACATTGTCGGGGTGAAATTCAACAGAACTCTTTTAGGGTAAAGATCGTGGGGCCCACAAGGAATTTCCCTGTGAACAAATTGTGAAGGAGACCCCCCAAGGGAGGGATGTGGCCTTTTATCTTTGAAGGTACAAAAATGACAGGCAGTTTTGTGTGGCCAAAGGTCAAAAGCCCCTGCTGGCTGTGGAGTCTTGCATGTATTTTTGTTTACTGTTGTCCTCATCTGGACTCGGCCTGTTTTTATGATGGCCACAAGAGGACCTCAGCACTCAGGCGAGGCTTCAGAGCTCAGAGCCAGGTGGCCACCTGCTGCCTCGCCCGTGTGGACGGGGGATGCCCTCCTCTCAGAGACGCATATGGACCAAGTTGTCTCTGCTGGTATCCAAACTTCTTCTCCACAGGCCCGTGGGGAGGCCTCAAACCCAAGACCCCCACCCAACTTGGGTCAATCAGGTAAGCTAGGAATGGAAGAGAACTGGAATATTCAGGCACCGTTTTCCTTCCATAGCTGACAGCTGAATACTGATTTAGTTACCACGAAGAAAGAGGGGAATGTGGGTGGCAGACCTAGGTGGCCTCCCTGGAATTCCATGTCCCAAGTGGTCCTTCAATTGCAATGTGAATACAGCTGTGGTACCTCAGTCAAGATTCCTGCCTTTTTGTGAATCCACCTTCCTGCACTGCAATGGACGTGTGGCTTCTTGGTGCCTGGCCTCCACGAATCCGACTCCTGGCAGCCCCTGACTTCTTTTGGGGGATTCCTCCTGCTCCCACTCTCAGGTCATGCAGGTTCAGTGGAATGGATTCGGGTTCCATCTCCAGGGAAGCAAGAGGTCAAGCCTGGAATCCTCTGAAGAAAGGGTTTGGTTCAGCCATGAATGTTTTGCTCAAGTTAGACTAATCAGAATCAGGATTTAATTCTGGGGTTTTGGTGTGAACTGAGTGAAGCAGCAGGATGTAGTCCTGCCATTTTTCAGGGACAAGAGAGGCGTGGTCTCAGAAGAGAGCTAACACAGAGAGGGATAATCTAGGGGAGGGAAAGGAGAGATCAGAGCATATCTGAGCACTTGAGGTCTGTCCTGGCTTGCTCAGGCCTCCACAACCAAGTACCATGAACTGGGCAGCTTATCCAATGGAAACTTCCTGTCTCTGTCCTGGAGACTAGAAGTACAAGATCAAGGTGTTACCTGGACCCTGTGGCTCAGGTCGCGGCCTCCTTAAGGGATTTGCTATTTCCTTTGTGATTTATTGATCCAGTGGTGTTCAAGAGTGTATGGTTTAATTTCCACGTATTTTGAATTCAAGTAGTGTGATATTTTTCCAGCTCTGTGGTTTTTGCTCAAGATTGCTTTGGTTACTTGGGGTCTTTTGTGGTTCCATAAGAAATTAAGGGGTTTTTTTTAATCCTGTGAAAAATGTTATTGGAATTTTGTTAGGGATTGCATTGAATCTTTAATCACTTTGGGGAGTATGGACATTTTAACAATATTAATTCTTTCAATTCATGAACATGGAATATCTTTACATCTTTTTATAAAAACTTCTTCAGTTTTTCTCACCAGTGTTTTATAGTTTTCAGTGTACAGATATTTCACCTCCTTAGTTAAACTTATTCCTAAGTATTTCTCTAGCTATTGTAAATTGAATTGTTTTCTTAATTTCTTTTTTAAATATATTGTTAGTATACAGCAATGCTACTGATTTTTGTGTGTTGATTTTTTATCCTTCAACTTTACTGAATTTGTTTGTTAGTTCTAACAGTTTTTTAAAGCTATAGTAATCAAAACAATATGGCAGTGGCACAAAAAACATACATATAGACCAGTGGAACAAAACAGAGAGCCCAGAAATAATCCATGCTTTTACAGTTCATTGACTTTCAACAAAGAACACACAATGGGGAAAGGACAGTCTCTTCAATAAATGGTGTTGGGAAAACTGGATATCCACATATAGAAGAATGAAATTAGACCCTTACCTCACACCAGACACAAAAATCAACTAAAAATGGATTAAAGACTTAAACATAAGAACTGAAACTGTAAAGCTACTATAAGAAAACACAAGGAGAAACCTCCATGACATTGGCCAGGGCAATGAATTTTTTTAATATGAATCCTAAAAGCACTGGCAACAAAAGCAAAAATAGATAAATGGGATTACATCAAGCTAAAAAGCTTCTGCACAGTGAAGAAAATAATCAACAGAGTGAAGAGACAACCTGTGGAACAGGATAAAATATTTGCAAACTATGCATCCAATAATGGGTTAATATCAAAAATATATGAGGGATTCAAACAACTCAGTGGCAAGAAAACAAATAATCTGATTAGAAAATGAACAAGAAACCTGAATGGATATTTCTCAAAAGAAGACAAACGTTTCTCAAAAGGACATATGGATGGCCAAAAGGTATATGAAAAAATGCTCAACATCACTAATCATCAAGAAAATGCACAATGAAATATCACCTCACTTCTGTTAGGAGAGCTGTTATCAAAAAGATAACATGTTGGCAAAGATGAAGAGAAAAGGGAAGCCTTGTAGACTGTTGGTGGGAATGTAGATTAGTACAGCTATTGTGGAAAACAGCATGAAACTTCCTCAAAATATTAACAAAAGAACAACCACATGATTTGGCAATTCCACTTCTGAGTATATATCCAAAGGAAATGAAATCAGTATGTTGAAGACATATCTGCACTCCATGTTCATTACAGCATTATTTACAGTAGCTAAGATTCTAAAATCAACCTAAGCGTCTGCCAACAGATAAATGGATAAAGAAAATGTTACTATATATACACAATGGAATACTATACAGCCTTTAAGAAGAAAGAAATTCTGTCACTTGTGACAATATGGGTGGAATTGGAGAACATTATACTAAGTGAAATAAGCCAGGCAGAGAAAGACAAATACTGCATGATCTTATTTATATGTGACATTTATAAAAGGTAAATGCATAGGAGAAGAGAGTAGAATGATGGTTCTTAGAGGATACAGGGGGATGGGGGGCCCTAACGGGGCAGGATGGCGGCACCTCGGTTCTGGCCTGACATCTGTGCCCTGGCTGATGCAGGAGCAGGGAGGCCCTGACGGGGCAGGACGGTGACACCTCCTCTCCACACCTCTGCAGCAGAAGATCGTGCCTCCTGGTGGGGATGATTATTGATTAAAGCATCTGAATTCAATCAGAAGCTGTTTCCTGGTGCTCACATGTGTTTTCATTACCAACAGACCTGATCATTCTCTTTCCTTCCCTCTATTGATTTAAAAAGAGCAGCCTGGCCAAAGAATAAAGAAAGCAGCCCAGCACACACACACACACACCCCCACACATGCATGCACCATCCCCCCCCCTACACACCCCTCCCACATGCACATGTGTGTGCGCACATACACATGCACGCACAGGAGCCAACATACTGTAACTTTTCTGTGTTTTAGAAAACTCCTCTGTTTGTTTAGGTTATGGGTAGAAGGACTTGGGAACCTTGATAACCTCTGACTACTGTGTCCCCAACTGGGTGCTGTGTGGTGGCTCCCTGCTGCAAATAAATGGACTCTCCTTTTATTCACGATTCATGCCTCGAATAAAGACAGCAGCAGATAGTACATCTCTTTGAAAGATTTCTTTGCAACATGGATTCGGCCTTGAGAATTGTTCGATGTAAGCATGACTGAAATTTTGACAGAAAGATATTTAAACACAGGTCCAAATGCGGAATGATTCAGAAACAAGGATAGGTACAGATAAATCACCCTTCTTGACCGTAGAGATACAAACTATTGGATTCTGAACAACCATTAAGAGTATTTACCTTTATTTTCTTTGATTTTTGTGAAGACAAAAAACATTGAGATATGTGAATTTATTGTTTTTAAACATGTTTTATCTCTTCCTCAAATATCCCTACTTCTCTCCAATAGGAAGCCAGGATGGTACATTTCCTAGTATCTACTTTCACACGCAGACCACATCCATACCCGTGCAAGCACACGCTCACGCACACACATGGGTGCGGGTGTGGTCCAGGAGCCGGGTTCCAAGTCAGGTGGGCCTTGTTGAAATCTCAGTTCCACCTCGGACCTGCTGTATGACCTTGGGGAACTTGGAATAACCTTTCTGAGTCTCCAGTTCCTTATCTGCAAAGTGGGGTAAAAATAACGTTTTGAAGTAGAGTTGCTATGAATGTTTGCAGGTTAAAATCCCTGGCGGTAAGCGTGAGTTCGTCCTCATGGTACCAAGATCAGACCCCACCAAGGGCTGGCAGCTCTGGAACCAGCACAGAGTTGTACCTTCTAGGTGCTTGTGAGGTGAGAAAAGCATTTGGAGAGAATTTATCAGTGTTTCCTTCTTCATCTTTTTTCTTTTTTTTTTTGACAGAGTCTGGCTCTGTCGCCCAGGCTGGAGTGCTGTGATGCGATCTCAGCTTACTGCAAGCTCTGCCTCCCGGGTTCATGCCATTCTCCTGCCTCAGCCTCCCGAGTAGCTGGGACTACAGGCGCCCGCCACCACGCCCGGCTAATTTTTTGTATTTTTAGTAGAGACGGGGATGTTAGCCAGGATGGTCTCGATCTCCTGACCTCGTGATCCGCCCACCTCAGCCTCCCAAAGTGCTGGGATTACAGGTGTGAGCCACCACGCCCAGCCTGTTTCCTTCTTCTTTAAGCCAGTTCAGCCCGTTTCTAATCCCCGAAGCTCTTTGATTGTGCCCTCAGTGTAAATACTGAAGATACTTTGGTAGTAACAACAACAAAATAAATCATTGAAGGTAGAAGAATGTGTCAGGAGAGGAAAAATGGATAGTCCCTCCCAACCTGATCTCTCTATTTAAGTGATTTGGATCGGAAGAGCAAACAGTTTCTAGCAGATGTTAACACCAGTTAAATAATTAATTCCACGAGCTCAATCATGGTGTTGGCAAGTCAGTGACCTAAGGCCTCTGTCTGAGCCTGAGCGTCGAGTGACTCAAACATCGATTCAGGCATGAAGTCAGGCTTCAGGCTGGGCAGGGACGGGGTGGGGCCACCTTAGGGTTTCCAGGCCATCTGTAGCTGAAAGCCAAGTGCGACCAGCAGGTCAGCACCCCTGGCCTACCCTGGCATTCACTTCCAGATGCCTGGGAGGGTGGCGTGGCTTTAAGAGCTCTCGGGAAGGCCAAGGCCAGTTCCTGGCTGGAGATGGCTGTGGCCAGTGTCTTGGAAGCATCCAGGCACTGACAGGATGACTAAGTTTCTCTCCTGCTTGGAGAGCAGGGGGGATGATTACCAGGAGTGGAGAAACTTGCCTTCTTTTGGAAAAACGCAATGAAGGGATTCAATTTCCAGAGCAATTAATCTAGTGCCTCTGGGGATTTTACCTGTGACTTAGGAGCTGCCTTCTGTGACCCCATTGAGGCCTGGGAAGACCGCCCTTCCTCAGTGCTGCTCGGAAGAAAGCGTTTGATTCAAGGAACACAGCACAGGCACCTCATGAGTTATGCATGAAAAATCACCAAGGCACACAAAGCCGGGCTGGCAAAGACCAACCTGATGGCACAGGAAGGACAGAGGCTCCAGTCGAAAGAGGCCACGTCCTCAGAGGACCTCGGGTGCTGGGTCAGGATGACAAGGGTTTACGTTTAGAATGAGTTGGGATAATGTCCAGTGACTTGTTTGGTTCTTTGAGTTAAAAAAAAAACACAATCAGCATTTATGTAACAAGTCTTTCAATTCTGCACGGTTGCCAGGGCCCTCTGCGGCATCCTGCTAAGCAGGCATGACGGATGACGGGTGAGCCAGGGCCATTGGCCACAGCCCTTTCATTTTCCTGCAGAGCTCATCAGGAAAGGCTGCTCTGACATGGAACCAGTAAGCTCTTCCCTCTACCTGCCGGGTGATTCACACGGGCTCTGAACCAACGTAAGTCCTGTGCTCACTCATGAACAGGAGGGTTAGAACTCTACCCGCTCAGGGACCACTTACTGTGGTCTCCTGTATCTGATCTTTCTAAGGAAGGGAGAGGGGGCAGAAGCCCAATTCTTTCATTTTCTCACTGTGGAGACCTGAAAAGTGACCCTTCCCAAGATATTTTTACTTCCTAATCTTCAGAACCTGTGATAAATATCTTACATGGTAAGAGATGAGATTAGGTGAGGGATCTCTTGAGGAGGAGTTGATCCTGGATTTGCCTGGTGGGCCCTAAATGCAATCACAGGCCTCGGGGTGGGAGAAAGGCAGAGGGGTTTGGTCACAGACACACAGAGAGGGCAGTGTGGAGATGGAGCCGGGAGGTGCAGCTGCAGCCAGGGGAGGCCTAGAGCCCCGCAGAGCATCAGGAGGCTGGAAGGAGCCTTCCTGGACCTTCAGGGAAGCTCGCCCTGCCTGCACCTGGAACCGAGATCACAGGTCTCTAGCTGCAGTTCTGTGCGCCCTGCCTGCACCTGGAGCCGAGATCATGGGTCTCTGGCTGCTGTTCTGTGAGCGGGTAGATCTGCTGGTTAAGGCCACCAGTCAGTGCCATTTGTCTCGGCGTCCATGGGAGAGAAACACAGTCCCTTTCTCCTTCCTGGAGCCCCCTCCCCTGTCCTTGGCTTATGTCCTCTGGCACGTCCTGAGCTGTGGCCACAGCGAGCCTCAGGCTCCAGGCCTTTCTGCCCAGCTTCTGCTATGGCCTAGCATGGTGGACCCTCCCTCACGTCCCATCCCTGACTCCCCTCATCCACCCAACTGTCCCCGCTCAGCCGCTGCGACCGCTCCCAGGAGAACGCTCTGTTCATTGCTCGGCACTGAGGGTTGTTTTATATAAATATCACTCGCGACAGTGGATGCCTCTTCAGGGTGGAACCCACGTGGCAGCTGGTGTGTCCCTGTGGGCAACTTGCTCATGACTTTGCACCATCACTGGAGGTTTAACAAAAATCTCATTTATTCAATTCCAGGCTGGAGGTAGCCTGCATCATTTCTTCATCTGGTAGGTAGTTTTCTTTTTTTTTTTTTTTTAATTCGGGATTTAAACCCTTTCTAGGAAACAGACATCTCTAGAGAAAAATGAAAGCATAAATCTACCTCTATAAGCTTGAACAAATAAATTACAGTAAAGCACTGTTAACTCAAACTAACTTGAAGGAAACGCTGCTTATTAGCAGGAAAGATCATTTAAAGTAAAATACACATGGTACCACCTTTGATCACTGTGGATTCTGGAGCAATGTTCATATTCCATGCAAGGATGCCAAGGGCCAGGTTCCAACGTGGGATTGTTTCTCCCGCCCCATGAGGGTCCATTGCCAAGGAGGGACACACGCAGGAAAATGGGAATTTAAAGGATTGCTGACTGTGTCTCCCAATGCCCCAACGAAGGACTCCAGAAAAGTGAGCAGGGGCCGGGCATAGAGCCCAGGCGAGGGTCCCAGGCTAGGCCTCGCTCCCAGCTCCTTGGAACCTCAGCCCTGCTGGCTCCAGAGGCCAAGACTCTGTGATACAGGAGTTATTAAGAAATAATTTTTAGGCAGATAGTAAAGGTAAAGGTTCTTGGTGTAAACTTTCCTGTAATAAAAAACACCCGAACCATCTCTTTTCTAACAGAAAAGGCGGCTTGAAGGGCCGGACTGGCAAGCTTTGATATGCAAATGCCGACCATTAGAAACTGGATACCTCAATATGGCAATTCCCGCTGTCTTCTCCTTGCCAGCACGTGTACCAAGTTCATGGCCACCTCCAGATAACACCAAGTGTTGGGAACATCATGGTGACCCACATTTGCATATTAAAGGGCTAAGGTGGGAGGGCCAGGTTTTTCTCAGGCTATGTAAATGACACACCTGGTCAAGCCAATCCCCTCGGCCTTATGCAAACCAGACACCGCCTCCTCCAGCGTCCCAGTATAAGCAGCCACTTTTCCGCCCCACACGGGGGTTTTCTCTTTGTTTGAATCCCCCTCCCTCTGCTCTGTACAGGGGAGCTGCTTTCTTCTTCCTTCCTTCTTTCTTGCCTATTAAACTTTTTGCACTGGGCCTGACACCCCTGCCACTGGCCAGGGGCTGAAGGGGCCTGGACCCAAGTGACCAGTAAACAGCCTCGATCTCTCTCTGTCTCTCTGCATCTCTGTCTCTGTCTCTCTCTCGTCCAAATCTTCAGAGGCAGCCTGGCCTCCTGGGGATGGTGGGCTAGGCCTGTGAGGTTGGGGGGATCCAATCACTAAGCGGAAGGTGCAGAGCCCAGCCCACCCTGCCTCCCTGGCCCCACTGCTCTCGGAGGCATGGAACACACTGCCTCACTTCCTCACCACGGCCAGTGGAGACGGGGCAGGGGTCTGGCATTTGAAAGGGCCGTCCTGTTCAGCCCTGCCCCTGGAGAACCAGCCTCGGGTGTGCCTGTGACGGCTCCATGGAACAGGCCACTATAGATTCCGCCGTGACAGTCAGGATGTTGGAGGGCCCCTGCCACCATAGGGCCTGACTTGGGGCAGCCAGACCTGAGTGGGAGCAGGGATGGCCTGGTGGGAGAGGCCTCGGCTCACCACTCACTGGCTCTGCAACTCTTACTAAACCAGCACTGACAGCCACAGCCTCAAATCCCTCTGGTGCAAGCTTGGAGTTCGCGTTCATCCTTCCGTGTTTTCCGGGGGCTGAGCACGTTTCTTCCCGGCCTCCTGCTCCCCACAGAGATGAGGCTGTGCTTGGGTCACAGCTTCCCCTTCTGGAGGTTACATTCTGCTCCATCTTCAGTGTCTGTGATATGGGCGTGTGTCTGTTATGTGTGTGGCTGTGTGTCCCTGTGTGTTTGTGTGCTGCATATTTGTGTGTATATGTGTGTTGTGTTTTGTGTGTGTGGTATTTCTGTGCATTTGTGTGTCTGTACGCTCTGTGTGTATCTGTGCATGTGTGTGTCTGTGCATGTGTCTCCATATTCCTGTGTGTGTGCATGTCTGTATGCTCCCTGTATGCATGTGTGTGTGTATGCTCTATGTGTCTGTGTACATGTGTATATGCTATGTGTGTGTGCATATGTCTGTACACTCTGTGTGTGTCTGTGCACGTGTGTCTGTATACTATGTGTGTGTGCATGTGTATGTGCATGAGTGTGTCTGTGCCTGTGTCTGTACACTCTGTGCATGTATGTGCATGTGTGTGTCTGTGCATGTGTGTATACTCTGTGTCTGTGCACATGTGTGTCTGTATGCTATGTGTGTGCATGTGTGTCTGTGCATGTGTGTCTGTACACTCTGTGTGTGTTTGTGCAGGTTGCATGTGTGCATGCGAGACCTTGCTTTGTTTGCCACATGTGGCAGCTCCCTAGGAAGGCGCCTCTGCAGGGTCCTGCTGCTCAAGCCTTCCCGCTGAGCTGCCTTCATGCTGCCCTGACCCACAGTTGAAAGCTGAGCTCTGCAGCCCGTGCCAGGAGCTCTTCTTGCTGTGTTTTTGCTGCAGGAAGCAGCAAAATGGGTGCTGGGTGGAAACTGGAGCCAGGCCCCTCCACGTGCTGCTCTCGGGCCCCTGGAGATGACCAGGCCAGTGAGGGTGGGGCCCTAAAAAACCTGTGGCCATGGGAGGGTGTGCCCGAGCCTGGGGTCTCCTCCTCACGGGGGCCCTGGCCACCAGCTGGGTGTGCACTTGCAGCCCCAAACATGCCCCGCGGATCCCACCCTCCAGCGTTGCTGGGTCCTGCCTGGCGCTGTGCTTCCTGCCAGCAGAGGGTGCGGTGACAGCCTGCCCCGTTGTTCCCTGGTGCCCCGAGTGACTCTGTGCCCCAGAATCCCTAGGCTAACCTAAGCCCCAGTGTGGCTGCATTGGAGATGGGGCCTTGAGGGAGATCATTAAGGTTAGACGAGGTCATGGGGGTGGGCCCTGACCCCATGGGATTAGTGTCCTTGGAGGAAGGGATGCTGGAGAGCTCTCTCTTTCTCTCTCTCTGTGCACAGAAGAAGGAAAGACCTGTGTGGGCACAGCAGGGAGGCAGCCCTCTGCAAGCCAGGAGGCAGCCCTCTCCAGGAACCAGCCCTGCCCACGCCTTCATCTCAGACTCCATCCTCCAGAACTGTGAGAAAACAATTTCTGTTGTTAAGTAGCCGGGACGACAGGCATGTGCCTCCACACCCAGCTAATTTTTGTAATTTTGTAGAGACAGGGTTTCACCATGTTGCCCAGGCTGGTTTCGAACTCCTGGACTCAAGCAATTCACCCACTTCTGCCTCCCAAAGTACTGGGATTACAGGTGTGAGCCACTTTGCCCAGCCTCCAGAACCTTTTTATTTTCCCAAATGGAAACTCTGTCCCCATTAAACGCTCACTCCCCTTCCTTCTCCCTAGCTCCTTGCAGCCCTCACCCTCCTTTTTGTCTCTGTGGTTTGACTCCACTAGGGAACCTCAGATCAGTGGGTCCCACGATTATTGTTTATGCTGCTTGTATCTTTAGACATAATTGAGTTTTGAAATAAAAAAAGAAAATCAAAAATAAAACATCAAATTTTAAATCAAGAATTCAAGCTGTCTTTATTTATTTTACAAACAATAACATGGCCACGTGAATTCACGATTCTAATGAAGTGTGACCTAGTCCTGCCACCCTGAATTCATCAGAGATCAGGGGCGTGGCCTCGGGAACCTCAGGTCTCAGGGAATCCACCAGGCCTTTCCCACACAACCAAAGCGAGAAGCACAAGCACATCTCAGCGTCTCTGCAAGTTTGTCGTCTTTCCTTGACTTCAACCAAATAGTCACAGAATTCACCTCTAAGAGTCAGGCCCAGGAGAATAATTAGCAAATCAATGTAATTTTTATTCCTTGTCTACTGGTATGAGAACTGTTAGATTATCAAGCCACTCTGTAATGAATGTCTCTTAATTAGTGGAGTTGACTTCACAAAACCCACTATGAACATATTTGGGGCACAGCCCTATGCTATAACCTGTAACAAAGCAAGGCCGTCATGAGCACAAATTCAGGGCAGGGCTCAGCTCTGAGGGGAGGGCAGTGGTGGGACCCCCGCCTTGGGTCCAGAGTTGTTTTTCTTAAGCTGGGTGGCGGGGCAAGGATATTCGTTACTGCCTCGTTGTACTGTGTAAGCGTTTTGTTGGTGCCTATCCCATCGAGAATACAGAACAACAGACAGAGGACACTGGTGCTCACTGGCTAGCCAGGGGGGCAGCGGGGCAGCAGGCAGGGCCGGAAGGCGTGAGAGGGGCAGAGGCGCTGCAGGATCCCCAGTCTGGAGACGTAGTTTGGAACGTCTGGAGATCCCCAGTTTGGAACGTAGCACAGCGTGCGTGGGGGGCAGGGGGCAGGGAGCAGGAGGGTCCACACTTGCGTGGGGCAGGGGCGGGGTCTACACTTGTGTGGGGCGGGGGCGGGGTCTACGCTTGCGTGGGGCAGGGGCGGCGTCTACACTTGTGTGGTGTCTACACTTGCGTGGGGCAGGGGCGGGGTCTACACTTGTGTGGGGTGGGGGCGGGGTCTACACTTGCGTGGGCATCTGGAGGGTCAGGGAGGCTTCTCCGGACTTCATCCTGAAGGTGTAAATGCCACCCTCCTGCTGGGGTTCTGGAGGTTTCCTTGTGGTTCTGGGGTGGCCGGGGACCTGATGTGGGTCCTCATGCCCAGGGGGACCGAGGATCAGCCTGGGGCTGGGTGAGGGCCCGGATCTTGGAGGCTGCAGCTTAAACAGAGAAAAATGAGCGGATTTGAGAAATTTTCAGTTTCAGAGATGAAATTGACAGGCCAATGTGGTGAGTTGGAGCAGGAGGCTGAGATAGGGTGGAGCTTCCGAAAAAAGAAACAACATTTAGCTGAGATACAGCAGTACGCACAATGCCGAGCGCCTACTGAGTGTTCATGTTCCGGCAATTTCACCAGTCATTTTGTCTCTCAACCTCCATGGCGAGGGGGTTCTCTCTGCAGTCAGCCCCTCCCCAGACAGAGCCACCGCCTGGATCCGGGGATCTGAGGATGAAATCTCTGAGAGCCCCTCGTGGGCCCTGGAGGACAGATGAATCCGTGATGGGCAGCACGGATCCGGGGATCTGAGGATGAAAGCTCTGAGAGCCCCTCGTGGGCCCTGGAGGACAGGTGAATCCGTGATGGGCAGCACGGATCCGGGGATCTGAGGATGAAAGCTCTGAGAGCCCCTCGTGGACCCTGGAGGACAGGTGAATCCGGATGGGCAGCACCCCCTCAGGCCCATTGTGAGTGGGATCGCGTTGGCTTCCCCCATGGGAGATGCCACTGCAAAGTCCAAATGCCTGAAGAGCCCCGACGGAGCCACGCCAGCCGGTTCTTTCTCCCCGAGGCACCTGCTGAGCTGCCTCGTTGACTTCCCACCCCAGTGGTTTGGAAAATGGGATGCCCATCATTTGAGCTGTGACTTCTGCCCCCTCTCACAGCCGCGTTGTGTCTTCACTTCACATTAATGTTAAAAAAAAAAATAGGGGCTGGGCACGGTGGCTCATGCCTGTAATCCTAGCACTTTGGGAGGCCGAGGCGGGCGGATCACGAGGTCAGGAGATTGAGACTATCCTGGCTAACACGGTGAAACCCCATCTCTACTAAAAATACACAAAAAATTAGCCAGCCGTGGTGGCGGGCGCCTGCAGTCCCAGCTACTCTGGAGGCTGTGGCAGGAGAATGGCTTGAACCCTGGAGGCGGAGCTTGCAGTGAGCCGAGATCGAGCCACTGCACTCCAGCCTGGGCGACAGAGCGAGACTCCGTCTCACAAAAAAAAGAACAAAACAAAAAGGAAAGGCACGCGGCAAAGTCTCCAAGTACAACCTGTGACGTATTTTGCACTACTTACTCCATTCGATAGAAGCTGGAGAAAAAGGATGAGTGCCCCTGCCTGGAACCAGCCATGGCATTTACATCATGATGTCAGTTTGACTCAACGTCCGTCACTGCACTTACATCACTTCATAAGCAATTTCCCAACATTTCTGACGCTGTAGTCACAAAAAAGAAATAAGGAGTCATGCAGGTCAGGTTTTGAAAATAGATCTAAAACCCAAGGCTATACTTTCTAATAGCCAGTCATGCATAAGATTTAAAATTCTCCTCTTTCTAACACTTTTCCATGTAGATGTTCTTGTCCAGCCTCATCTCAGCAAGCTCAAATGAGAGTGAAAGGGGTATTGGTCTGATGTGGTCAGCAGATGTGGCCTTATGCCTCCATGGGTCACTCGCAGGTTTGATTGATGCTCGTTGACTTACGGACGTTTCTGCCTGAGCGCTGTCTCAGGCCTCCTGGGGCTCGCTCTCCACCAGCGATTCCTCCCTCAGTTTCCACGTTTGCTTCTGTGACCGGCCTTTCCTTGGGTGCGTAGAAATAGTCACATCTCATATGTGGTTAGAAAATTATCCCTCAGCACTGGGTCCCCTTCTTTCTCTAATTCTTGCCTTCCCTTCACAGCGAGTCTACTCAGGACAGCGCCGTGGCAGACACGCACGTGGCCAGGCCCCAGGGGAGCTGTTCACACTCTTGTCCACGTTTGCAATGTGCACGGGTGCAGCTCTGTGCAGCCACTCTGCCGGGCGACCCTTTCCCGGCACCTGCCCTGGAAGCCGCTGGGCCCTGTGTCTCTGCACTGCCTCCCATTGACACTGCTCTCACCGAGGTCCCTGGGGGTGCCTTTCACCCTTCCCCAGCCGCTTAACCACATCCGTACTCAGCATCTCTGCAGCACTCAATACTACTGACCATGGAAATCCCGGCTTCCTAGGCTTCGTGACCTTGGTGGAACTGGGTTTTCTCCTCCTGTCTGTGGGGCCTCTGTCCCTTCAATGCAGGTGTTCCTTGGGCTCTGTTCCTGCACCTGACCCCTCCCTCTCCCTGCACCTGACCCCTCCCTCTCCCTCTCATTTCCATGGCTCCAGTTATCACTTGTGCACCAAAAACTCCCAAGCACAAGTTCGACCAAATGACCTTCCCTGGAGAGCACCTGCCCTGCACGAGCCGCCTGGCGACCCTTTCTCCACCCCTGCCAGAGGGACCTCGCCAAACTCAGAGGTGAGCAGTCCTCCACCTTGCCAAACATCCTCTGGGCGTGGCAGGGAAGGTCGGATGCATGGGCAGGCGAGGGCCTTGCTGATCTGACCCCATCTACCCGTTCCCCTCCCCAGCCCAGTCACTCACCATTCCTGCCCCTCCAGGGAAGCCCTGGGCTCCATTTCACAGAACACATGAGCGTCCTAAGAAGATTCCGAGTTCTTTCATGTTCTCCTTCTGTGTACATGCTACTGTGGACAACCGCAGTGTCATTCATGACGCAGCTCCCGCTCCCTCTCTCTCCTCTGGAAGCTTCCATGACACCCTGTGTGGGGTGAGACCCCCACCAACCACCTGCCACTGTCGCACCCCACCTGCCCGTATCGGAGAAGGTACAGCCCCACCCCATCACGAACAGGAAGCCCACTGGACAGAGCTACATCTGACACCGTAGGGCCCTCCCTTTCGGTATCTTCCAAACGGCTCATTGTCGATTAAATAGGAAATCATTAAGAGAAATACCGACAGAAACTAAATATTTCCATGGCCACTTAGACACAATACTAACTAAATATTTCCATGGCCACTTAGACACAATATTTTTTGGGGGACTCAGGCTTTTTCTCCGGCAGGAACTCACTGGGGTTTGTGTCTTTCTTGCATGAACAAATGCCGAATGACTCCGACAATTTTCTGCTCATTTCCGCAGAGTAGGGTGAGGACTTCACAACCCTGCAGAGACAAACACGCTTTGGGACTTTTATGATTTCTCCATCTGCTCCTAAGTCAACAGCAATTTTTGTAAAGCAGACAGAGTTTCTATCTTTCCAAAGCATTCACCTTAGTTTTTGAGAGAAACAAAGCTCTCTCCTTTCATGCTCTGCATCTTAGATATCATATTAGCATATTGTATTAATCACCTCCAGTCTTTTCTCTTTGATCACATTTTTTCACTAATAACACATGTGACTTCAAGCACAGTTTAAATGAACTACCTAATTTGTAACAGAGTAAATGGGAATTCTTCAGGAATTCCTGACCCCAGGTGGTCACTGAGGGACCTCGCTTCTTTCGGAGCAGCATGGGAACCTCTTGTCGGCTCAGGGCTGTCTGCGTCCAGACCCCAAACACCTCGCCCTGCTGTCTTTCCTCACAGCAGCCCCATCATTTGCAACTCTCTGCTTTCATTTGCCTATCATCTTTCTTTCCTTCCAGAACATGAGAATCGTGAGGACAGGGACTTTTGTCTGTTTACATTATCACTGTGTATAACTACACTAAAGAGCAATATTTCAGGTGCCTGATACATAAATATTTGTTGAATAAATAAATTTTCCTTTTTACTCATCTCACCATCAGATGGAGTTTGCATTCATTAAAAATTAGGTTTGGCTCTCGTTACAGATATTCAAAATGTCAGGAGTTTAAACAGGGCAGAAGTTTATTTCTGTCTCTCTTGAAGGTCAGGTGCAGAGACTTCGGGGCTGGTCACAGAGCCCAGACTGCTCTGGGAATTTGTGGGCCAGGACGCAGCCTCGGGCAGGGCTCCCGGAGCCGTGCCCCCATTTCTTTCCCATCCTTTGTCCGGAAATTACACACATGGCCGCACTTACTGCGATGGGCGGGAGAATGTGGTTTTCATTCCAAGAGGCCGCTGTTTTTCCTGTAGACAGTGGGTAGAACAATTAGCAGCAAGAAGCACCCTGCTGCAAGCTTGCCTGTGTGATGAGGTGGAGAGGCACTGAATGCCCCTTCCTCGTCACTGTGCTCACTTTGGTGGAGGCTTATCATGATCGACTAGGACAATTTTCTAGCATGTCTGCACCGAATCTCTTCCCGATAGAATTGAAGGTGAACTCAGGGCAGCATGGAGTGCCCACCTGGCCTCCTCCCAGTGTGTCTGCGTCTCCGCTTAGTCTCCGAAGTGAGTTGTTTGGTTGCATGTGGATCGGCCTTTGGATGGGAAGGGTCAGGAACCCTCACTGGATGACCCTCGCTTTCCAGAGGCGGCACAGGACAGAAATCACACCTGCCCTGTCGAGGGTGGACAGAGTTCATGTGGAGCCTGGGATTTGGGTGGGTGATGGGGGCGGGGGACTTTTCATAGGTTCAGCAGAAGAGGAGGGTGAGGGAGGGCACAGGGCGAGCCAGGCCGCGCGTCACGGGCAGGACACGGCCGCTTCCCTTCCAGGTCTCCTGCTGGTGGGAACAGGAGCGCATGTGCCCGGGAAGCTCGGTGGATAAAGGCTGTCGCTCGCGCTTGTTTGGGAAACTGGGGGGAAGTCCTGATGAAAAAGGGGTGCCTGGGAGTGGGCTGGAAGAGCTTTAAAATGCCAGGCTGCTGGGGTAACTGTGGGGTGTGGGATGCCCGGGCTCCCCAGACCCCTTCGTCAGCAGCTTCGCGTGGCCTCCTTCATTCATACATCCCCAAGCCACAATGGAGCAAGGCAGAGAACTGCTGTGGCCCCGAGGTAGGGGGAAGAGGGTCCGGAGTGGCTCCAGGCACCTACAAATGTCTCCTAGGGATGGGGTCTTTGAGGACCTCAGGCTGCCTTTCCCATCACCTGTTTTAGTGACCTTCGTATCTTCTCTTTTTAATTTTTATTCTTCTGAAATCAGCCTATTTAGGAAGTACAGTATAATACCTATAAATATTCTCAGCCTCGGAAAGATTTACTTTTATAAAATACACAACTAAATAAGTCGTGCAAAACATCTGATGTAAGATATTTATAATACAGGCCTCTCCCTGAGCTAGTGGTGCCTGGAGCCAGGGTTCCCAAGAGTCCCGGGACCCAAGTGCACATCACAACCTGCAGAAGAATCAACACCTCATTCAGACACTTAACCCTGTGATGTCAATATCTGTAGATACACATGAGATTGGCAAAGTAGAGATGTGTTTTCAGAGTCCTCTTGATTTCACAGTGGCTTTTTGTCATTTTTTTTGGTTGTTCATTTCAATTAGTGGACAGTAAGAACACCTGTGCTACCCGTGAGCAGCCAGCACAATGTATTCTGACATCAAACAGCTCCTTAGAAAGTCTGGGAACCCTGCCATGAGACGTCATGCAAATCCAGTTGAGAGTCCTTTGTCTCTTATGATTCTAAACAAAAGTACCACCTTCTTCAGGGAAAGTGGAATTGACCCACCCTGTGACCGGCAAGTGCCCGCTGGAGGGCACCTTCCCTGGGGGGTAGTTTAGTTTTCCTTTCAATGCCGTGAACAGTTTCACTTCCGATTAAGCACCAAAGCAAAAGATATACAGAAATAGTTCATTTGGAAGAGGATGGAGTCAAATCAGCTGTTTTTCTTTTTATTATACTTACTATAATTTAAAAAAATCCTAAATGAAGGCGACATGGAGAGATTTCCTCCTGTTAGGGACGGGCCTGACATCGCGCATCTCAGGTCTTCTGTGCAGGCAGAATCCACGGCGAAGACGTGCCTTGTTCATCACCTGTGCAGAGAACGAAGAAAGCAACCTTCATGCTTCCCTTTCTCACTAGAAAAACAAAAGCATGAGTCTGGAATCTATGCAACGTGATATTGTTTTAGAAACTGCGGAAATTTCTGTTTCTATTCTGGGGTGTTTTCCAAGCACCACGATGGTAGCACAACGCTCACCTGCCCCAGCTTGATTCGTCAGATTTCACCAGCTCACTGCACAGGATGCATAGGTGGTGCACAACAGCGTGTGCAGCTTACTGCTTATAAATCAACTAGCTTGCTCATAAGACACCGTTACTGCAGACTTTTTAATCTCTCTTACCCTACCCCTGGGAAAAGGACTGGTAAGTGTAACGTTCATGAAGTATCTTGCATAGGCAAGGATTTACTCAAATGCCAAACTCAACTTAAACCTGAGTTTTTCAATGCTAAGCATTGGGAGGCCTGAACCAGCTCCTATCTGAGGCAGCATTAACATGCTTGCCCTTCATACTAAGAGAAATATTCACTTTCTCTAGGGATGAGGAGTGGTTAGCAGAAGGAAATCAAACTTTTCTGGAAATGATTTCAGCATATTCATCTTGTAAGAATGTCTTCTGATATAATGCTTAAAAAAACAAGTGAATGTGAGAGTTGCTTTACACAATTCCCCCTGGGTTTTAGGAATTTCACCAAATACAGTCTGGGGACCTGGAGTCTTTCTGCCTGGTCAGTCCTGGAGGTGGAATCTGGAAACAGCCTTGGATCGCAGCCTTCCACTGCTGGGCTCGGCCCTCCATTGGGTCCCCCCTTCACCCCACGCCCTTTCCCAGAGGCCTCCTGCTTCTGGAACCGGAAATGTTCATTTTGGTGGGGCCGTGATTGGTGGGCTCAGAGCCAGAATTTCCCATCTCAACTGCCCTTTGAAAGACAACGGCAAGAGGGACCCAGGTGACATGGAACAGAGCTGTGTGCCTGCCAGGGAGAAAGTCTATGTACAAGGAATGCTGTGAGCCATCTCCGCTTCCAGTGGGCAAGACCAGAAGTCACCTGAACTGTGAACCTGGTGGGTCCTCTGGCCTCTGCCTCTCAGCCACTCTTTTGTGAAGAGTAAATGAAACAGCTTCTGCACAGAGCCCAGCGCTATGCTGGGTGCATCATACACATTTCAGAAAATGTACCCTGACCACAGCATGAGCCATGGTGCCCACAGAAAACACAGAGTGTGCCCGGTGGGACCTTCAGAAATGGGCGGAGTCCCCTTTGCCTCTCCCCAGTCTCTGCATCCGTTCCCATTGGGCGTGTTATCGGATGAACGCAGAGGGCTGAAGCGCTCTGGCTTTTCATTGTGGGTTTTTGAGCCAATGTAAAGACATTTGTTCCCATGGACCCTGGATTTTCAGAGACACCCAGATATCAGGAGCGGCACAGCTGGCGTTCTGTGGAAAGTCATACCAATTATTTATGATCTAATGCTTTTAGATTAGAAAAATCAACAATATCACATCTGGGGAAATAGTTGTTATGGTCCACTGTGTGATAAAAAATACAAATGATCCAAGATCCTAAGAAATATAATATTCAATAAACAGGATGTCTGCATTCTAGTGTTTTCTTTCAATTTATGTTAAGGCCTTTGTGGAATCAATGTGACTTGGTGTAGAGATGGGTTGCCCCCACTGTCAATCACTTTCAAGAGCTTTGCTACCTCCTCCTCCCAGCCTCTCCTCCTAGGAAGCATCTGAAGCTCCTGGGGCTCCCTGGAGGCAGGTGCACAGCCTGGACCCCCAGGACAGGTAGTGGTGCCATGTTTCCAGCCCATCTCCTTCCTATAATTACAAGTAGAAGAAATACATGGGCTCACGGACTATTTGATAATCCAATTAATGAAAAGCTAATCATATTAAACTTCCAGAAAAAAACATATTTTGACTAATTAGCTGCTGACACACCTCTAAAGTACTATTCCCCTGTAATTGTTGTCTGTGTATCCTTTGGTTGACTCTTCATGTGCCAAGTCTTGTATAGAGAAAATTAAAAGTTAATTCAGCAATCCAGCATGCCTGACCAAAACTGATTTTTATTACTGAGTTTAGGAAATATTTTATATAGAAAACTTCGTTGTAATAGCATGCAACTTTTTATAATTTTTTCGTTTCCTTTGGGAAAACCTCTACCAAGTTGCTTTTGTCCATAACGATGTGATTTCAGAGCTGTTTAAGTCTTCCTCTGCTCCGACCCCTTTTAAGTTGGCCATATCCATTAGTGAATTTGCTTTTAGTGCCCTCATTTTTATTATGTATGAAACTCGACGTCAACACTGTCCGTTGTGTTCCTATGAGTAACTCTTCTGTACCAACTAGCTCAGGAGCCCATGGTTTTCTTCTACTGGCAATTCCTCTTTCTTTTATGCATTCTTTTGTATGTATAGTCTGAGTGTGTATGAGTGCAAGGTGCTTGCAGACTTTCTGAGGACAAGATGTAACACATCCTGAGACATGGTTAATTAACCGCATAACCACATAACCACATAAACCACACACAGAGTCACCTGCTGTGTGTAACCCAGCTACAGTTTTGCACCACACACACAGGAATTCTGATCAACTCTATTTGGCATGGTTCATGTCAGTAAAGAAAAGCAAAGCCTGATGTACTGTTCATTGTAGATGCTGTGTTATCAGTAGCAATCCTGGAGGACTGCGTTTTTATTTTGGGTAGGCAATGCGACCTGAGTCCACCGTGTACAGTTTCACACTCTCGATGACTGGAAGAATTCTTTATAGATTGTTTCTAGCTCCTTATATTTAAACCTGATTTCTCCTCCAGTATTCACAGGCTGCCAAAGAACGTCCCCATCAGGACATGCCTCTTAGTTCTGCCCTCAGATCTAGCCAAGAGGGCCATGCTCTGGGCCTGCTTTTGGGAGGACCTCACCCTGGCCTTGCTGGGCCACCAAGCCCCACCCCACGGTGTGTCCCTGGGAGCCCTGGAGCCTGCTTCACTCTGTAGATTTGGCCAGGCATCCTGGGCCCAGGAATTCCCTACTCACCAAGCCCTGAGCCCCTTGAGGGTCTGCATAAGCCCCTCAGTGGATCTTCCTTCTGAGGGTAGAGTGCACTGCGGTGTGAGCCCCAGGTCAAAGAGGGCTGCTGGCAGGAGCCGTGGAAAGAGCATGGACCTGGAGGCCAAAGGGCCCTGCAGTGCACACATGTGTCTGGGCAGGGGGCCCAGCTGGCATCGCCACAGGCCATGGATGCCAGGGATGGGTGGGAGATGGGAGGTTTCCAGAAGGATGGGAAGAGAAAGGAAGTGCTGTCCAGAGGCCCACAGAGCACGTTCGGTCAGGAACCCGATGCTGCCCCTCTAGGGCCTGCACTTGATGAATGTTGGACTCGGCGGCTTCAGGTTTTGTTCAGTGTTTTGCTCACTGGCTCACTCTTGGCAAGTTTCTTTCTGCTGCCAATATCTATTGCCTTAAACCAGTCTTTTCCTTTCTTTTAGGGTTCTGTACCTCTGTTTGTCAACGCATCCCTTCTGAAAATTATGTAACACAAAGCATATGGCTGGGCTTAGGTCTTTATTTTCCTTTGAAATCCTTCAGCCCTACCACTATTCAGTGTCCGGCCAACAGGGAAGCCAGAGATGCCCTGGTTTAGCATCCTCCTGTTAGGGGGAGGCGGCTGGAGTCAGGTTCAGGTGTGGCCGTGGTGGCTGCACCTGCTCCTCCTGCCATCAGCGAATGGTGCCCTCCCTGGCCCTGTGCTCACCCGGCTTTGTCTTTGATGCCTCTCTGGGCCCAGCATCTCCCCGGTGCTCTCCAGGCTCCTCACATCATTCCCCCTCAGGCTGGGGCTTACCCCAGAGCTCCAGCTTCTGAGTGTGGGGTGAGGGGCCCCTGCCACTGGGCAGCCACAGAGGGCGGAAGGCATGGAGGTGACAGTGGGAACTCTTTCGGGTGACCCTGAATAGACACCATCTGTTGGAACACTGCCAGAATATTTGCCTCTTCGTGCTGATGGATAAGGAAAATAATGCCCACTCAGTGCTTAGCAAAGGGTAGAGTCGGTGAGTGGTGGCAGGAAGGGGTGGGAAAGGGGAGAGGGTGGTGGCGGGGAAGGGCCTCAGATCTTCCATCTGGTCTTCCTCACTGATGTCAGAGGCCTCTGCTGTGGGGCGGGAAGGCAGTGTGGGTAGCTCCGGTCTGGCGGCACAGCTTTTGGGACTCCAGGTGCTTGATTCAGCAAAACTTCTCCAGGGCCAAAACTGGCTTTGTGAGGGTGACCGCCAGGGCCTCATCGAGGTAGGCAGAGAGGGTTAAATAACCCACACAAGGAATAAGCAGGGACCAGTGCAGGAGCTATGGGGGAATGGAGGACATTGAAGTGAGGAGAGGGTCCTGAGCCACCTAAGTTGTGGGAATTGCTGGTTGGGGGTTGAGGCTCAGAAGACAGAATCAGAATCCGCACTTCTAAGCAGAAGAGTATTTATTTTGGGGGCACTCAATGGCTTACAGAGGCACTGGAGGAGCTAAAGAAGTAGAATTCACACTGAGCTTTTAGAAACAGTTCCCACAGCCTTGCCCCAGAACTGGGTCCCAAGGAAGCAGCTGCCTCTTCCTCACTCAGGAGCCTGGTGCATTAGGGGCTGTCACCCCAGAACTGGGTCCCCAGGAGGCTGATGCTGCAGCTTTCAACTTTGGAATTACACAGCCTCATGCAGCCAATGCCTGGGCCCCAGAACCTCCTCTGTGTCCTTGGGGACTGTTCTTGCAGCAGCCTGTATCCCATCCCACCTTGCAAGTCTGGCACAGGTGCCTCTGATGGAGAGAACGTAAATGCTACCTGCAATCACAGCTGCCGAGTCATATGGGAGATGTGACTTTAGCTTTCAATCTCTGTTCAAGAGGTTGTCACATTAAAAATGGGAATGGCTGTGGCCTGGCTATTCTGGGGACATGGAAAGGGGACAGAGAGGAGCTGGCTGGAGGAATAGAAATAGCCAAAGAGCTTGGTAAGATAAGTCTTCCTAAAATTTAAGCTCTTAGTTCTGATGCTGTGTGATAAGCCCTTGAACTTGGAGTAAAACTCTCCTGTAAATAATACCTCCTGCAAATGATGTCTGGGGATTAAGGAAAAGTGCAAGAATTCTTCCTGTGCACGTGATAAAAACTCAATTCAAACTAGCTCAAGCAAAAATATTATTATCTCATGTAACTGAGAATTCTAAGAAGAAGATGGACTTCAGGCATGGTTGGATCTAGGTGCTCAACCCAGGCATATTCCTGCTTTTATCTCTTGCCTTTGTTCTTCTTTGCATTGGCTTCATTTTTTAGAAGGCTGTTTCTATGTCCCACCTACCACTCCAGGCAGATGTAATGTGTACAACTGATAATCTCAGAAGCAGAAGGGTTCTATTTGTTCCAGTGTTTGTATCAATTCTAGAAAAAGGAAGTTGGCTTGCTTGAGACATGCACTGCCTTTTGGCCCAGTTGCTGTGTTCAGGGGTGCAGCGTTCTCTGGACAGCCAGGCTGTGCCCAGGGACAGTGGGATTGGTGGGCAGCCCCACTAGAATCATGCAGAATGGAGCAGGCTTGTCCACAAAGGCTCTGATTACAGCTGAAACAGGCCCCCAGGGAGTGCTTGGAGTGGCATGGAGCAGAAATAAGGGTACGGTCACCCACAGATATGAGGACCGAGGCAGAGCAAGCATGTGGGAGTCCCTCAGCAAGCCCAGATGCCATGCACCAAGGAAGCTTCCTCACCCCGAGTCCCCCGAGGTCTGAGGAGGGCGGCTGGGTCTGGCTCCATAAGTGGCACCATGGTTTGATGCGACTCACCTGAGTGAAAAGTACACGGTGACCCAGCAGGCAGCCAGGTCACTCGACACAATGCAAAAATTGTTTTTCTAACCATTCTGTTTGTCTCCAACTCCTGAGACGTTTCCTTTCATTTTAACCTGACCAATCTTCATCCTGCAACTTTGAGGCCAGCATAGTAACCACTCTCCATGGGTCTCAGCAATTGGTGTATCTGAAGTTAGGTTTCCTGAATTGTGTTCTTATTTAATGATATATCAAACTTTTTTCAGCTGATTCACTAAAACCTATCATCATAGACTCCATCTTTTCAAAATCTACATCAAGAATACAACTTAAAAAGGGTGACAGGCTGCCCAAATGTGGCCAAAGCTGAGTGATAAACACGATAATCCAATCAAAGGGGGGCAGGCTTCGTATTTGGAAAAACAGACTCTCACGTGAAATAAAAGCAATGCCACTTTGCTCTGTTTCAGTGGCCTCTAGGTCTTTGGGCTGACACGTAAGATGGTACAGAAACTCCTGTGCGGTCGACCTACCTAACCTCATTGTCCGGTAGTGAGGCATGGTGTGCTGTGCACTCGTCCGTGTATGTGTGAACATGCATAAATATGTGTATGTGTTTGGGCACATGTGTGCACGTGCATGTTGGTGCGTGTGTGTGCTTGAATGCCGGAATAACAAGGAATGAGAAAGCGATGTGTGGGGCAGACGCAGATTTACTAGCTATGCACTTTATAAAATAAAAACATACACATTTGCACAAGATTTTATTTTATAAAATGATTCCTTATATCAATTTTATTCAACCTTAATAAATTGCTCAGAAGTTATGGCTATGCAGCCTTTAGCTGTAAAAAGTGAAATTTATATACTTATGTAATATTTGCCAATAAAGTGAAAAAGACATATATATATTTTTTCTCAGTTTATGAGCATCGCGGTGACTACTGCAACCCAACAGAGACTGTGGATCATGACGGAAGAATTCCTGCTCTTCGCAGTGTGTCCCTTCTGTTCAAAATAAGACAGACATGTTTGTTATTGCTATAGCAACTCACAACTACCAAATAGACACCTCCGCCCAGCGTGACACCCTTTCATTGCATCAGCACCAGGCCCCACTTCTGTTGTTGAAGGTGCTGGGACTGGGACGTGACCTCTCTCAGGAAGGGGAGCAAGGCTTGCCGTTCCCATCACAGCATCTGCATGCACTTACTCTGACCCAGGTGCAACAGCTGTCAGCCTCTGTCCTGCAGAATGGGCTGGACAGCTAAATGCTATGAGCATTAGATGTTATACTGCTCACGGCTTCTTACCTCACCCACCCCTCCCACTCCTCCCTGAGCAGCCTTAGCAAAGAATTTCCTCCTCCTTCTCCTCCTCCCCCTCCTCCTCCTTCTCCTCCTCCCCCTCCTCCTTCTCCTTCTCCCCCTCCTTCTCCTTCTCCCCCTCCTTCTCCTTCTCCCCCTCCTTCTCCTTCTCCCCCTCCTTCTCCTTCTCCCCCTCCTTCTCCTTCTCCTCTTCCTCCACCTCCTGCTACCCTTCTCTTGTAAGACTTTTGGCCCAGAGCATTTCTTTCCATCATATTTTGGCTTATGTTTGAATTCTAAATTCCGAAGTTCTCAACTCCTTACATACAAAACAAACAAAATAATGTACTTTTTTGTTATTTTCAATTGAACATGTAGAGAATCACACATACATACACACACACAGAATGTGCAAGAGGCTTCAGACCACCTGCATTCACTCTGACATCGGTGAGGAGAACTAGGAAAATGCCAAGTGATCTCACCACTGGCTCTTGCTTTGCTGAGACAGTTTTCCAGACTCAGGCCTTCCAGGACAAGGACTTCAACGTGTTTCCTTCTTCTTCTCTGGTCACAGCAAACCATTTACAGGCATAGGAAAGTAAGAAATTATGAGGTCCAGAAGAGAGGAGGGAGATGGTGCAGGCGATGGAGCAGATGCAGGGTTCAGCCTTGGAGGGGAGCTCTGAGGCTGTGCCTCGGTCTGGCTCCTGGGGATGTGCAGGCTGATGTCGCAGTAACATGTCCAGAGCCTGGCTTGGTTTCGCTGTGTGCTAGCACCATATTATCCAGCGTGGGCTTGAATATGGCCCCTTGCACTGGGGAGGGAGGGAGAAGCCCCATGGCAGCTCTCCCAGTTAAGCTGAACAAAGGTTATTAAAAGTTTGGCCAATACTTTCCCTGCCTGAAGCATCCGAGTTATTCTGATGGCTCAGGGAGGTCCCGAGTACCTGGTTTTAGGAACCTGTGAGCTCTTTAGTCACAAAAGCCATTTGCTTGTCTTTATATGTTTTTATTTCTATTTATCTGCCCAGCAAAGCCCTGCTGTTGTTCACACAATCTTTTTTTGGTTCAGATGAATAACTTAATAGACTTTCATAGACAAGACACTGTAAGCAGTTGAGTCAATTGGGAAACCCAGGTTTCAACCTGCACAGTTAAAAGGAAAGCAAGAAAACACGCCACAGAAATGCATCAAAACTCACCGCAGAAATCCATCAAAGCACACATTGTTTGGGAGCAGGAATTCAGAGCCGCTCCACCCAGTGTGAAATTGTATCCTCCCTGCCAAACTGAAGACACTAATTTTCCTTTTCAACTTTGCCCAACAATGTTAACTGTTGAGTTTCGAGGGACCACTTCATCTACGTGATATCACTTAAATTTACTGTTGCCATTCACAATGCGGCACTTGGAGATACAAAGTGATTTGGCCAGGGGCCCACTGCTGGTAGCTGCAGGGGAGGGATTCGAATGCGGGTCTGTCTGCCTCAGAGTTTCTTGTTTCATTCTCAGTCCATACAACGCCCCACACTCACTCCCACCTGAGTTTTAGAAACAAAGTCTTGATTCTTGCCTCTGGAGATAAGTTCAAGATATTAATAAATGCAAGATATTATCTAATATTGTGAAGTGGAAAAAGGCAGGATTGTGTGTGTGATCTCATTTTTTTTTGTAAAAAGAAAGTCTCCATAAAGGAAATACACATATATTAATAGAAAGATCACCAGGTGGGGGAGGTGGCAGATTCTAGATGATATTTTATTATTTTTTTCTACCTTTCACCTTCACATATGTAGTATGCCGTCACTACCCCAACCTTACATCATTGGAGTCATTCATTAAACCCCAATCTGTGTGAGTCACTGCGGAAGTGAGGCTAACAGAAGCCCACACTGAAGGCCGCGTTCCTTCGTGGCGCCGTCCCATGCCAAAGCTGCTGTTCCCACGTGGCTACGGAGCTCTGGAGATGAAGTGAGTGACACCAAGGAGCTGAATGTTGAATTCCATGTAATTTTAATTAACATTTAAATAGCCGCGTGCGGGTAGTAACTACCGTATTGGCCAGTACAATTAGTAACAGGGATGTTTTAAAACACACATTTAAATGAATCACAGGTGAAGTCGGCTGTGCCCGTCTGACTTGGCAGACAGGGGCCGACAACTGGGCAACTGCGCAGACCTTCTCTGGCATCACACACAGCGCAGGACGGCGCGGGACCCGAGCAGCTGGCTTACCTGAATTGTGGCAGCAGCAGTAACAACCCCGAACTAGCTTCAGGGTGTGGATTTAATTACAGAAGCCGGAGGAGGGCAGGCACTGGCTGTCTTCAATCTTTCTCAGTGACCTCCACCTGTCTGCTTCCAACTGAGTAAAAGTCTGACTTGATGGCTTCATGATGATCTAATTGATGAGGAAGTACTTTTGTTTATACTACCTTCATCCAAGACACAATTTCCTGTTAAATATTTCAATATGAAGACTGCCTGTTTGTTTAATGATTTTTTAAAAACAAATTTACCGCCAGAATTAGTGCATGAAGGTCCCGAGGCCGTGGCTGCATCCTAAATGCCCCAGCAATGAGCAGAGGGGAGCCCAGCCCCACCCTCTTAATGTAGCTCTGGTCCCTAACGCGATGCTTCTAATCTTATGAGCCTTGACTAGTTTTTAAATCCAGGAGCACCAGAGCTCCAATCACAAAGTCCTGTATTCTGTCTAGGATCTTGGTTAAAGCAATGAACGTGTCCCTTGCTTTGCTTTTGCCCCAGAGACCTCTAATTGCCAACATTTCACCTTAAAAATCTCTTGCAAACCTTAATTCTCAAAACCCTTCTGTAACAACATAGACAGGAAGACCACTTCTAGCGCTTTTCCATTTATTTTTATATTCATAATTTTATTCGTTTGTTGGGAAATTTAAGGCATATAGAAGTTAAAACCACAGCCAAGCCTCAGGAGATGCACATGTTCAAAGATTTCAGAGTGCAGAGAGTCATTTCATTTTTTACGAAGCACGTGCTCTGCTTCCGGACGGCGCTAAGTCGGCTGTGTGCCCGGGCGCCGGCAGTTGCGGTTGTCACATGGGCCTGAGGGCAGTGGACAGCGGAGGGCAAGTCAAGGAACCACACTGACAGTAATCACCCTGGCTTCAGTGTTTCCATGAAGTGCTCTTAGATGCAATGATTGTGAAGTGGGAAAATCATGAGTGGCCACCTGGGCGAGCCTCACTGGCCGACATCCCTGCATCTGAGCATCTCTGCGGTTGCTACTGTCCGGTAATTTCGGTCTGTTCCGGGCACCTGGATCAAAGTCAGAGGCCCTCCCTCAGGGCTCCTCTTCAACTGGCCTCCGCACTAGGGTCCTATCTTGGGCAGGATCCTGGAGGCTCACCCGCTTCTTCCCAGGATGGAAAAGTCGTCTGGGCTGCTTGTGTCTGATGAGGAACTTGTTTGACAGGTGAGAGGCACAGAGCGGATGAGTGGATTCACGTGGAACCAAGAGTTCCCAAACTGCCTGAGCCTGAGACTCACCAGTTCCCAAACCGCCTGCGCCTGAGACTCACCGGTTCCCAAACCGCCTGCACTTGAGACTCAGGGGTTCCCAAACCGCCTGGGCCCGAGACTCACCGGTTCCCAAACCGCCTGCGCCTGAGACTCACCGGTTCGCAAACCGCCTGCATTTGAGACTCACCGGTTCCCAAACCGCCTGGGCCTGAGACTCACCGGCTCCCAAACCACCTGCACCTGAAACTCACCAGTTGCCAAACCACCTGCGCCCGGAACTTACTGGCTCCCAGACCGCTGCGCATGAGACTCGCTGGGGGCGTTACTCACAACGCAGGCTCCTGGGGCCCTCCAGAGACTCCGGTGTCAGCGAGCTCATGGCGCCCACCTCAAGTAACACTGGCCTCGGGCACTGATTCTCAACCCTGGCTAACCACTAAAAATTTACTCAAGGAGCTTTTAAAAAGTATCAGTGCCTAGGACACAACACAGGTTAATTGAATAAGAACTTCGGGAGGAGACTCTAGGTACTTGCATTTTCCTAAAAATCTTCCTAAATGACTCAATTTTTCAGCCAAAGTTCAGCAATGCTGGTCTAAGATGAAAAATAAAATGACTGGGTTAGAACCTCAGGCTGTGTGGAACCCACAGTGGGTCCAGACTTTGGTTTCAGTGCCCCCTACGGTATAACAGTCATTAAGGACCCCAAATTATTTATGTAAATTATATGTCAATATTTACCATATTAGGAATTAAAACAGAAAATGTTTTAAATATTCTAATTCATTTTAAAATAACAATAATAAATCCATTATGTGTTAACATATTTTTATTAAAACCAACTATATTTTTCAAAAGAGAAAAGAAATCACTGAGAAGAGTGGCATTAATCTACATGTGTGTCAGTCTCTGTCTGGCTTTAATGGAAGACAGCTGGACTCACCCAGCTGCCTCTGCCTTCCACCTGTTACGGTGTGTTTTGGGGAATATATGAGGAAAATCCAGACGTGTGTGTGTGTGTGTACATACATATATGTAGGGGGAGAAAAGAATATTTTTAGAACTTTTTTGGATTATTATGGATATTCTTATTTTAATCTTTACAAAAACCTGAAAAGTGATAGTTTTTAAAATGATTAATGGCCACGTAGAATCCGAAGCCACATTGGTGAACGTTTCCTTCTCTCCTACACTAATATTCATTTGTCTATCTTGCCCTTTGAATGGGCCTTTTACCCAGGCCTAACTTTGTAACTTCATGTGTTCACCATTTGGAAAATATCGGTTTACTGAGACGTGCAGAAATTCCAAATGCAGACGTCTCCGAGAGACTGAATATACGAA
The DNA here is from genome assembly GCF_000001405.40 of Homo sapiens. NCBI lineage: Eukaryota > Metazoa > Chordata > Mammalia > Primates > Hominidae > Homo > Homo sapiens. The sequence continues at coordinate 168,230,672 of NC_000006.12, forward strand.
GGGACGCTGGGTAGACCACAGAAAAGCCACAACTCTGACCCACACCTGCATCAGCCTGCCCAGGAAAACTGACCCTAACCTAATATCTGCAAACGCCAGCCCCAGAGGCCAGCCTGCTGTCCAGGAGTCAGGACTGCAGGAGGTGGGAAAAGGACCCCACCACAGCTGACCCAAGATGGCAGGGCTTGATCAGTAACTAACAGATTTCTTCACTGTTTCCGTGCTTCCCACTTAGCACCAACCAGAGAAAGCTGAATACACTCCCTGGCCAGTTCCATAGGATGTTCCGATTCCAGCTACTCGCCTCCAGTGTCCCCAGACAGCAGCCTCCGGCAGGGCTCACCTGGGACCTTCCGTTTTCTCATCATAAATCCCCAGACCCCTGCCTTTGAGTCTCTGCTGGACACACACCCTGGAGCCCTGCCTTTGAGCCTCTGCTGGACACACACCCCGGACCCCTGCCGTTGAGCCTGTGCTGAACACTCGCAGTGGTGACCGACGCCCCCACCACAGCAAGCCCCGAATACACAGCCTCTGTGTGTTCCCACTGAGTTGGTCTTTGTTTATTTTCACACTTAAATTACACACTATAAAAAAACCACAGTTGTTAATATTGCCACCCATCTCACCAAAAAAGCCTCTATATATTGTAAAACTGTCAAGCTCAAGGTGATGAATAAAAGTGACCCAAAATTCTAACGTTTCTCAAACGCTCAGATTTTATCATGAGCCACAAATACTACTAGTTCTTTCCCTTGGAGGAACAGGCTGTTAATTAGCTAGGTCTGAATACCATAGTTTGTCTATCAGTTGTTCTTTCAAGTAAAAGCTGTGTTCCACGTAAAGAAAAAAACATAACCAAAACAGCGAGTTCAACAGGTAACTGGAACGATGGCCTCTGCTTTTCCCACAACAGTGATCACGTGACTCCGATGTGGAGAAATGCTTCATCCAGTTCCCACTTCATGGTGCAGAATATTAAAAAGACAAGCCTGCACGGATTGAGGCTAAATAGTTAATAATGAGCCTCACTGCTTGATTCTGGACACTGTTAGGTGAAAACGGCTTTTCTTTTTCCTGCAGGTGGGTGGTGGTGCAGAAGACCACAGCTGTTTGTGTGGTTGGCACTCAGCTTGTTTCAGGTTAGGGATTGAGTAGTTTCACCCACTATTGCCTTTATACACCAGCAATAGGATATCTACACAGTTAAAAAAAAAAAAAGGCTTAGCATTATGATAAAAATAGTTTTCCCTCTGTGGGCCCCCTGAAGGGGCCTCGGGACCCCAGCAGTGTGGATAGCAGGCGCGGGGACCTGGCAAGAGGGTTTGGTAAACCTTCTGTTGCAGCCTGGGTGTGAAGTGAAGGGGTCCCAAAGCCCTCATGCAGTTTTAAGCTTTAAATACATTTCTTCAAGTTTTAGTTTGTGGGGTATTTTGGTCTATAAGGCAAAATGACTAAAACTTCTGTGAGACATCTGAGAACTGTGATCAATGAAAGAGAAACAGAAGTGAAGAGTCATCAGTTTAGGGGACAGCGTCGGAAATACTAAAGGGTGGCAGCTGTCGTGTGAATAGCACTGACCAGCTCCAAAGTCCGCCACTAGCAACAGCTGCAGTGAAATTCTGGCCAACCAGCACTTCTGGAGGTCCCATGCCCTGTCTTCCTCTCCTTGTCTCCTCCTTTCCCAGGCAACCCAAACGTAAGGCCAGTTCATCTGCATTTAGTACCTTCAAGAGAGGAATTTCTAATGCTCTTGAGAGTCCGCATTTAAACTGCAATTTCTGAATTACTTGGGAATACTCACGGGCCATCTTGGATTTCAGAACATACAGGGGTTTAACATTAATGTATTGAGTTACAAGAGGAGATTCTTAGCTCATCTGGCATTCTAATAAGACCTATACATGGGTAAATTAGGTGTTGCTACTTAAATTCAGCTTTTGTCCTTGAGCTCAAAAGTCCTGCAGGGAAAACAGCCTGAGGGAGCTCCTGCAGGAGCGTTGCTTAGGAGAGGCTGTCCCCTTCCAGCCGCAAAGGCAGCTCCGGGAGACACACCAAGGCCCCGAATCCAAGGCTCCTGATGCTGTCAGAACCACTTCCTCAGCCGAGAATCGGCCGTCCAGCCCGACCTTCAGGGTACAAAGCGAGGCGAGCACACCCAGCCTTCTCTCAGCTCCAACCCCCATTTAATCGTTTGGTTTTGAAAGATTTCTCCAAGAAAAATGTATATATGTAAATTATGTATGTCAAGTTTTACCATATTAGGAATTAAAACAGAAAAATTTTAAATATTTTAAAATAGCAATAATAACTCCATTATTTGTTAACAATGGAACGGAGAGGCTGGATGAGATGCGGCGAGCGCGTGACACACATCAGAAAGTGGCAGAACCAGAACCGGCTCCCCGGGGCTGCCCCTGCTTCCCCTGACACCGGCTGCGTCTGTCATGGGCTGCGGCACGGTCATCTTCGTTTTGACTTTCAGGTGGCAACCGCACGGTGCCACAGGCTGTCGCTGTCACCCAAGCACAAGTGCAGTGACAATCCTCGCTACGAATTTCCTCGCGGCTCCATACCTGAAATAAGTATCACTGTATTATCACAGCTCTGTGGAAATCCCCACCTTTCAAGGCTCCTCTTGAAACACAGGTTATTGTAAGCGGAGAAACAACTGCTTTTCAAGATGTTAATATCTGTTGGGATAAAGGTATTTCTCACTGAGGATTCACCCTCACCAAGCTTCCCGGCATGTAAAAAACATCACTGTCACTGCAGGCAGATGTAAGGAATAAGAAAACACCCACACGAGCTCACTGTGGAAACCAGTTCGGTCCTCAGTTCCAATGACAGGCGTCTCTCTAAGCGGGCTGAGGTCTTCTTGGGGCAGGACCCTTGGGAAGAAGTGCCTTCTTGCATGGGACAGACCTGGGGACCCTGGGGGGCTACCCTGGGGGAATTACAGCATGGACACCCACCCCCTTAGTTGTCTCCAATTGTACCCTAAGGAAGAATAGGTCAGTTCCTCCTCTTTCGCACTGAGAACAGCCACCTCCACATGCTCCCATGCGAGGGCCTCTGCTGGCCAACACCAGCTTTCAGCATGGCAACTAGGGGAGGATGAGCACGGTGTGATAACTAGGGGAGGAGGAGCACAGTGTGATAACTAGGGGAGGAGGAGCACATGTGATAACCAGGGGAGGATGAGCACGGTGTGATAACTAGGGGAGGAGGAGCACATGTGATAACTAGGGGAGGAGGAGCACATGTGATAACTAGGGGAGGAGGAGCACATGTGATAACTAGGGGAGGAGGAGCACATGTGATAACTAGGGGAGGAGGAGCACATGCGATAACTAGGGGAGGATGAGCACGGTGTGATAACTAGGGGAGGAGGAGCACGGTGTGATAACTAGGGGAGGAGGAGCACATGTGATAACTACGGGAGGAGGAGCACGGTGTGATAACTAGGGGAGGAGGAGCACATTTGATAACTGGGGGAGGAGGAGCACGGTGTGATAACTAGGGGAGGAGGAGCACATGTGATACCTACGGGAGGAGGAGCACGGTGTGATAACTAGGGGAGGAGGAGCACATGTGATAACTAGGGGAGGAGGAGCACGGTGTGATAACTAGGGGAGGATGAGCACGGTGTGATAACTAGGGGAGGAAGAGCACGGTGTGATAACTAGGGGAGGAGGAGCACAGTGTGATAACTAGGGGAGGAGGAGCACATGTGATAACCAGGGGAGGATGAGCACGGTGTGATAACTAGGGGAGGAGGAGCACATGTGATAACTAGGGGAGGAGGAGCACGGTGTGATAACTAGGGGAGGAGGAGCACGGTGTGATAACTAGGGGAGGAGGAGCACATGTGATAACTAGGGGAGGATGAGCACATGTGATAACTAGGGGAGGAGGAGCACATGTGATAACCAGGGGAGGAGGAGCACGGTGTGATAACTAGGGGAGGAGGAGCACATGTGATAACGAGGGGAGGAGGAGCACATGTGATAACTAGGGGAGGAGGAGCACATGTGATAACTAGGGGAGGAGGAGCACATGTGATAACTAGGGGAGGAGGAGCACGGTGTGATAACTAGGGGAGGAGGAGCACATGTGATAACTAGGGGAGGAGGAGCACGGTGTGATAACTAGGGGAGGAGGAGAACGGTGTGATAACTAGGGGAGGAGGAGCACATGTGATAACTAGGGGAGGAGGAGCACGGTGTGATAACTAGAGGAGGAGGAGCACGGTGTGATAACTAGGGGAGGAGGAGCACATGTGATAACTAGGGGAGGAGGAGCACATTTGATAACCAGGGGAGGAGGAGCACGGTGTGATAACTAGGGGAGGAGGAGCATGGTGTGATAACTAGGGGAGGAGGAGCACGGTGTGATAACTAGGGGAGGAGGAGCACATATGATAACCAGGGGAGGAGGAGCACGGTGTGATAACTAGGGGAGGAGGAGCACATGTGATAACGAGGGGAGGAGGAGCACATGTGATAACGAGGGGAGGAGGAGCACATGTGATAACTCGGGGAGGAGGAGCACATGTGATAACTAGGGGAGGAGGAGCACATGTGATAACTAGGGGAGGAGGAGCACATGTGATAACTAGGGGAGGAGGAGCACATGTGATAACTAGGGGAGGAGGAGCACATGTGATAACTAGGGGAGGAGGAGCACATGTGATAACTAGGGGAGGAGGAGCACATGTGATAACTAGGGGAGGAGGAGCACGGTGTGATAACTAGGGGAGGAGGAGCACATGTGATAACTAGGGGAGGAGGAGCACGGTGTGATAACTAGGGGAGGAGGAGCACATGTGATAACTAGGGGAGGAGGAGCACATGTGATAACCAGGGGAGGAGGAGCACGGTGTGATAACTAGGGGAGGAGGAGCACATGTGATAACTAGGGGAGGAGGAGCACATGTGATAACTAGGGGAGGAGGAGCACGGTGTGATAACTAGGGGAGGAGGAGCACATGTGATAACTAGGGGAGGAGGAGCACGGTGTGATAACTAGGGGAGGAGGAGCACATGTGATAACTAGGGGAGGAGGAGCATGGTGTGATAACTAGGGGAGGAGGAGCACATGTGATAACTAGGGGAGGAGGAGCATGGTGTGATAACTAGGGGAGGAGGAGCACGGTGTGATAACTAGGGGAGGAGGAGCACATGTGATAACTAGGGGAGGAGGAGCACATGTGATAACCAGGGGAGGAGGAGCACGGTGTGATAACTAGGGGAGGAGGAGCACATGTGATAACTAGGGGAGGAGGAGCACGGTGTGATAACTAGGGGAGGAGGAGCACATGTGATAACTAGGGGAGGAGGAGCACATGTGATAACTAGGGGAGGAGGAGCACATGTGATAACCAGGGGAGGAGGAGCACAGTGTGATAACTAGGGGAGGAGGAGCACCGTGTGATAACTAGGGGAGGAGGAGCACTGTGTGATAACTAGGGGAGGAGGAGCACGGTGTGATAACTAGGGGAGGAGGAGCACATGTGATAACCAGGGGAGGAGGAGCACGGTGTGATAACTAGGGGAGGAGGAGCACATGTGATAACTAGGGGAGGAGGAGCACATGTGATAACTAGGGGAGGAGGAGCACATGTGATAACTAGGGGAGGAGGAGCACATGTGATAACTAGGGGAGGAGGAGCACATGTGATAACCAGGGGAGGAGGAGCACAGTGTGATAACTAGGGGAGGAGGAGCACCGTGTGATAACTAGGGGAGGAGGAGCACATGTGGTAACTAGGGGAGGAGGAGCACGGTGTGATAACTAGGGGAGGAGGAGCACATGTGATAACTAGGGGAGGAGGAGCATGGTGTGATAACTAGGGGAGGAGGAGCACATGTGATAACAAGGGGAGGAGGAGCACATGTGATAACTAGGGGAGGAGGAGCACGGTGTGATAACTAGGGGAGGAGGAGCGCGGTGTGATAACTAGGGGAGGAGGAGCACATGTGATAACTAGGGGAGGAGGAGCATGGTGTGATAACTAGGGGAGGAGGAGCACATGTGATAACCAGGGGAGGAGGAGCACATGTGATAACTAGGGGAGGAGGAGCACATGTGATAACTAGGGGAGGAGGAGCATGGTGTGATAACTAGGGGAGGAGGAGCACATGTGATAACTAGGGTAGGAGGAGCACATGTGATAACTAGGGGAGGAGGAGCACATGTGATAACTAGGGGAGGAGGAGCACATGTGATAACTAGGGGAGGAGGAGCACGGTGTGATAACTAGGGGAGGAGGAGCACGGTGTGATAAGTAGGGGAGGAGGAGCACATGTGATAACTAGGGGAGGAGGAGCACATGTGATAACTAGGGGAGGAGGAGAACGGTGTGATAACCAGGGGAAGAGGAGCACATGTGATAACTAGGGGAGGAGGAGCACATGTGATAACTAGGGGAGGAGGAGCACAGTGTGATAACTAGGGGAGGAGGAGCACCGTGTGATAACTAGGGGAGGAGGAGCACGGTGTGATAACTAGGGGAGGAGGAGCACATGTGATAACTAGGGGAGGAGGAGCACGGTGTGATAACTAGGGGAGGAGGAGCACGGTGTGATAACCAGGGGAGGAGGAGCACATGTGATAACTAGGGGAGGAGGAGCACGGTGTGATAACTAGGGGAGGAGGAGCACATGTGATAACTAGGGGAGGAGGAGCACGGTGTGATAACTAGGGGAGGAGGAGCACATGTGATAACCAGGGGAGGAGGAGCATGGTGTGATAACTAGGGGAGGAGGAGCACCGTGTGATAACTAGGGGAGGAGGAGCACATGTGATAACTAGGGGAGGAGGAGCACGGTGTGATAACTAGGGGAGGAGGAGCACATGTGATAACTAGGGGAGGAGGAGCATGGTGTGATAACTAGGGGAGGAGGAGCACATGTGATAACTAGGGGAGGAGGAGCACGGTGTGATAACTAGGGGAGGAGGAGCACATGTGATAACTAGGGGAGGAGGAGAACGGTGTGATAACCAGGGGAAGAGGAGCACATGTGATAACTAGGGGAGGAGGAGCACATGTGATAACTAGGGGAGGAGGAGCACGGTGTGATAACCAGGGGAGGAGGAGCACAGTGTGATAACTAGGGGAGGAGGAGCACGGTGTGATAACTAGGGGAGGAGGAGCACATGTGATAACTAGGGGAGGAGGAGCACATGTGATAACTAGGGGAGGAGGAGCACGGTGTGATAACCAGGGGAGGAGGAGCACATGTGATAACTAGGGGAGGAGGAGCTCATGTGATAACTAGGGGAGGAGGAGCACGGTGTGATAACAAGGGGAGGAGGAGCAACAATTCCAGGAGTTGGAGATTTTACAAACAGCATCTAGATGAATGACTTGATTTTTCCAAATTTCTGTCTTCTTTTAGACAGAATGTGTATTGGTTTCAAGTATCAGGATAGTTGAGGAACTGAATGAGTTTATACAACTGATTCTCTGTGTGGAGAGGGTTGAAGTCTCATTTTCTCCTTTGGTTTATTTTTTCCCTTTGACCTGTTTGGGGGTTGAGCCTATGGAATCATCCCTGCAAAAATAATCAGCTTTACACGCATGTTAATTTCACTAAAATCCAGCAAAGCCTAATCTTTGAAACGCAAGTGTGTTTACTAGGACGAGTCACAACCTGACACCCTGTGGCTGATGCCAACAGGCCTGACTTACTCAGAATTTACCATCAGTGTCTAATAACTTGGCATGGCTCTGGGTGGAGATTTTTTATGGAAATTTTAGTGAATTCTTACCAATGTGGAACCATTTCCATGCTTGAAGGACTGAATCATATAAACAACATTGCTTTCATAAAGTCCGTAGGCTGAATTAGGCTTTAAAATCTGAACAGCAAAGGTGTACTTAGCATTAGAAACAGAAACACTGGCGGGAGGTGAAGGGTTTATAAAGGGAATTGTATCTTTTATACACACGCAGCGTCTTCTCGGAAACTCTCTGAAATGCCAAGTCTGAGTATTTCCCAGAATGAGTCAAAACTACATCTTGCGGTTGATAAAAAGAAGCATTTTAGGATGTATTTAAATGTTGCATTGTGTCTCCCTGGGGCATTTGTGTTTTATCTCTTACTGGAATAAAACTTTGCTCCATAGAAAGAAATGTGTGGTGCGCTGTTGAGATGAGGGAGTGAGGGCGAAGTCCCTTCCAAGGCCCCAGGGGTCAACCCCACAACCCTCTCCACCTACTGCATAGGGAGCCTTGAGACTCGGGGACAGGTCCTATTTCTTCTCTACTTTTTATGACAAGGCTGATATTTTTTAGAAATATTAATGAGCATTTCTATTTTGCATTTTCTATATACAACCTACTTAGCAAATAGCAGCCTTGGTGGGATGAAGATCATTACAAAAGAATGCAAAGAGACAGAGTGGACAGTCCCTTCCGACACGCAAGCCAGGTAAATGCAAAGAGACAGAGTGGACAGTCCCTTCCGACACACAAGCCAGGTAAATGCAACGATGCGAGGCAGGGAAGCCTGAGAGAGAGAACACGCGATGATTTCACCGCCTGTGTCAGCATCGATGCCAGCTCGGTGGAAAGGCTGTGAGGTCCCTATCATGGAGCTGCTGGCAGTAAGGAGAGAGGGGCTGGGCAGGGAAGCCCACCCTTCACATTCCAGAGAGTCACTGGGAAAGGAAGGGACAGAGACACAGGGGAGAAGGCAGGGCCGGGCTGCCCCAGTGAGAGGAAATCACCGGGGCAGGGGCTGAGGGGAAGGCTGGTCAGGGCAGCCCTGCTCCCACCTGCAGGCCCGGCTGGCAGCAGGCTGTGAAGTCTGGGCCGACTTGAAAGGGTCAGCGTGGGCTCCCAGCCACCTTCTCCAGGCCTCAGCGGCCTGCAGGCCGAGGGGAGAGTGAGTCATCCTGCCCTCGGCCCGTGTGGCAGAGAAAGGAGAGCACTGAGTTACTGGCCTGAGGCAGGGCCCTGAAGAGCCAGGGGCCTGTGGTCAGCAGAGGGGCCTGTGGACTGGGGAGGGTCTGTGATAAGAACCGAGGATCTGTGGTCAGCAGAGAGGCCTGCGGTCAGCCCACCCAAGGGCTGACACCACCAAATGGAGTACTGCATTGCTGGTCAACTGGTTTTTAAATCACCATGGACTAACGATCAGCCAGTAACCCCTCCTCCCACGTCAGTTCAGTCGAAATAAAGACACGTCTCCTTGGACATCTGGGTTGAAGGATGGGTGAGGTGTGGCCCGCACCCTCCACCTTGCATTGCGTCTATTGGGAAACAGGTGCTTCTCCAATAGCCTTGGTTCAGGAGTAAAACAGATGCCTTGTGGCTGGGGGCTGCGGAGGGCAAGGTGGGGAGGCAGGTTTGGGACAGGATGACAGTGGTGGGGATCAGCACAGCGTCTCCTGTAATCGGTGCTAGAACAGATCTCAGGAAAGCCAGGTTTGCACCCAGCTGGCCCTGGAGCCCACACTCAGGAAGCCGGTCCTCCTGGTGCTTCTTCAGCTGAAGCATTACCTTGAAGGACTTCCCAGGTGCAAAGCGATGAAGGAATGGCTGGAAGCAGAGTTTGACATGGAAAAGTCCTCACCACAAAGGGGGCTCAACAGGGAACGTAGCCTGAGCCCTTGCTTCTGTCTTTTGTGAACTGTGAGTGGTTTCTCCCTGGTGCGATGTGTCTGTACGTGGCTCTGGGAGAAATGATAAGCTTAAGCCAGAGATTTTTCAGTACTGAGCTTATTTTTAGAAAGGAAGATGCAAGTTCACTTTCTCTGTTTGCTTTCACAAGGACAGACACAGAAAGAAAACCTTTGGAACAGGAAAAGAAGAGCTCTTTTGACAAAGCAAAGGAGGATCACAGAGTTCCAGCCCTGGGGGCTGCGTCTGGGGGTTTCCTGGCATTAGAGGAGCTGATGGTGAATTTTCCCTCAACCATCACCGGAAATGTGAAACTCAGTGGAGCTCCCTGTTCCCACAGGGTCACATTCAAGCACAATTCAAATATGAATACAGTAAAATCATGAGATCCCAGCTACTCTCAACAAGGCTTACCCACAGCGTTTGTGGATTTTGTGCCAGGCACTGAGCTGGGTGCTGGATATGGATGGGTCTTGTCTGTGATCTACGGAGCCTGCTGTTTAGTGGGGGAGACACAGGTTAAAGCAGTCCTTCCAATAAGTATGCAGATGTTAACGGGGAAGGTGCAGCAGCGCCGTGTCCATCTGAACCTCCTGTGATCAAGGAAGGGTCAGGAGGAAATCTGATTTTGACTGAGACCTGAGAATGACTAGAATCAGCTGGATAAAGAGGGTGTGTGGGGGAGGATGTTCCAATGTCTATACAAACCTGCAATAGAAGAGAGGAGCGTCCAAGAGATGGAAACAAGGTCAGCTAAAGCAGGGGAATGAATGTGAGACAGACTTGGTGAGCTGAATCACATCCACTCAGGTCACAGGGCCTGAGCCACCTGAGGGGTTGGGCTTTGTCAGGGATGTCTTGGAGAGTTTTAAACAGGGCCTGACCTGTTCACTTTCCCATACCTGGCACCTTCCTCCGGAGTCTGTGTGGCTGACGAACTGGAAACATGACATCAGCAAGGGGAGCCCTTGGGCCTGGGGAGGGTCACCCAGAGAAGCTTCCCGTAGCGTCTGGAGTCGGGCAGGTGCTGGTGGAGGAGATGGGCAGGGATCAGGTCAGCGGGCCTAGGGAAGCATCCCTCATCTAATTAGAAAGAGCACAGTCATTCCTCATCTCAGCTGGTGGTCTGAAAAGGAGATATTTGGAAAATCAGTAAGTATCTTTTTAATTTCTCAGGAATTCGGCCTAATTTAAATGAGAAGTGTCCCAGTGAGAAAACCAAGGGGTCTTGCCGCCTCTCAGGGTTTCCCCAATATCTGCAGACCCAGATTACAAACAGCAGCCCCTCAGCTTGCATTCTGCCCCTTTCCTCCTGTAGAAATGGGGGCATGCAAAGTGTCTGCATTGAACTAGCAGGGGCGTTGGCCACCATCACCCAGGTTTGACAGCCTCAAAGGCGGCCAGAGGAGGGGAGCCTCACGGTGCAAAAGCAGAAGGTGCCAGGTGCACCCTATGGAGGCAGCTGGCTGGGGAAGATGGAGGCAGGGAACTGGAATCAGGGCACCCTGCAGTGTGGGGTGCACACTTGGCTTTCTCTGTTTGGTCCTGAGTTGGAAGCAGGGACAAAACCTAGGCAGCTGTCAGCTATTCATCAAGTCCCGGCCGTCTTGGGTCTGTTGTCACAGGGGTTCCCGCTTGGCATCCTGGGCTGTGGGTCAGAGTTCCGTCTTTGCACATGGCACTGTTGTCCGTTTCTGGGTTCAGTTTCCCCCTCCCTCCAGTGATCCTGCAGGGGGTCTCGAATGCATGCGTGCACGTCAACACCCCCACTCTCACTTCCAAGCACCCCTCTACCAGAGCCTCCTGTTGAGACTTGGGGTGCACACTGGCAGCACGGGTGGGCCTTGGCTGTCTGAGCAGGGGTAGGCTGGTACAGACCCTGCCAGCCCAAGACATGGGGCAGGAATTCCAGGTCTGGGCATTGGCTTGGCCTAGAGAGTGGGCATGGGGCTGGGTGGGTGGTCAGTCCCTCTGCCCTGTGGAGCCTGTGCCCCATGGAGAGGGCAGCAGCCAGAGGGCTCCAGGCTGGGCCCCCACAGTGCAGCACCCAGGCCAGGCCCTCAGTGTGGTGATGCAACCATGGGGGTTTCAGGAGGACACCAAGTCCCTGCTTGTACCGGGTCCCGGGTCTCCCACTGTGAAATGAGGCCTGGGCAGGTGGCTGTCATTGCTTGGCTTCTGCCAAGGAGACCCTGTGTGGAACTCCAGTGTATACACATGTTAAAAAGGGGCAGTTCTGCAGGAAGCCTGGCTCTCCCCCAACAGCCATGGCCACTTGTTCCCAAGGTAACTTCCTGAGGAGTATGTGAGGTTTTGTGGAAGACAAAAACCAAACACAAATCCACCACATACATGTGGGGTTACAGCATCGATACATCAGTTCTCAGGCCAGCTTTCCATTCCTCGGATTCCATGTTTCTTCAACAAGCAGGTCCCAAACATGTTCTGCTGAAGAACCGTGGCCTTTGGGTGATATTCCACAGAGCCTGCTCAAAAACAGGGCCAGGGCTAAGTTCACTTCCTTGGGCTCTGGAGTCAGCATTCTAATTGTGGAGTCAGCATTCTAATTATTCTAATTATGGTGAGACCTTCCTCTTCTCTCAGGCCTTCGCCCTTCACCCACCAAGCCCTCGTCGTTCCTCTTCAACCCCAGCATCCCCCTGGGTTCCTGTGCAGGCCTCGGCTTCCAGGAACCCTGCCTTGGAGTGTGTGTGTGGCTCTGTGACCGGCAAGCAGGAGGCCACGGCTGTCCCACCCTCAGGGCTCTCACATGGTGAGTGGCTTGGAGGACACCCTCCATGTGGAGCTCAGGGCCACCACCCCGACAAGGCCTGCAAGCGTGGGCTTGTGCCTATCACTCATGCCTTCCCAGCTACCTCGGCCCAGTGAGAGTTGAGCACTGCGCTGAGCGCTCACAGCTGGGTCCCAGGATCCAGCTCCGTGAGGCTGCCCAACGCAGAGCAGAGGGCAGAGGCAGCCTGGGTGGCCCAGCCACTGCCCCAACCTGAGGTCTCCCAGCAGCACCAGGTCTGGAAAATGCGAATCCCAAGAAACATAAAAGAAACCCTGAGGATCACAAAGAAAGCTGCGCTCTTGAGAAACAAATACATAAACAAAAATAAAAAGGAGAAGAGAAGCAAGTTCGGCTTAGGTAAGGAGACGAAAGAAAAAATCTTTTATTTATGATCAAACATGCAGACTCCTCTGAGAATGTGCAACACAGGCACCTTTTTCCCCTTTGCCTGCGTGTGCAGCAGTTCTCATCAAGAAACAATTCTCTCTCTCTCCCTCTCTCTGCCCAGCCTTCCTCTCCATCCTCTCTCTCTCCCTCTCTCTGCCCAGCCTTCCTCTCCTTCCTCTCTCTCTCCCTCTCTCTGCCCAGCCTTCCTCTCCTTCCTCTCTCTCTCTCTCTGCCCAGCCTTCCTCTCCATCCTCTCTCTGTCCCTCTCTCTGCCTAGCCTTCCTCTCCATCCCAACAAGAAACAGTGCATAGCAGCAAACAATGGCACTAAGGAAAGAAATCAAACTCTTTAAAGATTCCACAAAATACTCACTCTGTCCCCCACCCCACCTCCTATACCAGTTTTGCTGTGAATAATTAATGCTTTGGGTAGATTTTTAATCTTCTGAATCTGAGCCCTTGACCTGAGCCTTTGGAAATGAAGATGAACATGTAACCACTGTCATGGAGAGGGCCCCTTTTCTGTAGCTGAAGGTGAGGTTCCTGGAAGCACAGGGCCCTTGTTTCACCCTCAGTGGGAAGGGGGCTTCCTGGAAGCACAGGGCCCTTATTGTTTCACCCTCAGTGGGAAGGGGCATTCCTGGAAGCACAAGGCCCTTGTTTCACCCTCAGTGGGAAGAGGGATTCCTGGAAGCACAAGGCCCTCGTTTCACCCTCAGTGGGAAGGGGCATTCCTGGAAGCACGAGGCCCTCGTTTAACTCTCAGTGGGAAGAGGGATTCCTGGAAGCACGAGGCCCTCTTTTCACCTTCAGTGGGAAGGGGGATTCCTGGAAGCACAAGGCTCTCGTGGGGAAGGGGGGGGCACCTGCTGCACCATCGGAGGTTTTCTTTTTCATTCTCACTCATATGAACACAACACAGGCACCTTTTCAGTGTTTGTAAACTACCCTTTCTATTCCGACCATACATGTGAACACTTCCATTACTGGGATGGTCCAGTCTATTCCAAACATACATGTGAACGCTTCCATTACTGGGATGGCCTGTCTATTCCAACCATACGTGCGAATGCTTCCATTACTGGGATGGTCCCATCTATTCCGAACGTACATGCAAACGCTTCCATTACTGGGATGGCCTGTCTATTCCAACCATACGTGCAAACGCTTCCATTACTGGGATGGTCCTGTCTCAGCTGAGCTTCACTTTGGGCAAAAGCTGACATTTCCTGGCTTTGTAAGATGGTGAGAAAGACTTAGTTAATCCCAGGGTTGGATGAATTTATGAAAAAAGAAGTGAGTGGGGGTGGTCTTAATAGATTCTACAACTTTCTGCACAGTGAGACAGATTTGCCTATTATTTTTCTGATTTTGAAGAAAAGATTAGTTCTTAAATGAAGAGGTGGTATTTTTTATAATGAAGAGGTTGAGATGCTACAGCTTTATACACACACCCCTCCCCCGGCAAGTCAGTACAAATGCTTTACCCCTTCAACATAAACTCCATTTTCCCGCGTAGCTCTGCGCAGATTCTCGAGGAGACTGCTTCCGGCTCAGGGACGCCAAGTGCAGCAGCCGACGCTGCAGAGGCTCTCGCGGACAGGGCCAGGGGTGCCCGCCCCATCAGGACAGCACCTGAGTTATGGATGACGATCCCCTCCATATAGAAACCAGGCAGTGCCAATATTTCGTGGTTCCTCAATTATCTACCCCCTCCCCTCTGGGCCATCCCCAAAAGCGGGCAGATCCAATCATGCAGCCCCATCCCCACTCTTGCCACTGTACCACTGCTCACTGTCTAAGGCCCCTTAGCGTGGACCCAGTTCACAATTTCACAGATGAGCTTTGGCCTTAGTACACAGGATGCTCTCCACAGGCCTGGCTGTGTGTGCTGTTACTGAAATGGAAATAACAGCTTACGGACTGAAGTTGGTTTACACTACTTGAAAAATTCAGTCAAGCTTGGAAACAAAACCTTGTCTGTTAACATGTACACACCAAGTTCAAACAATACTGGCTCCAGTGCTGAGTAAACTCAGAGCCCTTCAAAGCTGCAAGGCTTTCCGCAAAAGTACATGGCTCAGAAAAAAAGAAACCCTGAATCCAATTCACACAAAAATGCGAAAGCCCCGGGGCAGCCGGCTGTCAGACTAACCTGCACCCGAAATTTCTGGATAGAGTAGATGTCTTTGGGATGTTCTAACCTGCACCCAAAATTTCTGGATAGAGCAGCCTTCTTCGGGATGTTCTAATCTGCACCCGAAATTTCTGGATAGAGCAGCCTTCTTCGGGATGTTCTAATCTGCACCCGAAATTTCTGGATAGAGCAGCCTTCTTCGGGATGTTCTAATCTGCACCCGAAATTCCTGGATAGAGCAGCCTTCTTCGGGATGTTCTAATCTGCACCCGAAATTTCTGGATAGAGCAGCCTTCTTCGGGATGTTCTAATCTGCACCCGAAATTTCTGGATAGAGCAGCCTTCTTCGGGATGTTCTAATCTGCACCCGAAATTTCTGGATAGAGCAGCCTTCTTCGGGATGTTCTAATCTGCACCCGAAATTTCTGGATAGAGCAGCCTTCTTCGGGATGTTCTAATCTGCACCCGAAATTTCTGGATAGAGCAGCCTTCTTCGGGATGTTCTAATCTGCACCCGAAATTTCTGGATAGAGCAGCCTTCTTCGGGATGTTCTAATCTGCACCCGAAATTTCTGGATAGAGCAGCCTTCTTCGGGATGTTCTAATCTGCACCCGAAATTTCTGGATAGAGCAGCCTTCTTCGGGATGTTCAAAGCAACTTTCAGGAATTTTCAATCATCAGAAGCAACCCCCAAAGTGGCCATTATCGAATGATTTTAAAAAGATACACAGTTGGGAGTGAACTGAATATTTATTACTCCTTTCATGAACTGAATCTAATCTGCTACAAACCATTCTTCTATTTAAAGCATACTGTATATTTGAGAGGTAGGAAAAACAGTTTATCAAAGATGTAATCCAATATTCACTTACGCAGCTGAATACAACTTGTAGCCTTGAATGACCACTGAGTGATTTTCCTACAACCAACGCAGTGTAGGAGGGTTGGGGCAAGAAGGTGGATTTCTTTTGAATCTGAGAAGCTGTGTGGATTGAGGGCATCACACCTCAGCTCTCAGATGCCCAGAATCACAGGAACACACCATCTGATTCCTCCTTATTCGTGTGGCAGCTACGACAGCTTCAGATGTGCACAGCACAAGCACCGCCCCTAACATTTCCACTGTTATCTGTAAACCATAAAAGCAGAAATGCAACCTGCACATCATGGGCTTACACTCCCAGGCTCCCCAAGCCTGCATCTCAAATACAGCCTCGAATCCAACTTTCAGCCAGAAACATGGAGGTGGAGGAGGGTGAGCCCCATTTCATAGAGGAGAAAATGTAGGCTCAAAGGGTGACACAGAACTGAATCCACTGCTGGATGTCTCCAAAGTCTGTGTTAATTTTTAATAGACCATGTTGCTTCCCAATTAAATCAGAATTACTTCTAGGGAGTTGGTAATTCTCATGTCTGAGCATCAGAGTTGTTCATGTTGCATTGTTACAGTGACACACCTAGGAGATGCACAGGGAAAGCAGTGCATACACATTGGGTGTGTGTAAATTTGTACTCCACTCTATCTGCAAAAAAGGCTCCTGTAAAATATGCACACAATTGTATCCTGAGCCCTGGGCAGTGTGTGAGGTGTAATTGATGCTGTAAAATATTTTTGATAAGGTATTCAGAGTAAGACATTCCATACAGAAAGTCCTGTTACTTTATATTAAGATTCTATAATTCACGGACTGGAGAGATGTTGCTTAAGAGCTGAACATTCTATGGAATTTAAGAGTCTTTGGGAAAGTTATTAATTTGTGAAATGCAGTGCTGTTCTGAAAAGCACAGCTCCAGTTATATACACCAAATTGTGCCTATTCGCTATTTTTTCACTGATGAATGAGGTGAGAATGATCGAAACAAGAATAACTTATTAGAGTTGTCGCTATTACAACTTAGTTTTGAAGTAAAGTGCTGATGCTAGAAAACCTGAGCTCTGTTTCTCACCCATCGCTGGCTCATAAAGACTATCTTAGTGTTATTTGCTCAATGGGGGATTTCCTGCACTGTTTACATAACACTGCGCTTTTATGACGAGCTCTGTAATTATTTTTAGCCACCTTAATGGCTCTCAGAGGAGAGCAAAATCCTGGTGTTCATGGGACAGATGGAGGGTGAGCGCCAGGGAGGTCAGCGGCTCTCGCGCTGCCATTTCTCTGCAAGCTCAGGAAATTAGTTCCAGGGCTGGACTGCATCCAGGGATCGACATCAGCTCTCTGGGCACCGCCCTCACGCCACTGTTGCCTTGCAAAGGGAGGTTGTGAGGCTTTGATAATGCCAGAGAGATGGCTGCTCTGTCAGGGCAATAAAGGCCTGAGGCATAATTGTGGAAAGGGAGCTTTTCAACCCTCGCTGCTGGCTTCGGCTTCCGCAGAGCCACCTGATGCCAAGGAAGAGGGAATTCAGGATTCCCCCCACCCCACCATGTCACGTCACTGTGGACAGCCCTCATCCTGGAGAAAACTGGCTGCCAAGCAACCCCTGCTCCTTGCAGATGTGGGCATGCACCTAGCATTTCCATTGCTATGTAAATCCATATCACAAAGTCCACAGAGTATCCTTGGTGTCAAATATGTCAAGTTTGGAAAATGCCGTTGGGTAATGAAATCAATAAGGTAACAAATAGAAATAAAAATGTATATTGCAGCGCTTAGATCAGACATTTCTAGATAACAATGTTTAAACTGGAAACCTCAAATTGTTGTTAAGTTAGAATAAGCAAACCTCACATAGTTTGTGGTTTTAGGCTAGAAATAATTGCCGCATTAGACCAACAAACAAAGAAAAACATACTTAGAAGTCCCACCAGCCTAGAGCTAAGTAGGTCCTTGAGGTGGGCTTTGACCCGCTGGCTGTGTTTCCTGGGGTGCCTGTGCGTCCTGGGCGGTGGTGAAACCGGCTGCCTTGGTGCCTGGGTGGAGGGTGACTGTGTTCTTACTGACACCATCTGGAGGTCTGATGCCGAAGAGCCCTATGCCTCCCCCAGCCCCCAAAGGCCGTTGATTGGAACTGGCCTCTTTGATGACTGGCGGCTTTTCCTGGGGCTTTGTGGTGGCTTTTAGAAGGATGGTTACTGACTGGTTGGAGGATTATTTTTCTCCTTGCACTAAATTTTTATGAGAAAAAGAATATACAGCAATCTTTGCTGTTCTGCAGCCCCCGCTGGTGATACCTAGGCAAACAGGATCTGGAGTGGACTGCCAGCAAACTCCAACAGACCTGCAGCAGAGGGGCCTGACTGTTAGAAGGAAAACTAACAAACAGAAAGGAAGAGCATCAACAAAAAGGACGTCCACTCAGAAACTCATCCAAAGGCCACCAACATCAAAGACCAAAGGTAGATAAATCCACGGAGATGGGGAGAAACCAGTGCAAAAAGGCTGAAAACTTCAAAAACCAGAATACTTCTTCTCCTCCAAAGGATCACACCTCCTCACCAGCAAGGGAACAAAACTGGACGGAGAATGAGTGTGATGAATTGACAGAAGTAGGCTTCAGGAGGTGGGTAATAGCAAACTCCTCCAAGCTAAAGGGGCATGTTCTAAGGCAATGCAAGGAAGCTAAGAACCTTGAAAAAAGGTGAGAGGAATTGCTAACTGGAATAACCAGCTTAGAGAAGAACACAAATGACCTGATGGAGCTGAAAAACAGCACGAGAACTTCATGAAGCACACACAAGTCTCAACAGCCGAATCGATCAAGCAGAAGAAAGGATATCAGAGACTGAAGATCAACTTGATGAAATAAAGCATGAAGACAAGATTAGAATACACGGATGATTGCTTTGAAAAATAAAGCTGGTTCATTGCCACACAGGATCTAAACCTATCAATCTAATGACTTACTGAATTATTGTAAATATTTATATATGATTTCATGATTTTATTAAGTCATTTGCTCAACACACAATGAGGGCTCTCCTGTCCCAGTGGGGCAGAGTCCAGGTCACAGTCTCCATTGTAACTAATCCTCCACGCACAGTTGGGTTTCTGCCCCTGTCCATTTTAATGGCCCTAGACTCACAGTGCCATTTCTGCTCTGAGCCTAAGCTGCTCCTGGGCAGGATGTCCTCTCCCAACTGCGTGAGGCTGGTGCAGTGCACAGCACTTGGTAGGTGGGAAACTATTCTCATGAATGAATGAGTGAATAAAATGTGGGTGCCGTATGGTGCCAAAGTGCACCTGTCCATGACGTATGTTTGTTGTGAACAGGAGCAGTATCCAAACATCATGAGGTCTGTGCTGTCTTAGTTCAGGGATGGGAAGTCGCTCCCACAGAAATCCAGGGGAGCTTGCATTGGCTATGACAGTGTGATGGGAACCCACGTTTCCACAGCGCAGTTCCGCTGGTATAGCTCAGCCCTGTCGGGGACGCCTACACTTCAGGAAGACAGGAGAAGCCAGTGCCTTTCCCATCTCAGAGCCTTTCCCGTCTCGAGGACTCTCGCCCAGGGAGGGACGGGTGTGGGGGGGCCCGGATCAGTGCAAGCCACTGTCTGGGTTGCTTACATCTCCTGGGCTTCTTTCCCTCCCAGAACCTGCTCTACCTACCTATGAAGGCTGCAGGGAGCTTCATGCAGCTCAGGAATTTTTCCAGACCAAACACAAAGGTGACAGATGAGAAGAACCTGAGGTGGCAGTTAGGGAGGACTGTGGGTTAGGAAGGACTCTCGGTTAGCAAGGACTGTGGGTTGGTTCGTGGTCTGGGAGGTGAGGGCAAGAAGCCTGGGCAGCCTGGAGGCGGCCACTGCTGAAACCACCCCAGGTCTCAGCTTCACTCAGCAAGCACTGTCTGAGGACCTCCCAGCACCCGGGCTGGGCAAGGCCCAAGAGGAACCGGTGGGCGGTGATGAGAAGCCACCTGCCACGGCTGGAGCTCTGTCTGCACAGAGGGCTTTGCTCACAGCCTGAGAATCAACGTTGGCTCTTCCACAGGACGAAGGCACAGACTCGCTGCTAAAGGGGACGGACACACCAGCCAGGAGACAAAGGCTTGTGACTTTTATGGCCAGAACATAACACAGCTTTGAGGTTTTTTTTTTCTTTCAGATTTAGAAAAGAAGGGCAGTCAACAGGCCATCACTTGCCCTAACCTTTTGTCTCAGAGGTAGCCTGGAGATCCCAGACATGAGGACATGGACGCATGCCCCATCCACCTCAAAATCTCACGGGTCCAGAGCTCTCAACCAAAGGCCAAGCCAACCTTCGCTCATCTCGTAGATCAGCCCCTCCTGGACCCCTCACCCAGATGGGAGCTCCCGCCAGAATACAGACTCTGGAATCCAGGAATTCCCATCCTGAGCAATAACAAAATCACCCCAAAAAAGAAGGTGGCTTCACCATGCCTTCCCTTGGAAAAGGCATTTTGCTGACAAATGTGTGTTTTTTAGTTTTCCCTCAATACCTCACTGCTCTAAATCATCATAAAGAATTTTAATTGCTGTCAATAAGTAGTTTTGAACATGGCTTCCCAGAATGACTGTGTATTTTGACAAGTTTCAAAAAAATGCCTTACCCTTTCTGACCTTAATTTTTTCTCTACTCTTAATACCTTAAAAATAGCTATAGTTTTATTACTATTATATCAGTAGTTCTGTTATTTATCATCAGATCAAAAGCAAATGTTCTTTGGGAAGAAGTCCTTGATGCATTTATTAAGTGAAAAACTTACTTTACAATAGTTTCATCATCCAGTTCCTCATTTGTAAGTATGCGCATGCTTCAGTGTTTGAGTATTAGTACCTAGAGCAAAATGGGAGCTGCTGTGTCTTCTCTGGCTAGTGAGACCACAGAGGTTTTCCTTTTCCTTCCTTCTCTCCCTTTCCATTCTCTTCTCCTCCTTCTCCTTCTCCCCCTTTCCATTCTCTTCTCCTCCTTCTCCTTCTCCCCCTCCTTCTTTGCTTACCTGTACTTTCTAAATCTTCTACAATGATTACATATTCTTCTGTAATAATAAAAAATCAAACTGAAGAGAATGTTTACGCTGAATTGAAAAATAGAAAAAGAGAATCAAAATATCCGGGACTTTAAGGAAGTGGCGTTTTTCTTTTAATCATGTACCTTTTCTCATTCTTTCTGTTGATCATCATCATCTTAATGTTTTGTAGTTATAACTATTTAATTGTTCAATCTCTTAGCAAACTTACAAAACTAGATTGCACCTCAAGTGACAAAGCATGACCTAAATTCTTTGAATTCTCTTTCAATCTTTTGTGGACAAAATTGAGAGAGCAAATTAAATGGACACTCAGGGTTCTGGAGCATTGCCTTCCCATCAAACACTTTATAGTAGGCATTCGATCTTTCAATATCACCAAAGGTTTTGCCCTTTATGACCTGACATAAGACTTCCCAAACTCTCATGTGCGTCTGAGCCACCTGGGCTCTTGCTAAGATGCAGGCTCTGATTTGGAAGGTCTGGGGTGGGCCTGGGATTCTGCATTCTAACAAGGTCCTGGGTGATGCTGGCCAGTGGACCACGCATTGCTCTAACAAGAGCCCAGAGATTAGAGGTGGGCATCTTTCCATGAAAATTCCTTCTCCAGAAGGCCTAGAACGTCTTTGTTTTAGTGGAAAACCTAGAATCATATAAAGGAAACCTGAAATATGTGTATGCTGTCATTCACTGACCTACACCTTAGAGGCTGTATGAGGGGGTGATCATTAAGGTTTCTAGTTTTAAATTGAGAACTGGATTTGAATGCGAGCTTGTGGGAAAGCTTGGACAGCCCTTCACCTCTGTGTCTTGATTTCTTCCAGAGTTGCTCTTGCTGAGGTGCAGGGTAGAGAAGTGGAGATGGGGCAATGCCCACACAGCTGGCACAGTGCCCGCCGTGGAAGGCACCCTCACCCAGTACCAGTGAGAACCACCACAGGCTGCTGGACACGAGCTCCTTCCTCTTGGGAGCCATGACCTTGGGCCCTTCCTCTGGTCTCACACTCAAGGCTCCAGAGCCACATGAGGTCATTTTCAGAGAGGATAACCCCTCACCAGCTGGCTCCAGGTCCTTCAGCAGGTGTGGATGCTGCTGGAGAAGGTGCTGGAGAGACATAGCTTTGGCACAGTAGGTCCTCACTGGACATCGGGGATAGGCTTTCGATGTAAGAATTATAGAAAGAGGAGAGAAACACGAAGCGTGTCTTTTTTTTTTTTTTGAGACGGAGTCTCGCTCTGTCGCCCAGGCCGGACTGCGGACTGCAGTGGCGCAATCTCGGCTCACTGCAAGCTCCGCTTCCCGGGTTCACGCCATTCTCCTGCCTCAGCCTCCCGAGTAGCTGGGACTACAGGCGCCCGCCACCGCGCCCGGCTAATTTTTTGTATTTTTAGTAGAGACGGGGTTTCACCTTGTTAGCCAGGATGGTCTCGATCTCCTGACCTCATGATCCACCCGCCTCGGCCTCCCAAAGTGCTGGGATTACAGGCGTGAGCCACCGCGCCCGGCCACGAAGCGTGTCTTAACAGTCAACATTTCAAACCTGGGAGGGACCTCTGGCCAAGTTAGGTCAGAAGCTGCACTCCCTTACAGACTAAGAGTTTTTAAGGATTTAGGGAGGGAGAGTTTATCAGAGGCTTGGGCTGCTTCTGTGTTTCTTTGTTGTGCTTCTTTGGGAGGGAGAGTTGTGCCTTTCTGCAGCTGCAGGCATACAACCCCCCACCCCACCCCTGAGTATGCCTTTAGCTTCCCTATCTTAGTGCACCGGAAGGGAAAGCAACGTGCTTATTAAGGCCCACTGTTTTACTGGGGCCCATTGTATGAGGGTGAAGTTTGGCCGTTACCCAAGAGACTTTCCCCCACCTCCCTTGGTGCCAGAGCTGTCTTATCTGTGTTTTACTGTCTGCTCTTTCTGGCTGCTTGTAGTTAGAAGAGAAGTGATTTCCTTGAAATGCAGGAGGCTGGAAAGGGAACTGGAACTAAAAGGGGCAGGGCTTGTCCGAGATGATGGTGCTTCTCCTGCTCTGACACTCGGAAATAGCAACTTGAGGTGAAATGACATAAAACAAAACCAATTTGCCATCGGTTAATTGACAGAAACAAGAGTTACATTCCTACAACGTATTTCTGGCCAAAAAACATTATCACCATACCTCGAAACAAAGACCAAAACACTCCTCATATGAAACATGGAAATAAGTGTGAGCTATACAGACATTTAAGAAAGATTGAGAAAAACAAGTAGGACAATGATTTCCCTCTGACTCCAGGCCAGGGTGATGGGTGGCTGGAGCCTGTGCACATCTGTGGGATGTGGGAGGAACCCGGAGAGCCCTGAGCTCCACCCAGAGAGTGGCCCCGGTGGCAATTCGATTTTTTTCACATCAACGTTACACCAAAATGACATTGAACAAAATGACATCATCTGAGGACCTGCTGCATCTACACTGCAGGCCATGGATGGGCCTTCTGGGTCTCCCTAGTCCAGCTCTGTTCCCACAAGCAGCACGATGACCAATTCCTAACATCGCGTCAGGAAGCACAAGTTTCCAAACATAAGGAAAAGCTGTGTTTCCCTCTCTCCCCCAGGGGCTGTGAAGGACATGAACGGCCAAGCTGAAAAGCACCAATCAGGAGCAGTGTGCCCCTGTTGTGATAATACAAGTTAGGGTATGTTCAGGGCCCCCAGGTCTCACAACCACTGTCACCTCTGAATGATGAATCTGATACGTCTCCTCAACAAATAAATTGGAAATCAAAGCCATGTCTCTCTTTCTCATGGGCTTTTGAACCTTACTAATAAGGAGTATCAAGCATGATGAATGTGATTGGATGCTTTTCACTGTGTGTGATGCAAAGGGCACTTCACCAGGAATGAGAAAAATTGAGTTCAAGTGCTGGAATCAATATTAATTCAATGTGATGCTCAACTAGATGGTTCTCTCTGGTTTCTCCACCTGTAAACCAAGGTAATAGGACCAGTTGCTTCTCTCAATCTGAAGTGTTTAAGGACAGGTTTATGGTCTTGGTTTATAAAATTAAAACAGACTTTTTAAAAAGTTTTAGTTTTTGTTTTGTTTTTTTTATGAGATGGGGTCTCACTATGTTGACCAGGCTCAACATAGTGAGACCTGCCCAGGACAGGGTCTGCCTTGTGGGATGGGCTGGGCTGCCGGGACAGGCTCCAGCCACCCATGACCCTGGCCTGGAGTCAGTGGGAAATCATTGTCCTACTGACTCCTCAACCCAATCCAGGAAAACCACCTCAACCCAATCCAGGCAGACTACGAATGGCCCAGACCCTTCACATATGAAGATTTGGGTCACCCCGGCAAATACAGAATTGTGACCAGCTGAGGTCTTCCTGCAGGCAAATGAAACACAGAAGAAGGTCATTGTGAGTACCAGCTCTGCCCATCGGACCAGTTACAGAATCAAGGGCTGCCACTGTCTTGAGTGCTTCCTCTCTATTTTGCCATGAATATGTGGGTGTATCAAATATCTTTGTTTCCTTCCTTCTTTTGTCCCCTTTTTATAATAGCATGTAAGTCACAGGATATCAGGGAGATGATTAAATGCCACTAAAGGACTTTGCCTCCTCTTCTGGGGAGGGAGTTTGTGCATACTTGGTTGCATGTAGGATGGTTGTACCATTTTAGGCAAAAGTGTAGCCTTATTATTGTTTTTACCTGGAGATTGGGCATGGTGTAAGGAAATGTGTCTGGTGCCAAGTTGACATGGGATGGACTTGTGACAGTTAATTTTATGTGTTAACTTGGAGGGTGATTTTGGTGAGATTGATGTTACATTGTGAACTTTGGGTAAATCAGGTTGCCCTCCGTAATCTGGGTGGGCCTCCTGCAGTCAGCTGAAGGCCTGAACAGAACAAGAGGACGGCCTCCCCAGGCAAGAGGGGATTTTCCAGTGGACGGCCTTCAGGCTGAGCTGCACCATGGGCTCTCCCAGGTCCCCAGCCTGCAGCACACACTGCAGGTTTTGGACTTGCCAGCCCCCATAATCCTTGTAATGAATGACCCAATTCTCTCTGTTTATATTATGTATGCATCTTACTGTTTCTGTTTTTCTGGGGAACACTGGTGTCTACCCAAGCCAGCTGACCCATCCTCATGCATTAAGTGACCAAGGACAATGAGCTCCATCCTCTTCGGAAGGATGACTTTGGGTTCTTTGCTTTCACACTCTTAATTCATGTGCTTTTCTGGCATCTGGCTTGTTTCCTACTTATTATTCCTTAGACCTGAGGAAAGCTGTTGTTCAAGCTCTCACTGACCTGCTCCATGTGCATGCAAAGACCCCTGGAGCTGCTGTCCAGGCACTGCACCCCCATCTCGCTTCTCCTGAGCAGTCAGACAGCTCAGACACAGCCCTCTACATAGAAATAGAGGCATGGCTGTAGTGCAAGTCAAGGGCCATGTATCAGTCAGGATTGAGAAATAAAAATAAAATCTTAAGCCCCCAACTAACCGAATAGATCATCTCTTGTTCAAGAGGACCACAGAGAAACCTTGAAACTGAGTTCCTGGCCATGATAGGACAGGAGATCAGACATGCCTCACCGCCATTAGGCTTCCTTCCCTAAGGACTGGGTAGAAACCAGCCCTTTCAAAAGGCTCTGCCATTGATATCAATCAACTACCTGCCACTGCCCCTCCCTTTGCAGTTTTGACAAAACCACTGACCGCTATTCCTTCCTGACAGAGACCACTGACCTCAGAGTGGCTCTGGCCAGTCTACTGAGGATGCACAGTGAGTTTTCGTGTCCTCTACTTCACTTTTTGATATCACAGGGACAAAAACTCCACCCTGGGATTATGCTAATGTGGCCATTTTTGAACAGGGGACCCATAAAGGGGCATGAAACTCAATTGCACATGGATGTATTTCTTCTTTCATGAATATTCATGACTCCCCCCATAGCTTATTGAATATGTATATTTGGCCACCTTGCTCAATCAATCCCTGTCTTATTCTTCCCACCTTCTACATGTCTGTTTCTAGCTTCTGACTGGAGGCTACCCTTTCCAAGTGGTCAGAATGGCCACCTACAGGCTACAGCCCTTTATGAGAAATAAAGCTTTCCTTTCCAAACGTATGAATGTGGTCATCATTCAGTGGACAGAATCTCTCAGTTCAAAGTGATGGGAACTCATCCTGAAACAGGCTAACATGTTCAGCTTCCAGGTTAGAACCCAGGGGTGTTATGGGCTCACAGCTGAGCAGGGTCATAGGTGCATCACAGAATCAGAGGGAGGGGCACAGAATCAGGGTCTTGAGCCAGCGCCACTAATGGTGCAGAGTCAGGTTCCCTCTCTCTGTCTCCCTCTCTGTCTCTCTCTCTCTACGTCTCTCTCTGTCTCTGTCTCCCTCTGTCTCAATCTCTCCCCCATCTCTCTCTGTCTCTCTCCCCCTGTATCAATCTCTCCCTCTATCTTTGTTTCTCCCCATCTCTGCCTCTCTCTCTTTCTCCCTGTTTCTCTCTCCCTCTGTCTCAATTTCTACCCCATCTCTCTCTCTCCCTCTGCCTCTCTCTGTCTCTCTCCCTCTCTGTCTCTCTCTGTCTCTGTCTCTCTCCCTCTGCCTCTCTCTCTTTCTCTCTCCCTCTCTCTCTGTGTCTCTCTCCCTCTCTCTTCTGTCTCTCTCTCTCTCTGTGTCTCTCTCCCTGTCTCTGTCTCTCTCCCTCTGCCTCTCTCTCTCTCTCCCTCTGCCTCTCTCTCTCTCCCTCTGCCTCTCTCTCTGTCTTTCTTCCTCTGTCTCTCTCCCTCTGTCTCAATCTCTCCCCCATCTCTCTCTCCCTCTGCCCCCTCTCTTTCTCCCTCTGTCTCTCTCTGTTTCTCTCCCTTTGTCTCAGTCTCTTCCCTATCTTTCTCTCTCCCTCTGCCTCTCTCTGTGTCTCTCTCCCTCTGTCTCTCTCTCTCTCCCTCTGCCTCTCTCTCTCTCCGTCTCTGTCTCTCTCCCTCTGCCTCTCTCTGTCTCTCTCCCTCTGTCTCTGTCTCTCTCCCTCTGTCTCTGTGTCTCTCCCTGTCTCTGTCTCTCTCTCTGTCTCTATCTCTCTGTCTCTGTCTCTCTCCCTGTCTCTATCTCTCTCCCTCTCTCTCTGTCTCTCTCCCTTTCTCCTCTCCCCATTCCCCATTTGTCTCTCATGTTGTCATTTTCTTCTTGGCTTCATTCTTCAGACAATTTCCACATCCCTGGATGACCCACGCAGATTAGCACGCTCTCAGGTTAGTAACCCCAGGGAAAGACGATTCTTTTTTAATCTAGAAAACGTCTGTTTAAAGAATTCTTAATTCTGCCAGGATCACAAGTTTACCTGTCGGGGTGATCTATACAGTTGTGGAGGACTCTTCCATGATAGACGAAGGTCTAAACATGGCGGTGGTTTTAGGGCGTTGTGCTTGTTGAGGGGGCGACGGAAATGGTGAGGAAAAGAGTTCATTCAACACAGCGAGTTTGTGTCACTCAGAATCATGGTGAGGACCTGCAGGCATGCACGTGGACGCTGACCCATGGAGGGAATTGGTGTTCTCTGACCATCCCTTCAGTGCAGAACATCAGTCACAATTTAAGTTCTGTTTAGGTAAACAAATGACCTTTTCCTATGGGGCATTTTCATTTTATAAGGGTATGAGCTCATAGCAGGGCAAATCACTTGGTAGTTAAGACATCAGATGATGGTTCTCAGGGTGGCCCAGGCAGTAGGACAATCAGAGACTTTCAGCTGCCCAGACCCCTCCCTGGACAAGAGATGTGCATGGCGACCCCGGCCCCTCCCTGTCCATGTGACTCTCTTCTCCATGACACTGTACAAAGGAGAGAACGTCCACAGTGACCCAGCCCCCATCAAGTCACCCAAAGCTTGTGGGAAACAACCAATATGGAAAGATAAAAATTACTAAATGCAAAAGCTGCAGGGGAATGACAGCAAACACAAATAAATGAAATGAATGTCTTTAACTTAAACTACTTCTGGCCTCACTGTGTGTGCTTTATGGCTCTATGAGGTCATTTTTGTGCAAATAGGTGCCCAAAATTGGAGTGCGTTCAATTGACCATCCTTCAAATAAAAAGTGAGCGTATCCTAAAATGTAGAGAAGTCAAGCCTTTTTTTTTTTTGAGATGGAGTCTCACTCTGTCACCCAGGCTGGAGTGCAGTGGTGTAATCTTGGCTCACTGCAGGCTCTGCCTCCCGGGTTCACACCATTCTCCTGCCTCAGCCTCCCAAGCAGCTGGGACAACAGGCGCCCGCCACCACACCCGGCTAATTGTTTTTGTTTTTTTTTTTGTATTTTTTAGTAGAGACGGGGTTTTACCGTGTTATCCAGGATGGTCTTGATCTCCTGACCTTGTGATCCGCCTGCCTTGGCCTCCCAAGCTGGGATTACAGGTGTGAGCCACCGCGCCCGGCCGAGAAGTCAAGTCTTTCAGGACATACCTAAAGAAGATAGCATCCATGGTGCATGGAGCATGTGCCTCACCAGGCATCACCATACCCACCACAGCTCATGCGTGCGGATGCCTTTGCTACCCAGGACGGCCATACAAGGAAGCCATTGGGTCAGTCCTGTGCACAAACGGCATGTCAAGAAATTAAATGATTTCCTCAGGGCCCCGCAATTACCTTCAGCAAAGCTGAGATTCCCAGCCTTCTCTCCGCTCCCTGAGACTGACTCTGAATTGCTTTTCTGCTGGAGATGAAAACAAGAACAGAAACAGTGGAAACTAATCACATTTTTAAAAGTTTTACATAACCACTTAATTATAATACGCCTGCCCCAAAAGCACTCCTAACGTCCTAACACATGGTAACTTATTTGTTTAATTTTATAAGTATTTTCAGGGACATGGTGGGAGGGAGAGCATCAGGATAAAGAGCTAATGCATGTGAGGCTTAATACCCAGGTGATGGGTTGATCTGTGCAGCAACCACCATGGCATACGTTTACTTGTGTAGCAAACCTGTACATCCTGCACATGTATCCCGGGACTTAAAATTAAGTTTAAAAAAATAAAGTATTTATGGAAACATGGAGCTCTTTCTCTCTCTTTTTCTACTTCATAGAGTTTTCTTTCTTTCTTTTTTTTTTTTCCAGTACTTGTGATTTTTCTTTAAACCTCAAATATTATCGTCATGGAAGAAATACTCACAGTCCATCAAGCTTGCCTGTCAGGAGCATTTCCACCCTACAGACCAGCCATGGAGGCAGAGTGCAGCCCGGGTCTGTGGGTCACCAGGCCTCAAATGCCATCCCAGCGCCAGTGAAAGTTTGCTGTGTTCCTTTACACTGTCCCCTGTGGGCCTGGCTTCCCTGTGAGAAGGTGAGGACTTGGCTCAGCTCCTTAAGTTCCTGTTCAGCTTCAGGTTAGGACTCTATTAAATAACAACCCGACACCTTCAGATTCCTCCTCTACCCTCCATGAGATCAGCGACTAGCACCTTGTGCATCTCATTTTAGGTGCATTTTTTTTTTTTTTTTTTTGAGACAGAGTCTCACTCTGTTGCCAGGCTGGAGTGCGGTGGCATGATCTCGGCTCACTGCAGCCTCCGCCTCCCAGGTTCAAGCGATTTTCCTGCCTCAGCCTCCCGAGTAGCAGAGATTATAGGCACTCGCTACCACGCCCATCTAATTTTTGTGATTATAGTAGAGATGGGATTTCACCATGTTACCAGGCTGGTCTGGAACTCCTGACCTCAGGTGATCCGCCCACCTTGGCCTCCCAAAGTGCTGGAATTACAGGTGTGAGCCACCGTGCCTGGCCTTGGCTGATATCTTAACGTTCATATGGTACTTTTTCCCAGAGCCTGTCGTGCCCTGCGCAGCTCCCTGACCAACTGAGATCAGATCAGGGAGGTCGTTTGATCCTGTGTACACCACAGCTGACCGCGTGTGCAGCAGGACCCTCGGCATGCTCTCAGGAGCTGCAGTCCGGGAAACACAGGAAAGCTGTCGGCTGTGGTGGAGACTTCAGGCTTAGGTCCTGGGGGGATGGGTCCTCCAGTTCTCCCTCTGGGTCTCCGCGGGAACCCGGGTACTGCCTGTAAAGCCCCAGCCCTCCCCTCACTTGGCTTAAACCGCTGGGCATTTCCTTCCACAGGTTAAAGAGCCCCAAACAAAACACGCATTGAAACCTGCCTCCACAGCCCTCTCGGGCCTGCACAGGGCTGACCGGCACCCCTGGAGCCTGTCCACCTCTGGAAGGGCAGTTGCATGGCTCTGAGCACCGACGGAAACCCCTCGACCTGGAGAGGCCGCCTGCGTGGGGCCGACGTTGCACAGGCTGACCTTGTAGGGCGGTGGGTGGGGGATGCGGGGCAGGGGGCACAGCCCGGGCGCTCTTCCAGTGCTGGTTTGTCTATTTCATGTTGTCCACCCTGTCATCCACCAATTGTTCTTTGGGTCCATTGGTAATAATATCTCCCGCATGGATGGGCTCTTCCCAGAGCCTCGTGGGTGCTGAATGAAGCCCAAGGAATGGCCTTCACCAGACACTTTGTTTTGTTTTTTCTGTTTATAAAAGGCAGGGCCCAGATAGTTTCATTTTCACAGGGACATCTGTAAGCACACACTTTGATTTACACTGGGAAGAGCCAATGGTTCTCATTTACAGAGGGTCAAGCTCCAGGAGGGAGGCAAGGGGACGCTTTGGAAAATAAAGTTCTTCCTTTTACTCCTGTGGGCCTGATGTGCTCTGTGAAGTTCAAACACTGTATCGACCATCTCAACTCTCAGGACAGCATGTGACACCTCCATCACTGGGAGCAAACTCTGTGCAGGAGCACCTGATTCTGCCAGGGCAGGTAAGGAGGTGACGCCCCGCAGAGGCAGGTGATGTCCCGCGGAGGCAGGTGATACGGAGCTCTGGGGAGACCACCAGGGTGGGAGGGGAGAGCGCCAGGAAGGGCTGCTGTGTTGAAGCTGCTCCCATGCGCCCCGAAAGGGGGACGTCCACAGACAGAGAAGAGTGGGATCCCCTGACCACAGAGGCTGCCTTGGGCCGTGTCCCTTCTGGACATACAAATGCCCCATGGGCTGAGCCATGTGTATCCTACGATACCCCAGATATCCCAATAACCAGAGTCCCTGTGGGACAGCGAGTGAGGCTGAGGATGAACAAGCTTTGAAGCCTTTTTGAAAAACTACTAGCTCTCAAAACACAAAGTGCATTCAAACAAGAAGTTAATTTGTTATAACTTTTATGTTATAAAAGTGGATTTTTATGTAAGAAAAGGTAAGGATAAACTTAAATTATCCTATAATTGTGGCTATTTACTTGAGTTCAAACACTGAAAAGAAAATGAGAATTTCCTCTTTAAATTCCCTTTTCCCACGTCCTTCCAGGAAATTCACTCTCAGAAGCATGTTCCACTCAAGCGGACTTGGCCTGCGCTGTGAGTCAATGTAAAGAGGGTGTGTTGGCTTCGGCTGGTTGACCTTCAGAAGTCGGAGAAGGCCAAAGTCCCACTGAATAAACTGCAGATGAAAGAGACTCATGGGTCCTCAGAAGGAGGCATATGGCTGCTCTCGGGATCTTGACTTTTGAAATATTTGTTTAAAGCAAACACTTGCAGTGGCCGTGGAAAGCCTCCCGTTTCCTCTGGACCCTCAGCCTCTCCCTCGCAGGGCACCGGGCTCTCTCCCTCGGGGACAATGAGGCGAGAGAGGCTTTTGTTTATTCTTCAGGAGTCTCTGAGAGTTCACAGTCATGTTAAAAATTAACCTGGGGCCAGGCGCGGTGGC